>NC_000009.12:126345552-126970552 GCF_000001405.40 Homo sapiens
ATGATAATAAGCATAGGTTTCAGTGGCAGGCAAGGAGCCACTCCCCAGGAGGTCTCTCTGATAACCACCTATAGGATAAAAATCCAAATTCTTTGATTTGGCTTCATGATTTCAGTGTATCTTACAGTCTTACTTCCTTCTGCTCATCCTTTCTCCAGAACCATTGAACGGCTCACTTTCTCACATCCAGAATAAGCAGGAACTTTGTACCATTGTACCTTTAAACCCTCTTTCTTCATGTTTCTGAAATGCCTATACCCAGTCCCCCAACTTTTAAGTAAAACTTTTCTCATCCTTAAAATCCAGGTTACATAGCCCCTTAGTGAAACTTTTTCTGACCATTACTCATTCATTTATTTATTTGCTCATTGGTTTCACAAATGTTTATTGGCCACTTAGCTATTGTCCAAGGCACTGGAAATCCAGTATCCTGAGAAGGCTGGGCTCCATCAGGTGAGAGGTGAGAGATGAGGATGGGCAGGTGGGTGAGACCAGATCATAGCCACGCTAAGGAATTTGCAATTATTCTGAGGGTGGTGGGAGTCACTGGGAGATTTTAAGAAAAAAGAGGCTCTTAGACAGATGTGTGTTTTCCCAAGATCACTTGGTTGGCACGGAAAACCCTTCGGGGGAGGATAAGCAGTGAGGCAGGTGGGCGTGTGTGGAGGCTGTGAATTCGTGCAGAGTGAGAGCTAGAGCCTGCGCCAGGCTATTGACAATGGACATGTGAAGCAGTACGTGGATCCTGGGGCTGTGGGAGCGTGGGACGTGGGAACCCAAATATGTATTTTTGATGGCAAGAATGGGTTGAATGTTGGGAGGTGGGGGAGTAGGGAGGAAGGGGAAGGATGAGAGTGCCACAGGATGTCTTGCTGGCCATGGGTAGATGCTGGGGTTCTCTGCTGGGACAGGAGCAGAGACAGCCAGGTCGGGTGGAGGCGGGAGGGAGACTCTTGGGTCAGTTTTGAACACCTTGAGTTTGAGCTGCTTGTATGACATCTAGCGGAGCCCTGGGGCTGAAGGTCTGGAGAGAGGTCTGAGCACCATCCTCATATAGCAAGGACTGCGGGCATAAGTGGGCTTGTCTAGGGAGGGTTGTGGGACTAGAAGAGAGGGTGTGCCATTTCAGACTCCACTACCGTGGAGGGTCACTGGTTAAGGATGGGTAGAAGAGGAGGCACTCAAAAGGGGACTAAGCCTGAGCATCTGGAGAGGTAGGTGGAAAATTAAAGAAAACTAAGGGGAAAAGTGTATTTCTGTAAGAAGGAGTGGTGAGTAATGTTCAAAGTTGCCGAAGTGAAAGGAGCCTGAAGGGTGTCCATTGGGTTTAATGCAAGGAGATGGTTGTGAACTTGGTGGCAAGCTCAGAAGCAAGGTTAGAGTGGACCTGCAAGGTAAGTGGGAGGTGACAACGAGAGGTTGAGAGTGCAGATGGCCTTTGAAGAGGGGAGGCCAGGGCATAGCGGGAGCTAGAGGATGCCATGACCCCAGCTAGAGGATGCCATGACTCCCTTTGTTAAAGGTAGGAAAGTGTCGAATGTGTCTAGTTACTGATGAGAAGGAACCAAAGAAAGGGAGGGGTGTAGATACAGGAGAGAGGGGCTGGCTGATGAGGCAGGGCCCTTGAGGGGGCAGAGGAGTTGGGACCCAGAGCCCAGTCTGAGAGGGGCACCGGGTCATGTTTCTTTAGCCCTTGCCCTGTCCTGCCCCTGCACGCTGGGAAGCCAGCCTTGGGCTCGGCCTGTGCGGGCAGCACATGGGCCAGCTGCCCTGGGAGTCTCCACTTCCCCTTTTTTGCTGCTCCTGCCTCCCCCCATGTCTCTTTCTCTCAACACTATTTATTTCTGAAACTAATTAGACAAAAGAACCTTTTTTAAAAAAACAACTGGACCTGTATAATTTATATATGCCCAAAACGTAGTAGGAATTTCCTGAATACTTGGAGTTTCAAATGCTTGAATGCAAATATGCGGGACTATGGGGGTCCTAGGAGAGGTCTGCTTCTCTCTGGGCCAGTGGGCTGGGTATAGGGAACATAGGGAGGGATAAGTTTAAAATCCCAAACCTCCAAATGAGGTCCTATTCTTTTACTTACTAAAGTAAGAGAAGGAAAAAGAATCTCAATGGTGATACAAGTTCAAACAAGCTTGCATTTTTATATAGTGCTCAAGGAATTTTTAAAAATCACGTTATGAAAAACATGTGAAGATGGCAACTATATCTTGTTAAAAACATATGGCAGATATCAAGTGGAAATGTGGGACATTGGCATATCCCGTCTGAGCACAGCTGTCACATGGATTTTCAGAAAGCCGAAGCTGTGGTGGGGGGCCTTTCAGGGGGCAGGAAAATTGCCCTCGTTCTCCATGGGCTGGAGGATAGCGGCAGCCCAAAGCCTCAGGCAGTTAGTTGCCCCTCCTGGAACTCTGCCTCCATGAAGCCAATGAGGAAACAAGGGCAGCAGCTTGTTCTTGCTGTCCCAGCTTCCTGAGCACAGGGCTTTGCTATCGTGGGGCTACTAACTGCAGAAATAACCACAGACTTTGAGTCCTGCCACACAGATTGGTTTATTTTCAAAACCAGAGCTTGTTTTGATAAAAGGCACCAGGTGTTCCTCCTTTTTGTTTTGTTAGAAAATACATTAAGCTGAGATTTACTGAAATGCGGAAAGTGGTTTTTGTAACTAGCCCTGGGCCTTTGTTCCCTGTGGCCTGGATTAGCAAACCTCTTTTAAGGTCCTTCCCTCCACATTCCCCTTTGTCCTGCCGCACCCTGGCCCCAAGGGAGCAGAGCTGTGGTCTGAGAGAATGCACGTGGCACACTTAGCACAGTGCTGGCATCCACGAGGTGTGCAGGAGGCAAACATCAGCTATCGTTAGGTGATCCTCTTAGAAATAGTGGCTTAAAGCACCTGGTTGCAGAGGAGCTGGTCTTGTTTTCTTCTAGGCTTCCCTTCCCTGCTAACCATGAATTTTTCGTTTTGACCCAAAGTTCCCGCTAATGACTTGTTCCGTAGTTGATTCATTTGGAAAGTGGTAGGGAACAGGCAGTGTTCTGGTACTTCCTTCTGTTTGCTAAAACTTCCTAATTCCCTATTTAAAAAGCCTTCTAATAATGAAACGTCAATTAATTGGATGGTTGAAAAAAGACGAGGCGCTTGCTTTAATTTTTCTTTCTTTTTTTTCAGTTAAACTTTTTATTTTGAGACAATGGTAGACTCACATGCAGTTGTAGGAAGTACTACAGAGAGATCCTGTTTACCCCCCACCAATGGTAAAGTCTTGCAGACTAGTACAATGTTACAACCAGGATACTGACATTAATACAGTACATTAATACAGAACATTTCTGTTTTAAAACGTGCCCAGGTTTTTGTTTTTATTCATATATGATGTGGCCAATAAATGAGGAGAGGATTGCCACTGGAAAGATTATTACTCGCAGTTCCCAAGAGGAGCAGACAGGCCACACCCTGTAGGGCCACCTGGGGAAGCACAGGTGGGGAAACATAGGTGGGGAAGCGTGGGGTGTGTCAGGAAGCACAGAGAGCCAGGGAGAAACGAGCCAGGAAGGGCAGTGTCAAGCAGGGTGAGCACAGTTAGGATTGATTAAGTTTGAATAATTTTGGCAGGTCCTGGGGTACATGGGTGAGTCCCTCATTGTCAGGTACCTGGCCCTGGGGTGATTTAGGGCAGGGGAATCGTGTCCTGGACTGCAAGAGCCCGTGAAAGCAGGCAGATGGAGATAAGAACTCAGTATTGGTTGGTTTGCATATCCAAGGCATGCACACAAGCAAGTCATTCACCTAGGAGGGGCAGTCCCTCCCTGCTTCTGCAAGACCTCAGGATATCAAAGCCTCATAAAATATAGAAAAAACCTGCCAAAATACAATTTCTATCACCATAAGGATCTTTCATGTTGTCGTTTTATAGCTACACTCACTTCCCTTATACTACCACCTTCTCCTTAACCCTTGATAGCCACTAATCTGTTCTCCATTTCTATAATTCTGGCATTTGAAGAATCTTATATAAACGGAATTATAGTATGTCACCTTTTGGAATTGGCTTTTAAAAAAAACTCAGCATAATTCTCCTGAGATTCATGCAGAGAGTCTATTGTGTGGGTTAATAGTTTATTTCTTTTTACTGATAAATAGTATTCCATGGTTTGGATATCCCACAATTTGTTTAACCATTTACCCATTGAAGGACATCTTGGTTGTTTTCATTCTGGAGCCATTATGAATAAAGTTGCTATAAATACTCAGGTGAAGGCTTTCATGTGGCTGTGTTTTTATTCCTCTGGGATAAATATCCAGGAATGCATTTGCTGGGTCACATGGTAGTTGCATGTTTAGTTTTTAAATAAAATGTTAAACTACTTTTTGGTGTAGCTGTAATGAATATATGAGGATCCAGTTTCTCGACATCTTTTCCAGCATTTGTTATCGTCAGTATTTTTTTGTTTTAGCCATTCTGACACGTGCATAGTGATAATTCATTTGGTTTCACACTGTATTTCCCTAGTGGTTAATGAATGATGTTGAACATCTTTTCATGTGCTTATTTGCCATCTGTATGTCTTCCATGAAAATTTCTTCATGCCCTTTACTCATTTTCTCATTGGATTGTTTGTTTTTTTTACTGTTGAGTTTTAAGAGCTCTTTGTGTATTCTAGCTATGAGTCCTTTGTTGGATATGTGGTTTCCAAATATTTCTCCTAGTCTTTACCTGCCTTTTCATCTTAACAGGGCCTTTCACAGAGCAAATGTTTTTAATTTTGATGAAGTCCAATTTATTACTTTTTCTATCTGTGAATCATGTTTTGGTGTCAAGTCTGAGAACTCTCTGCCTAGCTCTAGATCCTGAAGATTATCTCCTGTTTTCTCCTACAACTTTTATAGTTTTACATTAACACTTACGTCTGTGATCCATTTTTTCCTTAATTTCTGGAGGCTGGGAAGTCCAAGTTCAAGAGGCACATCTGGTGAGGGCCTTCTTGCTTGGTGAAGATTCAGCAGAGTCCCAAAACAGTGCAGGTCATCTCATGGCGAGGAGACTCAGAGTGCTAACATGCTAGCTCAGATCTCTTCCTCTTTTTATAAAGCCACCAGTTCTGCTCCCATGATAACCAATCAATCCATTAATCCAATGAATGAGCCCTCATGATCCAATCACCTCTTAAAGGCCCCACCTCTCAATACTGCTACAATGGGGATTAAGTATCCACAGGATTTTTTGAGGGGACGTTCAAACTATAGCAGGTAGAATGATTCCTTCTACTTTATTCTCCTTTCCAAAATGATTTTAGCTATTCCAGTTATTTGTCCATATAATCTTAAAATAATCTTGCCTATATCTACAAAAAACTTGTTGGGGTTTTAATGGCAATTGATGTTAAATCTGCATATCAATTTGAGGAGGATTCACATCCCCACTATGTTGAGTATTCCAATTCATGAACATAGTATGTCTCTTCATTTATTAGTTCTTCTTTCATTTCTTTCGCCAGCGTTTTGTAGTTTTCAGCAAACAAGCTCTATAATGTTTTGGTAGATTTGAGCCTAAATATTTATTTTTAGATTTTGAGCAATTATAAATGGAATTGTACTTTTAATTTTGATGTTCACATGTTCATTGCTGTTATATAGAAATTCAGTTAATTTTTATAGGTTTATCTTACATCCTGTGACCTTGCTGCACTCACTATTAGTTCTAGGTTTTTGGTTTTGTTTTTTTCTTATGATTCCTTGTGATTTTCCACCTGGACAACAATCTCATCCTTTTTTCTTTCCCATCTGTATGCCTTTTATTTCTTTTTCTTGCCTTATTGCAAAGGATAGAACATCTAGCACTATGTTACCTGTGAGAGAGTAGACCTTCTTGCCTTATTGCTGATCATAGGTGGAAAACATTCAGTCTTTCACTCTTTTTTTTTTTTTTTTTTTTTTTGAGACTGAGTCTTGCTTTGCTGCCTAAACTGGAGTGCAGTGGTGCGATCTCAGCTCACTGCAACCTGCACTTTCTGGGTTCAAGCAGTTCTCCTGCCTCAGCCCCCAAAGTAGCTGCGATTAACAGGCATGTGCCACCATGCCCAGCTAATTTTTGTACTTTTAGTAGAGATGGGGTTTCACCATGTTGGCCAGGCTGTTCTCAAAGTCCTGACCTTGTGATCCACCTGCCTTGGCCTCCCAAAGTGCTGGGATTACAGGCTTGAGCCACCGTGCCTGGCCCCAGTCTTTCACTCTTAAGTATAATATTAGCTGAAGGTGTTTTGGTAGGTACTGTTTATCAAGTTGAGGGAGTTCCTTTCCATTCCTGTTTTTCTGAGAGTTTTTATCATGAATAGGTATGGAATTTTGTCAGATGCCTTTCCTGTATCAATTAATATGATCATGTGATTTTTTTTTTCCTTTAAAGCTTGTTAACATGGTGGATTAAATAGATTGGTTTTTGAATATTAAACCAGCCTTGCATCCCTGGAATAAATTTCACTTGGTCATGGTATATAATTCTTTCTATTTATTGCTGAATTCTCTTTGATAACAGATTGTTAAGAATTTTTTTTGGCTGTTACAGATGTCTGAAAAAGAAAGAAAAAAATGTTGTGTTTGTATTTATGAGGGATATTGATCTGTAGTTTTCTTTTTGTATACTGTCTGTCTGGCTTGGTAATACTAGATTCATAAAATGAATTGGAAAGTGTTCCATCCTCTTCTGTTTTCTGGAAGAGACAGTGTAGAATTAGTATTAATTATTTTTTAGATGTTTAGATGTGGAAGTCTGGGATCCTTACTCTGGCTTTGTTGGCATGGGTGGGTGTGGGGCCACAGTATTTTATGTGGCATTTGGCTGGGGTAGAGCAATTATTGTCTAAACATCTTCCCTCTTGCTAGGCTGCCCCCTGACTAGAGAAAGCAGGCTTCTGTTGTTTTTGTTTGTTTGTTTCTTTGGTTTTTGGTTTGTGTTTACTGCTGTTTCTGGGTTGCTGATTTCTTTAGCTTCAAGTCTGGGATATATGAGGCAGAAAGAAAACCACAGAACTCACCACCATGTTGTTCCCTGGGTCATGAGATCCCTAGCTGGTCAGACGGATTATTTCACCTTTCAGAGTCTTCTGGTGTTTGTTTGGTATAATTTCCAGTTTTTTTAGTTGTACTTACTGGGAAGATTAGGGAAAAGTATATTTACTCCATATTCCTGGAAGTGGAAGTACTGGCTTGCTTTAATTTTATGTTAATTCAGAGTTAGCCAGAGAATCTGTTTATTTCTAAGCCTGTCATAAATCTTTCCAAAACATTTATGTTTCAGCCTTAATATTATATATATAGGCAGGAAGTATGCTATTGTGTGCTTGTAAAATACTTGCTAGTTACTCCTTAAAGTATGGAAGACTCAAAATGCTGCGGAGCCATCTTTCTCAATTTTCGTAGTCCAGATTTATAGTATTAAAAGGCTGTTTGCAGGAGGGATTATGCAAATCAGGAAGAGGAGATGTGGCTGGAGATGAGGATTGTGGCTGGTGAGCAGTATTGAAAGGTGGAGACTACTGAAGAAGAGAAGAGTCCATGAGATGTCTCCAGGAAGGGGAGATGAGACTGGAAGGAAGGATCTGTTCTGGTTCTTGAAGTAGGCAGACATCCAGGGAATCTGTCAGCTCACTTCTGTCATTCATTCATTCATGTCTTTGTAAAGTATTGTTTTGTTTTAATAGTGCAAGTATTATACTGTATAAATACACTCTCACTGTAAAAGATTCAAGCAATAAAGCACTGTCACCTTCCCTTTCCCAGAGGTAATTATCGTTAACAGTTTGGTCTGTATCCCTCCAATCCTTTTCCCACAAATCTGCAAATACCTATTTATAGAGAGAGGCCCTATAGTTTGATGGTGACCTTGGTTAAGTTACTTTACCTCTTAGTGCCTCAGTTGTCTTGTCTCAAAAGTGAGGATTAATAGCAGGACTTTCCTCATAGAATTGTGTTGAGGATTAAATTAGCTAATGTTTGTAATGTATTTAACAGTGACTGGCAGTAGCGTGAGTGTTGTGGCTGTTACCTTAGTGTTATTATTATGTATTCTTATGCAGTACATAGTGTGCCTTGACTTTTCTTTTTCCCTTAACATTATATGTAAGAAGTCTCTCCATGTCATGACATGTCACTCAGCCTCTATTCTTCTACTGGTATGTTTCCCTACTGTAGAATAACTTAGTAACCACTGTGCTGCTGATAAAAATTTAGATTTTTCTTTTTGGTCTGTGAAAAGCAATGCTGATGATGAGTATTCCCATTCATACATCTCTGGGTGTGTGCTGGTGGATCAAAGGATGTGTACATTTTAAATTTCAGTAATTACTATACCAGGTAGCTTTTCAAAAATACTTCACCAATTTATATATACTCCTAGTAAACAGTATATCCAAATAGCTATTTACCCTTGTCCATACCATTACCCTTTATTGTCAGTCTTTTTATTACTTTTCAAAACTAGGAGCTCATTTTGCGAATGTGCAGTTCTGTGATTAGCAATAAGGCTGAGCATCTTTTCATGTTTCTTGGCCTTTTGCATTTGACTGTCAGTTTCCAGTTTTTGTAGCTGGCTCATATGGCTGGCTTTCTCTTCCTGGTTTCTAGGCTTCCCTTATATATTCTGTGTATTGGTTCTTTGCCTGTTATATATGTTACAGATATTTTTCTCTCGGACTGTCAATCTTTCAGTCTTGTTCATAGTATCACATTTTGTTGATATGTTTGTTCCTCTTATCAAAGTTTTGTTTCGTTTTTATGTAATCATATCTGTCAATCTTTTTCTTTCTTTCTTTATGATTGTTATGATTTGTTTGGTCTTAATTCTTTAAAAGACCTGTCTAGATGCTAAAACTAGGAGGTGATATTTTTATGAGAAACAGTGTATTTACAGAGTCTCAGAGTATCTTCCACAAAATAGTTGTTAATTACAAAGGAATAAAAGTGGGGAAACCCAGCAGATACCACTGTAAGCGAGTGATCCAAGTTAACATTACCAGTAATGAGACAATTAGATGTCATGTGCCTGCTGATATGCTACACTGAGAAGGACACAGCATGTAAATGACCACATGGATATGAAAACACATATATACACACATGCGTGGGAATGCAATGTATACATATATAAATACAGAGAAAGAAGGGGAAGCAAACATAGTAATGTTAACATTTTAGGGAATCTGGGGACAGGGTATATAGGAATTATTTGCATTATTTTTGTAGCCGATCTTGAAATATGAAATTATTTTTACATAAAAACTTAAAAAAATTAGAAACAAAAAAGCCTGACTACCTCAGGATAATAGAAATATCATCGATTTTCAGCTAATATACCGTCTATTTTATTGATTTGGCTTTTTAAACATCAGATTTTTATTTTGGAGTGGAGTATAAAGTGGAGTCTAACTTATTTTTTTCCAATTGTGTAGCTATTTTCTGAACACTGTCTTCTCCCTGTGGTTTTGATGAGCTGCATTTGTCATATGCTAGAGGTCTTTGCATATGCACAGATTTATGCTGATTAGAACGCTCGTTTCCTATCCCACAGATGAAACCCACGGCAGCTTCTTTTTCCTTAATATAGGGCCCTTATGCAGGGAATACAGGACATAGGGGAAAAAGAAATAAACTTTATTACCACCTCCTTCTGACCCCTGATGACCCCAAGCCAGACTCCAGCTAGCAGGTGAGGGGCTGATCCTGGAAGCCCCATCCTAGGGGTCTGCGGAAATGCTGGGTGGGCTTTGCCCTTCAGGCTGGGATGTGAGGCCCACGTGCATAGAGGTTGTAGTAGATATAACAGCAGCTACACTGCAGCAGGCCCAGGGCCAGGGGCATAAACAATACTCAGGTTAGGTCAAGTCATACCACTAACAGCAAATCATGCCCTTAACATTCAACGCTACTTTTCTGCTTAAATTTAAAGTACTGCATTATGAGGGCGTTGCAACATCTTGCTTATAACTTAAGGCCTGCTGGCTTCAAATGATTTAGGAAGCAGCCTGCTGACCACAGGAAGAAATCTTGTTGTCGGGTGGCATTTGCTTGGGCCCCAAAGAGAGGGATTTTCCAGAATGTTTTTAGGCCGCATTCTCTTTAATTAATCAATTTAACCTATTCTTCTACAATAGCCCACTGTTTCAGTGATTGCAGGTTTATAGCATCGTTTTTGAAGTTAGCAAATTGTTGATTTTCTAAAAACTGAGGTAAAGTAACATAAAATTAACCATTTTAAAGTGAACAATTTAGTGGCATTTAGTACATTTATAATGTTGAACAACCACCACCTCTATCTAGTTCCAAAACATTTTTATCACCCCAAAAGGAAATCCTGTACCCATTAAAAGTTGCTCCTCATTCTCCCTTCGCTGCCTTCCTCTGGCAACCACCAATCTGTGTTCTGTTGCTATGGGTTTGCCTATTCTGGATATTCCATATAAATGGAATCATATAAGATGTGACCTTTTTTGTTTGGCTTCTTTCACTTAGAGTCATGTTTTCAAGGTTTTTAGAATATATTTTAATGTCTGCTAGAACTATTTCCTTCCTTCTCCTCTTTTTCAAAATTGTTTTGGTTACTACCACATGTTATTTTTTCTAAAAGAACTTTAGATTCAACTCGTCAAATTGCACAAAATACTATGTTTTGATCCTCAGTGCAATTGCAGTGGGTAATAAGTTGATTTGAAGGGATTCGACATATTTGCAATACTGAGTTTTCCTATCTGGGAGCATGATTTGGGTACTTAGGTCTTGTTTTGGTACTTCTTAGTTAAGTTTTAAAGTATCCCACAGATGTTTTGTCATTTCTGTTATTGTACGTACGTGTTTGGTTTCTGTTGCGCATGGATTTTTTTGATAGCTTTATAATTGACATACAATAGACTGCATATATTTAGAGTGTATGATTTGATGAGTTTTGGAGTATGTATGTAAATGTCTGGGACACCATCATCACAGTTAAGATAATGAACATGTTCATCACCCCTAAAAGGTTCCTCCTACCCTTTTACAATGCATCCCTGATTTAGTTTGGGTATTTTGTCACCCTGTATCTCATGTTGAAATGTAATCCCCCGTGGTAGAAGTAGGGCCTGGTGGGAGGTGATTGGATCACGAGGGCGGATTTCTCATGGTTTAGCATTCCCTTTGGGTGCTGTCCTTGAGAGAGAGAGTTCTCGAGAGACCTGATCATTTAAAACTGTGTGGCACCTGCCTTCATTCTCTCACTGCTGCTCCTGCTCTGGCCATGTCACATGCCTGCTCCCACTTCACCTTCCTCCATGAGTAAAAGCTCCCTAAGGCCCCCCAGAAGCCAAGCAGATGCCGGTGCCATGCTTGTATAGGCTGTAGAACCATGAGCCAATTAAACCCCTTGTCTTTATAAATTACCTAGTTTCAGGTATTCCCTGAGACTAGCAATGCAAGAATGGCCTAATACAAGCCATCACTCCCCCAACCCCACTTCTAGGAAACCGTTGGTCTACTTACTTTCTGTCACTGTAGTCTAGGTTGCATTTTCTAGAACTTTATGTAAATTCTTTATTTTGTCTGGCTTTTTTCCTCTCAGAATAATGATCTTGAGATTCATTCATATTGTTGAGTGTGTCCTTGTTTGTTTGTTTAATGAGTAGTGCTCTGTTGTACACCTGTATGACAGTTTACCTGTTGAGGGTTATTTGGCTTGTTTCCAGTTTGGGCTATTAAAGTAAAGCTGCTGTGAACATGCATATGCAAGTCTGTGTGTGGACATACACATTCATTTCCTATGGATAAATACCTAGGAGTGGAAGGGTTGGATTGCACAGTAGATGCATGTTTAACTTTAAAAGAAACTGCCAAATTATTTTCCAAGTGGTTGTATCATTTTATATCCCAGCAGCCGAGCATCTGAGTCTCAGTTCTTCCACATCCTTGCCAACACTTGAGATAGTCATTCTTTTAATCTTAACCATTCTAGTGGATGTGTATTTGTTTATGATTTTAGTTTGCATTTCTCTAACAAGTAATGATTTTGAGCTTTTTTTTTTTTGCCATTAGTATAACTTCTTTGGTGAAGCATCTGTTCAAATTTTTTACCTGCTTTTCACTGGGTTATTTGTCTTATTCAGTTGAAAGGGTTCTTTGTATATTTTAAGTACAATTCCTTTGTTGGATATGTATGAACTATTTTCTCCCAGTCTGTAGCTTGCCTTTTCATTTTCTTAACAGTATTTTTGAAAAGCAAAAGTTTTAAAATTTGATGAAGTCTAGTTTATTTTTTTTCTTTTATAGTTAGTGCTTTTTGTGTTACATTTACTAAATCTTTGCTAGCCCTAAGGTCAAGATTTTTCCTTCTAATCCCTTCTGGAAGTTTTATGGTTTTAGTTGTTATATTTAGATCAATGATGTATTTCAAGTTAATGGTTATATGTGATATGATATATGGATCAAATATCATTTTTTATATATAGCTGTCCAATTGTTCTAGTACCCTTTCTTTAAAAATCATCTGTTCTTCATTGAATTACTTTGGCACTTATGTCAAAAATCAGCTGATCGTAGATGTATAGGCACATTGCTAGACTCTGTTTTATTCCATTGATCTATAAGTCTGCCTGTATGCCAAACCCATACTCTTTGATTACTGTAGCTTTGTAATAATTCTTAACACCAGGTAGTCTTTTAACTTTATTCTTTTTCAAAGTTATTTTGGTCGTTCTAGGTCCTTCAAATTTTAATACAAATTTAAGAATAAGCATGTCAATTTTTACAAAAAAAAAAAGCCTTCTGGGATTTTGATTGGAGTTGTATTAAATGTGTGGGTCAATTCGCAGGTAGTTGACATCTTAACAATATTAAGTCTTCAGATCCATGGATGTGGTACATCTCTTCATTTATGTAAGTCCTCTTTAATTTCTCTCAGCAGTCTTTTAGTTTTAGTGTAAAGTCTGCAGATCTTTTGTCTAATCTTTCAGGCATTTCATATTGTTGATGCTATTGTAAATGGTATTTATTTTTACTTTAACTCCATTCTTGTTGATAGAAATACAATTGATTTTTGTAGATTGACTTGGTATTCTGCAATCTTGTTAAACTCACTTATTAGTTCTTATAACGTTTTTGAATATTTCTTACAACTTCCTATGTAGATAATTATGTTGTGTGTGAATAAAAACAATTTTACTTCTTCCTTTCCAGTCTGTATGCCTCTTATTTCTTTTTGTTGCCTCCCTGAACTGGCTAGAGCATCCAGTACACTATTGAGTAGAAGTAGTGAAATCAAGCATTCTTGCCTTTTCCCAAATCTTAGGGGGAAAGCATTCGGTGTTTCACCATTTAAATATGGCATTTGCTGTGGATTTTGAAATAGATACTATTTAACAGAAAGTACCCTTCCAGAGGGTTTTTAAATCATACATGGATATTGAATTTCATCACATGCTTTATCTGCTTTTATTGAAATTATCATATGGATTTTCTCTTTTTAATTTTAATTTTTTTTTTTTTTATGGAGACAGGGTCTCACTCTGTTGCCCAGGCTGGTATCCAGTCTCAGCTTCCCAGAGTGCTAGGATTACAGATGTGAGCCACCATGCCCAGCCTGGGTTTTCTCTTTTAATCATTTAATATAATGAAATACACTGATTGATTTTTGAGTGTTAAACCAAACTTCCATTTCTGGAATAAATCCCCCATGGACATAATAAATTGTCCTTTTAATATATTGTTAGATTCAATTTTCTAAAATTTTGTTAAGAAATTTTATGTGTATGTTCATAAGGAATATGGATTGGTCTGTGGTTTTCTTATAATATCTGGTTTTAGTATTAGGGTAATACTGGTCTCATATACTGAGTTGAGAAGTGTTCCTTTCTTGCCTGTTTTCTGAAATATTTAATGTTTATTTGGTATTATTTATTCTGTAAATATTTGCAGATTTTACCAGTGAGGCTCTCTGGGCCTGGATGTGGGAAGGTTTTTAAACAACAGTTCAATTTTTTAAATAGATGTAGTGTCATTCAGGTTATCTATTCTTAAATGAGCCTTGGTAGTTTGTGTCTGCTAAGGAATTTTTCATTTAATTTAATTTTTCTAATTCCTGGGCATAAAGCTGTTCAAAATATTTCCTTGTTATCCTTTTAATGCTTCTAAGATCTGGAGAATGTACTCTCTTTTATTCCCAATAATGGTAATTGGTGTCATCTCTCTTTTTTTCTTGCTCAGGCTGCCATCCTGGATCAAATAGTAGTTCTTTTTTTAGTTCTTTCCATTTTATTTTTGGTTATAGTCTTAGTTTTATCAATTTAATCAATCTTCTCAAAGAACCAGCTTTTGGTTTTATTGACTTTTTCTATTCTTGTTTTTAACTTTATTGTGTTCACTTTTTAAAATTTTTTCTTCTGCTTACTTTGGGTTAAATGTTCTATTGTTTAAGGTGGAAGTTTTGGTCATTGATTTGAGACCTTTCTTCTTTTCTAACATAAGCATTTAATGCTATGAATTTCCCTCCAAACTCTGAATTAGCTGCATCCCTCAAATTTTGTTGTGTTGTATATAATTTTAATTCCATTCACAATGCTATCTAATTTCTCTTCTGACATCTTTTTTGACCCATAAATTATTTAGATGTGTGGTTTTTTGTTTCCATGTATTTGGGGACTTCTAGATATGTTTCTGTTACTAAGAATATATTCCGTGTGGTCAGAGAACATAGTTTTATGGCTTACAATATGAGTCAGCAAACTTTTCTGTAGAGGGCCAGATAATGTATATTTTAAGCTTTGTGAGCTATATGATCTCCATTGTATATTATTATGTTTTCAACTCTTGAAAAAATATAAAACTATCTGTAATTTATAATCTGTACACAAACAGGCTACAGGCTGGATTTGGCCTGCAAGCTGTGATTCATTGACTTCAGCCTAGAGTGTGATCCGTCCTAGTGAATGTTCCACATACACTTGAAAAGAATGTATATTCTTCTTCTGTTGCAGTTGAGTGTCCTACAGATGTCAATTAGGTCAAGTTGGTTGATAGTATTGTTCAAGTTTTCTATATTATTCCTGATTTTCTGTCAATTTGTTCTATCAATTATTAAGAGAAGGGTATTAAAATCTCTGACTATAATTGTGGATGAGTCTATTTTTTCTCAGTGCTATAAGTTTTTGTTTCCTGTATTTTGGTGTTCAGCCATTAGTTGCATAAACATTAAGGAATGATATGTCCTCGTGATTAATTGACCCCTTCATCATTATTAAGTGACCCTCTTTATCCCTGTTAATATTCCTTTCTCTGAAATCTACTTTGTCATATATTAGTATAGCCACTACAGCTTTCTTTTGATTTGTGTTGGCATGAAATATTCTTTTCCATCCTTTTGCTTTGAACCTATCTGTGTCTTTATATTTGAAGTGGGTTTCTTGTAGACACCGTATTATCTAGTCTGACAATTTCTTCCATTTAATTGTGGTGTTTAGCCATTTACATTTAACATGATTATTGATGTGGTTGGGTTTAAATGTACCAATCTTGCTTTTTGTTTAATTAATTTTTTCCCATCTGTTGTTTTTTCCCCTTTTCCTATTTTTCCAACATTTTTTATTAATTATTTTTATCTCATTTTATTTCCTCTGTTGGCTTACCAGTTCTATTTCTTTTTGTTGTTGTTGTTTCTCAGTAGTTGCTTTTGAGTCTATACCATGTATCTTTAGCTTATCACAGTCTACTTTTAAGTAATACACAACTTCATGTGTAGTGTAAGAACAGGATGTTTATTGTTCCTCTTCTAGCCCTTGTGCTATTGTTGGCATACATTTTTTTTCTACGTATGTCATAAACTCCACAATACATTGTTATCATTTTTGCTTTAAAGTTTTATTATCTTATAAAAGACTTAAAAATAATAACATAGTCTTTTATAGTTATCCCTATGGTACTATTTCTAGTGCTCTTCATTGTTTTGTGTAGATCTGCATTTGTGTAGATCTGCATCTGATATAATTTTCCTTCAGCCTGAGGAACTTTTTTGAACATTTCTCATAGTGTTGGTTTGTTGGTGATATATTCTCTCAGCTTTTGTTTGTCTGAACAAAGTCTTTATTTTGTCTTTGTATTTGAAGGATGTTTTCCTTGGGTATAGAAATCTAAGTTGGCATTTTCTTTCAGTACTTTAAAGATGTTGCTACAAATACAAAAAATTAGCTGGGTGTGATGGTGCACACCTGTAATCCCAGCAGCTCAGGAGGTTCAGGTGGGAGAATCACCCGAGCCCGGGAAGTCAAGGCTGCAGTGAGCTGTGATTGCGTTACTGCACTCCAGCCTGAGCAACAGAGTGAAACTCTGGAAAAAAAAAAAAAAAAAAAAAGATGTTGCTCCATTATCTTATGGCTTGCATTGTTTCTTATAAGAAGTCTGCTGTCATTCTTACATTTGTTTCTCTGTACATAGAGGGTTTCAGGCTGTCTTTAAGATTTTCTCTTTATCACTGGTTTTAAGCATTTTGATTATGATATACCTTGGTGTAGTTTTCTTAATGTTTATTCTGCTCAAGGCTCATTGATCTTCTTGAATTTGTGGGTTTACAGTTTTCATCAAATTTGTAATATTTCTGTTTATTATTAAAGTATTTCTTGTTCAGTTCTCCCTTTCTGGGACTCCAGTGACATGTATATTGAACCACTAGATATTGTCCCACAGCTTAAATAGCTAGAAAAACACATGGAAGGAAATAACAAAGATATAATCAGAAATTAAAAGTAAGAGAAAAGGAGGGAGAGATGTTAATTAAGAATTGAGTCTTTGTAAAAAGCATAATAGATAAACTTCTGGCAAATCTAATAGTAAAATAAAATAATATAAAGATAAGGAAAATTTATTTGGGAAAAGGAAAGTAAGAATATAGGAAATTTCAAAATTATAAAAGAAGATGATGTGTAGCTCTTATGTACTGCCATGTGTGACTGAAATTGAAAATCCTGATGAGTTAGATAATTTCTACTGCTATCTAAGAACAAATCCTAAAAAGCCTGTATCCAAGGAAGAAATTGGAAATGTTGTTAGAGAATTATTTACAACAAAAGCACTAGGCCCAAATTGCTTTAAAGTAACATTCTCTCAAATTACCAAGGAACAGTTAATTTTTACATCGTACAAACTATCCTAAAGCTTTGAAAAAAGATTGGACGCTTCTTCATTTGTTTTACAGAGCTAATTTACCAAGGTCAGTTTTACAATTGACCTTGCTAATGTAAATGGTACTGTTTCCCCCACCTCATTTTATTTTTTAAAATGGTTATTGGTGTGGTTTACATGTTTTGCATAAAGGAAAATTAATTTTTGGCCAGGCGTGGTGGCTCACACTTGTAATCCCAGCACTTTGGGAAGCCGAGGCGGGGGTATCACCTGAGGTCAGGAGTTCGAGACCAGCCTGGTCAACATGGTGAAACCCCGTCTCTACTAAAAATACAAACATTAGCTGGGTGTAGTGGCGGGCGCCTGTAATCCCAGCTACTCAGGAGGCTGAGGCAGGAGAGTTGCTTTAACCTGGGAGGTGGAGGTTGCAGTGAGCCGAGATTACACCATTGCACTCTAGCCTGGGTGACAGAGTGAGACTCCGTCTCAAAAAAAAAAAGAAAATTAAAGTTTTAAAAATAGATTTCTCTTACATTCAACAACCTCATTGAATTCTTGTTTCTAATTCCCTCCCTTGCTTCCTGGCTGTTCCATGACCCTTTAGATTATGGTTTAGGATGACAAATTTATGAGGTATGTATATGATGGGAAATTATGTGATTACAAACTACCGTGTGTGTAGGGAGTGGCAGGTGATTGGAGAAGAATGTAAGAAGTGATCGACCTGTGGACTAAGCAAATACACGTTGACTCCGTTCTCCACGCTCCTTTCTTAAGGCCTATTGGATTGTCTTCTAATGCATTTCCCTAACTCCATTCTAACCTTCTCCAGTCTTCCCTGAACTGTTGCCAGTGGAAACTTTCCAAAAGATGAGGTTACTCACCTGCTTAGAATTGTCCTCTGGCTCTCTGTTTTTAGACTTACAGGCAAATTCGTTGTTTTACTTACCACCAAGCGCTGAGCACCTAGCACTCAGTAAGTGTTTATGTAATGAATGGACTTCACTGGCATCTGAGAGTTGTTTAGATTTGCTCCTTCCCTAATTTTCATGTTCTCATTCTGCCCCCACTCACAGTTCCTCAGAGGTGCTGTGCCCATCCTTGCCTCTGTGCTTTTGTGCATGCCCACCATTCCTCTCCCTGTGGAATTATGTTCTGGTTCTGTGTGTTTCAATGGCACCCTTTTCCTCCATTGCAGTGCTTACCACTCTTTAATTACAGTTTAATTACAGTTACCACTCTTTAATTACTTCTCTGTGTACTGAGCCCCATGAGGAGGAGGCCACAGAGCTATGCCTTTCGCATAGCTGTACCCCCAGTACCCAGCACAGGGCCTGGTGCACACATTCTCCACCAGCACACACAGGATGTTTATTGAATTGAATTAGCTGGCTCCTTTCTGTTTGGCCTTCTTGTGTCTGGGATATTGGATGCCAACATCCAGCTAAGTTATGTTTGTGTTAAACATGAATTGAAATGCAATTACAGCTGGCAATGTGCTTTGAGAGCTGAGTAATAGAGTACATAAGAAGAGTGACTTAGGCACGAGGACCAGTTTATCTCCTTTCCTTTCTTGCCTCCTGTCATCGGGCATGACTCATGAACGGCGCGAGTTCAACTTGTCTTCTCTTAAATCCCATCACTTCAACTCTTCCTGCCCTCCTTGTCTTGATGGGTCTCTTTCAGGGCCCCTTTGTTAAAACCAGCAAGAAGCCCAGAGCCAGGCCTTGCAGTCTGAGTTGGTTGGAGCCAGAGGAGGCTGCACTCCCCACTCCAGGGCAGAGGTGGGGCCAGCACCATGGGTAGGAGTGTGCACGGGGCTGCTGAAATGCTGGCTGGATCACTAGTTTTCACTACTAATCACATCCTGCTAGTGCCCTAGCTAAGGCAAACATGGTGTCTTTTATCAAAGATGTTGCCACTTTACCTTAGACCCATTGCTTTCATAGCCTTCTCGAATTGCATTCAGGAATTGTGTCTTAGGTTTGGACCCACCTTGAGGTTAATTGATTTGGCTTGATAGAAAAACTCCTCCCTTCTTGTTCTTTTGTTTGTTTGTTTGTTTTGTTTTGAGATGGAGTCTTGCTCTGTTGCCCAGGCTGGAGTGCAGTGGCGCAATCTCCACTCACTGCAAGCTCCGCCTCCCGGGTTCACGCCATTCTCCTGCCTCAGCCTCCCAAGTAGCTGGGAATACAGGTGCCCGCCACCAGGCCTGGCTAATTTTTTGTATTTTTTAGTAGAGACGGGGTTTCACCGCGTTAGCCAGGATGGTCTCTATCTCCTGACCTCATGATCCACCTGCCTCGGCCTCCCAAAGTGCTGGGATTACAGGCGTGAGCCACCGCGCCTGGCCTGTTTTTTGGGATTTTTTTTGAGAGGGAGTCTTGCTCTGTCACCCAGGCTGGAGTGCAGTGGTGCAATCTTGGCTCACTGCAACCTCCGCCTCCCAGGTTCAAGTGATTCTCCTGCCTCAGCCTCCTGAGTAGCTGGGACTACAGGTGCCTGCCACCACACCCAGCTAATTTTTTTTTTTTTTTTTTGTATTTTTAATAGAGACGGGGTTTCACCGTGTTAGCCAGAATGGTCTCGATCTCCTGACCTCATGATCTATCCACCTCGGCCTCCCAAAGTGTCTTTTTTTTTTTTTTTTAAGAGACAGAGTCTCGCTCTGTTGCCCAGGCTGGAGTGCAATGGTGCAATCTTAGCTCACTGCAACCTTCGTCTCCCAGGTTCAAGTGATTCTCCTGTCTCAGCCTCCCGAGTAGCTGGGATTACGGGCATCCACCATCGTGCCCAGATAATTTTTGTATTTTTTGTATTTTTGTAGAGACAGGGTTTCACCATGTTGGCCAGGCTGGTCTCAAACTCCTGACCTCAGATGATCCGCCTGCCTTGGCCTCCCAAAGTGCTAGGATTACAGGCATGAAACACTGCACCCGGCCTCCAGAATCTTTCAGACCATGCAGTTGCTTATTAATATACCTTTCTATTGTTTCTCTAAATCAGCTGGCATGCTCATTTTATAAATCCACTTTCCTGGGTCCAAAGGGAGATTTCATCAAACTTTAGAGATGGAGCAGAGGAAGAGGGAAGTTTTTATTTATTAGCAGTTATTTATTAAGCCCCCACCACGGGCCTGTACTGGGTACTGCAAACTGAGTGGTGAATGGTCAGATGTAGCACTTGCCTGCATGGAATTTACAGACCCAGACTGAAGGATTAAAATGAAAACAGGGGTAGCAGAGATTGGAGCACCCTCCAGTGGCCCTCTTCCTTCCCAAGATTAATCCCAGTAGGTGAGTTCTCATTTCCACATCTTCCTGCCTGGCTTTTGCTTGGAATTCCCTCCCTCATTGTGCTGTCAATCTCTTCCCCTCCTCTGTGTCTTCCTTTCCACAAAGACATGCCTCTGTCCCCTCTGTTCTTAGCAGATGCGGCCTCCGCCACCCTCCCTTCATCTCACCAGCTCCTCCAGCCACCATCTTTGTATGCCCTACTCCCCAAAATCGTCCCTGCTTGCCATCTCCTCTTCATTATCCCCACTCACCCCTCAATTCCTAAATTGTCTAACTCAGTGGCTCTTTCCTAATCCGTATTCTTCTCAACCTCATCTCTACTTTGGTTACTGTTGACCAATTTCCTCCTGCCTTAATATATTCATTTTCTGAATGCAGAACTAGTACATGTTCATTATGGACTATGTAGAAGATGTTAAAAAGCACAAGGAAGAAAATAAAAGCGACCTGTAATCCTACAACTCAGGAAAACTATTGTCCACACTTTAACTGTGTTTAGTTTGTATGTGTGTGTGTTTTAGCAGTAATGGGATTCTATTTATATAAATTTTATAACGTGCTTATTATTGCATCATATTTTCTTATTGTATTTTTGCAGTATTTTCTTAGATCATCGGATATTCTTCTATAGTCCTTCTTTCCTAAAATGCTGCATTCCTTCCATTTGATTTCAGCTGCATTCAGCTTTGTTCCTCTCTGACCCCCCTTCTTGTAGTAGCCTCTCCCTCACTGTGCACCCTGCCCAGTTCCCACCCAGCCTCCTGCACTGAGCATTCTTCTCTCACTTGGCGTCTGGCCCTGCCAGGCGCCGAGCTTCTGACTCCACGCAGCCAGCCTGTGCTCTCCGTAGCACGGGGCCTCCATTTCCACCAGGCTGCTGGACAAGCCCACAAATCGTGACCGGCTGACACCTCAACCTGAATATTCCCAAACCGAACTCCTCTTCTGTTTCCTTACCACTCCCAATAGAAGACCCAACCTACAACCACCCTTCTTCTGAATGTTCCCACGAGACAGAGGCCAGAATCCTTCCAAGGCTTCTCTGCTAGCCCTACCTGCCAGCACCCCATCAGGCATTTCTTCATCTTTTCATCCTCCTCTTCTGTCTCTGCTACCAGCTGGATAAGGTCCTCACAAGTCTTGACGCGGGTAGTTTCTTCTAAGCAGTCTCTGGTGCCTCCCATCTCGACTCCAGGTTTCTCCTATAAGCGCCACTCTGAGAATTTCTCCTTCCTGCCCGGGGCTCTCCAGCCACGCTCCCCCTCTTGCTCCCTAGGATGGGGCAGGTCCTAAGACAGCACCTGCCCTGCAGCCTCCCAGGTTCCAGCTCCTCCCACCAGATCTCTGTGGTCGTATGGTCTGCTCTCTCTCTCTCATCCGCGTGGCCAGTGGTCCAGCCAACCCCACGCTTCCCACATGTGCCGGGGAGGACCCACACCCTGGCCTTTTCTGTCCTTTCTTCTAGGGGTGCGCCTGCCCCTCTGCCCCTACTTCGTTTCTGCCTGCCAGCACTTTATGATGCATCCCACCTGAAGATGCCTTTGGTTCTGTTTATCCTCCCAGCAGCCTGCCTCTTCTCCTTCTGCCTTATGCTTGCTTTTGAGAGCTCTCAGCACTTGGCGCTCCCTTACAGCACGGAGGTGATTCTGTCTTACACTTCTGATGACACCAAATATCCATACTGTGTCTGCCCCTGCACTAGTTGCTTCCACACACAGTATTTATTTCACACAATAACCCTGCCAAGTTACTATTGCAGTCTTGTTTTACAAGTAAGAAAGCAAAGCCTCTGAGAGCTCAAGGGTGTGGCTGAGTGGAGGTCAAACCCAGGTCTCCTGCCTCTGTGTGGCTCTCTTCCCTGCGCCCTCACTCCTGATTCAGCTCACCTGGGAGCCATCCTCGGAGGGAGGGGAGGGAGTGCCTGACATATCATAAATGGCTAGAGAATGTTTGCTGAAAGAAAAGGAAAGACTTGTGTCCTGAAGAGATGAATTGCAGCTTAGTGATGATGGCACATGCTGGGGAGGGCTCTATTTGATGCCAGGCCCGCCTGCATATCTAGGTGCGGAAGGGAAGCAGTGGTTTCCGATGCAACGCCGATACTTGGCATTGATTAAGTGATTACTTTGTACTGACCAAAGCACTTTCTTTGGTGCTGTAACTACAACTGTATGAGCTAGGACCTACTGTTTCCATTTATAGAGACAAAAGCCGAGGCTCAGAGAGGTTAAGTAACACAGCCAAGGCCACACAGCCACTACTGGTTTGTGAATCCAGGATTTGAATCACATCTGTCTAGTATCAAGGCCCATGTTTTAAACTCTGTATGCTGCTGGCCTGCGAGGCTGGTATTGGGTGATGTGGAGCAAACATTGTTATCCCAGATTCCAGCCAGGAAGGGGCTTTGGAGCCTGCCCTGCTTTGCTTTTTCTTCCTTCTCTGCTCAGCAGATGCACCCTCCATAATGAAATCACCTTGAACTCCTTGGATACCGTGGTAGAGAGAGGGTTGGAGAACCTTGTCTTTAAAATTTTTTAAAAAAAATCACATGACATTTAAAAAATTATCAAAGCTCATCTCAGAAAATCTAAATCATGTAGAATTCTATCAACCAAAGAGTGAAAATATTACCTTTCTTTTTTCCTCTAATGCCAATACATCTCGTTGACAGTTTGCAAGTATCTTTCTAGACTTATGTTTTTCTTTTTACCAAAAAAGTATTTATTTTTAATTAAATAAGGAATAGAAGAATATCTTTTATCTAAAAAAATTAAATAATAACAGCCAAGGCTTAAGTACCTTTCAACCACACCAGTTTGCTCATTTTTCTTCCTGACTTTTTTCTCTGCATTTATATGTAAATGACTTACAGAAATACATCGTTGTAATTTGTGTTTTTAATATAAATTAGATCATGCCATCAGCTCATGCTTTATTTTTATGAAGATGTACATATGTCATGTAGATCTTTCTAGACTCGCGTGTGTAGACCCTCCACACTCTTGTTAACGGGTGTGTGATGCTCCGTGGTTGAGTGAGGGCCACAGGAGCCTTCTGCTGCTCAGCCTGTAGTTCTTTTACCTTCAGTTTTTCACTGAACAAAGCTTTTAGTGCATGCTTCCTTGTTAACGTTGTTGGATTTAGCAAATAAAAATACAGGATGAACATTTTGAAAAAATTTTTAATTAAGAAAGGTATTTGTTGTTTGTCAGAAATTTAAATTTCACTGGGTGTCCTGTATTGTCTGTAGCAACTCCATTCCTTATGCACATTTGTGAGATTTGAAATAAAAAGTTTCTTCTTCAGGTCTATTGTCTGATTTTTAAAATTAAAAAGTTATGTTACAAAATATTCCAAATATATAGAAAAGTATAGGGAACAATGTAGCAAATGTCTATGTATCCACCATGCAGCTCTTCCAGGTCTTGATGTTTCACCAAATTTCTGTCAGATTTCTTTTTTAATAAAAGAAAGAAAACATTATTGATGCCCATGCAACCCCCAGGCCCATGCCTCCCTCCTTTCCAGAGTCTCTACTGCTCTGAGTTTGGTGTTTTTCATTCCTAGGTATCTTTCCATGTTTTCACACTTTATATAGGTGATATCCTACATGGGATATACGTCACACTTATATGTATTTTTCACGTGGGTTTTTTTTTGTTTGTTTTTTTGTTTTTTGGCAGATTTTCACTCTTGTTGCCCAGGCTAGAGTGCAATAGCGCAATCTCAGCTCACTGCAACCTCCGCCTTCCAGGTTCAAATGATTCTTCTGCCTCAGCCTCCCGAGTAGCTGGGATTATAGGCATGTGCCACCACACCCAGCTAATTTTGTATTTTTAGTAGAGACGGGGTTTCTTCATGTTGGTCAGGCTGGTCTCGAACTCCTGACCTCAGGTGATCCACCCACCTGGGCCTCCCAAAGTGCTGGGATTACAGGTGTGAGCCACCATGCCCAGCCAGCATGTTTTTTTTTCTTAGCATTGTTCTTGAGATATTTTTCCTTGCTGATACAGCTCTAGTTCATGTATTTTCAAGGGGTATAGAATTATATTCCATGAATATACTATAACTTAGTTATTCATTCTTCTGTTGGTGAGGATTTGGGTCATTTTCAATAATGCAATACTATAAACAATGTTGTAAATAATATCCTTTTGTCTTTATGCTAAGGATTTCTCTAGGGAACAAGTTAGGAATAGAATTGCCGGTCATTTTCGCCTTTCTGGATATGGACATGTGCCCTCTGAAGTGGCGTGCAGGTTCAGGTTTGTACTCCACTCATTTTGTTGGACATTTGCAGTTTGGTCAGTGATTTGCTGTGAATGGTCTAGCACTGCCATTTTGCTTGTGGGTGATGTCTTTTTCTTATTGCTTGGGAGGGGCTCTTTTTTTTTTTTTTTTTTCCCCAGACAGAGTCTCGTTCTGTTGCCTAGGCTGGAGTGCAGTGGCGCCATCTCAGCTCATTGCAGCCTCTGCCTCTGGGTTCAAGTGATTCTCCTGCCTCAGCCTCCCGAGTAGCTGGGATTGCAGGCGCCCACCACCATGCCCAGCTAATTTTTGCATTTTTAGTAGAGACTGGGTTTCACCGTGTTGGCCAGGCTGGTCTTGAACTCCTGACCTGAAGTGATCCACCCACCTCGACCTCCCAAAGTACTGGGATTGCAGGTGTGAGTCACCGCGCCTGGCCTGGAGGGGTTTTTTATTTCCTTATTTTGGATGTTAATCTATTGTCACTGTGCACTGCTCCCAGTCTAAGGCTTATCTTTTTACTTTGTGTCTTGTGTCTTACAAAGGATCCCTTTGGGATCCCTAGGGATACTACAAAGTATCCAAGTTTTCAATTTTAGGGTAGTAAGATTCATCAGCCTATTCTTTTATAGATGGTTTTGTACATGTCCATCTATTTCTTTAATAATTCTCTCTATTTAAACATAAATATACTCCACATTTTTTTCTAAAAGTTTGGAAGTTTTGCTTTTCACATTTCATCTTTAATCCATCAAGAATTTGTTTTTGACAAATTGAGGTAGGGCTCAACTTAGTTTTTCCTCTGTAGTGACGATCAGGTGTCTGGGTACTATTGATTGACTAGTCCCTACTTCAGCCACTGATGCGTCACTGGCAGTGCCGTGGTAGACCAGGTATCCTGTGGCTGAGAGGAGCCGGCCTTCCCCTGGGTGCCGACCAGCCGCAAGGCAACCTCTAGGCTGCTGATGCTGCTCTCTGCAGGCTTGTGGAGGTCCAGGGCCGTGTCATAGCTTGGCCGTCTGGGTGCGACAGAAACGGGAGCACTTCTGGCCCAGAGCCTCCTTCCTGATGACTTGGAACAGGGAGGACGTACCTGCTGCGATGCGGCCAGGTGCCCTGCCTATGTGTATCTCCCATTTCCTGTCTCGTGGGCCCCCCACGGAACTGTCTTCCCTGCCTGGCTCCCTTCGGCCATCAGGAGGTGCAGAGCCAGGGCTCCTAATCCCTTCACCTCTACAAGGGCTTTTGCTGGGAATAGGGACCTGCTTTCTGCCTCCCTGCCCAACCTCAGGAAGCCATCCCCTCTGTGCCTGGCATGGCTAAGGCACCTGTGCCACAGGTAGAATGAGGAAAGGGCTATCTTGTGTAGTCCTAGATGCACCAGGCTTTAGTCTTTGTGTGTTTTTCCTACCATGCATTCTTTTCATGGTTCAATGGTTCAATCAGCTGTTTGGCAAATATCTGATTGTGTACTGTAAACAAGGCATGGGGCTAGGTACTCAGAAAAATATTCCGTGAATAAGATAAGATCTTTACTTTAAGGACCAGAGATAATAGTAAGTAGGTAACATTTTTTTAGTGTCACCATGTGCCAGGCCTTATGCTAAGTACTTCTAGAAATACTAACAGCTTTATTGAGATATAATTCATATACCACAAAGTTCACTTTTTAAGAGTGTACAATCCATTGGTTTTTAGTATAGCCACAGATTTGCACAACTATCACTGCCACCTAATTTTGAACATTGTCATCACCTGCTAAAGAACGCTCCACTCATTAGCCATTCTCTCCATCAACTCTTCCTGCCCCCCAGTCCCTGGCAGCACCAATCCACTTTCTGTCTCTAGGGATTTCCCATTTCTAGACTTTTCATGTAAACAAAATAATGTAATATGTGGTCTTTTGTGTCTATCTTATTTTATTTAGCAAACTGTTTTCAGGGTTCTTCTAAGTTGCATTATGTATCAGTATACCATTCCTTTTATGACCGAATACTATTTCATTGTATGGCTATGCCACATTTTTATCAGTTGATGAATGTTTGGATTAGTTCCTCATTTGGTAATTAAGAAAACATGCTGTCATGAACATTCACATGCAAGTTTGTATGTAGACGCTTGTTTTCATTTCTCTTGGGTATATACCTAGGAGTAGAATTGCTGGGTCATATGCTAACTCTATGTCTAACATTTTGAGGAACTTCCAGACTGTTTTCCAAAGTGGCTGCACCCTGTTACAATCCCACCAGAAGTGCAGAGGGCTCGCATTCGTCCACATCCTTGCCAACATTTGGATTGCCTGTCCTTTTAATTGTCCTGTCCTTTTAACTACCATAGTGGTTCTGAAGTGGTATCTCATTGTGGTTAAGTGCCTTTTGTGCTTTCTCTCATTTAATCCTTACAAATAATCCTATGAGGTAGGTATTATTTCTATTGTCATTTTTAGGTGAGGCTCAGAGAGTAAAAGAGTGACTTTGGAAAACCCTAGTATGTAAATGGCAGAGCTGGGACTTGAACTCGAATCTACCCAACTTCAGAAATCCAAGTTCTTGCCTGCTGGGATCATCACAGAGGCTGTAGAGTAGGGGATTCTTTCAGCCAGGCCCTAAATAATGAGATCATTTCAACAAGACAGATGCGAGAGGGAGCAACACGAGCAAAGGCAGGGAGGCAGGAAATGGCGGGGCACAGTTAGGAAAGACCTGTCTGAGAAGGAGAACTAGAGTGGAAAGCGGGTACAGTACTAGGGTTAGACATAGAGGCCCAGAGGGGTGCAAGGCCAACAGGGCTGGGTGGTCCACTGTGTCCCTGTGCCCCGTGAGTGGAAAGGACCACCTGAAGACTGAGGCAGATGCATTTGTCTCAGGGAACAGGTTTATGTTTTTCATTTCTTTTGCTAAAAAAAAGAGACATTTCAGCTAAAGGTATAAGAAAATGATGCAAATAAAATCAGAACCGAAAAACTGAGAGTTCCTGACCTCTTCACTGGATTAGTCAAATGCCTCTTCCTTTCACTTTATATTTGTAGAAAGCATCTTGAGCACACCACCTGTTAGGGAGTCCACGGATGGTTGGATAGGCTCCTTGCCTCTGCTGTGCCCACGCTGCTCTTATTGAGTTTAAGTGGCTCACAGTTGCCCGCTGTCTGGCCTGGGCCAAGTGTGTGTGTTTCCACTGCTGATGATCTAACATACCCAGAGGCCTATGAACTTCATTCTTGTTCATCGTGTCAGCCAGATATTTCCTTTGGAATGTCTGCAGGATTTCCTGGCCCCTTTCATTGCTTTCTGTCTGCTGAATACACCTTTGAATTGTGGGTGGGCTCTCTTGAAACACCGGTGTGTAAACAGATTGATGAAATTGGTGGTTAGCTTGTCTTTTGAGAGTTTCTCTTTGGCAAGGAGCACTCAATTCCAACGTTGAAGAACCTCTGACGGTTGAAATGATTGACTGCGCCGCTCCTCTTTAGGTGGCTTAGTTGGATAGCTGATTTACAAAGTGCTTCTCAAGTTTAAATCCAGCGGATTTTTATTTTTCACCCCATCAAATGAAGTATTTACCATTATTTTTCTTATAAAAGCTATATATGCTCATTACCAAAAAAGCAGAAATACAGGGGAAAAAAAAGAACATTAAAAATACTCATAATCTCAACTGTGCAGAGCCAAACAGTGGTTAATGCTTTGCTTTATATTTGCCTAGATCCTTTTCTATACAGATAATTGTTTTGAAAACAAACTAAAGTATTGTACTTTATAAACCATGTTGTAACTTACTCTTTCTCCTGAACTTTCCGTGTTAGTGTGTGTATGTGTACAAAGTTGTTTCAAATGGCTGTTGAGTCTTCTATTGTGAGGATGTCCTCTAATCATTAGAAATTTATCATCTCCCACTCTTACCTTTATAAACTGAGCCCCAATAAACATGTCAATAACGCTCATCCCATCTTACCAGGCTCCAGTTACAGAGCCCCACTTTCTGTCCCTTTAATATGACAACTTTATTTCTACCCTAGGGTCTTCACAGTAACTGTCTCCCAGGCCTCCGGCCCCCAGATCTTTCAGGGATTAAGGGAGTCCCTTGAACCAGGGAGGCTGCTTACATTTAACCTCAGCGGTCTCTTTACAGTGAACATGCCTTACAGGCCAGCCTCAGGTAGTCAGTCCCACTGTCCAGTGGGCTGTTCAGGGCTTCCTGAACGCACATCATCCTCTGTGACTGCTGCACAGTGGCCCAGAATGTGACCTCTGAACTCAAGCTAGAGAAAGCAATCAGAGACCTGGGCTATGTGAGACAGGGGTGGGGGCCAGGTCCCGAAAGGTTTGTAGAGCCTTGTGTCGATTCTGTGGCACTGGCAGCCACCATCCCAGGGACTGCCTGGGTGCTGCAGCTCCGTCCCCAGCCATCTGCATGTTCAGTTTTGGTGGACTGTAGCTGTGGGGAAGGCTGGAATCAGCTGGACTTGCAGCTTTGGACATTGTCACCCACTTGGGAACACACTAACAAGCTAACTAGGAGTGAGATTATGTTGCATTGCTAGTCATGTCCCTGATGGCAGCAATAGCGGCAGCTTGCCTAAAAGAAATAACGAATTATCATACTATCTTCCATGAGATATTTCCCCAGCTCTCTTTCAAAGTTAAAATTTGCTTTTACTTTAACAAAGTGATGCCTGCGTGCACAGTTTAAAAAATCAGAGTGCTCATAAGAAAATATAGCAGCCCCTGCCCTGTCTCCCCACCTTCACCTTTTTATTTCCTAGAGGCATTTATTTTCCACTTTTTAAGATTTTTTTCCCTCTAGTACTTTATCTCCATATTTCTAAGTAATTTTATTATATTGCTTATTTCTTGATTATTTTCTTCTCTTATAATCTCCTCCCATTAGGCAGTATCACAATTTTTGGTGGATTAATGCTTAGTGTTTACATAGATTACAATGCAGACATTGAATACCACTGAATCAAGTAACATATTAGGAGTGTGTGTTCTTTCTCATACAACCTTTTATTTTTTTCTTGGAATTAATCAGACTTGTTTCATTCATTTGAGGAGTTGTCCGGGTGCCTATTGATTTTCACAGTACGTTCTTAAAATGTCTTTTTAATTTTTAAATTGATTCTTTTTTTTTTTTTTTTTTTGTCAAATAGCCTTAGGTGCATTGTTTTCATTGTTCTAAATGCTCTAAGGCAGTTGTCACATGCCCATCCCTATTTCTTTCGAACGAGAAAGTACAGTTCTAAATGCTCTCCCCTCCACATCCCCTCCTCCCCAGAGGTTGCTGCCCTGACGTCTCTTCCTTTCCCTGTCTGGGCCTGGGCGTGCTGCTGTCCTCTGGCTGCTGTGCTGTGTGGGTTCTGTTTCCTGGAGTTTATGGTTTCCCCTTTATTGATTTAATCCTCGGTTCTGCTGATGCATCCTCCAGTAGCTTCCTCAGAAAGGGCCCCTGGGAGATAAACTTTTTAAGTCCTTGCACATCGGCAAAGGTCTTTATTCTACCCTCACACTTAATCGATAATGGGCTTAGATGTGGAATTCCAGAGTTCCTCAGAATTTTGAAGACATTGTTATCTTGTCTTTTAGTTTCTAATGTTGCAGTTAGGAAGTCTGATGCAACATGATTCCCGTCCCTTTGTATGTGACCCGTTATTTTTCTCTGCAAGTGTTTAAGGTGGTTTCTTTATCCCCAGTGTGGTGGGATTCTCGGTTCTTTCGTTTTGGGGTGGGTCTTTTTCATCCACTTTTGTGGAAACACTCAGGACCTCTTTAACACAGAGGCTCCCCCTCCCCTCCGGTTTTTATTTTAAAAGTTCTTTCTGAAACTTTTTGTTAGCTGGATGTTGTCTTGACCCTTCAGTTTTCATTCCTATAATTGATCTCTTCATCTCTGTACTTTACCTTCTGGAAGATTTCCTCAGCTTTCTCTTCCAGTGTTTACAGTTTCTAATCTCTTTATATTGTCCTCAAATTGTTCCTTTTTAAAAACGTTTTCATAATACTCTGTTCTTGTTTGGTATTTGCAGTCTATTCACTCATCCCTCTGAGGATTTAATTACAGACTGGGTTCTCTGTCCTGAGCCGGCACTGTTTCCCCCTATTCTCTTTGCTACCTTCAAGCTCCCTTTTTTCTATTTTGGGCCCTTCTGTCATGTCTGAGCCTGTCCCCAGTGCCTGGTGACCCTTTGTTGTGGGTTGGGATTTAAGATGGAGGCACCAGCTCATGGGCTGGAGCCCTGTGGGTGGGGGGCCTGCTGGCTGGTGTGCTACACAGTGGGGCGACGAGCAGGGAGCTGGCTCAGATCGTGGGCTGGTCCACCCTGGCGCTTTCCAGAGACAAAGCCCTCAGTGTCCAGTGTTCAGGGGAGGCGGCTGGAAGCAAGAAGGAGGGTAAGCGCGGGTGGCAGGGAGGGGCCTGCCATTGCCATTCAGTGTGTACGCTTGGTTACTCAATTACCCTCGTTTCCACTCTGAAGTTGCACCTCCTCCCCCACCTCCTCCTGACCTCCAGCCTCCTTCCCCACCTGCCGGGCTTGTAGAGTCCTGAGCTGTGCTGGGTTCCTTTCTGCAGAAGATACACCTGAAACTGGGGTGGGCACCTGGGAGTCTAACCACTTTGTTTATGAACCTTGTTTCAGTCTACCCAATTCAGCCCTAAACTTGCACTTGCTCCCCCGCCCCCACCCCAATGGTGTCTGGTGATTCTGGATCCTGGGGCTCTGCTCAGTATCGGCTGCCACGGGCCCCTTAGGTCACAACCCGCCCCCTCCCCCACACTTGCTAAATCCCTTGCCCTCCGCCTTCTGCAGTGCCAGGCCTTTGTGCTGCCTCTCCCCTCTTGCTCGTCATTGTGGAGGCTTCTGCACTGTCCATTTGATTGTTGTTTTAGAAGAATCCTGGCAGGAAGAGAGATAAACCATGTGTACATTCCGCCACTGCCTGGCCCTAGGGCCCTCCTGCTCCTCCTCAGAGACAGCTCCTACTCCTGGGGAAGAAATGCTAGGAGAGAGGTTGTGAGAATGTGTGAGTGTGAGTGTGCAAGAGCATGTGCATGTGTGCACATGTGCACATGTGTATGCGAGGCCCTGTAACAGACTCTGAAGGTTCTGCAGTCAGCAGACATATCGAGTTGTCTTGGGAACAAGGCAGCAAACACACAAGAGAACCAAAAGAGTAGGTGGCCTCAGTGCTGAAATGGATATGTGTCTCAGAGTGGTGATTTTGAAGGGGATTCACTCAGCTCAATGGATTAAATCCTGGAAATTTCATTTGAAAAACTTCCCGTTACCTTATTTGGGTAGCTGACAGGGTATGTGGCTTTTCACACTGCCCTGATTGCAGAGTTGACTCGTTCATTTATTCTTTCAACAAGGTTTGATGGAGCCCATCCGTGTCAGGCATTGTGCTTGGCACAGGGGGTAAAATGGCAAGCAGAACAGGCACTGCCGTTGTCCTTGTGAAGCTTATAGTCCAGGGTGGGATAGCAGCGGGAGGGCAGATGTTCCTCGTACAAGTATATCATTTGTGTTTGGAAAGACCAGCTTTGTTCCCAGAGATTGGCACAGAGCCCCGGGACAACTGAGGACTTTTTGAATCCTGATGTAGCCTGACATCACTTTCCAGACTTGGTTCGCTGTCAGAGCAGATGTCCCCTTTTTTGGTTTAGAAACATTCGCGCTGTCTTTGGAGTGCTCATGCACTAAGGCAGGCACTTTGCATGTTCGTGGGCTCCTGTGCCCCGGCAGTGATGCCCGCAGGGAAAGGCAGCATGTCCACTTTGCAGAGGAGGACAGGACTGGTTTAAGCTATTGGGCCTCAAATTCAAGTCTGCCTCTGAACTCCATGTTGCGCATGCTGCACGCAAAGCATTTGGTCCTCCACCCCACACCCCACCTTACCCCAGCTTCCTGATGCTGGGACCTGAGGCTGACTGCTGAGTTTGTAAGTTTCTGCAGTGCCGCCAGGTGGGCGTGGGCACTGTCAGGTAGACCCTGCCTTGAGTCAGTGGTGGAGGCTCCTCTTGACACTGTGACTTCAGCCGCATAGATAGATCATTTATCTTGCAGATCATTAGCTCTCCTGACTTGGGATGGGAAGAATTTAGGTTATTAGGCACCTTTATGTGACTGGGTTGGGAAGACACCTCTGGGTACATCTTGTTGCTGTAGGAAAGACAGGCCAGAAATGCCCCCCTTGTTCCACCAGGGCTGCCTTTCCAGTGCTCTCAAAGAGCCAGGAACCCACATCTCACTCCTCACCCAGTACCTGGTCCTGTGGGTCCCTGAACCATCCAGCCCTCCAGGACCATTCCAGAGCCCTTCTCTGCCCAGTACTGCCTTCCTTGGAGGTTAGGGGAGTCTCTCTCTCTCTCTTTCTCTCTCTCTCTTCTCTGTCTCTCTCTCTCTCTCTCTCTCTTTCTTTCTTCCCACCTCACCTCCCTGGGCCCTTCATGATGCCTTTACACACTTCCACGTCATTGCAAATGAGTTTGGGCCCAGGTCAAAGCTGGGTCTTTGGTCATCCTTTTTTAATGCTTCGCAGACAAGGACTGGGAGGCTCTAACTGCCCAAACAGTGAAGCGTGGGCTCAAACAGAGGGGCTCACGTTGCCGGCTTCTCCCATTACATTTTCATTTCTCACTCTGAAAAAGGACAGTTCTAGCAGTGTGGTGGGTGGAGAGAACCATCATTGGCAAGCCCTGGAGACCTTTCTAGCCTTGGGTTAGAATGCACAGCACCCCTCTGTGGCACTTCCAGATATCCAAACAAGCCCTTCTAGACGCCCTTGTCTCTTGGAACGTTAAAGACACAGCTCCCTGTCTTCCAAGGCAGCTTGTGGTTCCACAGCCTTGGAGCGTCCTGCAGACAGTTTCTGTTTTTGAAAGTTTTTCAGAAATTATGCATTTATTATAGAGAGACCATGTAGGTTCCCTTATTCCCTTTGTTTAGAGCATCTTTTATTTTTACATTTTAGTGATTCTGAAATTGGGATGCATCTTAAAATAGATGCATGTGTTTGGATATGGTGCTGTGCCTTTTTCGTGTGAAGGGGTGTTCCCCAAATGACTGCATCCTAGAATTGAGGAAATACAGTAAAGTTGCATTGGGAGACAAAAATCTTTCAAAACATGTAATCCATGGGAGAAAACAAGCATAGGGGGTGCTTTGTGTGGAGGAGCTGAGACCACTGCCTTAAATCTCATGTTTCCCTAGAAACTCTATGTGTGACCATTATGGGGAAAGATGCTGACAAGGCCTGACCCCCATTCGATCGTGTTTCTATCTGTGGGGGTGACATACTTGGAGCAAACAGTTCCTAAAATTATCCCCATACCATTCCTCCTTCAGCTTTCAGGTCAAATATATTTGCATCTTTATCATAAGGGCCTTTCTTTTCCTGTTGTTATATTTGCTAATTTACAATTGTTTGGTTTGAAAAACAAGGATTTTTTCTTTTGCCTCCTGGCCTTTTGGTTTTTCTGAGGCAGCCTCAGAGAGCGTGGCCGTGGTGGGCTCCAGGAATGTCCTGGGGAGCCTGAGCCCACTGGGCTGGGGTCCTGGCTCCCGCCTCCGCCCTGAGCCTGTGACAGGCAGAGGCCATCCATGTGCTGTGGGGCCTGCCATGCTCTGTGCAGAGCCTGCAGTCAGTGTGTGGGATGGGGCTGAATCAGGGCACTTTTGTGTGAAGAATGGAGGCACTTCCAGCCATTTGTCAGGATGGGCGGGAGCTTGTCAGGTCAAGGACTGGATCCCAAAGTCTGAAGCTCAAAAGGACAACCCAGAAGGAGTCAGAAAGTGAACTGCTCAGAGACCTCCTGCAGAGTTTATCCCAAAACAGGCACTGCTCCTCAGTCTTCCTGGATGTCCCCCTTCGCGGTGCTTAAAGGAAGGTGTGCAAGGTTGATTCATGCTCTCAGAGGGAGGCTGAGTCAGAAAACAGACCAAGCCCTGACCAGCGATTCACAGAGCAGTCTGGAAAGAAATAGGAAGAAAGCACCGCCCTCTCCTAGCCTTCTTCTCCTCCTCCTCTCCCATCTCCTTTGCACTCTCTCCCACAAAGCCTGGTCTTTCATGGGAATATCCCCCAGCCCAGCCCCAGTCTAGGTCACAGGGGCTTTGATACTCAGATCAAGGCTGGCTGGCGTCATTCTCAGACTCTTCCTAGTGAGAATTTCTACAGCTGCAGATGAGAAAATGGCTTCTTAGTGAGACTAGAAACAAGGAACCGAGTGAGTCTTCTTTTGTTTTTCTATCCTGATCCAGTTTCTCACCTTGAACCCCACTGTCAGGGCTTGTACCAAGAGGACGCAGGGTGGAGTGAAATGTTTCTGACCTCCCTCCCTGCCCCAGCCTCCAGTAGAATCCCGTTGACTGAAGCACCCAGCTGGTCCTGGGGCCCTAGAGCAGGAGGCTGTGTCACCCTCGCCGCAGGCAGCGCCCCCTCAGGTGGCTCATCACACCCAGTGGACTCCTTTCTTCACCCCGCACCATCCCCCCGAGTAAGTGGTAATAGCCGCTTAATGTACTGACTTACCCAATCCCTTCTTGGTCCATTACGACAAAAGTTGCTCTTTTCTCATTAGAATCATTTTTGTCAGGGTGTCTTTAATCAATGGCTTCCCCAGGGACAGTATTTTTAGAAGTTGTGTTTTTCACACCCTCCCTTTTGGAAAATCTCATCCCAGTGCCTAGTGAAATGAGCTAATGAGATGCCGGGAGATCCCAAGCTGGTGTTAATTGGAACAGGCGTGGAAGAAGTGGCCCACGCGCACCTTCAGTTCCTTCCTGCCTTACCTGCAATCCTTTTCTCTGTCTCTCCGGTGTAGGTTGCACAGACAGCAGATGGTGTGGATGCTGACCTCTGGAAAGACGGCTTATTTAAATCCAAGGTTACCAGATACCTGTGTTTCACAAGATCATTTTCCAAAGAAAATGTAAGTCTAGTCGTAGTTTCCATTTGCTGAGTGAGCACAAGTAATTTACATTCCTGTTTGGAATTTCCTCATTTTGTTGTTGTTGTGGTTTATTTTCATTGCCATATTAATTTATCTGTGGTTTTAGTGAACTGGGTAGAATCAGCAGCCAGCACTGTGTTTCATTTATTAACAGTGTTATTAACCACGTACCCAAGTGTACCGTGAATTCCATTAAATTGTGTTCTCAAAAGGAAACCAGGAAATTTCTCTCCCAGCTCTCATTTGCCTACCTTTCCTCCAAGCAACAGATCACAGGGTAGTGCGGCAGTGAGAGTTCTCCAGTGGAGCGGGATTTAATGCTGGCCAGCAAAGGCAGCATGGCTCAGGGAGGGCCCCTGTGACCCCACCCCATGCCCTTGCTTCCACAGTGACGTTTCCTCGCTCTTTGAGTCTCTGTGTGACATATCACATTTCGTTATTTTTGTAGGTAAGTATTGACTCATGTAGATTTCTCTATGCTTTTAAAAAAAAAAACAAATACTTGCACCTGTAAATTAGGAAACTTTAAAGATACCTACTAAGGTTTTTTTTTTAAAAACATCTAATAAGATATTTTAATAGATGGCTTAGAAAGAAAGGAAATAGCTTTGGTGAGTATCTGCTCTGTACAAGGCCTGCCCTGGGCACCTCATTCTGTCCCCAGGTAATCTCTACCAGTGGAAGTTCCTTTCCATTGAAGAAACCGAGATCCAAGAGGGAATATGCTTGTTCAAGGTTACTTCTCTTCCCCAGCCCCAAACAGGGAGCAGTTGGGATTTTCATTTTCAGGGCTAACATTTTATTTTTGGCCATATGTTATTGTCTCTTTGTCATGTAAATTTTTATTTTGGGAAATATTTTTATTTATTTATATAAATTATATTATAAAAGTAATATTTATTTGCAGTTAAAAAAAAAAAACTGAACCCAGACAACAAATATCCTCATTCAACAGCATGAAAGGGGGAGAGCATTAGTCATCCTCTCTGCCACCTGGCCCCGCAGGCCCAGGGTCCCATCACAGGGTCCTGGCGTGTCCCCTTGGTGTTTTCTGAATATCGACCATCATGTGGCTCTCTGGCTTGCACTCTTTTCTGCCACCCATTCCTGTTGTTTGTGGTTAATTCTTTGATACGATAATTATTCTGAACATATACAGGACTGGGAGAAAAGTCATTGCTTTATTTTTTCCCCTAATTACAAGAGCAATATATGCTCCTTGTGAAGTACAGAGTTTATAATGGAGTCAGGGGAAATCTTGACACAAAAGTCTGGAAATCTTTTCAATTCAGGCTTTTGAGTGTATTTTAAATACCAGGAAGGTGGCAGGGCTAAAGAGTGGACAAGGGCACTGAGATCTTATAATGAGTCCCTGCAGGTCCCCCAGCTCACTGAGCAGCCTGAGGTACCCAGGAGTGGGCTGAAGGCTGAGTAGAGGCTTCAGTTAAAAATGAGTAGAGGCCGAAGAGGCTTCAGTTAAAAATGGCCTGAGGACAGCCATGATCTCTGTGATCATTTTTTAATTTTGTTTTCATTGCATTTCCCCCCAGAGACTATGGGGTGTTGGTACCTAGGCTAGCAGAGTCCCTGCATCCCTTGGAGTGGGGACAGTGACAGGCCTGAATGTGACAAAGAGAAGTCACTGGGGCTTGTTAGCATTGGGTGTCATGGGTAAGTGTATTAAAGAAAACACATTGATTTCATCAACATATGTTGAACATTAAAAAGATATTTATTGGGCATGATGGAGGGATGTAAGAAGAGGACAAGGGCAGTGTGAAAAGCCTCTGCCTCACTTTTGAAGCAGAGTAGGAGATAGGTGCGTGGTGCATATTGTTTTTGGAAAAAGAATGAATGGATCCAATAGTGCGATCCAAACGATCGAGTACCAGCAGTTGGCAGGGGCCCACTTGCCAGCCCAGGAGTGGAGGAGGAATCAGAATATTTTAATCTGTTACAGCCAGTCTATGCTGGCCCTGTAGTCCAAACCAAGACTTTGCAGACCATCATTTTTTACAACTGTAAAGGAGGGATGTGGGGTCTCAAGACTGGACAGATTCTTAATTAGCTGACTTGAGACTCCCAATGTAGGAGTTTTGGGAGACTCCTTTGGAACCCAAATTCCTTTCCCCCAATAATGCTATTAATACAGAAATCTGGCTTTGGAGTGACATTGCTTCCTGGGGAAGGATCGAGATTAATTGCACTTTTCATGCCCTGTACTTTCTGCATTACCTGTAATAATAATGTACATAGATTAGGTAGGGAGGATATTAAACAGAAGGATTTATGAACATTTGAATATTAAGTTGGTTATCTGTGGCTACCTTAAATGCAAGGTTGTCAAAAATAATTACAGTATACTAGCAAATACTGGCTACCAGAGACAATATAAATACCCTGAGTCAGTGCATATTGGGCTTTTGGCATGAATCATTTGCTCAACAAGGATTGGGAATACGTTCTTCATATTTATGAGGAGGAAATGAAAGAGAGAACAGATGGGGGAGGGGAGAGGAACAGGCAAAATTAATGGTGTCGCAGACCCACTGTATTAAACCCAGTACAGTGGCAGCCCTGTGTGAGGAGGGACCACAGTTGGGCTGTGGGGAGCTCTGACAGTGCAGCCTCCCATTTTGTATGCATGCAAGGGTTTTTTGATGCTTTGTTTTTAATGGCCACACCACTGATGTTCAGGTTTTATGATCAGGGACATTGGTAGAGTGTGTGGAGGGTGAGGTCACTAAGTGGTTTGCAGTTGACTTCTGTAAAACCCAACTTGTCAAGCAGAAGACATTTGAGAAGGATATTGATGAATGCCCATCCATCTGCGGGGCAGGAAAACATGCCTAGTTGTTAATTTCTCAATGCAGAAAGCAGTGATGACATGGAAAAGCAACTGCCATGAAAAAAAATTATGATAGATTAGACCAGGCGACTCTGAAAGCAGCTGATGTTTGCAAGTTAGGTTAACAGTTCAAACCCTTCCTACACGGTCAGAGATTTATTCCGTGTTCTGAGGGTCCCACTTACCACTAACTAGGCTGCACTGTACATTGTCTTCCCGAGGCCCAGCTACCTGGAATGTCAGAATATCAAATTGTTGGTAAATATGATAGTTCTGAGAGGAAGAAACGGTTTCCTGATGGCAGTGCCGTAAAAACACTGGTCATAGATTACACTTGCTGCTATGACCTTCCTAGTTAAATTCTAATAATTGGTTTCATTTGTGTACTTTTGGTTCATAATATTTATTAGTGTATATCAATACTTTTGATATTTTTAATCATATAGTTTAGATTTGACATCTCAGCAAACTCAACTTGATATATGTGTGTGTGTATATATATATATGAAACGAAGTCTTCCTCTGTCGCCCAGGCTGGAGTGCAGTGGCACAATCTCAGCTCACTGCAGCCTCCACCTCCTGGGTTCAAGCGATTCTCCTGCCTCAGCCTCCCAAGTAGCTGGGACTACAAGCGTCCACCACCACACCCAGCTAATTTTTGTATTTTTTTTAAGTAGAGACAGGGTTTCACCATGTTGCCCAGGCTGGTATCAATCTCCTGACCTCAAGTGATCCACCTGCCTCGGCCTCCCAAAGTGCTTGGATTACAGGCATGAGCCACCATGCCTGGCAGATTTTTTTTTTTTTTTTTTTTGAGACAGAGTCTCACTCTATTGCCCAGGCTGAAGTACAGAGGCATGATCTTGGCTTACTGCAGCCTCAACCTCCCAGGCTCCAACAATCCTCCTACTTCAGCTTCCTGAGTAGCTGGGACTACATGCATGAGTGCCACCACACCCAGCCAATTTTTTTAATTTGTAGAGATGGGGTTTCGCCATGTTTCCCAGGCTGGTCTCAAACTCCTGAACTCAAGCTACCCACGCACTTTGGCCTCCCAAAGTGTTGGGATTACAGGCATGAGCAACAGCGCCCGGCCTCCAGTTCGATTTGTGACTCTGAGTGGCCCGGTTGAAAAATGTGCACCCGAAATTAATTTATTCAGCAAGTAGTTACTGAGCACCTGCTGTGTGGCAAAAACCATGCTAGGCTTGTATTTATAGTAGGAACAGAGATAGTTTTGGTCTTCATGGTTCTTAAACTCTAGAAGCAAGACAGATATTAAACAAATAACCCCATAAATTGATAGGAAGGGAAAAAGAGAGTGCCAAGAGGGAACATAACACAGTTTAGATGATAAGAACTCCCTGCTTGGCTTTCAGAGACGTGACACAGTGCAGGTGGAGGTGGGATCTTGGCTCCCATGTGCAGAGATGGAGGTAGCAGCCCTTCTTCTCTAAGCAAGATGGAACAACAGCCTGAGAAGTTGCTGTCCAGGGCAGAGTGATGGCTGACCAACTAGATGCTTGTCCAAGGATGCTGAACAAGTAAACAGAGAGCATGTTCACACTGGGCTTCGGGGATGAGGCACTTCTGCAAAATGGGCACGTGGAGTGCACTGCTAGTATCCTAACAGGAGAGATTTGGGATTTGAGCCCATCATTCTTTCCTTAACTGGCTCTGACGAGAGAGGGGGAACCAAGCTGCAAATTACTCTGAAGATTTTAATGAAATCTCCAAAGTGGCCCCACATATTTAAGTTGTAGGGTAGATATCTTTAGAGCTCATTTCCAGCTTGAAATGTGGGCTGCAAGTGCTGGCGTGTTTGCAAAGAATTCTCTCTCGCAATTACAGAATGGTGTACTGTCTTAGAAAGATATTTGTACACCAGTTACCGAAACTGCGCACTGTGGACCCCATATACTACCACTAAACAGAAACTTTAGGAGGCCCTTGTGCGTGTCATTTTAGAAGATGTGTAATATTGAGGCAGCAGGGCTTTCACTCTGTATTAGTGTATGATTCTTGGGATTTTGCAGAATGTATCTAGCAACTGAAATGTGTGTCAGTATGCAGACTGGTGATCACTTAGGAGAGTGATTGGTTCCCTGTTAGGTTTAGATGCAGCTCTTTCCTACGAGTGCCTCAGGAATTTGCTCTTCCTAAAACCTCCTGGCCTTGAGATCTGATGCTCAGGGCTGAATGGCAGCCTGGTCCTGGGACCTGTGTGCACAGCTGCCCTCTGCTGGGTTATGTCTAAAGCATCTCCTGGGTTGCTCCTGCCTCACCAAGGCCGTGTCTGAGTTGAGTGGCTTTGAGGTTCCGCAGATGAAACTCCTTCCCAGGGGCCACACGAGTCCCTGCATAACCACTGGGGACCATTAAGTGTCACCTACTCTAATTAACCTGCTGTCATAAAGCTGCACGAGTCATTGTGTTAAATATGCATCTGGAAGCCAAAATGGCAAACCCACCACATGCATGTTCAGATTAATAGTCTGTATCTCTTTTCTTTCTTCCCAAGAGTCATCTGGGGAACGTGTTAGTAGATATGAAGCTCATTGACATCAAGGACACACTGCCTGTGGGCTTCATCCCAATTCAGGAGACGGTGGACACACGTGAGTCATCCTTTAGTAGCACTCATCACAATGAGCGTTTTCTTCCTCCAGGTATATTTGTAGGTGTTTTTCTATGTGCATTTTTCTTCAGAAACACTTTTGGAGGCCTTACTACATGCCCATGAACAAACCCTGCTGCTTTTGATGTGTGTCTGGCTGGGTTCTCCAAGGAGTTTGCAGAGTATTCTGGGTAGCAGCATGTAAATGAGCAGAACGTGCCTTTCTTTTAGAATGGTGCTCCCTGCTGAATCGGCTCACTGGGGAATGGAATGGTGAAACTATACAGTTTGTCTTTAGTCCTTCCTCTGGTGTTGCTGAAGCCAAGCTTGGCATAAGACCCAGAAGGAAGCGGAAAGAAAACAATCAAAAGACGCCCAGAGAACACAAGGCCAATAATGTGCCCATTTGGGGCCCGTTGAGCAAACAAGAAAAGTGAGAATCAAAAAGACTGCAAATTAAAGTTCATAGGTTCGAATTGGACTGAATATTCTGACCACTGAGCAGGTCCAAGCAGAAGTGAATCACTGAGGAATCGGCAGCGTCTTCAGGGTGTTGGAGCCCTTGGAGCTTCTTGACCCACACATGGGTTATTAAATGGTGCTGGAAAACCTCTGGTGATTCGGCTTCCTTGTTTTGGTGTAATTTAACTTACCTTGTTTCATTTTTAATCACTGGTCAGCCAACTTTATGGTATTTACAACAGTGAAGCAATGAATACAAAACAAATACAGAGAATCCTTTCATTACGACTCAGGGTTTATTTATTAAATTCTCTGTCTCATTTTCTGTCTCATACTTTATTCTTTCATAATTAGCCCCACTTTGGTCCCACTGTTTTTTGCTGTTTTCTTGCTAGCACTTCATATGATATGAACTAGAGTTTCTATCTTTACGCAGATCCCCTGCTGTTATTTTCATGAAACCAGCAGACCCCGTTGTATAGCATATTTTTATTTTCCTGATGGTCTCTTCACATTTCAACATTGGATTGCTTTTTGTCATTTATTATTTTATGTATTACCTGATAATCATAACAGCTGATATTTAGTATGCATTTACTGTATGTTCACCCCTGTGATAAATGCTTTACCTCCCTGATTTCATTTAATCTTCAGAAGACCCCTCTTTAGAGATGGACATTATTATACCCATTTCAGATATGAGAAAAATGAAGCACACTCACTCCTTAGGGATTAAAGAACTTAGCCAAGGTCATGCATCTGGAAGTGGAGGAATAACTAGAATGCTCACATACGTCTTACTCCAGCCACACTTTTAACCACGGCGGCACACTGGAAGAGCATGTGTATAAGCACCTTTTACAGATATGTTTTATATTAATGTACAGAGTTTTAAAAAATTAAGCTATAACTCACATACCGTGCAATTCACCTATTTAACATGCACAGTTCAGTGGCTTTTAGTAAATGCAGAGTTGGCAACCATTATGGCACATTATATCACCCCCAAAACCCATTTTCAGGATATCACCCCTGTACCCCTTAGCAATCACTCTCTTATTGCTCTCCAACCCTCACCTCCCCACTCCCCGCCAGCCCTAGGCAACCACTGATCTACTTTCTATGTAGATTTGCCTATTCTGGACATCTCATATAAATGGAATCATACAGCGTGTGGTCTTTTGTGACCAGCTTCTCTCACTTAGCATACTGTTTTCAAGGTTGGCCCACGTTGTAGGATAGATCATTACTTCATTCCTTCTTATCACCAAATAATATAACATTATATGGATATACCACATTTTGGTTATCCATTCAACTGATGGATATCTGAGTTGTTTGTACTTTTTGGCTGTTAGGAATGAGGCTGCTATGAACATTCATGTACAAGTTTTTGTTGGGCTTATGTTTTCGTTTCTGTTGGGTATCTACCTAGTCATGGAATTGCTGGGTCATATGGTAACTTGGTATTTTTGAGGAACTATCAAATGATGTTTCAAAGGAGCTGCACTGTTTTTTATTCCCACCAGCAGTGTCCTTAGATTCCAATTCCTCCACATCTTCACCAGCAATTTGTTATTGTCTGTCTTTTTGATTCTAGTCATCTTAGTGGGTGTGAAATGGAATCTCCTTGTGCTTTCTGTTTGCCCTTCTCTGATGGCAAATGATGTTTAGCATCTTTTTCTGTGCTTGTTGGCCATTTGTATTATCTCCTCTGCTTAGGATCTACAGTTTTCTCCAAGACTTGGATCACTTTCCTCCTTTTCCCCTGTGTTTTTCACAGTTTTAAAATTTGCATTGGTGTTCGTTTTTTGACAGTCAGTTGACTTCGAATGTTTTTATATTGATGTGCTGTGGAGCCACAATGGGTTTTCCATTCTGCATTTTCCTCTAGGTTAGTTGGACCAGTTCACTGAGGCTCTGTCCTGTCTGGGCTTGGGGCCCAGCTGCTGTGGGGCCCAGGGGTCCTGGTTGGGAAGTTTCTCCCTTGTGACTGGGAGTACACAGGTTGCTGTCCCAAGTGTGGACTCTGAGATCGGTCCTGGGCCCAATGCCAGGTGCCTTGTCACACAGGAGGGTGGGCAGCAGGGGGTCTCTTCATTTCTGGTTCTAGCAACATTTCCTGGAGCTTTTCACCCAGGGAACAGAGGAGCCCAAGCTGGCCACATAAGCCTTATGATCAGCTCTGTATCATCTGAGAGTATTCAAGACCCTGATTTTATACAGTCAGCCAAAAACAGGAGACTCCTGTAATTCATTGAAAATATGGTTTGCTGTAATCCATATAGCACTGAAAAACTGGAAGATGTTTGTTTTAGTAAAGTGCTGTGTACTTTCTCTGTGTTCATTAGCATGACTGAACACATTTCTATTGACTATGTATAATATGTTTACTTAAAATTAGGCCTGCTTAAGCATGTGTAATCAGTGGCTCCATCTCTTAACCCCGAGTTTGCTGCAGACGGAAGAATGGAGCCAAGAGCAGCGTGGCAACAGCAAGTGAAACACCCGGCGTTAGTTTTCTTTGTGTAAAGGTCTCTCTTCTTCGTGCTTTCTAAGGCCGATCTGATCAGCTGATAATCTTTGAAGTTGCAGAGTTGCCATGAGCAGCGCCCCCAACTCCCCAGGTTGCTGTCCCAAGTGTGGACCCTGAGGTTGGGTCTTGTCACACAGGAGGGTGGGCAGCAGGGGCCTCTTCATTTCCAGTTCTAGGATCATTTCCTAGATGTTTAGCAATGTTTAGGGTCTGGATTCAGAACGTTGTTTCTCTCTGCTCGTAGATCTGCTCTAGCCCTCAGTTTCTGTGCCTGAGGAACCCACAGTTATCTGACTCTTTAAAAAACAACCCTACCCCCCTCAAAATATAATAACAAAACAATTCCACTGATTTTCTTGTCCCCCTCCCCACTCCCGGCCCCTATAAGAAACCCTGGGCAGGACTGTACTTCCCCTCATTCTGTTCCTCAATTTGAATGTGCTGTTGAATGTCTTACTTCCTGCCACAGAATTGCAAGGTCTTGAAACCCAATACCAAGCACAGGCATAAATTACATGCTAGAGGCTTACTTGTCAATAATGACGGTAAGATCCCACACAGCTGTTCTTTACTGAGCACTTACTGTGTGCCAGGCACTGGGCTAAGTGGATCATATGTGTTGGCACAGTGCATCCAACCCACATCCCTGTGGGGTGGGTTTCATTAACTCCCTTTTACAGTTTACCAAGACTCAGAGAAATTAAGTAACTTGCCTGAGGTCACAGTGCCAGGAAATGTTGGTGTTGGGATTTCAACCCAGATCTGTCTGACTCGTGTATTAAATGGCCGCAGTTGGTTGAAACTCAGGTTTAAAAGCACAAACAAACACACACCTCCCGTTGGTCAGCACTGGAGGTTGCTAGAGCACCAACTCCTTACTCTAAGGCTTGATAAGTAAGAGAAAAGAATCACGTGCTTATCCTTTTTTTCCTATACAAAACTTATTTCAGGGAGACCAAATAGTTGATGAAGGAAAGTTATTTTTTACATATAGAAGGATTCTAGCTAAAAAATGCAGAAGGAGGCCAGGCGCGGTGGCTCACGCCTGTAACCCCAGCACTTTGGGAGGCCAAGGAGGGTGGATCACGAGGTCAGGAGTTCAAGACCAGCCTGACCAACATGGTGAAACACCATCTCTACTAAAAATACAAAAATGAGCCAGGCATGGTAACACGCATCTCAGCTACTCAGGAGGCTGGGGCAGGAGAATCACTTGAACCCCGGAGGTGGAGGTTGCAGTGAGCCAAGATCATGCCACTGCACTCCAGCCTGGGTGACAGAGTGAGACTCCATCTCAAAAAAAAAAAAAAAAAAGAGCAGAAGGAATGACAGAGTTCAAAAATCACCATTGTGAACCTTTAATAAAACATGGATCTTAGCAACAGTCATCAGAGGGTGAGAAAGTGCTCAGAGGATGGCAGTTGGGGAACTGTGTGACCGAGGTCCTGGGCCGACGCCAGCAGAGCTCAGCAAGAATGGCCCAGCCAGACTCTGGGCCTCACTATATGACAGCCTAGACTTACGTGTACCCCGGACGGCGTGCATGCCTAAAAAACCTAACCTGAGTCTAATCGAGGCTTTAGCTCTGCCAGCCTACAGGAGGCACAGGGGAGTGACCCGATTTCTCCAACCTGTTAGTGCCCTGAAGAAAAGGGAACAGGAGTGGTTGTTCCAGAGTCAAATGATCTGGGAGGCCTGACACCCAGAGGCAGTGTTTCAGCATCCTGGGGATCCAGATGCAGACAGACTGGAGAAAACGTGGATGTAGACTCTCTGTTGGATGATACTCAGGAATTCTGTTCGTTTTGTTAGGAATGGTGATGGCATGGTGGTCTTTAAAGAACAGTGTCCTGGATGCCTACTGAGGTATTGATGGTGACATAACGTAGTGTCGTCAGGGATTCATTTTAAATATCCAGCAAAACTGCAGGGGTGGGAGGAGAGGAAACCAGCTTGTCCATTGTGCACAGCATTGACACTGGGTGACGGGAACACGTGGATTCATTCCACTGTTCTCTCTGCTTTGGGGTATGTTTGAAGATTTCTGTAATAAAAAGAAAAGAAGTCCGTGTGGTGAAATGTGTTAATGCTCAGGGCGTCAGTGTGCAGGTTTCTGATGGCTGAGCAGTGAGCAGATTGTGGTTGCGGCTCTTAGAAGCCACCCAGATTTACTGCAGGGTGTGTGGTCCCCTTCTCAGCAGGGGGTGTCTGGGTTGGGTCCCACATGCAGAGCAGGGTGACTGCAGCCCCGGGGAAGGCAGGCGGCAGAGCGCAGCCCTTCTGTCCAGCAGCTTAGGTGACCTGCCACTTCTGCTGCCAGGAATAGGGCGTGACAGGGGATGTGGTTTTCAGAATAGAGATTCTGGTATCTCTGGAAAACTCATACCTTTTCTATTGTCCTTTCCTTCAGAGGAAGTGGCTTTTAGGAAGAAGAGGCTGTGCATTAAATTTATTCCACGGGATTCAACGGAAGCTGCGATTTGTGACATTCGGATCATGGGCCGGACCAAGCAGGCCCCGCCTCAGTACACGTTTATTGGGTGAGTCTTAATAACAGGACTGTCAGCTGCTTCTCTTCCCTGAGAGCACTCAGGCCACTCCAGGCAATGAGGTCCAAGAGATTTCCATGCAGCCCCCCAGGCTCTCAGCCATGGGCCTCTGTCAGCCCAGTGCTCCTCGCTGCCCTTCCTGCTCAGCTGCGGTCTCTCTGAGCCTCGGCTCGCACTGCTGACTCCACCTTAGGGCCTTTCCTCCCCTGCCCTTCTGCGCATTCAGCCTTGAAGCTCCTCTGGGTCCTTCCCCGACACCCTGTGATGCCACTGGCCTCAGCTCTTCACACTCGTTATTCACCCTAGGAAAGGTCACAGGGACCTATTTTGTACCACGGGGCCAAGGCCACTGGATGTGGATATAAGTGAGGCAAAGGCCGTGCTGTCACAGAGCTGATGTTCTAAAAGGGACAGACGAGCAATAAACAAGAAAATAAATGAGATAATTCCAGACAGTGAAGAAAGTGAAACACAATGATGGAGTGGGGGCCTCTTCCGTGAGGGGGTCAGGAAGGTGACACTTGAGCAGAGACCTGAATGTCAGGAAACCAGCCATGCACAGATGTGAAGGCATAGTCTTTGAGGCAGAGCAGAAGCAGAAGGAGAGAAGTGGGAATGAGCATGGCACGTTCTGGGAGCAGAACACAGCCCTGTGCAGCTGGAAGAGCCAGGGACAATGTTGGGACAAGGGCGAGGGTTGGCAGGACCTCCTAGGACATGGCCTGGAGTTTATTCCAAGCACGCTAGAAAGTCAGTGGAGGGCTCCAAGTCAGGAAGAAACATAAATATTACACAGCTGCATGATAATTCCCCAGTAAGCAGAGAACTGCTGAGGCCTGGGCCCGTTTGTGTCTTGTTCCTCCAGCAGCCTCAGCACTGAGCATGGGCCTGGCTCTGTTGCAGCTCCATAAATACTTACTACAGTGAAATCCCAGGGTTTCACTTAGGGCTCTGTTGATTGTAAGTGACAGGAAACCCAACCCAGTTTGGCTTGAGCAAAAGGAATAATTTATTGGCTGGCATCACAGAGGAGTTGGGGAGGCAGGACTGGCATGCCTGGAAGCGGAAGCTTGAAGGCCGGCACTGGGTTCTGGTTTCCCTGTCTCCCCCTGGCTCCGGTGCTGGGCTCTGTTCTGACATGTTTCCCCCTCGAGGAGGCCTGGTGCTACAGTAGCTCCACCTGCTTTTCATCCAGGTTCAAGTCCAGAGGCCAAGAGCAAGTTTGTGTTCCTGACAGTTCAAAAGAAGTTCTAGAATTTAGTCTCATTGGTCTTGATTGATCTAGGTAGGGTCATGTGCACCCTGGGCTTGTCACTGTTTTCTGGAAAATTCTTCCATTGACCAGGCCTGAGCAGGAAGTAGGATCAGCTCCATTGGAACTCAAGGACAAACCACGACTGGTGCTGCTCCTAAAATATGGAGGGGCAGTCAAAAGTCAGAAAGGGGGTGAGTGGATGCCAGCTGTCCAGAAGGAAATAGATGTTCACTGTCTTCAGTCAACTGAAATCCAGGTGTGCACTTTACTCGGTGTGGCAGATGGTTTACAGCCCCCTCAGCCATGTGCGTCTTCCCTGGCCAGGGCTGGCAGGGGCCATGTGTTTCCCTGTGGGCTCCCAGAGGCACCCTGTCCTCCTCGGCTTCTGAGGCCAGCCTCCTGGCTCAGGCCTGTACTCTGCTTTACTCTTGTTCATTTGAGCCCAGAGCCGCCTTTGTATCAGCCAGGGCCTTTCTGATAGCCTAGACCCGGTGAGACAGCAGATGAGCCCTCGTGGCATTTGCTTGAAGCATGCAGGGAGCAGGTACCACAGAAATGCAGAGTTTCACCTCGGTGGGTGTTCAGCTCTGGCATCTGAATGCTCTGTGTCAAGATCATGTGGTTAAGAAGGACTCTGTGATCATTCCCTTCCTACACACTCAAAAATCCCGTTTTGCAACACGGTTTACACTAATTATGTAAACAGGACTACAGGAGTAGGAAATAGTTAGAATAAACATACTTCAGGCACCTCAGAAGCACCCATTTACATACAAATGGCAGAAACCAGCAATTTAGTAATGAACTTTTAAATCTAATTTCAGTTGCTATGTGTATCTTTAACTACAAACTATCCTGTTGTAAAAAGATTCCATTTTTAACCAATTTAAAAATTTTAAGGAATAGATATGTACCAGTATGTACCTTGATAAAACCAAAGGCTTTTTTCCTTTATGTCACTTTGGAAATATTGCTATAGTTTTATTTCATCTTGGGGCAACAGTTCTTTTCCAGAGGAAGACAATTCCAGTGTTATTTTTAAGCAAGGAAAGAGAATTCAGTATTCAGAACTCTAAGTCACTTATTCTTAAAAGCGGGCACAGTTCTACATGTTACTTTGCAAGGGTTTGGGATTGTCAGTTGGGGAAGATAGAAACCTCACATTGCAAACAGCACCTCCAAAGCCTGGCAGCTGGAGGCCACGGCCCAGAGGTGGAGAAATCAGTGCAGTTCATTGGAATCACTCATCTAAGAAGACAGGATTGTGGTTTTACATGGTTCCTGGGGTGTTCTGAGAAGCTTATTAGGGGTTCCCACAGAATAAGTCATTTTCCATTTTTTGAAGAGATTATATTCCTCTACATCAGGTCCCAAAGATGCAGTTCTGTGGGCAACTGGGAAGTTGGAAACTGAATATGGTGAAAATGATCCCGTCACTATTCCTAGGAGCGTGGCTGTCTCCTCAGCACTCACGAGTGTGTGGTGTAGTAGGGGGCGGGGCTGTGGTGACTGCGAGGGAGGTCACAGGAGAGCTTATGCGGCGTCTGGGAGGCCCCTTGGTGTCCACTCCTAGTTGTGTGGTTCATGGGGCCTCGAGTTTTGTAGTTTGAAGATGACTCCCAAACTGACCCTGAGAATGAGTCCAACGGCAGGTGACACCCAGCTGCAAGAGGCTGTATCCTGAGATTGGAGTGTGTTATAGAGTAGGGGGCTAATTCTTCTCATGGTTAAAAACCAGCATCTCCCTATCTGTCTCTCCTAATTGCACAAAGGACTTGATGTGGATTATCACGTCACACTCCACAAGGAAATGGCAAAACAAAAAGAAGTTTGGAGAAGCAAGGAAAGTACCAGTTGGAGTAGGAAGGCAAGCTTGGGAAGGGTGATGCAGGCGGCCTTGTCCCGAAGGCCTGCCTAGATGGAACGGGTCACCCTCGTGTGAACTATGACACCCAGAGCACAAAGGAGACGGTGGAACCCATTTCACGTGGAGGGCAAGAATTGATTCCCTGGTGTTTGAGGCCATGACTCTTTTAAATGAATTGGTTTGCTTTGTCACTCAGGTAAATGCTTTGTGCTAACCAGAGCCATGAAGATTTCTCTTTTTTCCTAAAGGGAACTGAACAGCATGGGGATCTGGTATCGAATGGGCAGAGTACCAAGAAATCATGACTCATCTCAACCCACAACGCCTTCCCAGTCATCAGCTGCCTCCACCCCAGCCCCCAACCTTCCCAGGTGAGGCCTTGTCGGGGTGTCTTGCGTTGTCCTGTGGTCTTAGGTCCCTGCACAACATTTTAGAACACCACCACTTAGTGTCTGCTGAAATACTGCAAAGTACAGCTGAATAATTGTAGAAGCAATATATCTTTAGAGGAGATTTTTAAAAATCCACTTGGAAATCTTTGCATTACATGAATGCAAAGGCCATTCTATAGTCTATTTTGTGCGTGTTCTGCAGGCTTCTAAAATTGCAGATTATGCAACTTAAAATTGGCTCCCTATTCAAAAGAGCTGCTAGCTACACACAGACACGTGCTGTATAGCCATGGGGTTGGGATCACTGGCCTTAAGGTCAAATTCCTTCTCTGTCTTGGCCAGCAACTCATTTGAAACCCAGGAGGGTAGGTGAGTTCTTATATTCTTCATTTTCATATAATTTCTTTTTCCAATGAGCTATAAAGTAAGAAATGGGTAGTTTGGGTATGAGAGAATAGTGAGGAGTTTTTCAGGAAATGCTAGTTTTAACAATTGTCTCCGCAAAGAAACTTGGGTGAGCCAACTGTTTGCTCTGCAACTGATTTCAGTCATAACAGAGGTAGTAACAGTCTCTACACTTTCTGCAAAAAGAATCCTGTCAAATAAAAATCCTGTGCATCACTAGGAGTAAACTAAGGGCAAGGAACAAACAGCACTGATGGATTAAGCTTGAGAAAGGGATTGCAAAAGTAAATAAAACAAGAACGGTGAGGCAGCAACACTTAGGGATTGACATAACGTAAATGAGAATGGATCTCCAAGCTTCCACGTGGGTGAATAGAGATGAACAAAATCTGTCAGGAACCGGACAGAAGAGTCACCAGTAGGTCTTCCTGGGCCATCCACAATACAGCCTGCCCTCCGGGACATACCACCAGCTCTCTGTACTCTGTTCCTCTGTGCCAAGCCTCCGTCTCACTTGGAAGAATGTGCTGTAATGAGGCTCCAAAGCCCTGAGGACTCTGTCCTCTGGGACATCCCCCTATAAAGACAATCTGGTCCTTCTCATGACAGTTTCACAAACCAAGAGTGGTATTTAAACTTAACTACCCCTGGAATTGCCTGAAACTTTAGAAGTAGTTTTCAGTTTCATTTGGCATAAAAAGATAGGAATCTCTAATAAGCCTCCCAGAGTTGCAGGGTGAACAGTTGAGTCTCTGTTGGGTTCAAGAGTGTGAGGTTCGCACTGCCCATCAGCACTTGTTCCTCACTTCTGAGCCAGAGCGCTGTCAGCTCCGCCCTGGAGGGCACTGCTGAGGGTCACTGTCTCCTGTGCTCAAGGCTATATCAGGTGTGTCACCTGTGCTGGGGAGTCAGCTAAGTCCATCACCTGTGTGTCGGGGTCCTCCATCACCTGTGCTGAGGCCCATCACTTGTACTTGGAGCAGCTCAAGTGTGGGCTCCTTGCAGAGGCTGGAAAGCCCCCACAGGAGCAGTTGCCCTGAAGTTGTTACAGCTGCTCCCTGCTGACATCATGTGGTCTAGAAGGGCCCAGAAATGGGCACCACCTCAGGCAGGTTTTGACTTTCTGTGGTTAAAGAAAGAACACCAGTTCTCTCAGATAAAGCAGAGAGAGCTCTCAGAAGCCTGCTGGTGACTGTGAGAGCAAAGTCACTTGCACCTGAAGCAAGACAGCCGAGAACACCGAGCCACCGGCAGCCTGGTGGGTTTGGAGGGTAGTGCGTCAGAACCAGATGTTTATAAGGCTTATGTATTTTATCACCTCTGCTGTACAGTTTATGGTTTACAATGGCTGCAAGGAAATCGGATCAGTTTTGTTTTACTTGCCAAATAAAACAAATGTCAAAATAGTCAATATAAAATGTATTCTAATTTGGCTGAGTTAAGTCAGCCAATATGCAACAGGATAATTGAATGTTCATTAGTGCTTCCAAGTAAAAGCCATTTGTCTGTCCCAAGTTCTCCTGTGCGGTAATTTACAGGTAGGATGCACACCTATGTAAGCCTCATCCATCAGGGTTTTTTGGTTTTTGTGGGGTTTTTTTGTGTGTTGTTTTCCTATCCAGTATCTTTGATTTATTTTAAAATGAAATGTTGATTATTCATTCAAATTTTCCATTGAAGACCTAGGAAAGGATGAGTATGCTGTTTTATTCCTTGAGGCTTCAGGTCTCTACACTCTCCAGAGGAGGAATCTGATCACCTCCCCTCTGGTGGGGAGCAGTGGCTGGGGCTTGTGCTCCGAGTGCTGGGGGTCTACCAGGAGCCTATAGGGTAAGGCAGGCCCCTCAGTGGGGCCTGCAGGGCTGCACACCAGCTCCGGGATTTCCTGTCTTCCCTTTCCCAGCCAGAGCCCCAGACATTAACGTGCGCTGGCAGCCTCCTCCTCCCCTGGCTTCTGCGCCTTTGCTCCCGGTGCTCCCTGCACATGAGGTGTGTTTGACAGGTCTCAGCGCAGAGGACTTCTCTCCCGGGAAGCCCTCCCAGAGGCTCCTGGGCTGGGCCTGTGCTGGGTCTTCTTCTGTGAGCGCTTCCGGGGCATCTCGAGCCCGTGTGGTGGTGAGGGCATGTGGTGAGCCTCCGAGGAGCTCCCCAGCGCCTACCTGAATCCAGGCACGAATTCAGTTTCACCATAAATGCGTCCCTGGCAACCCCTCCAGACTACTCCCTGGTCCCTGAGCACTGCGCGGGTCTTTTCCTATGGCGAGAGTAATCCAGGCTTGTAGAAAATTGGCAGAATGTAGAAAGTATGAAAAAACAGGAATTCCATTTCCCACGAGCAGATGCTTATAACCTTTTGTTATATTTCCCTCAAGTCTTTTTCTTGTGTACTTTTTACATAGGTGATATCATATCGTGTAATAGCAAGTCTGCATCTTGCTACTCTTTTCTCAGGTAGCCTTAACCATAAACCTGAGAACCACGTCCAGTGCGGTCTTTGTGTGGCGTGGATCGGGCCTCTGGGAGCGCGGTGACGCAGCGCCCTCTACTGCCCAGCCGTGGCGGTGGCGGGGAATGCGGTTCTGAGCCGGAGCTAGTGGCAGGCTCTTTCGCCGCAGAGCCCTGGCCCAGGCCAGCCAGGAGGACCTAGGAAGCGGTGGGTCACAGATCTTGCTGCCTTCTTGAGTCTGTATTCCTCTCCAAAGCCAAAACCATGTGCTCCGCCTCCATTTCTTGTGTCATCGCTCAGATTTCAAAGAATTTCCTGCCATTTTTTGGAATGCCGTTCATTCCCAGCTTTACTTCAGACAAAGGTGGATCTTTGCACCGTCTGTAGGCCATCACCTGAGGACCTCGTGGTTCTAGCAGCACTGCCTTCTCTGTCCAAAAGCAGGAACTGCCTCTAGAAGCAGGAGCTTCCCGCAGAAGCTCCGTTATTGCAGAAAATGCTGTGGTGTCACCGGCTTTGGAGTTGTCCTTTTGGAGCAGGCAGGTCCCCAGGGAGAGGGATGCTCCTGGGCTGTATCCAGTGAGTTGGTGGCTAAGGTGGTAGAAGGTAGCTTGGCAGAGCTCCTCTCCCTCATACAGTGATGCTTCATCTCACATACAGACATCGCCACACACATCTCTTGACTGTCTTCTAGTGAAGAAGGGCAGCCACTTCTTCTGGGACCCAGAGCCTCTCCATATCTCTGGCCGCAGGCGCTCCATCCCCTGCCTGCCTATGTCATGCACGTCGATCAACAGGAGAGAGCTGGCCTGGGGACGGAGGCACAGTCCCATCTCTGTGGCCCTCTTTGGGGCTGGGCCCAGCTTTGTGAGTCAGCCTTGGGCATGTGATCAGATGGTGGGGTTTCTGATTCAGCTCTGTGATGCTGTCTGGGGCAGGGGGCCAAGAGAGGAAACACCTTCCTGGCCTCTATCAGAGCAGCCCCTCCACCGTCTGTCACATGCAGGGCGTCACCTGTTTCTGCTGGGAAGAAGAGGTTCCGCTGCTGCTGGGACAGAGGTTGGGAAGAGCCCCAGGAGGCAGGTGGGCTCACAACCGCTGGAGCACCAGAAGTCCCCAGTGTGATAAGGGAATGGCTCTGTGTCGACCCAGGAGGAGTCCCCTGGTGGGCTGCAGCCCTCTAGCTCAGCAAGCAGCAGAACCATGGCTTGATAAAGACATCAGAGGCATGCTTATCAAATTTGCAGATGATGCAGAGTCATTAGGGTGAGCTGACGTGCTGAATGATAGAATCAATACTCTGCATCTCCTCTACAGCCAGAACAACCTGCTGGAGCCATGGGAGGCGATGGGCGCAGGCGGAGAGGGCCCCCGAGGTTCAAAAATCCATCACACAGGAGCCAAACTGAGGCCTGGCTTAGCAGCTAAGTGTGTGAAATGGCGGGGGTCGGAGCGTGGGTGTGTGGAGTACAGCCTGGTGTGCACAGCGGGAGGCCCTGAGTGGAGTCCTGCTCCTGGGGCGTGTGCACTGCCTCACACCACCAGGCAGAGGTTACCCAAATCCAGTGTCAAGTTTGAGGAATCCAGTTTGGAGCTGAGTAGAGACAGGCCAGCCTGCTGCAGATGTCTTAAGGGTCAATGGCAGGAGAGAAAGTAGAAGTGTTTCCAGGTGGGGATGGAGGGGTGGAGAGATGGCTGGGGGCTCCAGAAGGCAGAATTAGGTCAGGTGGACTGAAGTTACAAGGAGATAGATTTAGGCTTAACACTTTAAAAAAATCAGTAAAGACAGCTTCCCCAAGGTGAAAATTCTGTGGCATCAAGAAGCTGACCTGAGGGGTGATGCGCTCCCAGATGCTAGGGGTGGTCAGACGGCATTTGGATCCTTCAGACTGCAGGAGAACTAGAGCAATCAGTGTTTCTTAAGCCGTATTTAAGGAACTTGTCATATTCCCTCTCCCCACCTACAGAAATTCAGGTTCGGCAGAACTACGTGTTAGGGTCACAGACACCTTGTCCAGAGAACTTCAGGGCCCTGCAGTGGGCAGGGAGGGCACAGAGCAGTGGGCCTTGGTTTCAGAGGTCCTCAAGCCGTCGTCGATGCTGCTTCTGTATCTGACTTGCAGCCATTGCCTTCCTCCACTCACCAGTGCCGAGGTCAGAGGAGGAGGTATGGATAGTGGAGAGTTGCTGCTGTGCAGCCTCCCTGAGAGGGAAGGCTCAGAGGGGCCTCCCACAACGTCCGGGGCCCTCCCTTGGTGATGCGGACACCGTGTCTCCGTCCAGGGTAGGCAGGCATGAGCTGACGATGGGTGGTATTCTGTCCCTTTCAGAGTCTGTCAGAAACATGTAGTCTGGCCTCCAGCTGGCTAGGATTTTCGGGACATCTCATGTTTATGTGAACATCCATCCTGCGGGGGCTCTCCTAGAAAATCTGCAATGTGTGGTTCCAGTAGCCTCACCCCACCCTTCCTGCTGACCTGGGCTGTCCTCACCATGGTCCTGAGGGAGAAGCTGCTGCCCAAACTCTCCTCCCCACAGACCCCAGGCCATGGGCACATCCTGTGACCTTTCCCTAACACTGTCTCTCTTGGGGGAAAGGGTTATTTTCCCACCCGAAGTCACAGAGCATTTCCCAGCCATTGAGTTCTGACCGGCAGCCTCCCCTGCAAGATGCAGCTCCCAGGAGCCTCTTGGAGTGTCAGCCAGGCCTGGGTTGCCCGTAGGAGGTGACGTGTTGCTCGCTATTGCAGTCATCTTCCTGTAATTTGTCAGCTCCCAGCAAGTTGTCAGTCACAGGTTCGGAAGTATGTTTCTTAGTGACAGACATAATTGTACTTAACTTTTTGCATGGATGTTATCAATCTGTGACAGATACTCTGGGAAATGGGGCATTTTGATTGCAGAAGATCTGTCACATGCATTTAGTCTTCCTCTCAGGGACACCAGGATTCAGTCACAACTTTTGCATGTCGATGTCAGGTTTTGAGAACATAGATCCTTGCTGACCTCAAAAATCGTTCCATCACTCTGATCCCAGGGCTGTCATCGGAAAGGTTAATGGCCCTTCCTAGAGGAGAGGAAAAATCATGCCGTGGTGATCTAGAATTCAGGCCGTGCTGCCCAGGCTTGTCCCCCATCACATCATTGTCAGAAGCCCATGAGCGTGCCACGCTCCGTCCTGGCCTCTCCAACCCCGCCTTCCCTCTGGACATGGGGATCAACTCCATTACTTTCTGATTAACTCGCAGAGTAAGTCAGCAGTTGGGGCGGAGCCTTAGGTCACTGGCTGGAGCCTTGTTGTCCACACTGACAGCCTCAAATCCTTCGGCTGCCTTCTGTCCGTTTTCAATTGTAAGATGGCCCTTGTACCCCAGATGACATGTCACCTGTCCTGTTGTTGCAGGACTTGAACGAAAGGCCCAGAATCCCACAGATCAGGGAGGCTGAGTTTTCCTTTTCCTGTTGAGGTGTTTACCTACCTGTTCAGAGTGGCAAAAGGCTTGGTGCTGGAGGCATTTGCCTGTGAGAAGTTTCTCCCTAGGGTTCAGTAGGGGAAGGCTCAGTGCAGAGGATTGGAGTTGAAATCTGTGGTTTCATGTAAGGTGCATCATTTATGAGAGGGGTTCTGTGTATCCCAGGTGATTCCAATGACTCTTTTTGTCCCCTAGTAATAAATTGTGACATGGATTTTGAGCTCCACTTCCATAGTGGCAAGAAATGGTTTGGGGGCAGGTGAGCTAAGCAATGGAGCACTCTGTCCTGGTCCCATCAAAAGAGGGCTTGGGGCGCTGGGTGTGGTGGCTCATGCCTGTAATCCTAGCACTTTGGGAGGCTGAGACGGGAGGATCACTTGAGTTCAGGAGTTCAAAACAAGTCTGTGCAACATGGCAAAACCCCGTCTCTACAAAAAAATCAAATACAAAAATTAGCTGGGTGTGGTGGCACAAGCCTGTGGTCCTAGCTACTCAGGAGGCTGAGTGAGAGGATCACTTGAGCCCGGAAATCAAGGCTGCAGTGAGCTGTGATCATGATTCCTCCATTGCATTCCAGCCTGGGCGACAGTGCAAGACCCTATCTTAAAAAAAAAATGGAAGAAGAAGACGAGGGCTTGGGCCCTGGTTTTCTGGCTTGGGGGCCTTCAGACACTTCTGCAGGTCATGTCCAGGCATAACTATGGGTCTGGCTTCACTTGGAAAAATTAGATTTCCTCTTCCTTCACACTAAAGCCACACATGCTTTTTGTTTGTTTTACCTCTAAAGACAGAACATACATTTTCATTGTCTTTTAAGATGAAGACTGTAGCGCAGGGTTCTTTACACAAGGAGCACGGACGTCAGCACGGGGGTGTGAATGATCCCGCTGCGCAAGTGGCACCTTCCAGCCGAAAGGACCAGCAGCCAGCCCTGTCTCAGAGACGAGCCCTCTGGAGGGGTCGAACCTGAACACTAAATCAAAGATGGATCTGGGGTGGGCTTCTGGGGCTCAGGTATTGTTTCTGTAAATAGCCTGCATTTACATTCTTTGCCTGTAACCTTAAAGTCTGTGGTGACCTGATAACTGCACTGGGGTTTTCAGACACACATATGTTCCTTTTTCCTCAATCGAGAACTTCACTGGCTTCCTGTTATCCGACCGCCCCCCACACATCCTCTTACATTAATTAGGTGAGTCTCCTCTTGGCTCCGGGGCACACCATTCTTATTCCAAAAGCATCTCTGCTCTGGCCTTCACCATGCACCTCAGTTTGTACCAGCCCCTTCCCTCCTGGAAGAGTTAGGCTGGACTCCAGAATGCTTAGGATTGGCCCTGGCCAGCCCCACCCCAGGCCTATAGTAGCCCACATCACTGCTAGAAAGCCTGGCCTGCGTCGTTTTCCTTCTTCTCCTCCAGTTGCCTGCGTCATACAGCCTGGCATCTCACAGTTCCCTGTCATTGCTGCGTGTATTTCTGTTTGATCTTACTGACTAGATTTGCTGCTTACTGATGACAGAGATCCTCATGTTTTCCTTTTTCTCCTTTAAAGCCTCAAAAGAGGCTAGTCACACAGAAATAGCAATGATGATCATATTGCATCACCGTTCATCAAATTTGAGCAAGTACTTTCAACCATGTCATCTCATTCCATGCTCACAGTAAGTGCTCAGTGGAAAATGTGTGGCCCCAAGATGGTAAAGAACTCTGAATTCCAGGTGGCTGACATGTGTTAGGCACCCAGAAAGTATTTATTGGATGCAGAAAATGAGTTAGTTTAATACATAGGACTGGACATCATATTTTATGCATCGCCCTTCCATCCGTCCATCCATCCAGCAGAGACTTATCATGCATTTATTAGGTGTGAGGTACTGTTCAAAGGCTTTACAAATAACTCCTTTAAATCTTTTTTTTTTTTTTTTTTTTTTTGAGACAGAGTCTCACTGTCGCCCAGGCTGGAGTGCAGTGCTGCTATCTCGGCTCACTGCAACCTCTGCCTCCTGGGTTCAAGCAGTTCTCCCACCTCAGCCTCCCAAGTAGCTGGGACTACAAACATGTGCCACCACGCCTAGCTAATTTTTTGTATTTTTAGTAGAGATGGGGTTTCACCATATTGGCCAGGCTGGTCTCGAACTCCTGACCTCAAGTGATCCGCCTGCCTCGACCTCCCAAAGTGCTAGGACTACAGGCGTGAGCCACCACACCCGGCCAACTCGTTTAATTCTAATAATAGCTCTGTGAGTCAGTTACTATTATCAGCCCAGGTTTAAGTTGAGGAAACTGAGGGTGAGGAGGTTAAATCCCTTGCCCAAGGTCATACAGTTAGCAAGTGTCAGGGCTAGGATCTGCACCCAAGCAGGCAAGCTACTGTTAGTGTGCAGACTGTCACGAGGCCCCCAGCCGTGAAGCCTCTCATCAGGGAGCCAAGCATGTGCCTGGAAGGGCTGGTGGGTAGGTGGGGTGCCCATTCAGGTGGCCCCGCCATCTTCCTGTGCAGCTTCTCCAGGCTCCTGACCAGCAACTGGTGAATGAGGACTTCCCAGGGCGTGTGGGTGGGGAACTCATCCCACAGAGGCCCCTCTGGTCAGAAACCGCCTAAGCGGTCTTAGGGAGACGTGTGAACTTTGGCCGGTGTCCAGCACACTTGCACTGTGGTCGCCGACTGAGGGAACATGTGGAGGCCAGCCCAGGAGGTCCCAGCACCACCATCCCTCCCTCGCTTTGAAGCGGGCGTTTAAGCAGGGTTACGAGCAGTGTGGTTGATTCTGGTGATCGTGAGAGTGGCATGAAAGAGACCTACAGAGCGAGGTTATTTGAATATCTTCAAAATGCTCGTGAACAGAGCGGCGGCCGCTCTTGGACCCGTATCAAACTTAGTTTTGGTGTCAGAGTAATTTTGAAGGGGAAATTTCATTAGAATGCAGTTCGGTATTGTTAGATATGAATGATGAGTTTAGGCTGAGCAATACACTTTTTGATATTAATTTTTAATACAGCTTCTTGGGAAGTCAGAGCTTCTATTTAATGAAGAATTGACGATTCGTCAGTTCAGCTCCCGCTTCGGAGCTGGCCTTGGCGTTCGCAGTCTCATGTCAGATTTTTGACAAGGTATTTGCTGCTTGTAAATGTGTTATCTTTGTAATTTTGGTGAATTTCTGAGTGTCTTATTTTTCTCAGTGGTCATGGTGGTTATGTTTGCTTTTTTGTTGTTATCGTCCCGAGAAGCAGGGTTAGAAATGGGAAATTATTCCCTTCTGAGTCCAGCTCGCGAGTGCACGAGGGCTCTTTGTGCAGTTGGTTTCAGCGCCAGGGTTTTGAGAAAGGCTTTTTTCAGGATTATGAAAATAGTTTTCTGTGTGTCAGAACAGATTTATCAGTTCACTTTAGGGTCGGTTTTGTGAACCAGACCATTTAGAGAAGGATATTTTACCTTTTATCAGAGTGGAAGCTGACAGTCTATTTGCAGGTAGCTCTGTGGAATGTTTCACCTGGGTCTCTCAGTGTAAATCTAGCTGCCAAATAAAGTAAAAATGGGCGTTAAACCAGCGATATTTCCCAGGATTTTACTACCACCCCCTACCCCCCGCCCCAACTATGCTGCTCTATTTCGATGCAGAGTTTCAATTATTAATTGGGATATTTAATAAAATCCTTTGCTTGCAGTTACTTTTAAAAGGCCTTTTGAGTTTATTTGGGTTCAGTTTTTGCCAGTGGGTAGGGTAGAATTCAATCTGAATATCCTTCATGAGCAGCAGATGTTTTGTTTCCAGTTGAATAATAATATTAATAATTATTATTATTAGAATAAATACAATTATTATTATCATCATTATTATTTCAGCTGTAATTTTCTGGGCTTCTTGTGCCAGGCATTGTGTAAACGTTATATATATATGTACACACCTACACACACAGAGATAGATATATATGTAGTTTTAATCTTTATAACCATGTTGTGAGGTGAATAATTGTGTCCTCATTTTATTTTGTTTTGGTTTTGTGGGGGGTTTTTTTTTTTGAGACGAAGTCTTGCTCTGTCACCCAGGCTGGCGTGTTGAGAAGACTGAAGCTTGGAGAGATCATGATTCATCCAAGGGCAGAGAGTTAGGATTTAGAGGGGCTGTGAGCAGAGGAGAGGTCTCACCATAATGCCCTGCCTGCCTTCAAGGAGCCTCAGGGCTTCCTGATGGAACGCTGACCCTCTGCTGTGAGCTCGACCTTGCATGGGACCAAAAATCACCGTCCAGCCTGTAGCCCACATTCCACCTCCTCTTCAGTCATGGCTGTATTTTGTTAAACAAATTGTTTTCCACAGCTTTTGAGATGGATTGGGCAGGGAGGAGACAAGTGTTGCCTTTGGCTCTTTGATAGAGGATGTGCTGCATTCAGTCCAGACTGCAGCTTGCCCTGCGCTCTCACGCACACAGTCCTTTATGAATCTGACTTTGGCAGTCCCCCGACTCTTGAATTTTCGAAAAGCGGATGTTTTAGTAGGCTGGAAGAAGATGAAAAGCTAGCAGTGCCCATATGTTCCTTGTTTTTAAAAGTAAGGTCAGCGAGGTTTAGAGACTCTTTAAATATTTCAGTTTATAAGATTAGACTAGATCATCTGGAATGGAAGTGTGGTGCCCCTGGTCCCAGACTTGGCTTTTTTCTTCATTTCTTTTATATGGGAGGTCGGTGTTTTGGCATTGCAAGGTTCAAGTGTAATAAAACTTAAATGTAGTGAATAAATACCATGATTTGGAGTGTTGCTGTGGCTATGAAAGTTAGTTTCCTTTCTTCATCTTTTTTTTTTTATTAAGTAATCAGTGACTTGAAAAATAGCAGATTGGTATAAGGATTGTAACTTAAGAAACTGAAAACTCCCATGCTTTAAAGGAGTATAGGCTTTGATATTTTTCTGCGGAAGCATTTTCTTCACTCATTTAAATCTTCCTAGGCTGAGATTAAGCATTCATCCTGAAATGTACACTTGAATAGTTTGAAATTCAACACAAGTGTATATTTTTAGTGAAGACATTTTCTCTTGGGTTATCAGTGGTCAGTGATGTAGTGGTGGTTTTGCTTGACCCCAGGGTATTTACAGAAGCCTAGGATCTGAGCAAATATCTAGCCCAACCCCAAGTTGGGACTAGGTCTCACTTATTGGTACAGCACACCTAATGTTTTATGCCTTTCACCCAAAAAGCGTTTTTACGGCCAGGATGTGCCCGTAGTCACCAACAGTAACTGCTGGGAGACACGTCAGGGAGAGGTAGCTGTGGTCACTGCCTTGTACAACAGCCAAAAGCCCAAAGCAGGAGGGACCCTGGCCTTCTCCCAGCACACAACGAGTGGGAGCTCTGTGTGCTGGCCGGCATTTCCTGTCACGTTCAATAGGACACGTTCACTCTTCATACTTCTTCAATTCTAAATTTCAGAAGTAATTTGTCACTTTAGAGGAGGGCGTCATTAATAACCATTATTTAGAACTGTCGAGTCTTCCTCTCTGTGAGTGTCTGAGTTAAGCATCCCCAAAATTGGCCTTGTTGGTGGCAAGCAGTGCCCCCACACTGACAGATTGAGACTACCCCACCCCCACCGACGCCCTCACAACCCAGTTCTTCCCCGTCTGCCTTTAATCACCGCGAGGGGGGCGACAGGGAATGGCTACGGCATGTCCTCCTGGAATTCATTAGCGTTATTACCAAAGACCGTGTTGTAAATTGAGATTTTTTTTAACTGCTAGGAAAAAATTTCTCCTTAACTATTTCATTTTATTGTACTTAAAAAAAAGAAAGAAAGATTTTTCTCATCAAACTTTTGGAGCAGAATGGTTCAGAAACCTGACTTCAGATCCCACTGGGTGTGGACCCTGAATTGTAAATGAAGCTGAAATCGCATCTGGTTACCCTTGAGCTCTGGGGAGAGGGCCAAGGAAGAACCCCCAAACCTTCCGATGGGTGGTTAAGAAAAAGAATTGCCATTCAATGTATGTTAATGCACATTGTTATTCTTTAACATTAAAATTCCACTAAAGTACTAATAATTACTGTTAATATCTTTCGGTGGAAACTTACAGTAAAGGAGCAGTAGTGGAAACAGTATTTAAGGGCGAGCTGCCGGCATGATAAGAATGCAAATAAGCGTTATTAGCCTAATGATTTTGCCGTCGCCATGGTTGTGCGGCAGCAGTGTTGTGAATATGTCATCCGGCACCCGTGAATTTGGAAAGTGTGTCAAAACACAACTTCAATTAGTTTGCTCTAATTATGGCTCTGGAGAGTTTGTAACTACATCACTCCTCATTAAAAGAGATTTTCTTATATGGATTAATGTAATATACAAAGGAAAGTTTCAAAGTTCCCGATGCCATTCGCTCCCCCCACGCAGGCCTGATGGATCCGGATCCGGGGTCTGTGCCTGCAGTGGGCCCAGGCAGGGGGCTGGGGCGGCTCCCTCCTTCTGCCTGGCGATCCACTTCCTGCTGAAAGTGGCCACTGCAAATGGAGCCTTTTCCACAAGAGGGTAAGTGAACCCGTCACAGGCTTTTAAGGAGAGATGGCTAACCTGAAACTATCAGGATGTCCCTCCTTTTCGGCTTCTCGGTGGAGGCTGGAAGCAGAAAGGTCTCTGGACCTACCGTGGTCCAGTCCCATGTGTGCACTCAGCCCTTGGCCGTGTCCTGAGTCCTTCGGGGAGATTATGTGGCAAAATGTGTTGTTTTTGGTCACGTAGAATCACATAGTATCTATGAAATGTTAGTAAAAGTCTTTTCAGATAGCAAAGGCGTACATTAAGGAACGTAATCACCAAGCTGATGTATAGTTCTAAATGCTATCATTGAGCCTTGGCCATCTTGAAAGAAGAAAGAGTTCACATTTTTTTGTCCTGTTGCAAACATTCCCCTCCCCAAGGACACCTGTCCCGCAGCGCCCACCTTCTCGAGTCCTACTCTGCGGGGTTTGGATGGCCACCTTGTCACCTTGCCTCAAATCGGCCTTGTGGGACTGTTCCTTGAGCTTTGCTGCCCCCACCTCCACCATTCTGCTGAGCCCCTGGCCACAACGGCATCGTGACTTCCATTGTGGGGGGGGGCTCAGTAATGCATTTTGAACCCAAGAGTTAAATTTTAGAATGCTGATTGAAGAGGCCTGGGTTTTGGTTTTCCTTTGATTTAGCCACACGGTGCAGATGATCCAAAATACAGCCTTGAAAACATTTTTGTGGGCCTTTGCGTGTTCTCTTTGTCATCACTTTTGGTGAGTAACTCTGTGTGTGTGTGTGTGTGTGTGTGTGTGTGTGTGTGTGTGTGTGTGTCCCTTGGGCCTTCTTTACACCACTCACAGGCGGTGTTACTTTGAGTGAGTTTTATCACTCTCTGAGCCTGTTTCTTCCTCTGTGAAATGGGGATAGAAATGCCTCCTTTGCAGGATTTGTCATGAGAATTAAATTGGGGGGGGACACAGAAAGCACCACCCTGGTGCCCAGTGAGCACCCATGCATGCTGGCTTTCTGTCTGTGTCCAGGGTTCAATGCAGAACTTAGCCTAAGCATGAGCAGGGCATCCCCTTAGACCTTTCCTTTGCCACCACGTGGCTCCCGCCTGCTGCAGTTGCAACTCCAGTCACCAGCACCCCTCCAGCACCCCACAGCATCAGAGACTGGGCACAGGCAACCTCCCCTGCGGAGCTGGGACTAGAATGGCTGTGTTCACAGGTGAGCAGCTGGGAAGGGGTTAAGATAGTAATTGTGTAAGTCTTCCAGGCTTTCTCCCAGTTCTGCGATAATTTGATGAAGAACTTCACCCTAATTAAATATTCAAATTAGGAATAAGTGTCAATATGGCTTCCCATTGCCTGGAATGATGATTAATTGTATTCAAAACTCTAGTGGCCCACTGTAATCTAAACCTAACCGTTGTTCTTGATTATTTCTGCACCACACTTGCCATGTTTTTGTTTTAAGATTTAAACTAGTAATTGATTTGCCATATGCCGTCAAGCTGCACGTACTTTATGCATTTAGGAACTTGGGGAGTTTGGAATTGTGATTTCCTTCATCTTCCAGTGGCAGCTTTTTTTTCCCCTTGTCCAATGCACAGTGATTTGGTTTTGTGTGTGTGTGTGTGTGTGTGTGTGTGTGTGCACGCATGCACGCGCATGCATGCATGTGTGTATGTGTTGCCCATGAGGAAAACCCATTCTACAGTCAGCCTGGTAGGTTGGAGTTGCATTGGTCGTGGCAAATGGGCTTCCTGAATGGAAAATGAACAGGTCTGTGTTTGCACTTACTTTGTGCCCTGTGTCATCTCAGTAAAGCAACATGGCATGGTGGAAAGAGCATGAACGCACATCCTAGCCCAGCCATTTTCTTCAGCTGTGTGACTTTGGGTGAGTTACTTAACCTCTCTGAACCACTTTTCCCCCACATATAGGGTACTACTTCCCTTGCTGGGTTGTTTACATTAGAGATGTGTATGAACATGAGGAATGGTGCAAGTGCCCAGTGAGTAGTAACTGCCATAGTCCTAAATAATTACAGGAGTGAAAATTCCAGGAACAAAGCCTTCACGCGGGCCTCCCTGGAAAGCCCCTCCCAGCCATGCAAGTCAAATCCCATTTCCTACCTCTCTGACTCCCGGAGCCTCCGTTGCCCATCCTTGGCTTTGTGACATCTCTTGGGCCACTGTCTAGACTCTTGAATTACTATTTCATTGCTCGGGCCTCTTCTCCCCAGCCACAGTCTTTTCTTTTTGCAGGTGGGACCATGGCTCCCATGTCCCTGGATACCTCCCAGGGCCTAACAGAGTGCCTGGCCTGTAGTAGACTCTCAACAGATGTTTGTTATTTTGGTTATTTCTTTTTTTTTTTTTTTTTGAGATGGAGTCTTACTCTGTCACCCAGGCTGGAGTGCAATGGCGTGATCTCTGCTTACTGCAGCCTCCACCTCCCAGGTTCAAGCAATTCTCCTGCCTCAGCCTCCTGAGTAGCTGGGATTACAGGCACACGCCACCACGCCCGGCTAATTTTTATATTTTTTAGTAGAAACGGGGTTTCACCATGTTGTTCAGGCTGGTCTTGAACTCCTGACCTCGTGATCCACCCGCCTTGGCCTCCCAAAGTGCTGTGATTACAGGCATGAGCCACCACACCCAGTTATTTCTTTTTCATGCCACTGTTTTAAAATTGAAGCATATAACCATATTGTCCTTTATGGCCTATCTTTTGATATTCAGAGCTTTTACTTTGTGATATAGGAGATTTATGTTCGTGTTTCAGTTGACTTATGGATAAATTCCTAAAGGGGAAGATACACGTTTCATTTGGTTTCTTAAACTGTCTCGGTGCCAGGCAGTGCCTAGCACACAGTAGGAGCACAATAAAAAAAGTGCGCTGAGTCAGTCGCCACATCCTAATTATAGCGGCCTTGTGTGCCTGTTGATACTGGTCCAGCTCCCCTGGCATGGGCCTGTGTTCACTGGGTAATACTTGGAATTAAGTTTTAGGTCTGGGCATAGAAGGTTTATAAGATAGTGAATATAACTGTAGAGGAAATAGGTCTCTTTTAAGTTTTACAAAACCTTACTTGTCTTGGCTTGTGTCAATTACAAAACGAAACAAAAAAGAGACTCATCAGACCGTGACAAATGATAGTAAACTTTGCGCATGGTGGTTTCTCCCTGAGGTTGGCTCCAAAATCAATATGAAAAGAAAACCACAACTGAAAATATTTTAGAGCCTAGAGTGATTAAAATAACTGACTTTCTGTTTTAGCGGAAACAAGTTACAAGAAAGAATTACAATATCTCCTCACATCTCTGGGTCTTCACAGATCTCAATCGTAATTCAGAGCCTCACTTGGGAAACACAGGGGACTTGGAGCAGGAATCCTGGCTGTGAAGTCATTGAGGAGGATTCGAGTGTTAGTCAGGCCCTTCCAGCTGAAAATGATTCATTTTAATTACCTTCCAGGGTGATCCGATACCTGAGCATATGGTCTTTAAGAAATAAGGTTCCCCAAACTGTCAGCAAGTGTGGGCAATGGTCAGGGACCTCTTTCTGACACCATTGACCAGCCTTGGAGAGCGGGCGCTCTAGAAGGTGCTTATTAAAATGCCAGCAGGTGCAGCAAAGGTCCCCTTCTCTGTGACTCCCGCACCCTGCTTGTGCCAGGTGTTTTATAAGAGCCTTTTTCTTCATTAAATGGCATTCATTAAGCACGTCCTTACACCTGGCACAGAAGCTGTGCGTCACAGATGACTTCTTCCCAGTGGTGTTTGCAGGAATAATGTGGAATTTCATTTAGCCATTTGCTGTGTTCTTCTTCCCCTTCCTATCTTAACTTGATTTTTGTTGCTTTTCATATTTCTTCTGCTGCCCCCACAATCCATTCCTCTCCTTTGTACATGACCTCTGGTCTTTGTCCACCAGCAGACACATTATATAGAAAACAAGGTGTCCCTTCAGCACCAAGCACCACCACGCTGGATGCTTTCATACGTGTGTCTCTTCTACTCTCCCAACCACATTGAGAAGTGTTCCCCTAGTTTTTGCCATCTTTTTTTCTGATTAAAAGAAATAATTTCTCATCCAAAAAAATTAACACTTAAAACATATGGAAGAGCAGTGGGGAGAATCCACACTCCCATCTTAGAGGCTTCTGTCGTCAATACCGTGAGCCTCTCCTGCCCCTCAGTCACCTCTAAGTTACTCCCTCCAGCCCTTTGCTGTACTGTAGCTTAGCCGTGTGTGCCCATGGAAAAAAGATTGTCTTATGGGATTGTTTATAATACATCATTCTGCAACTTTGTTTTTGCTTGGCTGGTTTTTTGGTTTTGTTTTACTTAACAGCCAGTCTTTGGGAGTTGGGCATTTCTACAGAAAAATCTCTGGCTCTCTTCATCTATTCGTTCTGTCCTACTTTAGTATTATATGAAAATTCCACATTTTATTAGCCTCCTCTTATTGATGGTCATTGGGCTGCTCCCAGTTCATTGCCATGACAAATGCTGCCCCAAGGCCCTGGTTCCTGTCCTTTCCTTCCACAGCTGAGATCATATTCCATACACAGATCCCGAGCATCTCACTCCAACCCTCTCCACAAAGCCTGTAAACATCATTTTATGTCTGCATAATATTCTGAGTCAGACATAGTAACATTATTTCCAGTTTTTGAGTAGACCGTCATAATTAAGAGCATGAATTGTGTAATTGGCCCCATCAGCATTCAAATCCAAGCTTCTGCATACTCTGTGTTCAAGTCCAAGCTGTATCCAGCAGAGAGGCAAGCTGTGGAGCCTCTCTGAGACACCTGTGGAGTAGGGGGGGTCTCAGCAACTCGCCGTAGGATTGGGTTAGGGATCATAAGATGCATATGACAGGTACACGCTGTAAACAAGTCAACTGATGATATTTTTAAATTTTCTTAAATAGGTCATTTCCCACATTTCAGGTTCTTTCCTCAAATCTCAAAAAGGGAAGAATAAATGCTGGTCCTTTTGTCGCATTACTTCCCCTTTCTTAAGTATTAAATTTGAATCATCTGGAATGTATTATTAAGTGTTTCTCCTAGAGAAGGTGACATGAGTAATCTTCTGTTGTCTTCCTGCACAAAAGACAACTTGAAGTCATACAAAATTGCTGAATCACAACTATTTTCACCTTCAAAACTGGCTGCGTCGTCTTCCAGCATTTAGTATGGCAGAGGAAAAGTCTGAAGTCACCATCAGTATTTGCCAGGATGTATCCTCTTTTCATTGCATTTTCTGGAATCCTGTGAACCCCATTGGTTGTGTGTGTGTGTGTGTGTGTGTGTGTGTGTGTGTATAAGGGTTGGGAGATCAAAGTGGCAGGTGCCTCTGACTATGAGTGCGCCTCTGCCTTGCTAGTCACCACTCTCTCGACGCTGCCCTTTGACAGTCTGGGAGGACAGCAGGCACTGCAGCTGCCTGGGCAGAACCATCTTCATTATATGTGGCCACTGGGTCTACAAGATTAATGGTAACATTTTAAAAATTCACACAGACCTGGAATCAGCACTAGAAAATACAGATTTAAATTAACAAGGAAAAAGCAGAATCCCATCAAAGGAAATAAATCGTGCTGGCAACTATTGTCTCATAATAAAATATATTCTATAACTGAAGGGCTTTTATATGGAGCTGTCTGCAGCTTAGTGGCCATGTTAATTGAATAAGGTGCCTAAGACTGACTTGGGGGAAAAAATGAAATTCCCCTCAGCATGTATTTAGCTGGAGCCGTCATCGCTGGCAGTGCGTGCTTGCTGACCTGTTTGTTACAGAACAGCCAATCCCTCCTGCAGAGAGACGTGATGGCCACCAGAAGCAGCAGGGTGAGAGCCCTGTCTCCTCCGGGCAGTTCCGTGGGCAGGGGGAAGGGGAGGATAGCTTGGTAACACTCCCCGAGGATTTAGGGACTGTTCCAGTTACAATTCTCCAGTGACCAAACAGATTTTGGAATAATAATCCATCATTTGAGTCAAGTGGCAGACATGGTTGTCCTCTGATGGACAGCCCTTGCTCCAGGGGTCCAAGACCTACTGGGGAAGGTGCCAGAAGGCCTTCACCTCCTGGCACTATCCTAAGTAGAGACAGTTTCTCGAGCCTTTGAGTCTCCTTCTCCTCAGTCTGCTGGGGAGCTTTATGAACTCTCCTAAAATCTAAACTCATGGATCTGCCTACAGAGTGGTCAACTTCGGGCCCACTAAAATGACTCCACTGAAACTGCTGTCCATAAGTGCACCAGCCACCATCATTCTCGTGGACCTCTCAGGTTTTTTTTTTTAATTTTTATCTATTTATTTATTTTGAGACTGGATTATAAAACTGGCTAATTTTTGTTTGTTTGTTTGTTTGTTTTTTGGTAGAGATGGGGTTTCACCATGATGCCCAGGCTGGTCTCAAACTCCTGGGTTCAAGTGACCCACTCGCCTCGGCCTTCCAAAGTCCTGGGATTATAGGCATGAGCCCCCACTCCCAGCCGGCCTCTCGGTTTTGTTTGATGCTGTCGAGTACCTACTCATTCTTATAACTCCCTTGGCTGGGAGCTGCAGAAGAGGTGAGTGTCCAATGCCAGTGGCCTAGTGCAGCTCCTGATCTCTTGCTTCCTCCCTCCTCCAGGTACAGGGTCGTGATCGGGGCCTTCCTTCAGTCTCTCCTTAGACAATCCAACCTGTTTATTCTCATGAACCAGAGGCCTTTGTATGGGAAAGAAGCCAAAGAGTATTGGGTTAACTGACCACGATTCCAAGCATGAAAATAAGGACTTTCTGTCTATGGATGCCAGTCCATAGACACTGGATGCTGTGGTCATAGGCATAGGCACTGACCAATAAAGAGTCTTCTAAAATATTTTAAAAGACAGCCAAATATTTCATGAAACAGTGGTACCACAATTTTTTAACCAGTCCTCCATTGTTTGATTGTTCATCTGATTCTAGTTTTTGGCTTTATAAGTAGTGCCGTGATGAATTTATTGTTTACGTAAAAATATCGTGAATCAGAAATAGTTGCATTTTCCAAGCCATTAACCAACCCAGTCGTGGGGATGAGAAGGAGAGAAGAGACAAGGCTTCCTGGAAGTTTCCCGAAACTATCCCTAATTATAAGTCAGAATCAGATCAACAAGTAGTAGGTAATCTTAGAGGATTTTCCCTAATATTTGTTAAGCGCTCACTGTGTACTGGGCATTGTTCTCGCCCCTGGGGATGTGGTGGGAAGAAAAGGTGTGGTGGAGATCATGTTCTGGTGACATGAAAACAAGTCAGACAGCCCGATAGAGTGGGAAGGGCGCCACAGGGAGGAGGCAGGTGTTATAAGAGTGTGGCGGGGTGCCTCCTCAGAAGGGTGGCCTGACTGGGGAGGGAAGCCAGCCGCTGAGATCTGGGGACAGTGGCAAGTGCAAAGGCCCTAAGGCAGGAACAAGAGCAGAGGCTGGAGGAACAAAAGCGGCTACTGAGGTTGGCAGACGTGAATGCAGGGAGGGTGGACAAGATGTGGTCAGAGAGGAGGGATGGGCCAGAGCTGGCAGCACTTCTCAGCCGTGGGCGGGTTTGGATTTCATCCTGATGCAGAGGAAAGGCCCCGTGGGTTCTGCTGTGGTGCTGCATGGAGGCCCTCATGAGCCAGACTCTAAAATAATGCCGGGGTGGCAAGAATGGGGAGAGTGGGAGTAGGATTGAAGCTCGCGTACTTGCATGTGCTCACGCATGCCTGGTTCCGTGCTGTCAACCCTGCCTGCATGGTGGCCCTCTGTGCCCTGGGAGGCAACACACCCCTGCCAAAGGCCATGTGACTCCCTGGTGCTGGCGCTGGGATTTGGACCCACATCCAGCGGACTCGGGGGCACTGCCCTCAACCACTACAACTGGTTTGCCTCCCTGGGTGTGCGATCGGGCCATTGGTCATCCAGCTCTGTATAGTTCACTGTAACCTGTCGGGATCACTGAGCTAGTGAGCGGCAGAGATGTCATGTCCCTGGCATCACTGATTTCAAAAGGGCCTTCAGGAGGGACCCTGTGGCCCTGATTGAGTAGTCTCATTTTATATACCCGATAGTGAAGCTGAATCGGGGTAACTCTAACATAGCGATAACCACCTCCGGAGGACACATGGACTGACCTCTTCATTAATACCTAGCTTTCCCTTCATCAGCTTTACCTCTCAGAGCCTCAGTTTCCTATTCTGTTAAATGAGAATAATTACTCCTACCTAAAAAGGTTGTTGAGGTGATGAGGCCGGGTGATATATTGAGGACCCCCAGCCCAGGTCCTGGCAGGTGGGGCTCCATCCCACGCTGGGGAACTGGAATCTCATCTCGCCAGAGACCCAGCTGATGGCAGAGCCTTCATCCTTGTCTCTCACTTTCAGGCTAATCTGACACCAAAGCACTCCTGGGCCACTTCTCCTTCGGCAGGTGACTTGTCCTGTTTAACCACAGGTAATCTGTCCCTGGGGCCCAAACTGTTCATTCTCATTAATGGGAAGCCTTGATGTGCCTTTCTGTCCTGTCCCCATGTCCCCTGCTTCCTGTGTCCAGGAGTAGTGGAAGCAGAAATGCAGGGGAAGCTATTTGCCATGTAGGGAGGAGCCCTTCTCCCTAAAGCTTTCTCTGCCCAGGGGGCCTTCTCACCTGCTGCTCTCTGACTGCTGTCCCTTACCCACTCTTGCATCAGCTACTTTAGCTGGAGTATTCAGTAACCTGATTTCAATTCAGCAGATCCCTACTGAGCAGTTATTCTGCAGAAAATACAGTCAGCCTGTGACTTGAATCCTCTTTTAATTTCACATTTGCTGCATCAGGCACACATTGTCTATCATATATGAACAGAAACCTTCTTTTTTTTCCCTTCTTGTAAATTCCTGGTTGCTGCTGCTGCTGATTTCTTCTTACCCATACCTGGTTTCCTCCATAATGGAGAGAGGTGAGATTCAGGGTATAAAACAGAGACCCCTGGAGCCTAATTAATTGGGAAAATACACACAGGGAGAAATGAAATGATAGAGACTAACAGCAGTTCATGTCAAAAAAGAAACCCAGGAGTTTTAGTGAGCCAACTACAACACTTGATTTGGTCAACAAATGGTCAGTAATTGTCTACCCTGTGACAAAAAATTGTCCCAGAAAATGAAGTACAAAATTGATGATATTTGGCCCTGCTCTTGAGGAGGTCACAATCACATTAGGGAACAGGTTTATATCAGATGACCAAAGTGTACTGTGATACCTGGAGTGGGGTGAGAGAAGACACTCAGGCATCCAATCCAGTCTGGGGCAAGCCCAGGAAAGGTTTTTCCAAAGAGGGCATGGTTGGGTGGGATCTTGAAGTATGAATAGGAGTTTGGAGAGTCGGTAAGGAAGAATGGAGATTCCTAGGAAGAGGGAGTGGCATGGATAAAGAATCAGGCCTAGGCATGAGAAAAACAAGGCCTGTTCAGAGATTAACAAGACTTCCACTCTTTCTGGAGGAGAGGGGAAGTAAGTAGTGGCAAGAGGCAGAATCTGGAAGGTGGGCTGGTGTGCCGGGGATGTGTAAGTGTACAGAGTGAGAAGACAGCTAAGCCAGCACCCTTGCAAACAGCAACCTTGCAAAGTTTGGAGACGAAGTGGGAGTTGGCGGGGTGGGGGGTGGTGGGCAGAAAGAATCATCTCCAACGAGGGAAGAGAACCTGGGGCGGGGGTTGAGTTGCAGAGCAAGCCAGGCAAAATCTGAGGCCCCGAGGGACAAGAAAGTTTGGTCCCGGACATCAGTATTGCATGGAGCAGCTGAAGAGCTGGGCCCCTTGATTTCTCTGTTGTTCATATACTTTTTTGTGGTTGTTATTGCTCATATATTTCTTTTAAGTCCTAAATTTCCCCAAAACTATCCATTTAGAGGGTCTGTGGCAAGTCATGTCGACAGGAATGAAGTCTCTGCACAAAGTAGATAGTGAATAATTGTAGGCTCATGATCATTTCCTGCTACCATTCCCATCCACATTGGCGCCTTAGTTTTATTTCCTCACTCTCCCACAGACGGGCAAGCTTTTGAAATTGTAAATTGGATGTTGGCACATTTCTGCTTAAAAATCATTCCAGAGAAAGGCAGAACCCATGCTGGGCTCCACGTGGCCTGGCCCCACCGTCTTCCTGGCCTTCTAGGCATGGCCACCCTGGCTTCCTCCTAAGTCTGGAGGAGGTCAGACTCCCCACGGAGCCTCGAGTGCTCACCCCTCCTCCCTGCTGCATCTCTCTGATTTCTGCCTATCTTCAGTTCCCACCTCAATGTACCTTCCTCCAGGAAGCCTTCCAGGGAGCCTTCTCCTACCCTGCCCTTCCTAGCACTTGAGTCTTCCCGCCTTCCATAGGAAATGATCACACTTGTAAGCAAGTGTTCAGGTAACTTTATGGATATTTTCGTGTCCCCCTGCCTGTCCTGCCACCACTGAGTCCCCCACAGATCTGTATTGATGCATATTTGACCACCCAACAGCTCGGCTGGCCCCATTTTCTCCTCTGCCTCCTGGCTGGCCTCTTTGCCATCATCCATGTCCACCTGGCTCCCAAAGTTCTGCTAATGCTCCTGCCTCCTCTGTGAGCCTCCCTGAATGCTTCTAGCTCCTGGAGTGTTTACCGCACTGCACAAATCGCTCTGCATCCTTAGTTAGGTTGCGTGCACCTTTTTAGGGCTTTGGAGGCTTAGAAATCTTAGTCTGGCAGCCATGAAGCAAAATACTTCCCTGGCTCCTGGAAATTCCCTCATTGGTATAGTGAGTGCAGTTATAGCACCTACCCTGGATCCTTTTAGTCACACACACAAAGCCCTGTGCTCAGAAGGGCCCCACCATGGGTTTAATGCTCTGCTGTTGCCATCTTGAAATTCTTGATAGCATTTGAATAAGGACCCCATGTTTTCAACACGCACTGGGCCGCGCATATTGTGTAGCTGCTCCCATACCTGCCTCGAGGGGCGTTGTGAGGAGCCATAGGAGGATGTGTGACACCTGCATTCCCAGGGCTGGCACCTGGTGACACTCTCAGCAGGGTCACCTGTCATCATTTTAGTTCTGCTCAACCACAACCACAGTCGATAATTCACTCTTCTGTTTGCTCAGCTTCATTGACTAAGTGCTGTGGTCAGAGACATTGATCAACTGCTGAAAACCCTTCTGCAGCTGCTCCTCACCCTCGCAGGGTTCCCAGACCTGGCCAGTCTTCCCAGACCTGGCCAGTCTTCAGATTCACCGCTGGAGCTTGTTAAAAATAGATTTCTGGGCTGCACCCGGCCAGGCCCACTGAATCAGACTCCCCAAGGTCAGGGCCTGTGAATCTGTGTTGTAGCAAGTTCCCAGGTGACTGACGCCTTCATTAATGCCATGATGGGGGTTTAGGAACCTCCATCCTAGGAGTTTGAACCCAAGCCTCTTGTAATGGTGTTTGGCGCCCTTTCCATCTGGCCCTGCCTGCATTTCTAGCTCTGCTTCCGACGTGTGCCCTAACCCTATGGGGAAGTGCTGGCTCTCTCTGACTCCCTGGTGGGTGCCTTTCACTGCCATAACACCTTGAGGGGTCCTGAAGCCCCGTTCCCTTTAACAGAATATATTGTTCCTTCTTTTCATGCTTACCAGCACTCAGTTTTTCTTGTTCTCCGAGCACATGTCACGTTGCACTGTGATTTGTTTCTGCTTTATTCCCTGCAGCCTGAGCTGAGGGAGCTCACCTCTGTACCCTTAGTTAGCAGCAGTAACAAAGAATATTCAGGTTCCCTCCATGCACGCCAGTGCACCCGGTGGACACACTTACAGTGCATGTGTCTGCTGGTTCCCCAAAGCCCTGAGCGTACAGTTGGTGCTTGATTCAGCCTGGCTGGGCTGTGGCTGAGTGTCCGCCATGAGCTATCACTCTGTGGCTAGCAGACCCAATACCTTCACAGCCCTTGGTGCTCATCTTGCCCCTGGAAGGCTCCTTCCGGTTCCAGCTCAATCCTGGACCTGTGGGAACATCCCCTCCCTGGAGAGCCTTTCCTCCCAGGAGTCTTTTTTTTTTTTTTTTTTTTTTTTTTTTTTTTTGAGGCAGAGTTTTGCTCTGTTGCCCATGCTAGAGTGCAATGTGCAATGGCATGAACTCAGCTCACTGCAACCTCCGCCTCCCAGGTTCAAGCAATTCTCCCGCCTCAGCTTCCCAAGTAGCTGGGATTAGTAGAGACAGGGTTTCACCATGTTGGCCAGACTGGTGTCAAACCCCCAACCTCAGGTGATCTACCCACCTCGGCCTCCCAGAGTGCTGGGATTATAAGCGTGAGCCACCGCGCCCGGCCCTCCCAGGAGTGTTTATGCACAGCAGTCATTCTAGGTCACACATGTGCTGTGTGAAAAAGGCACCTAGTAATTGACCACTTACTTTATGTGATAAGTGTTCCCTCCAGCAGTCTCTTCCTTTTCGGAAATGTCCGGGTGTGGCCACAGGTTAGGCTCCTGAGCTATTGCAACACAGCCCCCAGTTGTCCCACCAAGAGGTTTTGTTGTTTTTTTCCCCCAGTCCTGTTGGGTTTTAAATATTTTCCTATTCGCTTAATTTTTCTTTTCAGCATTCACTACAGGCAGCTGGTGACCATGCCAAATGGATTGTTTACTTTTGACTAAATGCTCACTTAGGCTGAGTGTTCTTTGTGAGCTTTAATGACTCACACCTGAGCCATCAAAGACTGTGCTGTATCTGTCTGGAAGGTGCTTTCCTGAGCACCTACTGTGTGCGCTGCCTGAGGGGGAACACACAGACATAGCAGTTGAGAGCGATGTGCCATCCTGATTTTCAGAGGTCATTAGTCTCCTGAACTCATATGGCAATAATAATTCCCAACACCTTTGTTTACAGAGCGCTTCATGTGCAGTGATCCTCAGCAGCCCTGCGGTGTAGGAATGGAAGCATTTGCATGGCTCCTGGAATAAACCAAGGCTGGTGTTCAGCGCCTGGGTTGTTACGGTCTTGCTGGTGCATTTTGCCCAGTGGGCAGAGATCTGGATCAAACTGCCACCCCGTAGAGTCCCTTGGGCCCGCTGTAAGGCTTGGGACACACTTTCTTCCTCTTGGATGTCCTTTCTAGTATGGAAAAAAAATGTGGCTGCTGATGTCTAGAAACTTCCAAATTCCTTGAGAGGACTTGAGCCCAGTGGAGGAGTTATGCTTGATTGAGAAGGAGGCGCTGGCCAGAAGCACCTGCTCTGCCCGCTGATCTGTGCTGCATTTCAGCTGTTGATGGCGTCAGTGCTTCCTGAGTCTTGGGGAATGCTCCTTGTAATCTCCTTTCTCTCGTCCTTCTCTTCCTCAGGCACATCTCCCTAACACTTCCTGCCACCTTCCGAGGCAGGAACAGCACCCGGACGGACTACGAGTACCAGCACTCCAATTTGTATGCCATATCAGGTATGTGGAGCCACCGCTGCAGGCCAGCTACAGAGTCTGTGTCCCGGGCGCCACCTCCTTCCACACGTTCTCTGTCTTCTCGTGGGATCTGTCTGCCTTACCTCTCTTTTCTTCCCTGCAGGGGACCTGTTCCCTGCAGGGACCAGGCCTTCCCTTTCCTTTGTGTCGCCACAGCACTTAGAGAAGGGCCAAATACTCAGCATGTTTTGAAACTAATGATGAAAAACAATGTGTGGATTTCACAGGGTTGAAGGGAGGTTTCCAGAGAATACTCGCCACATTGTTCACCTGCCAGACCCGGGCAGGCTTCCCACGGGGCCTCGGGAGCAGCGCCGAGCTGAGCCCTGGTCGGCTCACCCTCCCATATCCAAGTCTGTCCTCACCTCTCATTTCTCACAGCCAGGTTTGTGGCCAGCGGGTACACTGGCGGTCTCCCCTCACACCCCTGGAGCATGAGTCTGTGGTTTCTGAACTCGGCCTTGAAATTGATAGTGTTACCTTGGCAGGAACTTCATCAGTCCTAGTTTTCCTTTTCACCTTCACCCAGGGAGGGGAAAACTTACAAGCCTTATTACAGAATTGAGATTCATTAGGTGCTTGGCAGCACAGGTGACTTGCTAAGAGCCGAGGAAACCCACAAACTCGCCTCCGATTATCCTGGGCCGCCAGTGAGGGGTGTTTGTGTATAAGGGGAAAGTGGCAAATCAGTGCCACTTACCAGCACACACCCTTAATGGTGAGTGACATTTTGAACACAGGAACATGGCATTCATTCATGTTCCATAATGAATCGGTTATTTAAAAGGTAATCTTTTTTCTAAAAATTGCAACTACAGGTTACTAAATAGATGAAATAGAACAATGGCATAATTCTTGTCAGTATTAGTTTTTCTCGTTATGATCACTCCCTAATAGGTTTGGAAGTATAAGCAAAAGCCAGTTGTTCCATTTCTGGGTGACATTCCTGCTGAGAAGGGGAGGAACAGGGATGTTCTTAAGCCCCCATCCCTGGCTCCACTGCAGGAGCCAGGCTCTCCAAGGGGAGAGGGAACGTGTTTGTCTAAGAACAGCATCTCCAGGGAGAATTTCTTTTGTGCTGTGGCTATTTCAGCAGAGTCGACAAGGAGCATAACAAGTGTGGAAAGATGACCTATTTTGTAGAAAAGCTGAATATTTCCCCAGATGCTTAGTGGCATAGAGGTGCAGAACAGGCCTGTGGAATCCAGCAGGGCGCCCCCATTCAGAATGCACACAAGGGAAGCTTCATCAAAACGGATGACTTTTTTTCTGCAGCTCACAAATCTTTTTCCAGCCACAGCGTTTGGCTACACCCACTTTACCTGTGTTCTCTGATGGCTTTCCCAGCTGTTGGCGTTTCTGCAGGAAAGAGCCACAGAGTGAAATCTCCTATGGTTTGGCAGGAACACTGCTGTCTGCCTCTGGACCGCTGCTTCCTCGCCCCGCAGCTTTGATGAGGTGTTGTCTGGGTTCATTTCAGCTGTTAGTTTAGCAATACCAAGGTAACAGCCTCAAGACACAGGGGAAGCCATTCAGAAACTTCCTGTTACATTTATGTAAGTGGCAGTCAATTGGATTTTATCTTCCAAACAGAGGTAGTTGAGGCTACAGCCCACGGCAGCAGGCAATTTCAGGCCTCCTCAGTGGCTGCAAGCACCAAATTGCTCTGCCAGGGTCCAGGACTGCTTTGTTGTGTTGCTGCCAGAAATACCCTGCAGGACCTGCTGGCTCCATAAGGCCTGCAAGCTCAGCACTGGGCAACTATGGTACAACTGGGAAGGCTGCCCGCCCACCCACTGGCAGCCTGCCTGCGAGTCATTCTGGCTAGAAGGGAGCAGAGACCACCTCCCTTACCCCCATATGAACAGTATTTGGCACTGAGTGGCCTATCTCAGTTTGGTATTGTGAAGTTAGGGTTTCCAATGGTTTCTTCCAAAAACAGTTAAGGCAAAGTGTGCCCCAGGCCCTAGCCCTTGCCCAGTACCCATGCCTTGATAGCTGGAGTTCTGCTGATAATGAAATGAATCATCAAACCGTTCTGCCTCTGAACTGGCCCTGGCACAGGTTCACTGCAGACTTCAGGAGCTGAGCCTTTGGTGCAGACTCCTGGCGGGCTCTGTGTCCCTCCTGAAGACATTCGATTACTGCTCCCTTAGTGTTCCATCCCTTCCTAAGATAAGTAGGTTTCAAAACAGTGTAATTAGAAATTTGAAAAACAGCCCACACTTAATGTGTATGTATGGTTGTTAAAGTATATTAACTTTTAAATGTTTTCTCAGTGGCATACCTGCTAGTAGATTCCTTTTCCTGTATCTTTCACTAAGACAGTTGGCTCCCATCATGCCTGCTAAGGGTGAGACGTGGCACAGAGTTGCAAGAGACACCAGTGGAGACGATATGTAGTCCCATCCCTGGCACAAAGCAGTGCTCATGATGTGGTCATGGAAGGAAGGAAGAGACGAAGGGAATCATTTAGCCTCCTGTCTGCCTTGCACAGGAGTACCCTCCCAAAACCCTGGGCCAGGTAGTCATCCTGATTTTGCTGCTTGAATGCCTGTGGTGTCTGGGACCACCACCTCCTACCAGCCCACCCATCCCTGTGAGATCCTTCCTCGTTAAGCAGGGCTCTATCTTCCTGTTCTTTCACATCCACTCAGCAATTTGAGACACTGTGCATTCTGCCGACCAAAATTTGCCAGCTGTTCTACACAGTCCAGTCGTATCTCTCTCTTGCCCACGGAAGTGGGGTGAGGAGCTCTAACTCAGTGCTGAAATCCTGAGATGCCTGTGGCCTGCGCTCTGCTCTCTTGTACCCTAATCCAAACGGCCACGGCCACAAAGCCAGCATCCATCCTCACACTTGTCCTAGCAGTATCTCCTAGAAAATACAGATGTGCAAAAAGATTTATCCACAAGGATAAGCACCGCCACTTCTCAAAAATAATACTTCAAGTCAGGGGTGGGAGGTGGATAGATCTTAAATGCCCCAAACAAAGACGAATGCTTAAATTACAAAACATCCATACAGTAGCCTTAACTTTTCAGCCATCTAGAAGTGATGACTTAGATTAAAAGATGTATGTGAATATTGTTAAGTGGAAAGAAAAACAGGTAACAAGTCAGAATATGCAGTGATCTCATTTTAACAATTACATTCTAAGCTGGGAGTGGTGGTGCATGCCTGTAGTCCCAACTGCTCGGGAGACTGAGGAGGGAAGATCCCTTGAGGCCAGGAGTTTGAGGCTATAATGTGCTATTATGATGGCCTTTGGAAATAGCCGTGCACTCCTGCCTGGGGAACATGGATCTTGTCTCTTTAAAAAAATTAATTTTTTAAAATTAACAAAAAATACATCTAAAGGTCTGGAAAGGTCCACACCTAAGTGTTTATGGTGGTTTTCTTGGGACTTTCATCTTTTTTTGGCCTCTTTGCAGTTACTCATTTTCCATAATAGCACGTGTTGCTTTTGTAGTAAGAAAAAATACACACCTGATGTGAGTGTGGCATGTCCTTGGTAAACCCTGCCGGCCTGCAGGATCACCATTTTCTCCTGAGCACTCATGAGTCTATGCTTTCGAAGTTTACTGCAGAGCACTTCCAGACCACAGATCAATAATTTTCTTATTGTCCCTTTTAGAAAATATGATTTTTTTTCCCTGTTATGCAGTCCCCTGAAATCACCTGTTCATTCGAGTTCCTCAGAGATCACTGTCTGTAATTCCAGCACCATCCTTTATGTCCTGCTGGCCCTCTGGATGTGGACTGGGCAGGCAAGCAGCCGGCTGCTCCAGCCACCTCCCTGCCTTCCTTGCTCTTCATGTCCCCCATCAGTGTGTCACTCTGTAGGGTTTTGAAGATGGTTTTCCCTAAAAGGATAAAATGATGGTCGCTTGGCTTGGCTCACTCTGTTACCCATCTGGGTTAGGGTCAGCAAACTAAAGCCCATGGCCCAATCCCATCCAGGGCCTGTTTTGTGTGACATGCAAGCCAAGGATGGTTTTAATATTTTTAAATAGTTGGACAAAAATAAAAAGAGTAATATTTAGGGACATGTGAAAATTATATGAAAATCTTTAGTGTTTGTAAATAAAGTTTTATTGCAACACAGCCATGCCCAGTCCTTTACAAATGGTCCATAGCTGCTTCACGTTCCAATGGCAGAGTTAGGTGTGTGCAGGCAATGCCGGATGGCCAAGAAATCCTAAATATTTACTCTCTGGCCTTTTACAGAAAACATTTGCCAACCCCTGGTTAGGGTCATCACTCCTAAGCCATGGGTGCTATTCATCCTTACTCTTTCTAGCTGTAAACAAAATATTTCAAAACAACCTTTTTTGATAGTTCTTACCTTGCTGACTGTAGCTTTCCTGGTGCTGGTCTTACTGGTGTGACCCCTGTAGCTTTGTGCCTTTGGTTTTTCGAGCATGCCTTTAAGATCTTACCTCTTTGGAGGGCCCTCTTCCGGGTCATGTTGATTTCTCTAGGTTCTACTCCAACCCCACTCCTGAGTTTCCTGGTCAGGACTCTTAGTGGCTGTTACTTTTCTTAAGAACATCTTATCTTTCCTGAAAAGTCTTCTATTTTAGTCCCAAATGGTGGCACCCTACCTTTTTTTTTTCTTGGATTTTTTAATATGTTTAGATGTCTGCCCATTCACTCATTTCTCTTTCATCTATTCCAGAAGGATTTAAGGTAGCTCCAAAAATACATACGGCCAAATGAAAATGGAAGTGAGGAAACACAAGTGAATGGAAATAGGATAGAAAGTAGGTGCGGCTATGTGCAGGGGATATCTAGATTAGGTTCTGAGGCAGAGGGCTGTCCTTTAGGGGTAAGAGAGAAACAAGCTAGTTGCTTGGGAAGAACTGAACTATTCTCTTAAGCCCGAAGAGCTGTCCTTCCTCATAAACAGGGTCCCGTGGGTCAGCGCTGACTCCCACATATGCATTCCTTAGAAAGCTGAACAAAATGAGCAAAAAACCTCTACCGCCAAAATGAGTGCTCTTGTTTTCTTTATTTCTTTAGTTCTGCACTTTCCCACATTATTGCCACATGAGTGTTAGTCCTATGGATACATATTAAAGCTAGTAGACGTCTCAGACAACACTGGACATGAATGAGAGAAATATAAATATTTACCACCTTGCGGGGGGGAGGAGGGCTCCATAAAATGCTGTAAACAATGTAACAATTGCTTTTCAATGATTATAACTCTAAGTTTGATAAGAACAGCTTATACATATATATATATCCATGTATTGGGGGGACACCTACTTGTTTGAAATGAATCTAAAATGTCTGAAAGTTGAGTGAGATGTTTCTTAAGAAATGTTCTTGTGGTGGGTGTCAGGCACCTTATGGGACTGGAGACCTCGGGGAATGTCAGGAAAGACAGATCTTCCCTGACCCCCTGCCCAAACCTGCTGCTCACAGCTGCCCCAGAGGCTTCCTATAAGGAGAGGGGCCACCAAGGAGAGCACAGTGCGGCTTTTCTAACCTAGGAGGGTTTTTTGTCTTACGGCAGGTTTTGCTTAACAAACGGGACTGTGGGATGGGAAATGATACCATCCTATTCTTTTGTTGTGTTTGTTGTTGTAATCTGATTTCTATCTCCAAGTGCACAGTTTTTAACCATAGAAAGCTTATTTATCTCTTTTGAAAAAAAATTGACATAGTAAAATTAAGCAAATACCTATTAAAACTGGCATATAATAAGACCAAAAAATCTCGAACACCCTATGAATGCAGGGTGAGCCACAGTGCAGAAACTCTGCAAAGCCACACAGTGCAGTGAGCTGCGGGGCTAGGACTGCTTTCCTCTTTAGGACCTAGACAGGTTGGCTCACTGACATCTTCATTTATCCATCAGCATTAGGCTGACTATTAAAGTGAAGGGGGCACACAATTGTCCCAGGACAGAAGCTGTAACCTGAATCTATCCTGGCAGACTGGGGTGTATTGGCCACTCCTCTGCCTTCAGCTTTTTTTCTTTTTTTTTTTTTGCTTTTCTTTTTGATTGCTGGAAAAGCCAGCTTATTGCCCTCCACAGCTGTTTGCTTTTTAAAAACCAGCCCCCCTTTCAGGATGTTTGACACCAGGAAAGATGTCGGTGTGGTCAAGTCAGTGTCCATCATCTCATCAGTTTGGATCATGGCCCCTTGTACAGAGAGAAGGAGGATTTTATCTGTAACTCAGAACCGTGGGTGAGCCATGTAGCTCTGACATTGGAGTAGGAAAGCACAAAGCAATTAAAAATAATTAATGATTTCTGAATATCAGCCTTCTCCATGCAGTTTTAATCTAGTCCTCATTTAAATTGGAAGATGGACATTTAATTATCAGTATTATGAAATTCATGATTTATATATTTCATCCAATTGGATAAAATTTCTGCCACCAGCTTTTCATCTTATGATGAAAAAAATGTGTATCTTACAATGTGATCATTTAAAAACTCATCTACAGCATACCAAACAATTCCAAACATATTTTCCTTTCATTTGCAGTGATTACATGATTTCTGTCTCTTAATTAGGAAAAAAAAAACTCACCCGGGAAATTGAAAATAAACTTAATACTTTAATGATCAGGAAGCACTGCAGGGTTGGGAAAATGAAGGGTAAAAGACTCAAACAATGGGGTGCTTGAGAAGCGCTGTTCTCTCCTGTGTCAGGTGTGCTAACACAACTGCTTGGCATGTTGTAATGTTCATGGTTTGATGCCACAGAATTTGCATCCACATTCTGGGTGTGCCATGTGCCTGTGGTTCTCCTTTTCCCTGTGCTCGGGTGAGTGTGTGGGCTGAGTGAGTGTGTTCCTGATAACCACCAAGGAGGGAAAGAGCCACTGTCTTCTGGTGCAAGCCCCTGAGTAGTGTTAGCCTCTGCTTTCACAGGGGTCCCTGTGGCCCTTGTCTTCAGTGGATATGTTCTCGTGGCTCGGGGTGGCATTGCATTTCTGACCCTGGCTTCCCTGAGGTTCTTCGCTCCACAGAGGATTTTCGTAATCACCGACAACTGGCTCAAGCGGTGGTGGGTGAGCGTATGGGAGGGTTGCCCCAGATCTGAGACAGGAACATCAATTTGGCACAGCCACTGATAATAGCATATGGGAAAATTCCTGAATGAAGTGAAAAGATATGTATAATAATTGTGCTTGAACCAAGGAGGAAAGAAGTCATTTTAAAGACAGATACATTTTTATCATCACCTATAAGAACCATTTTTATCATCCCCTATAAGAACCCTTGTCTATCCATCTCCTCTTGCCCTGACTGACAACAAAATCAAGTATAAAGAAAAATAGAATAAGAAAAAGAAGAAATGAATGGGAGCGGATGGGGAATTGATCGCATGGTGTATTTGTATATCCTGATGTAAAAGGTGCGGCTGACAGGTGGCCAGGTTTGCTCCGTACACAACCATGTGTGTGCTGTCAGGCGCACGCACACTGCCTTGTTTCGATTGATGAATTGCCTGCTTTCTTGATTAAACCTTCCGTCACTTAAGAAACAAAAAGCCTGTGTTTAGATGGCAGAGTGGGACATGTCAAAAAAATCTGTCTCCTTTACCTTTGTGCAGATGTTGGGCACAGACTGTAACATGTATTATTAAAATGAATGTGGCATTTACTGTGCATTATTCCTTTCCTGGGAGAAAGGACTGTAAATTATATGCTAATAATAAGCTTTAACCCTTTCGAAATGCAAAAGATTTAAGAGTGCAAATATTCATGTAGGCCTGGCTAATTGGATGTGCTTTTCTACATCCACCACGGTGGCTGTGTCACTGAAGTTAATGAACAGCGTGTGCAGGCAGACACACAGGGCACTTGGGGAACTCCTGCCTCCTGGAGGTTTTCTGCAGTGCGAGTGCCTCCTCCTGGACTTCACAGAGAGATAGACCCTGAGAACCCTGAGCTGGGCTCTGGGTCATCTTACTCCAGATGAAGTCCATGGTCAGGATCAGTTCCCCAGCAGGTCCTCTGCAGCTGAGTGTTAAGCGTGGGACCTCTCTTCGCACACCTGCATTCTCACTTAGAATGCAGGGCCCACAGAAGGCCGTGGGCCCGGGCCTTCTGGGCTGCAGTCTGGCAGGTATCAGGCTTTGGTGCCCAGCCCTTACTTGACTCTCTTCCTTGACCAGGCTTTTCTAGCCTCAGCCCAGTTGCCCAGGTAGCTGACTCATCTCTCCAAAGACCTCCTTGGTCCCCTTGCTCCTCAGATCACACCTTTGTGCCCCTCCACAGCCTGACTGCATTCATTCAGACCTCAGACCTCACCTGCCTGGTGTTGGGGCTGTCAACAACCAGCCCCACCCGTGTCCCACCAGCCTGGGTCGCTCCCTGCGTCCTCCTTGCCTTTGTCTTGCGCTATGCTTGCCCCGCCACTCCAGCAGCTCAGATTTCACCACCTTCTCTTCTCTCTGTCCCTGGCTGTGGCTCTGAAGGCCACTCCCAAGCTGCCTCTCCATCAGGCTTTTCTGATTCCTCTCCCGCTGCTGATGCTCTCTCCTGGTTTACCCCACACTACTCTGTTGGAGAGTTTTCACCTGTGAGCACCTTGAGTGAGAGGGCAGAGACCATATTTAGAGAGAATGGAGGCTCCCCTCTTTTTTTTTTTTTAATTGAGGAGGATGTAGGTAAACAAAGGCAAAGACAAGAGCAAGATTGTTCACTCCATTCACTCAACAGTCACCGAGAGCTGCCCTGTCCTGTGCTCCTGAGGGCAAGCCTGCTGCCCTGATAGGGCATTTGGGGTTGGAAGCATAGGGTCAGAATCTTGGCTCTGACACATACTGGCCATCATACAGTGCTGCTGTGAGCAGTTGCCAAGGTTGTGCACTGCACAAAATATGTGACTAGCATCCTCTAGAACTGTACAAGGACCCTGCACAATGCTACTTTGGGCAATGCTAGTATCCATACCTTTAAAACAATGCAGTAATGCCCGTTTCCTTCCTGGATTGTTGTGAAGATCTAGGGTAGGTAAGAACATTTCATAAACCAGGAAGCAGTGTAGGAATGTCACTTCTCTCCTTATTCAGCTCCCCTACAGGGATGTGATCCAAGAAAGAGCCCAAAGACTTGTTGAGAATTATCACATGGGACACGCTGGCTTGGGCCCAGCACGGTCTTCATCTTCTTAGCCGTGTGCTTCCTTATATAATTTTGATATATAAGATTACTTCTCAGAGTGCTCAGAGGAAATTTCTTCCTCAGTCCAGAGAAACTTGCAATAAAAGGCTCTCTGGCATGGCTCAGCTCAGTACCCCCTGGAAGCCGAGACATTCTGTCACGCATCACCACTTAGAAGTGGGCTATTTTCCGTGGCAAGCAGCCCACGATCCCTTTCTCAAGAAGGTGACAGAATGATGGCTTGGGGGCAGGAAGGAGAGAAGTGCTTGGCAGCGTGAGGCTGCAACTTCTATAAAATCTTTCAATGTACCTTTGGTTTTTTGGAGGAAAAGTGCCTGGGGGGCTGATTTCTGCTCTAGGCTTTCATTTCTGCTTTTCCTGTGCCCCATGGGTAGGAAGAAGTTAAGACTTTTTCCAGTTAAGTCATCATGAAAAATAAAAATATTACTAGGTGACAGATACCTCAGTGCTCTTAAACAGGCGGCCACCTTCCCACTGTGCTTTCCTTCTCTTTTTGGTTTTTAAGCATGGCAGAGCTTAGGCGGCACTGGTTTAATGGGCCACATCCCCTTCTTAACTTGGAAAAGGGTTAAATCTGTGGTCCAGGCAGCCGAGGGCAGCTGGATGAAGCAGGGTGGGAGCCCAAACAGCTGGGTGCAGGCCCTGTCTCTCCCACCGACTAGCCGAGTGAGGCCAGCAGAGATCCTAGCCTTTCTGGATCTAAATTCCACATCTCTCCATATCAGCAATTGCAGTAACAATATCGATCATTTGAACATAGCAATAGGTCGGCTCATTCTTATGGGACGCTTCCTGTGCACCAGGCATTGTCTGGTGTTTAAGGTGGAGGTGGTAATGCCCACCTCCCAGGACTTAAAGCTATGTGGGAAGGAGGCTTGTATATTCTGCAGCTTGAGATGCCCCAGGCCTCGCAGTGGCCAGCAAATGTGCATTTACTGCCCCTGGACTTCACAGACATTCTGTCCAAACACTGCCTTGACTGTAACGTTCCTAAACACATGAACACAGAAAAACCAACTTTCTGATACCTTTCTCCCTGTATGTTTATCTTCTTTGTCTAGTTTTTCAGCAGAAATATGCCCATTTCCCCCTGATAATTCCCTTCCTTAGAGACAGCATAATTGTAGACCTGGCCAGAGAAATGCTGAAAACAAAGGGAACCCCCTTGAGCCCAGCCCTTCACCTGCTCTTAGCACTTCTTCAGAGGTTTACTCTGGAGTGAATGAAGTAGTGTGACCAGACACTCCTGCCTAGAGGCAGCTTATACCAAATTAGCCTTTTGTTTCTTTCTCTACCTCTGTCTCTCTCAAAATAATAAACTCTCAGCTGAGAGGGGAAAATGATGAAGGCAACTTCTTTCATTGAAACACATTTAGTTGTTTTTGCATTATTAAAATGGATTAAATTAATTAAATGAATTTACTGAATAATACCCAGCCTTCCTCTTACTTACCCTGTGTAAGGTATGGCATATGCACTTGCCATGCATTATGTTATTTAATCCCAACAAATCCTTAACCAAGAAAATCTTTTACAGATGGGGAAACTGAGGTCTTGAGAGCTTGTGATCAGCTCACAGTTACACCTGTGGTACGTGGCAGGGCTGAGATTCAGACCCAGGTCTCTTTGACTGCAGACATTGAGCTCGAAACCACGGTACTGAGGATGCTTCTTTAGCACAGGTTGCGTGTGACCGTTTCCCTCCCCTCATCAACTTGAAGGTTGGAAATGGCACACAGACCTGGAGTGAATCGTGCTAGGACTAACTTGGTGTACTGGGCCTCAGCACTGTTTAAACTCTCACGTGGGCCCCTGGATGATCATCTCTGGGACCTCATCAGAGTGAGGCCTTTGACACTTGGCTGATGGCAATGCTGGATCCAAAGGAAAAAAGGAATAGGGGGTGTGGCTCCCATCACTCTTGCTGGGCAAAACAGTGAAGGTGGGGAGCCCAAGGCCTCCTTACTTAAAGTTAAATGACCTTGGGCAAGGAACTGAACCCTTCTGTGCCTTTGTCTCCTTACCTGTAAAATGGGGGTGACGGTGACTTATGGTGAAGCTTAGAACCATGCCTGGGACACAGAAAGTGCTATTGATGTATTGCTGTGATTGTTGGTATCCACAGCCCTGCCCTCCCAGCCCCTTCTCAGATCCTTTCCCAGCCAGGAAAGGGGATACACCAGGTATCCCCTCTGATACACCAGGTATCCCCTTTGATACACCAGGTATCAAAGAACCTCTGCCTTCATAGTGGGGGCTGCACTAGCCTTGCTGCTATAAACCTGTGTCTGGGGGAGCCCTTGGCACTGGGATGTCTCTTCGTGGTGGCCTTCTCTTAGCCTATAGTGATGGTGGGCAGCCCAAGCCCATCGTTTCACTTATTGGGTCTGACCCCCAAGTGTTCTTCTCCCCTACTCTAGCTCTCCTGTTCCGTGAGTCCCTGTACCCTGCCCATGGGCAGGGCTCTAGTTTGAACTGATAGTCACCTGTGTGCTGCCCTGCCTTTCCTGCTTGGAAGCTTCATTCTCTAGATTGGGCCTCCTAAGAGCCAACTTCTCCTAAACCCAAGCCCAAGATTACTGAGCCATTGCAGCCCGTGAGCATTCCTTGTGAGTATTCCCTGTGAGTGCTCCAGAATAACCCTCACCTGTGACCCAGTCATTCCCAGTCCCAGCTTCCACTCCTGCCTGCTTCCAGCCCCCTGAGTCCTCCAGCTGCCAGCATTGCCGAGCTCAAGCATCTCTGAGTTAAGACAGTAGTGGCAGGGCATTGGATTCCGAGTTGGGGTAAACTCTCGATGGCCTGCTAAGGATGGATACATGCGGTGCCAGAACTTGGGGAGAAGTTGAACAGTCGCACAAGCTTTGGTGATGAGATTTATCTTTCAGCTCTTACACAGTATGAGGGTCCCCCTTTTTTGTCAGAATGAATGCATTTAACTGCTGACATTAGGACAAAAGAAATTCCGATCTTTTTTAGAACAACGAAGCCACCTGTCTTGTTTGGACAGAGTACCTGAATCCAACTACTGTCACACAGTTGGTGTTTGTGCCCTGAATACTGAATGGCTTTTTCCCTCTTTTTATTAATGGCCAGTGATAGTCCTAAATGCATTTATGTTTAAAAAAAAAAATCTTCAATCCTGCAGCCTGGAGTTTGGATGGAATATATTTATCACCTATCCCAGAGAATAAGGTTCTTGATTCCCCAGATTTGTCTTACAATTGTCTGTAAGACAATGAATGATACAGAACTCTCCTCCAAGGTTGAGATCCTTTGTTAGAGAGCAGTTTCTTACGCCTGACTTGTTTTATAGCATGAACGATCGCATGATCCACTGGCGAGGCAACATCCATAATTTTGAATGAGGGAGTAAAGCTTGCCTCGGTGGCCCTAAGCATCGCTTCTGGTGACACACTTAGAAGTCCTTAATCGCTTGCTACCTAGAGGCAATAAACACACCTATCTTTATGTTCCATTGCCTGTGTGTTTACCTGAAATATGCCCTGTGTAGCAAAACGCCAGTTTCACTCCTGTGAGAAGGTCCTTGGCTCATGAATTGCACGGCCTTCACTCACCCCTATTTTGCCAAAGGTGGTAGTGCCTTTTGTAGGCCCAAGACGTAGCTTCTTTGGCCAGGAAACCCCTTGGCTATTTATGCTTCTTGTAAAACTCTGGCCATTTGCTTGGTTTCCGAGTTCTAAGAAAGGAGATCCATCTCTGGTCATCATGTGGAGTTCAGGGTTCATTCTGGAGGGCAAGATGATGTCTCCTTCACTGGTGTGTGCCTGATGCCCAATGCCCAGCCCAGGGCCTAGCATACAGGGGATGTTCCATGACACTCAATGTTTCGTTGATTCTGAGAGGACCTGGGTCTTAGAACTGGTTCACCCTTTTGTATCCACCCTTTCCAGCTACATTACTTTAGACAGTTTATATAACATTGCAGTCTGTTTTCTTTTTTTTTTTGTAATTTTGAATTATATTTTCTCTTCTGAATTTGAGGATTAAAGATAATGTACATGAAATACCCAGTGCCTAGTACCAAGAGGGCACTCCAGAAGTGGAGCTGCTATAACTGCCGTAAATATTGTTATTCCAGGGAATTGCTGCTTATTATACCAGAAGGCACTGGTCTCATTCACCCTGCAGTGTGACCTCACCTAAAAGTCCAGCCGGGGATGGAGAGGGTGCAGCTGACAGAGGGAGCTCATGAATGGTGGGACCTGGCATGGCTCAGGGAAACTTTTGGCATAATAGAAGGCAAACCCTCCCTTCTAGTTCAGAAATGTGTAATTGCTGGAGATGTTAGCTTGCTACTGGGTAAAATGATTTTAAAGAGAGAACTTCTCAACATTTAAATCAGCCTCAATTTTCCATGTTCCTTTTCATCAAGTCAGCTCTGGTTTGAGAAGGGATCATATCGGCACTCAACCCTTTAAATGATTTTCCTTCTTTGCCTTTCTTTTTCTTTCTCTTTGGCCTTGGCTCCTTCCTTTCCAACCACTCCCCTCCCAGAACCTCTTATTTTAGCCAAAAAAAAAAAAAAAAAGTTTCTTTCCTTGCTCCAGAATCACACCACCCACCGAGCACATCATCTGGAAGTCCCCTGTCCCTGAGCTCACTTGCTGCCAGGCCGGCGGCACCCAGAGGCTCGAAGGCCACAGGGGCACACCGTCTTTTCTCAGGGTTGGAGAGAGTAGATTAGACAACATCCTCAGATGTCCCGTCTCATGGCAGGTCACTGCCACTGTGAAGGGTACGGCTGTAGATGCGGGGGGACTGCTTGTTTCTTCAGGCTACATTTTTTAAAAAGAGATCATACCTTTTCTTTGGATTTAATGAGGACAGACATTTTAATCAGAGGTTAGTCATTTATTTTTGCAAACTATTGTTTTGATTCATCATTTTTGCAGATAATTAAATGGTTCAGTTGGCACAGTATGTCTACTTTATTAAAACAGGTAATTTTGGGGAAAAAAAGAGATGCTGTTTTTTGGATCACTGCACAAGAATTGCTTTTATCTTCATCTTTGAGCATAGTTTCTGGTTATTTTGCCAGGAGGCTCTCTCGTGTTCGGGCATTTGGGGTCCTTTCTGGTCTGGAGGGGCTTGCCCTTTGATGATTGGGATGTTAGCAGATACGCCCTTTGAAACGGGAGCTGAAGAGTAAATTCTGTGCAGCCGCCTTTTAGGAACACTCTTAGGTTTTAATTGGATTGGGAAAAAGAACCTACAAGTTATGAACTTTGCAGAGCAGCAGTTCTTATGCTAAAAACAGATTAATTGTAGCCCTCGCAGTGGGTGGAGTTTCAAAGTCAATTACTGCTTGTCCTATTATAATTTACACACACAGGATTTGAAAAAGTCTGCCACTTAGTATAAAAGTGAAAAGGTTACGTGTACTAGTTTGAGTATACCTATGACTTTTCATTTGTAAATGCTTTAGCTACATGTATGTGTATGTATGCAACTTGCAGCTGTGGAGCTGTAACTACATCTGTGAGCAAGATTCCTTATGAAGAGTAACCTTTAAGGTCTGGTTCCTTAAATCCGTAGTGGCTCAGCATATAGTCCTTTGTCTGGCAGTCCAGTCCACTTGTGGGCACAGTGGCTGGCCCCTGCAGAGCCTAAGGGGCACTCCACTCATGAGTCATGAACTAGTAAGGGAATGGCCCTTCCTGGGTCAATTTTTTAAAAGCGAATTGCTCACAACATTTGCTTTCTTTAATTTTTTCCATGTTTGTGTCCTGAATCAGTTAATTTACTCATTAAAAGAATTTATTTTAGGTGGACCAATTAAAACTTTGGAAGCTAATTTTTTGCTGAGCAGAGCAGACCTCTGAAAACACAATTTATAACATGGCTTCTGCCCTTCCACAGAGAGCTGTCTTATGGTACTGTAACCTCTGGTGCTTGCAGAAGTACAAAATTGCTGTTCTTTGTCCTCCAGCTCTGGAGCTGAGCTGCCGTGTGGGTGGGTTTCTCGAGCCTTCCCATTGTTTTAGGGTGAACAGGCAAGTCTGAAAAGTCCAGCCCAGCCCAGGAGTGGCATGCTGTATTTGTTTGCTTGCGTAAACTCCATAGTTTAATTTTTTTTAATAGGAAGCTGCTATGTAGTTCGGATATTTAAACAGTTATTAACCGAATGACAATTAACAGATTGCATAGACAGATTTTCTTTTGAAAACCTCTGAAATTGAGTACAGTTTGCAAAACTATCACGGCATAGTAATGACAATGAATTTTGATTTCCCGGAACTGATATTAGACTCCTTATTAAACTATGTGCATCTGCTTTTAATTTACTCCAAATAATTGGAAAATGCAATGAAGCTTTCCAATTAAAGCACGGCTTTATGCTGTTTAATAATACCCCCATAATATTATAGCTTATGAAGTGACAGGTGAGTTGGTGTATGAATAAAACATAAAGGCAGCAATAAGGGACAGAAAACCGGAGACAGTTGTGGGGATTTTAAATGCTGGATGTAATTTGCATATATTAATCTCTTCTTTTCAGCCTTATCAGGCGTTCTTCAGTATTTGAAGTTAAAATAGCGTTGACAGGCGGGAGTACGCTTAGTTTTTTCAAGGATTTATTACTTGTATAATTTCTGATCTTTAATAAGCAGATATGACTGATCCTCATAGTTCTATAGAAATCAGTTAATTGTTCCAGATGGCGTGTACTGATTATGCAAAATTACTTTTCACACCATTTTTTTTGTGATGGAGTTTGGAGTAAAATTAAATTTTTTATAGCCTTCTTATCATGCTGTTTTACAGTGGTTTTTCCACAGAAGTTGAATTTAATCTACTATATTACATTGACCAACACAGTTATTCTAATGTAGCATTTTGTGATTTGACAGAGAATAATAGAACACATTGCTCATTGTTCATTACTGTGTCCCTAATAAAAAGGAACTCCTGTGTATAGAACATAGCTGTTATTTATGAAGAATGCCTAATTCATACAGTTAAAAATGCAAAATTGTATTATGAAGTAGTTCCTTTTGGGGAGAGAATATCTGGAAAAAGCAAATGGAAATAGGCTTGTTGCTGCAGATTCTACATGCTAAGGGAGGAGCCTTCTTTTAATGACCAGCGTGTTTAAATTGTGCTACTTTCTCCTTTGAAGAAGGAAAAACCCAGATAATCTTATTCTATTAACAGAGGTGTCACTGGTTGACTTGTCTTGATTTACATAATCCCAAAAGTCTTTCATAATTGAATAGCATTTATAAAAGGTGGTTACACTTTAGTGTAAAGTATCCAAAAAAAAAAAGTCTAAAGGTGTCAATGATAATTCGTCTCTAACATTTTCCAAAGTGTCTGTTTATCACCAAGGCCCTTGTGTTGGTGTCGGATCCAAGTCCAGGTGGTGTGTACCCCTAGGTAACATTCATGTAGGCTGATCCTCGTCCAGGTTCTCAGATAACACTCTCTCTATGGCTCAGCTGCTAGTGGGATATGAAGTACTCAGCCGACTCACTCCAAAATGGGACTGAGGGACTGTCACCTTGATGCAGGAGTGGATGCAGTTTCCGTCCTTTGGGAGGACCTCTTCCCAGAGCCCAGTGGGGTGGGGGTAGGGGTAGAGAGCTCTCTGTTGCATCAGAAATCCTGTTTGGATATGCGGTATTTTAAATATAGCAGTAAATCCATAGAAAAATATTTCTCTGTATATAGTCTGACCTGTTTACAAAAGAGCCCATCACATATTAAGTCTTATCAGGACTTGTGTAGACTTGGGACTTATCTTTCTATTTTAAGTAGAGTTGAATCCCGTGTATGATACTCGATCGCTGCAAGGTCCATCTGCTTGCTCCTGATAGTTCTGGTCCGCCTCATCAGCCATTCCACAGGCTTGAGAACACGTCCTTGTTTGAACAGACTTGAGGAGGATTTGGATCTGTTTAAAGGGTTCGATTCCCTTAGCCCTGGGGGAATCGGACTTTTTTTTTTATTTTAATACACTTCCACCAGCAACACTGATTGCTCTTCATACAGGGGGCCCTGGAGTGGAAGCAGGCCTGCGTTGATGCCTCTGAGCAGGCTCTGGAGAAACAAAGACAAGCCACAGAAAGTGGCAGACCTGGGAGCTCTGAGAGCTCTGGGCAGGGAGCTCACAGGGTCCGCTGGGGGTGGGGGCGCTAGGCAGGGAGCTCACAGGGTCTGCTGGGGGTGGGGGCGCTGGGCGCAGGGTGAGAGTTGCTCTGTGGGAGTCTGGGGTCTCCACAGGGACCTGAAACACAGATTCTGTTAGAAACCCAGATGTTAGCACTGCCAGTACCACACAGATTGTACCATGTACCTTGTACTATATTCTGGTCTTCAGAATATTTTTGGTTAAACTCTTATTTTGTATCTACTCTGGTCTTGAAGGACATTTCACAGTAAGCCTCGAATAGTACTAGAATGACTAATTAAACCGAACATGAAGAAATGTGACTCAGAGCCTAGAGCACGCTCACACGTACAGTACCAACTCAATTCTGTATTCACTTTACCTCCAGAACTTCAGAAACGTGAAACCTTTCACATACCCTCTTCTGTAAACTCAAAATGTATTTTTGTGAAAATGAAAATTATATGAAAAAGAGAATGCATAAATCAGAGATGATTAAAAATATTTGTTCTAATGCAGTAATAATTTGGTAGTAATGCTTTCATCAGTATAGCTTAAGGCTACATTAAGTGGACAGACTTTATATGGATTCTCTAATTTTAATCTTCAAAATGCTATCTAATGTCTCATTAAGACTTGCATATAATGTATCTTAAGTACAGTCATTAAATATAGTTTAGGGAGATTTATGTTCAGATATTGCTTAAAGATGTTTTAATAGGCCCATTTACTCTGATGATATTAATGAGCTCTTAATACAGACTAAGCTTCTAAAACTAGTGGTAAAGACTCCCAGCCTGAACACAACAACTTGGAATTAATGCCTGGTTTGGACAGATGCCTGAGGGTGAGTCCTGCAGACACTCGAGGGTCAGCGCGAGCCCCTTGCTGTATGGAGCCTTGTTTCAGAAAGGGGCCTCCTGTAACGGGCTCTGGCTGCTGACTCCAGAGCACCCATTCTTCGGCCAGCCTGAGTACTGTCTTTTTTCTCCCCCAAACTGTGCACAGGACATGTGCTAACTAGGCCGAAGTACCTCTCCAAGGTTATTTGAGAGGCGCTGATAGCCTTGGCGGTGGCACTGGGGCCTGTGAGGGGTTAAAGGAGGCTGTTGCTGAACTTCCCGTGGAAGCATCTGCCAGGTAAGGTGTGCACAGTCTGGCATCGTTACGTGAAACAGCTTCCCTCTGCCACGAGTGAACTGTAAAAGGTCACATGGGTGTGCTTTCATCTTTCAGGCATTCATCCTAGCTGAAATACATGTAATAAAGTAGTCCTGCTAATTCAACATCAGAAAGAAAAAAAAAGCCCAACAGGAATCTCCGTGAGCCCCTCACACGCGTGAAACAGTTGTTCTCCAGGCCCCACTTCTAAACGTGTAGCAAAAAAAATCTGTTTTGGTATTTCCCTCTTTCAGAGAAATATTGAAAAGTACATTTTTTTTTTGTTTCAATTATTTTAAGGGAGGAAAAAAAAGAACCAGTGAGTTCAGAGACTTTTCTAATTACTAAATTGGTTTGTTATAAAAAGATAATAGCAAATTTCTTCTTTTCATAATTGGACATTTCTTCCCTGTAGGCTAATGCAGGCACAGCCCGTGCATGCACAATAAGTTATGCTTTTGAAAGCCATAACTAGCTAATAACAGCTACAGTGTCATCAGAGAGTAATGGTGTGCTGATTAGCATAATTAATGACAAATGGTGGTGCGGAATTGGTGGATTGGTTTAGCGGATGATGAATGCGGCGAGGCCTGGGCTGAGGCCTGCCAACTAGGCCTCGCTGGCTGTCAGCCCTTCTGTTCTCCCGATGCAGCCCTCATTAGTCACGATGGGAGGTGCCAGTTTGTATTCCGTTTGGAGCACAGAAAACTTAATAATCCAAGCAAATGTGGCTATCCCTTTTTCCTCTGTATTTACTCACAAAACCCTCTCACTCATTCCCATTGTGGCTGAACCATTAAGACACAGCTATTTCCAGATTCCTCTGCGAGGCTTGAAGGCGAAACAAAAGGGAGCATAATAGAGAGAGGCACGGATCCCAGAGCTTTCATCTGACCATCAATGAATTACTCTCACTAGGAAGACTTCTGTTTGGTGAACCCTGTTTATCTGTGTACTTTATAAGGGGAAAAGAGATGAACTCAGTAAGCGATACATTCTGTCCTAAAATAAGACTAGCATATTTATCTTTGACTTGATTAATCAGACCTAATTTGCATTCGCAAATGAGACTGATAAAAATGGATTTACCTTTTAACCTTTAGAGGAGGAAAGGTATTTCTCTGCAAGATTTCTGGGGCTATCGTTTCTTAACCGATAAGAAGCCACTCCTTTATCAATAAAGATGAAAATCCGCAATTTGCATTAGTGAATGGGACTGATTATTATATAGTTAATTAGCATCTGGAAATGAGGATTATCTTAATTACAAAGCACAATTTCCCTAATAGCTACAAAACTGTAAGTTTGATCCATGTGGAAATTGGTAACATTATTATGTAATTAGTGATAACATTAATAGTGTAGAATATTTAGATGTAATTTGCATATGCAAATGTGATTTACCTGAGCCAAACAAGTGGACCATTAATGATTAGAGCATGATGTAGCTGACTGAAAGTTCTAGATAGCTGAATGGTACCTATTATGCAGAATAACTAAATTATATAGTGGTAGAGTCAGCAAGGACCTTTTATATTTAGGTGGTCAGGGTGGATTTTGCTTTAAGAATTAGTAGCTGCTGGGTTTCATAATGGAGCTAACTGCTTGGAGAAATAGCTAGCCCATAATCATCTCCTTGACTTTGATTTTTTCATGCTTCCCTATATCCCTTGAATCTGAGATGTACTTTCCCTATGTATTTTAACAATTCTGAATTTTGGATCTGTCTTACAATTGATGTGTACTTTTAAAGCAGTAACACACATAAAGAATAATGGTGCAGTTTACAGTTCTTCAGGGGAGAATCAGACCTTTCTGAATTTTATCCGCAGGGCCCTAGAGGCTCCTCCCATCAGAAATGGTTCTTTGTATCTTCTGGGGTTCTATCTAACTTCCTCCCTCAGGCTGACATATGCTTCCCAAAGCCATGTACTCATGGTGGGGTGGATTTTAGAGTAGACATGGATGACCTTTTGAAAACTGTCATTCATAATAGCTTATCAGTGGATATCATTGTTCAGAATGGGACTAAAGTCAGTGTATTGATCAGTCTTTGCTTGGTTATCATGCCAGTAACAAACACCCCTCCAGATCACAATGGCTTACAGTTTCACTGTTTTGTAAAATGGAACTTGGAAATGTAAATTGGAACTTGAGTGACATATATCACCATGTCACTCAAGTTCCAATTTGGTGACCGTGGATTGGCTGGAACCCTGCTCCTTGTGTCTTTGCACTCTGGGACCCAGGCTGAAAGAGCAGGTCCCAACTGTAACTTGCTATTTTTATAGTAGAGGGAAGAGTGAGACCTGGAAGAAACAACCAGTGGCTCTTAAAGCTTCTGGCCATGGTGGCAAGGCCTACAGCCGGCCAACATGAGTTGGGCAGAAGTGTATCCTCTTCCCCCAATGTGCCTTTCACACGGCAGTGGGCAGATGGTCATACTGTTACAGGGAAGTGGGAACACATACTCGGGAATGGTGACACTACCCACTGGAGGAAGCTATTTTGAGTTTAAAATGTGAGTGTGTGCTGTAAAAATATAAAGTCAGTAATTATACTGGAAAAAAATAAGTGAATCTGAGACATCAGGCACCTTCCTAGAGTCTAGAAAACACTGGTGGCCGATAATGTCTGTAGCTTTTCCCTGTGCAGAATTTTATCTTCAACCCATCAAGAGTTTGTGTCCTCCTGGGGTGTTTGGGAGAGCTCAGGGATTTTGATGGGTGTTCAGCACAGTGGAAGTAGCACTACTTTCTGGGGTTTAAGCCCCATTTTGACCATTTCCAAACATGGGACCGTGATTCCTTTCTCTGGAACTCAGTTTGCCTAGCTGCAAAATGAAGCTGTTGGACAGGGTGGACCTCCTGTCCCTCTATCCTTCCACCAATCATTGAGGGCCAGGCACCCTGCAGGGGCTAGAACAGGTGCCTTGAGAGGTTTTGCCTCAGGGTAGGAGGGACTGAGGTTCCAACTGAGCATGACCCACCCGTCATTTCCGGTAAGAGCCTGATAAAAAGTTTGTTCCTAGACCAAACAGTTCATTGATATTTCTTCCTCTTTTAAAAAATAAAAAAACAGACACAAAGCTTTTCTTACCTGAATGATAAAAGTTACATGTTCATTGTAGAAAAGTTACAAAATATATGAAAACATTGGAAAGAAAATATCACAACCCCATTACCCAGAGAAACAGTATTTCAGTGTATGTCCTTTTAACACTTTTTCTATGCCATATGTTTACACTTAAAAGTGTATGTCTACCTAATTGTCCATTCTGGGTTCTTTTTAAGTCAGATTTATTGAAATATATTTACATGTAATAAAATCCAGGCTTTTTATGTGCACATTTCAGTGACTTTTGACCAATGTCAAACTACAGGATAGCCGCCTCCAGAAACAAGATACAGAATATAGCCAGGAGTCCCATAAGTTCACTTGCCTCCATTTCCGGCCCTTCCCTCCCCATCGCCAGTCCCTGGCAGTCACTTGCCTGCCCAGTGCTATCATATACATGGACTCATACAATATGTAGCTTTGTGTGTCTCTCAGCATAATATTTTTGAGAGTCTTCCATGTTATTGCATGTATCAGGAATTTGTTCCTTTCCAACACTCCAGGTGTCTATTCTGCTTTGAGACCTGTTCATGTACCTCGTTCCTTGTCATTAGGTCAGGTGGTCGTCAGGCTGGGATTAATGGTTGTATCATCCTCCCTCTTATGGATACAATGTACTTTACCTAGCCAGTCCTCAGTGGCTGAGTTTTTACATTATCTTCATTTCTAAAAGTTATACTTCGGTGAATGTTCCTTTAAATAAATATATAAACACATTTTTAATTATTTTGACATATAATGACAAATTGTCCCCCGTAATGGTTGAATTTGTTTACACTTCTGCATGTATGAAAGAGGTTTGTTTGGTTTGGTTTTCCACACAAGACTTGCTAACTGGTAATTTTTTTTTTTTAATTTTTATCAATTGGAAGGTGAAGGGGTATTTTATTGTTAATTTACATTTCTTTGATTACTGCTAAGGTTGCCTGTGTTGAGCCACTTGTGTTACTCGAGACCTTTGCCTGTCTGTCCGCAGCATCTCTTCCATTGCAGTCTTAATTTTGTTTGTGGAGTTGCAGGAGCTCCTCTTGCAACAAGGCCTTCTTTTGCTCTCACATTACTACCGCTTGTTTCCAGTTTCTGCTTTGTACTTTCATTTCATGTTTCCTTTATGTTTTGTGTCTTTGCCATCACGTTTTAGAAAAGCCTTCTCGGTTTTCTGGTATATTCTAGTACCTTCATTTTTTTTAACATTTAAATCTAAAGTTCTGCTGTGATTTGTTTTGATGTGTGACAAGATAAGAATCTATGTTTTTCCAAATTATTTATTATTGTCCCAGCATCACTTGTTAAATAATCTTCTTTTAACCAACTCATTTGGAAAACAATCCTATAATAACCTCTTACTGTGATGTATTTTGTGGCCTGTGTTGTGTTCCATTGAGTTGAATGCATATTCCAATGGGAGGGTCACGCTTTTAATAATTATAAATGTATGTATTTTAATTTCTTATCTTACTATTCTTTGTAGTTATTTTTCAGAATGTTCCAGGTAATAATAACTTTTTTACCCAGTAGAAATTTAGAATCACTTTAAGTTCCAAGGAAAATACTTTGAGGATTTTGATTGAAAAAAACATTGAAGTTATAAGTCAATTTGGGGAGAGTGGTCATTTAGAAAAATATCCAATCTTTCCTTCCAGAGATATAACTCTCTATTCAAATGTCTTTGTATATTATTCAGTAACATATTATAGTTTTCTTTGCTTTCTGTTTATATAATTCCTAAGTTTTAAATTTTGTTGCATTACCCATTATGTTGGTTTTGGTTTTTGTTTTGTTTCTTTTTGAGACAGGGACTCACTCTGTCACCCAGGCTGGAGTACAGTGGTGCGATCTCGGCTCACTGCAACCTCCGCCTCCCGGGTTCAAGCAATTCTGCCTCAGCCTCCAAAGTAGCTGGAACTACAGGCACCCACCGCCACACCTGGCTAATTTTTGTATTTTTAGTAGAGACAGGGTTTCACCATGTTGGCCAGGCTGGTCTTGAACTCCTAGCCTCAAGTGATCCTCCCCCTCGGCCTCCCAACGTGCTGGGATTACAGGCGTGAGCCACCGCACCCAGCCTGCATTGCCCATTATGTTTTCATTGGTGATTAAATATTTAATTTAATATTGTTGGGTCTTTTTTTTTCTTTTTTAGAGATGGGGGTTCTCACTGTGTTGGCCAGGGTGGTCTCAAACTCCTGGCCTCAAACAGTCCTCCCACCTCAGCCTCTCAAAGTGCTGGGATTACAGGCTTCTGCCACTCCACCTGGCCCTGTTGTTTTTTTTAATCTTCATTTGGTAACTGGCCACCTCTCTGTATGCTTGTTATTTCCAATAGCCTCCAGTTTATTTACTGGGATTTTCTTGGAAGACAACATCATCTGCAAATACAGATCATTTTGTCTCTTTGATAACATTTATACACCATTGGTTTTTCTTGCTTTGTATTTTTGGCTAAAACATTGAAAGCAGTGGCAGTAGTTTTCATTCTTACCTGGTTCCTGACTTTAATGGGAATGCTTCTAGTGTCCCATGGTTAAGTCTGATATAGATTTGGGGGAATTTGGAGGAGAGAGGGCTTGATTGTATTAAAGGACCCATTCTCTATTCCTATTTTCCAAAGATTTTTTTTTTAATAAATTCAGGCACTAATTTGAGTTTCATATAAAAAAATTTGGAATATTTTAATGTAGTATAATATTTTTTCTCACTTATTGACAGATACAGATTATTTTGTTTTGATGATTTAGCATTTAGAAAGTTATTGTTATATTTCTGAAATCAATCTTTATTATGGTGCATTCTTCTTTAAATATAGTACTAGATTTGAGCCACTGCTATTTAAGTTAGGATTTGGGCATTTATATAAGTAAGATTAGGCTTTTTGCTTATCAAAATGTAATTTTTGTGTGATCTAAGTTTTTTTCAAATATAAAAATATTTCTAAAATATTTAAATGGCTGTTCATTTTGGGGAAAAAAGAACACCAAAAAAAAAAAAAAAAAATCCTGTCTGAACTATGTGGACCTGGAAGCTAGGGGCATTTTGAGGAGATGGACAACTATTTCAGTTTCTTTCAGCATTAGTGATTTTTTTCAGGCTTTCTACTTTTTCTTGAGCCAGTTTTATCATGTGTATTTTTTTAAAGAAAATATAGCAATTTCACCTAAATTTCATCTAAATTTTAAAGTTTATTGGTACAAAATTTTACTTAAGAGTTTGTATTTATCTTAAAATTAATATACCTATAGTCATATATATCCTGATGTTATTTTTCTCTCTCTTTTTCTTGGTTGATTTATTTGCTTTATTTGTCTTTCCAAATAACTGCTTTTTAAATTTATAAAGCCATTAGACTTTTGCTTTATACTATTTAATAAATTTTTATCTGTATTAGTTCTTTTTTTTAACTTTCTTTTTTTTTTTTTTTTTTTCCTTTGAGACAATGTCTCACTCTGTTGTCCAGGCTGGAGTGCAATGGTGCCATCTTGGCTCACTGCAACCGCCGCCTCCCAGGTTCAAGTGATTCTCCTGCCTCAACCTCCTGAGTAGCTAGGACTACAGGTGCGCACCACTATGCCTGGCTAATTTTTGTATTTTTAGTAGAGATGGGGTTTCACCATGTTGGCCAGGCTGGTCTCCAACTCCTGACCTCAGGTGACCCACCTGCCTCGGCCTCCCAAAGGGCTAGGATTACAGGCATGAACCACACTGCCCCCAGCCACCTTTTTTTTTTTTTTTAACTTTCTATTTATTTTAGCTTTTTTAATAGCTTCCCTTGAGTGGTTCCCTCATTTGTTTTCTGTCCTTTTTTGATTTTTAATAAAAGTGTTTAGGGTTATATAAATATTCTTGTATATTGCTTTGGTGGCATTCTGTAGCTTTCATATATAATATTTATTTATAAATACATAATTTCAGTTTTGATTATCCCTTTGACTCAAGTGTTAGAAAAGACATTTCTAAGTAATTTTTGAAACCTTAATTTCTACTTTTATTATGTAATTATCCGAGAATATGACCTCTATAATTTTTTGTTTTTTCAAGTGTATTTAGTCTTTGCAGTCTAATAGATATATCAGTTTTACTAAATGCTCCGTTGATACTTGAAAACACATCTTCTCTCTGTCACAGTGTTTGAGATACACTCCCACCATCAACGTTTTTTGATCAAGTAGGATGGATGGGTATGTATACCCCCATATAGATATATACATTCATTCATTCAATTTGACCAAACAATGGTAGCTTTTGTTTTGCACAGTTCTTCTCATGTCAGTATCATTTTGATCATTGGTTTTATTTTGTATGTTCCTATGCAGTGTTATTGAGGCCATGAAGGTTTATGACGGTTAAAGGTCTATTATGTATTTTACTCTTCATCGAAATAGAATTCCCCTTTTGTCGCATCTCGCATTTTTGGCCATAAGTTCCATGGTGCTCCTGTCCCTTGTGGCCCTGGCTCTGAGTGCTGCCCCTCCTCCTCCCTCTGCTCTGGCCAGGTGAGGCTTCTCCTCCAGGGGTTTTCCACCTTTGCTGTGGTTGTCTCTTCCACCAAAGAGAGCCCTCCTGTTCCCCACCACATCCCTGCCAGCCTCTGACCTGTCTGTGTCTCCAGCTCTTCCCAGAAGCCCTCCCTGGCAGCTCCTGTCCTCCTCTGCTGGATCCTGTGAGCACCACAGCCTCCTGTACACCCTGAGCTATGCCTCTCAAGGCCCTCCACCAGCTCATCCCCTGCTGTGGGCACAAGCCCTGCTTTCAGAGTTTCCCTGCCCAGGGAATGAATGCCCCTTGAGAGACCACACATATGCTGCAAGTCCAGCCCTGCTCAGAGCCGTTCTTTGCCAAATAATCACCTTGTTATTAAAGAGCTGATTGTTCTACTAGACTCTTCTATTCTTATGGTTCACCATGAAAGACCAGTTAATTCACTTTTTAAAAATTACTTCAAGAGCCTTGTGTTTGGCCGTTTTGTGTTTCTATAAAGAAATACCTGAGACTGGGTAATTCATAAAGAAAAGAGGTTTAATTGACTCACGGTTCTGCAGACTATATAGGAAGCTCCAGAATCTGCTCCTGGTGAGGGCCTCAGGAAGCTTCCAATCATGGTGGAAGGCAAAGGGGAAGCCGATGTATCACATGGCAAGAGCGGGAGCAAGAGAAAGAGAAGGGGGAGGTCCCAGGCCCTTTCAAACAACCAGATCTCGGTGAATTAATGGGGCAAGAACTCACTTATTACCAAGGGGATGGTGCTGAACCATTCATGAGGGATCTGCCCCCTGATCCAGTCACCTCCCACCAGGCTCCCCGCCTCCAACATTGGGAATCACATGTCAACGTGAAATTTGGAGGGGACAAACTGCCAAACCATATCAAGCCTCATCCCAGAACTTTGATCATTGGAAGTGCTTATTTGAAATCTTCCCATCTTCCCTGATGATACTCCAGGGGCCCACACCAGAGCGCTAGGCAGCGTGGCATAGAAGGAAGGGCAGGGGTTTTAGAGACTGGCTGCCTCCCTGGCTGGACATGATCCCATAACTTGCCAATGCTCCCGTCAGCTGCCCAGTTCCTTGCACCTGTCTCTCAAGGGGCATTCGTTCACTGGGCAGTTACTGAGGAAACTCCCATGTGCCCAGCCCTGGGGCCTGGACTGGCAGAGAGCCCCGGGCAGTGAGTGGGAGCTCAGAGCACACGGGGCCCCCACACACCAACTGGATGCGACCTGCCACCGGTACAAATACAACCTGCAGAAGTCGGATGTGCTGGTCCCTCTGTTGAGAAGGCTCGGTGGCCGCAAGCACGTATTGCAGTCCACAGAACCATCCTGGCAGATGGCAACGGCTGTAGAGAAGACCCGCAGGCCCTTTCCCTTGCAGGTTTGCTGTCTGACAGACAGGTCTGGCCTCCCTGGCTTCCTGTCATTAATGTGGTTTCAGATGAGAGTGACCCCCCACAGCACCTCCTTGCTAAGGCTCATTTCCAGAGGAAGGCAGAGAGTCATTCTTCATGGTTAAGAATAAGGACAGCCTTTAATTTCAGCAAATTTAGCCACTTCCTTTCTGCCCAGAGGCATAGGAATATTTCTGAACCTGGACAGGGCTGGCCTGGGCCCAGTATGTTCTGAGTCCCATGGGCAGGTATGCTTAGGCTGGGGTGACTGTTACATCATTACCTGCAGCGAGAGACTGGCTTTTTTCCTCTCCTGACTGGCCTTACCATGGAAAAGCAAGTGACTTTTTGTGTCTGTTTGGTTTCAGGAATAATAATCAATTTTTATTGAGCTAAGTCACCTTCATATATAAACTCATTTAATCCTTGAAACCACTCCACTTCCCATTTTACAAATAAGGAACCGAGATTCAGAGAGGTTAAGTGACTTTCCCAACATCACACAGCAAATCAAGGCAGTGGCCCATGGGTGCCTTCATTGTGCCTCCTACGGAATTCCGTAGTAGGCTTTCTCACTCCTCCACTCTTAGTTTTAAGTTGCTGTCTCATTTCCTAGGCTGAGCACTCCATGAGAGATGCCCTTGGCCTCCTCACATCTAACATCAGAGTTAACCGTGAGAGCTCTGCAGTCAAGTTCATGTCGCAGTCTGGTCTCGCCTATGCCCAAAGCCTGGGAGGGCCCATCAGGTGATGAGTCCTGCTGCTCCCTGCACTGTGCAGAGCAGAGCCCCTGGCCCTCCCTGGGAAGGAAGGTCTGGCTCCCAGGTGGGCGGTGGGCAAGCTCCACTTCCTCTCATTAGTCAGCCTAATGGATGGCCGGCTGAGCTTCCAGATCTGTCCGGGGACTAGTGGACTCTTACCGCCTGCTCCCAGAGCAGCCTGGGAAGCTAGCCCCCATTGGGGTGACACAGATGGCAAGCCCAAATGACAAAGTAAACTCCAATATGTCTTGGAGACATTGTCAGCCTGCAGCTTATTTGTCATGTCACAGCAGCCTTGTGGACCAGGGATGTACTCCCTCCCCGGCCCTGCTCCATCCCCATGTGAGGATTATTTACAGGAAACTGCATTTGATAGGGCTGGTGGGGAGGGCATAGAGATGGAGGGGTGCCAGAACAGATGTTGGTCATTTTCTCACGTTTGGGAAATTAATAACACTCACTTACCTAGCATTTATAGAGTGCTTCACCCAAACTCTCTTCAAGTCTCATAGCAACCCAAAGAGGTGTCGATATAATTAATCCCAGTTAATAGATGCAGAAACCAAGGCATAGAGAGCTCAGTCAACTTGCCCAATCACACAGCTAATGAGAGCTGGGATTCCGGCTCAGGCTGGTGCAGCGGAGGCTGAAAGGGCACTTGCTGCCTGCTCAGGGCTGGGTTTTGGGAGGCAGATCAAGCAGGAGGAATGACACCCTGTATCCCAGGGATGTCCTTCAGCCCTGCAGGTGCAGACCAGCTGTGCCACCCAGCCCAAAAGGGGACACATTAAGGGAGGGAAGCGGCACTGTTTGGCCTTTCTCCCATGGTGACTGGGCTCTGCGGTGAGTGGCTGTGTTTGGGGCTGTGCTGGACAGCAAGGTCACGTACTCCACCCTAGGTGGCATCTCTGCATCACCAGAAGAGCAGGGGTCAGAGGAGGAGGAAGAGGCTTGGCAGGCTGAGTATTCCCAGCCTTGCCTTTCACACCACCACTGCCATAGGGAGTCAGGCCCTTCACCATCTGGGCCTCAGCGTCTTTGACTGTAGAAACAAAAATGGAGGCATGAAAAGCCTCATTCAAGAATTGCAGTGAAGATGAAATGAAATAAAGCTTGCAAAATGGCCCTGCCCACGGTAGGTGCTCACCACTGTAGAGAATGGCTGGGAAGCAGTGCAGAGGGGACTCTCTCAAAGGCCTAGGCCTTTTGCTGCACCTCCAGGTGGAGGAGGGTGTCAGGGACAGGTCAGGGGTACTTAGTAGAGGGTCTCGAGCAAATGATCCCAAGAGCTGCAGCCCATCCAGGCTCTGAGCAGGAACCCTGGAGACCAGAGACAGCAAGGCTCTGTGAGAACTGGATTCAAGCCCAGGGGAATGGTCAAGGCTGCATCTCCCTATCCCCAGCTCCCAAAGCAGTAGGAGTTCAAACCCACCGGGACAGGGGGGCCAAAAAGCTGGACAGAGGGATGAGGCACTGCAGGAACTCCGTGGTGGGACACGACCCTCCCACTACCTTCCAGAAGCAGGAAGAGAGGAGGCACAAGGGTCCTGGGTGGGTGCCCGGGACTCATGTCATCTGGAGGGGGTTTATTTATCTTTCTGATTTAGCTTTAAAGATGCCCCTGAACCCACAGCCTCTGGTCACAGGTAAGCAATGAAAAGCCAGGTGGAATATGAAGAGCAGATTAGGTTAGCCGTGTGACTGATCCCAAGCTGTTTGCCGAGTCTCTGTGTAAATTTCATGCAGGTTGTCTGATTGAGGACACCTGGAATGCCGCGGGCTTGGTGGTTATGAAAGTCCCACTGTTTCATTCCTTAGCCCCGCTCACCAGTTATGTGCAAGTTGAACCGTACCATCAACCCCATTCCCAGCAGCTCCTGTGCATGTCGGAGGCAGGGGATCCTTGTGTCAGGCACCAGCAGATGCACCTACTTTTTCCCTAGGAGATGAAAAAAGGAAGAATGTGAGTCCGTGCCTTCAGCTCATGCGTGTGCTCACGTGCAGGCACGCGCAACCAGGGCTCCCAGGGAGAATGTGCATTTTAAACAATAGACCCAGCCTAATTCCTGGTGTTCACGTGGAGGCCATTCAGCCAGCCCTGAGCCCCAACTACTTGCTGGTCATTCTACTTGAATCTGGGACACAAAAGGTAAAGAAGACATGGCCCTGCCTTGGAGCCTGGTAGGCTTTCCCTCCTCAGCTCGGACCAGCACTGGGGACTCAGCTCCAGACGTGTGCAGACCCTGCGGGCCCACGGGGTTGCCTGGGAGCTGGGGAAATGTGTTCCCTGTTAGAGCGCTGTCCATTTGGTGATTTGGGGGCAGCCGGTGCAACACATTCAGCAGGGCCTCAGGTCGTTTGGCCAGACTGGAAATTGGTTCTATCCCAAATGTTGCTGGAAATAACAAGGCAGCTGTTCAGCCTCTCTGTTCTCAGTTAGTAAGTGAGAAAAGTGTGTGAACCCGGCAGAGGAAAGAAAGAGTTGTCAGAGCCCATTTCCCCCATGCCTTTGATCTTGCTGACCTGGATGTTTGGGTGTTGGGGGTGGGGGTGATTTGGGAGTTTGGGTGAGTTTTTTGGCTGAAGTAATTGGGATGTCTTAGGAAGCAGGGAAGGAAGGGAAGTTCAAGGGTAATTGCTAACTGATGCCAGAAAGAAAAAATAAATGAAATGCTTAGGCACTTCATGGCCCTTTATTTTCCAGCCATTTCTGCAAATTGCAGTCTAGTTCTTTCTCAGAAATAAGTGACCTGCTAATACAGGGTGGGGAATAGTGGCTGTAGGACAATGAGGTTTAATTTTTAAAAGCTCTGGACTCAAGTCCCAGCTCTGCCCCCGAGACAAGCCCCTCACCTTCTTTGAGCTTCAAGTCAGTCTTCTATCAAGAGGGGCTGAAAATGCCTGCCTCCCGGGATTGTGGTAAAGACTAATTAAGAGAAGACTTGCTGAAAGTGCTTTGTCAGCTGTGAAATATGTGAGAAAGATAAAATCCCTATTTCTTCAAGTTCAGCGGGTTTTTAGTGAGCATCTATTTTTGCCAGAAAACCCCACAGACGTGCCACCTCCCCGTGAGCATCCCCACCCACCCCAGTGCATTGTCAAGGACACATGAACTTGTCAACTGGGTGAGCAAGCAGGGGAGGGGTGAAAGGTCCAGCTGCAAGCAGGGAAGCAGCTGAGCACCCGGAGCAGACCAGGGCCTGGCTGGGCAGAAGGGACTCCCAGAGCTCAGGAGTGTTGCTGTTTGCCCCTTCTCCCTTCTCAAGTATGGAGTTTTGTTTTCATACCTGAGGTTGGAGGTCCTAGTGACTTCTTTCTGCCTGTGTGGGCTGTAGAGGAATCCGTTGCCAACAGCAGTGGCCTGTGTATCACCGGCTGCTTCCTGGAAGAGGTGTTCATTACACAGGCTCAGCCTCTGCTTGCCCATGAGGCTCTTGCGGTTTCTTTCTTCTCACTATGCCCCTTCTCACATGTGCATAACTCGTACATGGACACAATCTCACATGCGTTACGTGGCACATGCATACACTCACGTGTGGCACACTCTCACGTGTACATACATACCGTGTGCATGGTCTTGCATGTGACACACAGCCTCACATGCATATGTGCACACATGACACGTGTGCATGCTCACATGTGTGCACACATGACATATACACAGGTGGCCTCCCCTCCTCTCTGGATCATCAAGGATACCATCCAGATTACCTTCCAGGGCTGGGACAAGGGCTCACCAGGCCCCAACAGGGCAAAAGACAATGAGAGAGGCAAGATGGAAGTCTGGTGTCCCATCAGGGAAAGTCTAAGTGAGAAACAGACGCGGTAAAGCAGAGAGCACCGGGAGACAGGAGAGGCATGGACCTCAGAGTCAGTGCCACCACCACCTGCTAGCACCTCCCTTTGGTCCCTTCAGCATTTTAAAACCTGCTTTCTGTACTGAGAAATAGGCTTTCTTCTTTTATTTTCAAACTTCAAAGATCAGTTTTGAAATAAAGTTTTTTCTGATGGAATTCCAAAGGTTTTACACATGTGTGAAAGGAGAAGTTTGGCTGTTAAAATGTGTTCACCCTGCCCCTTGCTGCCCTGACCCACCAGGGTCCCACCGTGCCTCCACTTTGTTCTCCTAAATGCTGCACCAGCTCACAACCACCAATAGTGTGTTGTTCCAGCCTCTTTCCTTCATCCCCCTAATTCATTTGTGTTCAGCTAGAGCCTAGTGGGGCAGAATTGATTTTTTTGTTAATGGGAAGAAATGTTTCCTGTGTAGGCATTGTTTACCACTCTGCAGCTAATCCCATTGAGCCTCGGGCTCAGTAAGCGGGACACCCAGGTGGCCTGGGGCTGGGCGAGTAGAAAGGTGGCCCCTGGTCTTAGCCAAAGGAGTGCCCTATTCAAGCATCAGGATACATTTGCAGTGGCCAGGGGTATGGACCTTGCATTTTTTAACCCCTGCATGGCTTTAGCCCCATAAAGACCCAACTAAATAAGTGAGATGGAAGTGAATGTTTTCCTCTTCTTTTTCATTTTACTTTTGTTAAGCACTGCATAATGTGCATGCCACGTAATACAGTGAATAGCCTTCTGGTAGGGGTCGATGACCATAATTGAGTTTTTTTTTTTTTAACCAGCCAGGAAAATGCTTCCTTAATCAATGTTCTTTAAATGCTTTGACACATGGTAACAACACACCACAGAGATGCACGTGCCGCTCTCCACCAGACTCCACTGATAGGAATACTGGGCAGCCCTTTCTTCCCTTCCCTCCTGTGAGCCTGTGGGTGCGCAGGGCAGCCACTCCGGGGATGAGCGAGCATGCACCATGATGGCGATTCCAGGAAGGATCTTGAACCACGTCCTGGCAGGGCTACCTGGGCCAAAACCCTATTTCTAGGCCCCTTAAAGGTGAGCGGGCTTCAGCTCTCTCCCCAGTAAGACCCACAGCTCCCAGTAAGACCCTGCGAGCTGGCTAGAGGTGAATTTATTTTATTTTATTTTATTTTTTATTTTATTTTATTTTATTTTATTTTAGATGGAGTCTTGTTCTGTCGCCCAGGCTGGAGTGCAGTGGCGTGATCTCAGCTCCCTGCCACCTCCGCCTCCCGGGTTCAAGTGATTCTCCTGCCTCAGCCTCCCGAGTAGATGGGACAACAGGCACGTGCCACCACGCCCAGCTAATTTTTGTATTTTTAGTAGAGACGGGGTTTCACCATGTTGGCCAGGATGGTCTCGATCGATTTACCTCGTGATCCACCCACCTCGGCCTCCCAAAGTGCTGGGATTACAGGTGTGAGCCACCGTGCCTGGCCCTTATTTTATTTATTTTGAGACAGGGTCTTTCTCTGTTGCCCAGGTTGGAGTGCAGTGGCAAGATCATCACTCACTGCAGCCTCGACTTCCCAGGCTCAGGTGATCCTCCCACCCCAGCCTCCTGAGAAACTGGAACCACAGGCGTGTGCCACCATGCCCAGCTGATTTTTTTGATATTTTATAGAGATGGGGTCTTGCCATGTTGCCTAGGCTGGCCTTGAACTCCTGGGCTCAAGTGATCCAGCTGCCTCAGCCTCCCAATGTGCTGGAATTGCAGGCGTGCAAACCACTAAGCCTGACTGAAGTGGGTATTTGAGCCTCTAATGCTCCCTGTTACAGTTTTGCTGTCGTGGTGGTTCTAAGACAATAAACTTTGATAGGTCGTTTTCTTTCTTTCTTTCTTTTTTTTTTTTTTTTTTTTTGAGACGGAGTCTTGCTCTTTTGCCCAGGCTGGAATGCAATGGTGTGATATCGGCTCACTGCAAACTCCACCTCCCAGATTCAAGCAGTTTTCCTGCCACAGCCTCCCAAGTAGCTGGGATCACAGGTACCCGCCACCATGCCCAGCTAATTTTGTATTTTTAGTAGAGACGGGGTTTCACCATGTTGGACCTGGCTGGTCTCAAACTCCTGACCTTAGGTGATCCGCCCACCTTGGCCTTCCAAAGTGCTGGGATTGCAGGCATGAGCCACCACGCCCCGCCTGATAGGTTATCTTGAACATCTCTTCCCAATACAGTAATTAGACCTTAAATGTTTTTGTTGGATACTTACCTCCAAGATATTCCCAAATCTCCAAATTTAAAAATAGCTCTTTCGCACACGATTTCTCCCACAGAATGTAGTAATGTAGATATGAAACATTCAGGTGAACTTGTTAGAACTAATGGTTCTATAAATAAAAACTGACATCATTCATAAAGTTATTTAAATAAATTTTGTCACTAAAATAAATTTATATGTTACATCATTGCTAATAATGATTTTAACTGTGAGTTTTCTTTTTGTAAAAAAGAATTGAGCCAAGCCCCAGGGTTTTTCTAACAAGCTGACGGGATACTTGGCTGGGGTTCTCATCCTGCCCCTCCCTGCTTCCAGCTCAGATACTCGGAATATGGTTGAAGCCTGACTGAATCATAAAGACTGCCTGAGAGTGGGAGAGGAAAGGATCAGTTACTCTTTGGCCACCTTGAACGCGCAGCTTCCTTTTCCTCCTGGGATATGGGGTCTGAGGCATCTCCTTCCTAGAGGCCATGTCCATCTGCATTGCAGGGTGTTCTGTGCAAGAGCCATGCTCCCCTCGAGTTTCTTCAGCTGATCTAGTAATTACTTCACCAGCAGCAGGCTGCTGATAGCGCCCCTGTTTAACTTCAGTTTATAAAAGAAAAAGTAAGCGTCTTACAATTCTGGAACCTCCTTTCCTCTTGGGAGTCTACGTATGGGCCCCGGCTTCGTCCTGAAGCAGTGTCAAGAGTCCTGTGCCGTCTGCTCATGCCCTCACCCCACGAGTTTAACCAGATCTTCAGCTCTCACCAGAGTTTCTTCCACAGTCAGAAGCCCTTGCACTAGGCTCGCAAACCCTTTCTCATTTCCACATCGCATGTGTGGCAGGCTTATTCCTCCCAGAGTAGAGCTGAGCTGCGCCCTCAGCCCACCCTCCCCTTTTTAATCGATGTCAGCTCCTTCCCTTACCCACACTGCGGCCAAGTCTCTCCCCTTTCTTAGACCTTTGGGATCCCTTCTTCCCTCCATCACCAACATTAGCAGTTGGCTCTTGGGTGGGATCAGTTTTTTAAAATAAAGAGACGAAGTGTCACTTCAAGGGAGGTACTGCTTTTGCAGGAGAAAAGTGGGGCGCCTCTCAGCCAGGCTGAAATCTGGGAGCTGCATCTGACTGGCTCGCTCACTGGCCCAACTCCCCACTGAGGCACGCCTGCTCCAGGAACCCCAGTGTGTGCCAAGTTCAGTGACATGTTTATGTCATGACCTTCAAGACTTCCACCAATCCTAGCCACCATGAATGTTATTTTTTTAAATTATTTTATTATATTTTAGATTTGGGGGTACCTGTATGTTGTGTACGGGTAGAGATTGGGCTTCTAGTGTACCCATCGGATGTTGGAGTCTCAGGTCCCAGAGAGTCAGATTTCAGGTGTGAGGATGCGGTTGCCAGTACTTCCATTTTCTCCGCATTTTGTCACACCTCAGACAACACAGGTTGAGACTGAATGAAAATAGGGACGCGTCGCCTGTCGTTCTACTGAGGGAGAACGGGTGGTATGTGTTTGGGATTTTACAGGCAGAACATTTAAAGGCCACCTTGTGTTTTCTGAACCTTAGGCACAAATGAAATCACGGCTTGGTGCTTGTCCAATAGCCTCGCTGGAGTCAAGCTGAGAGCCCCTCTCCACCAAAACCAGATAATAAAAGCGAGCAAAAAGCTTGTGCTTTCAAAGTATGTCTGGCAAAAGACGATTTGGGGACTTTTTCACAATAAAGACTGAGCAGAAAGCGAATAGCCATTCTCACCATCTCCTTGAGCTCCTGGACCCCACCGTCAGTAGCCCTGCACTCTCCCTCACCACGGGGCAACCTTGACTTTTGATTGTCAGGTCCCTGCCAGGTCTCTGCTCAAACGGTTTTTCCACTGACCCAATAAATGATTATGTAACAGTCAGGAGACCCCTATTCAGACAACACCTGGTTCTGTTACTCGCCCACCAGGTCACACTGAGCAAGCGGGTAAACGTCTCTGTGCCCAGGCTCAGCCTCACCAGGCCCAGGATAGAGACCAGGACAAATGAGATAATGGGTGTGAAACCCCTAGGAACCCTGTCAGGCACCACACCACACGTTTGTGTGTGTCTGAGAAACCTATTATTTCTAGGCTGTTCGGGGGCCTCTGGGCTGCTCCTTTTGGGGGGCTTTCTGACCCCTGGCCGGAGCCAGCATCCTCACTCAACACTGGCTCTTAACTTTGCCTGCCTGCTGGGTTTCTCTTTTCCCTGAGGGTCTGCTCTTTTGGATTCACGTGATATTCTTCTTCCCCTGGGGCTTTAGGGAAAGTATTTTTAAGAACAGGCGCCAGGTCTCCTGTTGGGCCTTGCGTTTCATGGTGGTTCCCCCTCATTCCAGCCTGCAGTTTGTCCCGCCTGGTTGCGACAGCAGCCCTGGCTTATTGGTATCTTTCTAGGCTGTTAGGTTCCATTGAAATGTGTCCTTCTTATACTTTACTGTGACCAGAGTCCCTTGAAAAAATTCAGGGCAGATTTTCAAATGGCTGGAAGTCATTACTCAGGGAAGCACAGAAAGGTTCAAGGAAGGAAATCAAGAATCCAGCACAAGTTAGAAATACTGTGTTCCTTAGCTTCAAAATAGGAAGAGCTCACTTTGAGTTAGGTAGGGAGAGAGACCGAAAAAACACCCTCTGTCTGGAATCCAGAAAAGGCATTCACAAGGCATCTGAATTTATTCTCTTTCTTTCTATTACTGAAAGTCAATACCTTAAAAACCCTGAGTGCTGAGAAAACTCACTAAGCCTATAGATTCAGATGACCAAGGATCTCTGAGGGTTCCTTTCATCCTGCAAGTTTTAAGGGCTCAGATCACAGCAGGTCTGGACCTAAGAGAACCCCCAGGTTGGGTTACATACTAAGGAAAAAGTAATCAGTTGGCAAGTAGGTTACCTGGCTGTGCTTTGGCACTGGTATTTCTTGATGCCTTGTCGTAAACTCAGAGTGTCACGAGCCTGGCCTGCTGAGTGGTGCCAGTGCAGGCCTCCCCTTGACTGACACATGGCTCCCTTGCCTCTCTGAGTCATAAAACAGGCCAATTGTGTTTTTCTTAGGGGACTGTGACCCATGGGGACAGTCTAGCATGGTGCTTGGCACAAAGTCCAAAGCCGTCTCCAAGACGCAGCTGCATCACTGCCTGCCCCTAGCATGGTTAGTCCTTCCGGGTAATGGAGAGTCCTGTTGCTTCAGAAAGGCTTCACAGAACTGTGCCTGTGAGACCACGAGACCCTCACCCCAGCAGCACGCGGGCACGCAGCCCACAGCAGCATTTCTCATGGTGCCATTGTGTCTGAGGTCCCAGAGCCAAAGCCTCGGGAGGCTTGGGGCTAAGGATGTGTATTTTCGCACGCAGCCCAGGTGACTGTGGCATGCCTGCGGGTTTGAGAGTTTTGGAGCAGAAGGATGCCTCTTCTGGATGTGGGGCAGCTTGGAGTGCGCAGTTGTTACAGCGCTCACAGGGGCCGCGCTCACCTGCACCCATCCTTGCCTGCCCCGCTCACTTGGACCTGCCACTCTCCCACAGGGGCCGCTTGTCTCACAGTCAGAATCGCCAGCTTCAGCCCACCCATCTCGAGGGAGAGAAAGGGCTCCGGGGCTCAGTAATGGTTTTCACAGGCGGGTTTCATGAGTGGAGCCGCTCTTGTTGGGAAGCAGCTTCCCCTGCGATTTGGGGCATGTGCTTTGGACTTTGAATTTGAGGCTCCCATTTGAAACCACTTTTCCCCAGCCGTGGCCTCTGCAGTGTTCTATAACTCAGTCTTAGTGGCTCTAGAGGATGTCTGCCTATCTTCTTGAGGGGGCCCCTAGGGGTCCCCAAATCAGTTGACTGTGTGCTCCCTGGCCGCTGGGCCTGCAACACTCTGCCCAGCTGCTCTTGCTGGCTGTAGTTCTGCTCAGACCTCCTCGGCAGGGTGGACAAGGCTCCGTCACCATGCAGGTGACCAGCACTCACTGCACAATGAGGCAACTTTGCTGCCGCCTTGCTGGACACATTCCTGGGAAGGTCACAGGCACTCGGGCCTCAGTGTCTCCATCTGAAAAAGGAAAGCATTCCACAACATAAGTCGCCAAACTAAACTTCTGGCTCAGATCTTCCCACATTCTTTGATTTGTTTATCCTCAGAATTCTAACGTCTCTGCTTCAGCTCACATCCAGCTGTGCTCTTGGTCATGCCAGGAGATGCCCCCAGATGCTCTGCTTCTGCTGCACTTCCCGTCTATTGCAGAAGCATCTGCTCGGACTCCATTTCTTTCTCTATCCCCTGTGTAGAGATGTGGAGCCAGGAGCAGCCAAGCAGCCAACGGCAGGTCAGAGGGGTGGGCATCGCCTCTCCCTGACCGGGGTCTGGAGAAGGGAGGGCCAAAGGGTGGATTTAGGCCTCAGCATGTTGGGGAGATGATGCTGGGGGTGGTAGCGGCCAGTGGAGGTGGGGAGGAGGGCAAGTTCCAGAGTGATGGCCAGATGGAATGAGAAGACTCCCTGGGTTCAACCCTGGCTCCACCTCTGCTGGCAGGTGCTCCTGGGGAGGTGTCTTAACTGCTCTTTGCCTGAGTGGCCTCTGTAAAATAGGAATAATAATAATAATATACACACATCCCTCATGGGGTTGCCTTGAGGATTAAATCAGTCAATACACAGAAAGCCCCAAGACTACAGCCTGGCGCAGAGCAAGCATTTGAACAACGTTTTGAGTCACCACCACCACCCTTTTTGCGATTTACAGGACTGGTGACTGTTATGAGGTCTGGGGACAGGTCCCTGTTCTTCCCAGGCCTTGGGACCAGACATCCAGGTGGGTGGCAGAGCTATTCACAGGGATCAGGAAAACAGAAACTGGAACCTCATAAGGAAGAGAAGTCCACCCATTCTTCATTTTCCGTGGAGGCCAGGAGTGATGCCTTGATCCAGTTCCATTGTCCCCACCTGGGCCTGTGCATGGCCGTCAGCACCCCCACAACCGCCGAAGGCTGGCCCTGGTGGCTTCTACGGGGATTGCTCTCTGTTGTCTTTGAATCACGCTGCTGGAGAGGAGCTTGCGTAGATTCCCAAGTTTGTAATTAAAACAATCGAGAAACAATTTTCACTATATATAAAAAAAAAAAGAGCTAAACAGAAAGTCTCTTTTAAGCAGATGTTGTGCTGTGAGCCATGTAGAAAAATTATTTTATCATCAACCCAGCTCGCCTATCTCAAGGCTTGAAAGAAACTAAGGGAACATCTTTTCTACTAGCCCAGCGTTTTTTAGCTCCTAATATCATTTCACATTTAAAGGTGACAGCAATATCTTTAACGTTTTTCTATTGGATTAATAACATTTAATGTTCAAAGCAATAAAGCGAAATGTTTTCGTGAGGGTGCTTTATATCACTAGTGGAAAATCCAAGTTTAAAAAAAAAGACCACACACACAAAGTAATAGACGTGGAGAGCCGTAAACCGAGAAAGGGAACCCAGGCGTGGAGGTGGGAGCCTGGGCGTGGAGGTGGGCTCCCGGGGTGGGTGGGCTGGTGGGTGTCCAAGGCCCTGAGCCCCGACTGGCTGGCCAGCGCTGGGAGGGGGTCGGTGCCCGTGGGGGTTGAGAGCATGGGGGCCCTCGCCCACCCGCCAGCCATTCATCTCCACCCAGCAGCGGAATATGACAATGTTAGCATTTTTCATTTCCCTGACGTTACCATTAATAAAGCAATGATCCAAAAGAGGCTTCGCTGAGTCTGTGCTTTATGCTCCCATCACTCACGACTAGATAATTTCACACAGGATCGTTTTAAAATTAAATGACGATAAAAACGCTCTGCTGTTCTGTGTTCACCAGTTCATAGAAGTCTATCAAGTCATTAATGTGTCATGACAAACTGCTCGATAGATACAAGAGTAATTAATTATTTGAATAAATAACAAGTTGAACTTGGAGCTTTGAACCACAATGACATACACATCCCATTAGGGGCGTCTTGGAGCCTCCACAGGGCACTGGTACGAAGAGTTAAAATGCAGGCCAGGGTATTGGAAGTGATGAAAACCAATTTCGTAAACACAGGGTAATATTTTACGGGGAGATAGCCGAAGTGTCACATTTCCGTGCCCGCATGAGGTTCAGTGTTAAAAGTTCCCTGGCAGCGGCCATTCCAAGACACCATTTGATCAGAGATGATTTCAGAGAACAATTATACAGATTTTCATAATCACCATTAATCTCTGCATATTTTTCAAGATAATTACAGCAATTATTATTTAGATTTCTCTTTTATATGCCCATTGTAGAAAGGAACAAGTGCTTATTATACCGGATAGTTCAGAGAACCTTGGATGAGAATTCTTTGTCATCTCTGCGCTCGTTATTTCAACTCATGTTGCCTCTGAAAGTTCATCAGCTGCAGAAATTAGAATACCAGCAGGCCCTGTTATTAAATCTTAAGGTTGAGCTGAGACCATGGTTAGAGTGGCTGGCTGAATTGTTCATTTGTGGGACTGCTGAGCTCAGGTGGGATTACTGTCAGGTGGCAGGAGATGCCCCTGACAGGTACAGGCAGAGATGGGTGGCCGCCTCACGCCCATTTCCCCTGACAGGCTTACAGAGTGAACTCACAACCAATATTTAGAGGATACATTTTCGTGACATGCCCTTTAAAGATTAATATTAGATCTGAAATCTGGGTAATTGATGGCATTCTGCCTCATAGACACAGCAACCAGACAGAAGGCAGCTCAGCACATCCCTGCTATTTCCAGATCAAAGCGCATGTCAGTTCGGCATCAGCTCCGTCTCACACTGCACCTTCCGCCTCATCTCCCCACTGTCCTGCGGGCTGGTCCATTGGAGCTGAGTCCTGGGCCAGTGGGTGTGGTGTGTGCTGCTTTCAAGAGAAGCCCTTTCCCAGGGAAATGGTTCTTGACAGTCCTGCTGGTTGGAAACACACCTCTGCGTAGGTTGGTGTGTGTTCTCCTGCCTCCCGTCTCCAAGAGGCGTGAGTTCTAAGGGCTCCCATCCTCTCACATGCACCATGAGGACTGTCAGCCGCATCCAGCTCAGCTAGATGATACGAGTAGCTATGTGAGGGGTAGGAAAACCAGGTATTCAGTTTTGAACTGAGAAGTCCGGTATTTCTGCTTGCTATAAAATGAGAGAAATACAAGGCATAGAAATGCCTTTTTCTCCATAAATTAAGTTTTATTATGAAGAGATGACCTGGTTCGAATGCACTCAAGTGGTACCAACTCACACAAAATAGAAGTGGGGTTTAGATTGCTGCCGACACTCTGTGGCAGGTCTCTCTTTATTTGGTCTATCCCTGGCCACCATGGTGACTCATCTTTTGGAATCACCTGGTGGCTCTAAGGAGGAAGAAGTCTGGGGCCCTCTCAATAGCCTTTCCCAGGTGGCTGTCCCCTGAGGGGTCACCTCCCAGCCTGAGCTCCAAAGCTTCCATCCCCAATTCTCTGGGCTCTCTTGAGGGTGCTCAGGTCCTGGGGATCTTGGTCCCACTAATGAAGGTCAGAAGATCCCTGTGCTGTGGTACCAAGTGTCATATTTTATACCATTTTTTTTAACCTGTAGGGAGTCTTTTTGAAATCTTAAGCAAAATTTATAACAAGGTTATAGCTTTCCAGTTTGTGCAGTACTCAAGCCTACTATCTTCGTCACTCCCGTACTTGGGCAGATAAGTGATTAAATCATGGAATCCGAGTAAGGAGTGGAATGTCCCCGTTTCACAGAGTCCTAAAGAATCCCCATTGTGAAGCAGCTTTCTTCTGGGCACACGACTTTATTCACTCATCTGTCTATCACCTCATCCAGGCCTTGGCTACTGAGAGTTCCCCCACCTACAGGCCCTGGGCCAACAGGGACCATGGTTCCCTCATGGAGCTCATAATCAGGGGAAGACATCCAGGCAGATGATCGGAGCACAGTCATCCACTATGATGGGTGGTAGCTCAGGAGGCAGCCCAGGGGGTAACGTTTCTGCCCTTTGAGGAGTTCACAAGCAGGTATATAGGAAAGGACTCTCCAGGCTGATCCCACAGCAAGGAGAAAGGCCTATCACAGATGGAAGGCTTGACTCAGTAGAAAGTGGTTAGCAGGCCAGAATAGCTAAATCCTAAAGTGTAGGGAGCAGAGTGGCAGGGAGGAGAGAGCAGCTAGGGAACAAAGCTAGGTTGGGATCAACCTGGAAGGGCCTGGACTGTGGCATTTGACATGACCCTATAAGCTTTAGGAGACATTGAAGTTTTTAAGTAAAGGAATGGTACACGAGGTCTGCACTTGAAAGAGAACTCCAGTGATATTGACGTGGGAATATTTGTCTTGGCCATGAATGGATCTTCTGGGAGAGGGCCCGGAGGACACTCCCTAACATCCCTTAACTCTGTGTGGAGCTTGCCTTCACTTTCACACCTTCTCGATTATATTTTCTCCACTTCCATCTTCAGATGACTTCTTCAGGTCACATGGCAAGGTGTTACCCTCTCTTCCTTCACATAGCGGAAGGCAGTGGATTTAGGAGATCACCGTGTCCACCCAGCTCTGCCCTTGACCAGCTTTGCGGCCCTGACAAGTTCCTTCCCTTCTGGGCTTCAGACTCCTTCTGGGGGGCATGGGAATGCCAGTGCCAGGGCCATTGTGAGGTTTATACGAGAACACCTGTTACTCCCGGCGTGCTTTGCTTCCCTTAGACAGATGCTCTCGTGCCGGTATCGGCTTCAGACACCCAGAGCATCCAAGACACCTTCTCTCTTCTTGCCCTTTGGTTTCAGGGGAGGAAAGGGAAGGCCCAGGACCTACTTTTACCTTTGCAGACCATTTTTGATAAGACTTTATGAGTAGAATCTGGGTGAGGGCTATAGAAATCAGCTGTCATGTAGGATGGACCAACTTAGTGAGATTTATACATTGCATCCTCGGGTTTAAATCCAGGTTCTCAAAAATTACCAATACATATTTAATACTTGGGGTGACTCAGCATTTGTGAGAATGAAGACTATCAGAGCTGGATCTTAAACATCTTCTAGCCCAGGGCTTCTCAAACCTAGTTGCACATTAGAATCACCGGGGAGCTTTGAAACAATGCTGATCCCCAGAGCCCACCCCTCAGACCAATTGAATCAGAACCCCTGGGGTTGGGGGTGGCAGGCAGCAACAATCTTTTCAAACTCACCAGTGAGCACCAGGATGAGTCACTGATCTAGCCCAACCCTTTTACTCTCAGATGGGGGCACAGACTTCATTGCCCAAAAGCTGGGCCCCCTGATGCCAAGGCCAGTTCTCTTCCCATCGTTACTTATTCAATAGGTTTCTTTGGATGCCATTATATGTTAGATACTGTTCTAGGAGCTGGGGGCGCAGCTATCATGGAGCTTACCCTTTAAATGCACGAGTGGCCTCCAGATTGGTGGGGGCGGGGGGTGGGGGGAGCACATTGAAACTGGGTCCTTCCAGCAGTGTGTCAAGAAAGTCTTAGCCTCTGCACATCATTGGGATGGTAATGATAACAATAGCTAACACATGCTGAACATTTGTTTTAGATGTGTTATCTTTCTGAATCCTTGCTTCGCCCCTAGAATAATCAGCCCCATTTCCAGAGGCTGTATAAGTGTGTTTCATGGGTGCAGAGCTAGTGCCTGGTGGGCCTGGCATTTGAACCTAGGGCTGTCTGACACCAAAGCCCTTTCTGTTTACTGACTTTATTCTAAGGCAGCCAGTATAAAGATACAAAGAGAGCAGTTTCTGGAGAAATCTATCTGAATTTCCTCTCAAAGATGTAGCCCCTCCATCAGTTAGTTTTTGTTGCATAACAAACCACCCTAAAACTTAGGGCTTAAACCAACCAACATTTAGAATTTCTCATGGTTCTGTGGGTCAGTGGGTGATTATGCTGGTCTGGGTCAACCTGGCTGCAGCCGGATGGCCTGAGATGGCCCCACTCCCTTGTCTGTAGTTGGCAGGGTGGCTGCTCCAGGGATGCCTTACCTGGGGATGCTCGTGTTTGCTCCACGTGATCTCTCAGGCTCCAGGAGGCTTCTCTGAGCCTGTGTACTTGGCCGACCCAGCACTCCAAAGCCAGGGAAGTCTAACCTGGCCTCACAAGCGTGTTTACGTCTCTGCTGGTGTCATAACTGCTAATGTCCCATTCACCAAAGCAAGTCACATGGCCAAGCCCAGATTCAAGGGGTGAAGAAATAGATTACACCTCTTGATGAGAGAAATGACAAATCATATTGCTAGGGGGCACACATACGCGGATAGTGTGACATGACCGCGTAGGTGACAAATGGTGGGATTTGCCACCATTTTTGCCATCTACCACTGCAGACCGCACCAAAGAAGACTTCCGGCCCTGACAGGTGCCAGGAGTTGTTAAGGAGGAAAAAAGTGTTGTATTGTTGAATTTATTTACATACACTTTAGAGCACTTTCTATGGTGCCCTAGAGATGCATACTTTATAATTAAGTAACTCTGGTGTTTGTGATCATTTCTATTACAAATTGGATATCAACCCTGGGATAGACCTGTAATAACCTTGTGTATGCCACTCACTTTTGTGGGAAATCAGATTTTTTTTTTTCTTTTGAGACAGGGTCTGGCTCTATCGCCCAGGCTGGAGTGCAGTGGTGCAATCTCAGCTCACTGCATCCTCCACCTCCTGTGTTCAAGTGATCCTCCTGCTTCAGCCTCCCGAGTAGCTGGGACCACAGGCATGTGCCACCATGCCCGGCTAATTTTTGGATTTTTTTTTTTAGTAGAGACAGGGTTTCACCATGTTGCCCAAGCTGGTCTCGAACTCCTGAGCTCAGGTGATCTGCCCACCTCGGCCTGCCAAAGTGCTGGAATTACAGATGAGAGCCACTGCGCCCAGCCGGAAATCAGATTTGATTGAAGTAATTTAAACTGAACATCACCTTTTCTGGGGCTGTAACGTGAGGACTCCCCCGGGTGTTGTAGATCCTATCCTTTACTTCAGTATCCTGTACCTTGTGTAATATCCCTTGTCTGATGTTTTCTCATAATAAGATCTGTTATGCATTTTGGCAGGAATCCTCCTGAGGCCATCGATAGAGTCTCACTCTCAGTGCATCCTGTTGGGAGGCCCACGGTGCTGGTGTGACCCAGTACTGGTGAAGTTAGCTTCGATCACCTGGCGAAGGTGCTGTGTAGCAGGTTTCTTCACTGTAAACTTACTGCTTTTACCTTTGTAATTAGTAGGTAATTTGTGGGGAATACTGTAGGCCTACGTGAATAACTTGTTCCTCATCAGATTTTCACCTGCCACTTTTAGCATCCATTGATTTTTATAACTCTGCCATTTCTCCAGTATATAAGGAAGAGGTTTCCCTTATCCTCAGCCAGTTTATTTCTTTATATTGGTATGGACTAGGGTATTCTTACTCATAGTTGTCATTTTTTATTTTGATGCTCAAATGGATTCATATTTAGCCAATGGGAACCCCTTCAGGCTGGCTCTCATGCCCTTCTGCTGTGTTCCCATGATTCTTTGAGAACCTCTTTACTTTCTGGCACAACAAGATGTTCCTGGCCTTTTCCCTTCCTGCCCAGCACTGAATCAGCCACTTCTCCAAACAGCTCCTGTCTCTTTTAGAGGAGATGCTAGAAAGCAGAGTCTGGGTATGAGGAGTGCCCATTGCCTCTGAACTGCCGTTGCCTCAGCAGAGAGAAATGTATGCACACATGTGTGTAGAGAGAAATATATGTACACATATACATATAAGTGTACACACACACAGATGTGCGCTTATGTATCTGTCTACAACTACATATTAAAACCGACTTTATAATGATACATCTGATTTTGATCCAATATCACAGAGTACATTCTGATCTTCCCATTGTTTTTGCCAGCTTGGAACGTTAACATTCCTCAGCTCTGTCCCAGGTCTGCCTCTCTCACCATGTTCCAGAATATTTCATCTTCTCTCATGGTCTCAATTATCACCATGCTGGTTACTTCCAAACTCACCCTCACATCCCCGCCCGCCAGGCCTCATTTCTGGATCTCCACCCGGCAGCCCTCACACACCCATCTCACATTCTCGGTCATAATGTTCTAACCAGTGTTGACCAGTTGCCTCCCCTTGGCTGTGGCCCAAGCCCCTCAAACCAGACACATGCTCAGCGGGACCCACGAGTTCATCTCTGCTGCTTTTCCGCTGGCCCCCACGCCCCGTCAGTACCTGGCATTTCATTCTCCCAGCTCTTTAGGCCAGGATCCTGGGGTCACCCTTGATTCCGCCTTGCCCCTCTGCAGCCAGTGGCCAGGTCTCTTGATTCTTCCATCTAAATGTCCCTTGGCCTTCCCCAGCCACTCCATTCTTACTGCCACTGCCCTCATCCGGGCCACCAGCGTCCCTCGCCTGGTTCAGTGTCAGAACTTCCTCCCTGGTGTTCCTGCTCCAGCCTCACTCCCTGTAATTCATTCTCCTCTCCATAGCCAGGGAGACGCTGTTAAAACCTAAATCTCCCCATCTCTCTCTCCAGCTCAAAGACCCTTTGGTGGCTCCCCAGGGACCTCATGATGTCCTTCAGTCTGCTGAGAATGGCCATCAGGACTCCTGGCAGGCTGGTTCTTGGTTGTCTCTGGACCCTACTTCTATGCAACAGTTAAAAAGGCTGAGACACAGAGCTCTAAGAATTGATGTGGAAACACAGTCAATTGAAAAAAAGTAAATTGCAAAACAGTTACTTATGCTGTGATGCTATTTTTATTAAAAACACGAATACATACAAAACAAAATTCTGGCCAGCTGTAGTGGCTCATGCCTGTAATCCCAGCTACTTGGGAGGCTGAGGCAGGAAGACCCCTTGAGCCCAGGATTTCGGGGCTACACACAGCTATGATGGCACCACTGCACTTCAGCCTGGGTGATAGAGCAAAAGTCCATGTCTAAAAAATAAAAAAATAATATTCTGTCCTTTTTCTATACATGCCAACACGCAGGTGAATGCATGGGAGACAGGCCGGCAGGACCCCAGGCACTGTGTACAGACCACTACCAAGGCTTGCTCTGAGAAGGGTCCAGGGATCAGCGGCTCCGGATTCAAGGGGTGCTTTGACTTAGCTATCCTATTGGAATGGTTTCCTTAGAAAATATATTCATGTGCTGAAGTGTTAAAGAGTACAACTTAAAAATATAGATGGGTTGGTTTTGAGAAGGTAAAAAGAGCCCTGGCAGAGAAAGTGCGTCTTCCAAGCCTGAGGTTCCCTGCTCCACAACCGAGGGGTGTATGTGATGCTCAGCCTGGGGGACAGGCGTGCTCCGTAGTCACAGGCCATGCCTGTCAGGCCCTTGCTGTCAGTTACCCCCCGTGGCTGCAGATCACACTGCCTGTTTTAGAGCATGCCTTCTTCCAGAGGATGTGGTCGCTACTAGTGGTAACGTATCTGCATTGGACCTTGGGTCTGCTTTTTGTTCTGCATCTACAAAGCTCCTTTGGTCTCGAGCTCACTGAGGAGTTTCTGCGTTTGTCGCTGTGGGCAGCAGGTGTGTGCACTGACCCAGTGGCCCCTCAGCCACCAGGGTACCTTTGAACTCATGTGGAAAAGTATCACTGAGTTGCGTTTTATCTTTACCTTGAGCAAAATGCAGTTGATCCCTGCCCCAAGCCATTAAATATTTATAACGTTAAAAAAATGTTTCTTTAATGTCTCTGAGCCTCTCTTTTCTAAACTGTGGAAGAAAGACAATAACAATACCTGGACTGCTATGATGTTTAAATGAGATAAAAACATAAGGCCCTAGGTACAAACTAGCTGCTCAGTAACTGTTAGCCACTGGTATTAGTATTAGTGAGTATTAGTGTTATTACTGCCGTACAGAGGAAAATACCCTTTCGCGGTAGACCCCTTTCTGCCTGCTTTCCCATAAAAACAGGAGTGCAGCCATATTAAATTACATAACCCAGGGGCTGTGAGTCCCAACCCAAAGACGTTTGGAGGGACAAAAGCAATGTTTGCTGAGGAGTAACTCATTGGGTCCCCCAGACCATGGCTCTCCGTGGTGTCTGCTATCTCTGGTGTTGCAAGTCAAGCTCGACTTGGAAGCAAGATCCAAGCTTCTGAGGCTCAGTGAGAATGTTCTTGTTGTGTGTCGAGTTTCTTGTGGGTGTGGACTGTGGGGCAGCTGCCTTCCCTCTGTGCTCCCATAGCTTTCAGAGAACTGCCCTGGACCTGCATGAGGTTGTGCAGCCCAGCACTGCACCCTGGACCCTGGAGGGAGGGACTGCCCTGAAGGAGGAGGTGGGGGGGCTGGTGGCCCTAGATTCCTCCCAGGGCACTAGGGATGCAGAGGGATGAAGCGAGCCCCTCAATTACAGTCTTCTGTGTAGAGATGGGGAGCCTAGGAGGAGTCAGTGCTCTGTGTGTGTGTGTGTGTGTGTGTGTGTGTGTAATCCAGATTGCTCATGCCAAATAGAACCTCTAAGAATGTTCGTTTGTGGTGTGAGGGCACCCTGGTCTGGGTGCCCAATGAGTGACTCCTTAGCAAACATTGCTTCCGTCCCACCAAACGTCTTTGGATTGGGTCTCACAGCCCATGGATTGTGTAATTTAATATGGCTGCACTTACGTTCTTATGTGAAAGCAGGTAGAAAAAGGTCAACCGTGAAAGGGTATTTCCCTCTGTACAGCAGTAATAACACTAACACTAATACGAATGGCTAACAGTTACTGAGCAGTTCGTTCGTACCTAGGGCTTTATGTTTTTATCTTGTTTGAATGTCATTGCAGTCCAGGTATTATTATTTTCTCTCTTCTACAGCTGAGGAAAGAGAGGCTCAGAGAGATTAAATACTTGTCCCAAATTACAGAACTAGTTAGAAGTGGGGCCTGGTCTAAACTCATTTCCTGCAGAAACAGCTGCTTTCGACATAAAACCGCAGCCTTGCCCCATTTTCTCAGTGGCTGCTGTGGTCAGGCTGTTCTTTCCTGTTGCTGTCTGATCCCTCAGCGGTGCTGCGGAGTGGGCACAATTATCCTCATATGACAGATGAAAATCTGACTCTGAGGTTAAGTGACTTGCCCAAAGCCATACGGCCAACAAGCACTGGGCCCAGCTCGGCGTTCACACGTGTCTGACTCCGGCGCCTGTGCTCCGTCCTCCCGTGCTGCCTCTCACGCGGGGGACTCGGGAGGCTCCGGCAGTGGCTGATAAATCACTCCTTTTGGCTTATGAATAACATGGCAAAACAAATTACTTTGGGGATCTAGAAGGAAGTTGTTGGCCCTGTGTAAACTCAATTGGAATGTCACTGAGCAGACAGCTCTGGAGGCATCTACAAATATCTTCCAAGGAATATCCCCAAAGTGAAATCACCAAGAAAGCAAAACAGGCTCCGTGTTTTGGTTTGCAAATGAGTTTTGAGAAATGGCCTTGAGATCTTGAGTTGTTGGCGTTTTCCCCATTACAAATTGTAAAGGACTTTTGAAACGCCACAGGAAAGGGGCGAAGAAAGGCTTAGGGTTGCTGATTATTTACAGCTCCAAGCCCCGGGCAGGTACACAGAATTAAAGGCCTCCCACCACTCCAATTGCATTTAATTTTATTCCGAAAATGACTACCTGCCAATAAGCCTCATTGTTCACCAGCATCTCTGCAAGTACTTTGAGGTACTATTACCCGAGTTCACTTAACACCGCTTGACAACTTTAAGCAGATAACAATTGAGGTGCTGGTAATAGAGTCTGTTTTTTTTTTTAATTTTTACATTTTTACCACATGACTTTATGACTCTCTTTATCAAGCATGTTGAAATTAATCCATGTGTTGATTGGAGTATTTCCTCACCCCTGCTGTGTATTGAGACGTTGGGGAGGGATAAGGGTTGGCGGCTCTGAGCAGCTAGGTATTCCGGGGCAATGGGTGGTCCTAAGTCCGGAGCCTTGGGAGTTGGTCAGTGGTGGGTTTGTGTTGAGCCTGCAGAAGTCTGAGGTGTGTGTTTGGAGGGGAGAATCAAGGGATGGCTCTGGAGGACTGCCTTGGCAGGTAAAATTATAGTTCCCATATGAAGGGAGGATGCAGGAGCTATAATCCCATCTCGTTGCCAGGCAAAGTTCCTACAGATTCATGGCAGAGCTGTCTGTGCAAGCAGGAATCCAATTTTATGTCCAAACAAATGCAGCATGCAGATTGGACTGACTGCTTCCCCGAGAATAGCAAAGACAGGCATTCAGGTCAGCTGGCAAAAAAAAAAAAAACCCACCACCCCCTTTTTCCTCCTTTAAAATAGGGGGTGGGATTAATACAGTAGCAGATTAGAGCTTTATTTGTTTAAACCTTGTAGAATCTGTAAGCATTCACAATCCCCTTGACTTGTAGTGCCTGATTGTAAAAAGAACAGTTGAATGAGCTCATTGTTTTCTGGTTTTTTTCTTTAATGTATTTTACAAACACTCTGGTGACAGGCCTGACATGCTGATTTCTATGTACTGGCACTTCAGTTTGGGATTACAGCATTAATAACAGAGTTCCATGCATCATGCCATTTTTAAGCATGATCGTTATGATAAAGGGCATATACTTAATTACAGGCCTGCTTAATTACAGCTCTGTTGAAGCTCGTTTGTTTAGGAGAATGCTAATTGCGCCACAGAGCCAGCGGCACATCCTTGCTTTCATCTGCTGGAGGTAGCTCGATGCTGTGGATCAGCATTTTGTTAAAACTGCCACCAAAAATAAAAAAAAAATTTAAAAACAAGAAGAAGAAGAAAGCACTGGCCTAGTACTGAAAGGAAACCTGCCCCAGCACATGGCTTTTGGTAAGAGCAGAAGCCAGGGTTAGGTGACCAGCCCTCCCTACGTGGTGGGTGCTTTATCTCTGTCGTCTTATTTCATTTTTCTTCACCCTCACCACAGCCCGCAGAGGCAGCTGTAGTATTATGCCCACCTTACAGACAGGGCAAGTAAGGCTCAGAGAGGTGGGGTGGCCTGTGCAACAGCTGCACATCTGCACCTGCTGAGCTGCAGCAAAAACTCAGGTCTGCCAAGCTCCCAGCCCCTCCTTCCCTGCCATAGCCCCCCATAGCCCCAGAGCAGGTTACACTCTGGGTTTGAATCCTGGCTCCAGCCAAGCCTCATAACTCCTCTAAGCCTTGCAAGTGGTGTATTAGTTCATTCTTGCGTTACTATAAAGAAATACCTGAGACTGGGTAATTTATAAGAAAAGGTTTAATTGACTCATGGTTCTGCAGGCTGTACAGGAAGCATGGCAGCATCTGCTTCTGGGGAGCCCTCAGGAAGCTTCCAATCATAGTGGAGGCAAATCCAGAACAGGCTCATCACATGGCCAGAGCAGGAACAAGAATGCCAGAGCAGGAACAAGAAAGCCAAAGAGCGGAAGGTGCCACACGCCTTTAAACAACCAGATCTCGCGAGGACTCACTCGCTATCACAAGGACAGCACCACGGGGAAGCTGCTAAACCATCCACAAGAAATCCTCTCCCCACATAGCTCAGTCATCTCCCGCCGGGCCCCCTCCAATACCGGGGATTACAATTGAACATGAGATTTGGGTATTTGGGTGGGGACACAGATTCAAGCCACGTTAAGTGGTAATGTTGAGGCTTGAGTTATTTGATGCCTGTTCACCACCTTGTGTATGGGCAGTAAGCACGGATTCCCTTTCCTTTTCTATTTTGTAGAACTGGGCTTGGGGAGAACTTCTTTACCTCCCAGGTTTGTTGGGGGTGGGGGGCTTTGTCATGGCACACTGAGAGCTCCAGGGCCTGGAGAGAGGGCCACTTTGTACCTGGGTGCCGTCTTTGGCTCTGCCAAGGAAAGGGTAGGTGCCGTCCCTGCATCTAGGTTGTGAGTGCAGACTGGTCAGGCAGCGTGGGGGGATGAAGCCCCATCCAAGCCCTTAGGCTGCATGGAAGGGGCAGGTCAGGGGTGAAAATGTGTGTCTCGTTCCCAGCTCTGCCTCCATCCAGCTCCTCGAACAGCATGTCACCCTGCATGGGACTCAGAAATAGACTAAATGCTAGAACATCACAGTCTCTCTGCTCTAAAATAATAACAAAGACAAAATGCTAGTTGCAGCTAGGGAAAAAGAAAGGAAGGAAGTAAACGTGGCTCCCCAGGAGAAGCCAGGACGGAGATGATTCATGAACATTCTTTTGGAATGCATGAAGAATGCATGCCGTTGATTTTAAGAATTATGTTTTGCAAACCTCTAGATGTTTTAAAATATGAAAAGGCTGCCCAGATGAGAGGAGACATGGATGTTACAGAATTAAGAGGGGATTTAGCAGTCCCACAGATCAGCTTTCTACCCAACACACAAAATCCCTCCCTAGCTCCCCAGCAAGTCGCTGTCTGCGTCTAGCCCCTTATGCTGTGACCACCATGAAAACATGTGCAGACATTTGATTATGTTCACCTCAAGTCTTCTCTTATCTGAACCGCCACTTTTGCTGCAGTTCTCATGTGCTGGACACCATACTGGGCTCTGAGGGTGCTGGGCAGGGTGCTAGGATGAACAGAAATGGACAGGATTGTGCCTTCCTGGGCCATCGAACCTGATGGCTGCTTCTCCTTTCCCTCACATGGTCTGGCTTCAGGTTCCCTCACCACTCTGGCCTCCTTGAAGGCCCCCGGGATGACCCTCTGGGAAGGTGGTTCTGGCTCTGAGCGCCCCACTCAAGCTCCAAGTAGACCAGGGTGAGTGACTCATCCGGGCACCAGGACTGCGGCACTGTAACCTTATGATGCTCCGTTTAAATAGTCAGATCACGTCATTGACTTACTCACCTACAGCCGCCTTCTTTCCTGTCTCCTGCTGTTATTCCACGCCTCTTCCATTCCATCCAACACAGTTGGGTTTTCGGACCTACACTACGAGACTCTTCATGGGTCTCTAGTGAACTCCTTCCATTACATTTGGCCCACGATCACAACTTTTTGAGACTTTACTGGTTTTCACTCTGTTATCTGGTTTGTAGACTGCCCACCTCGGCTTCCCATCAGGCGTGCATTAGATGAGCATACCCTGTGTGTCTTCATTTGAGTCATTGATCATGCCCTGGGCACCCTTCACAGGGGTCACTTAAGGTTAGCATTGGTCTCTTAATCAGCTTCTTGAATGTGTGGTTCAACCAGTTATGGATTCTGCTAACCTCCACAGTAGCCAGCTGTATTTATCCATCTTGTGTACATGGATAACATGAGAAAATTTGTAAGATGCTTTGCTGAAATCCATATTATTTCAGCCTGCTTTAATCTTTGATATACTAGATTTTCTAAAATAAGTGGGATTTGGTGGGCAGATTATCTGCTTAGCAGAGTCTTGCTGGTCCTGGTGGCACTTGCTTCTCTTTGGAGCCTCCCTGTGCTGGTGAGAAGGGCACTGTGAGAGCCCCGCTCCTCTTGATTCAGCTCCCACTGTGAGCTTCAGCCCATGGGATCCTATCACCTCCTCTTTCTTTCCTCTGAGTTTGTTAAAATCTGTTTTCTAGGCCATGTGTGGTGGCTCACACCTGTAATCCCAACACTTTGGGAAGTCGGGCTGGGAAAGTCACTTGAGGCCAGAAGTTCAAGACCAGCCTGGACAGCCTGGACAGTGAGACCCCCATCTCTACAAAAAATAAAAGTCTATTTTCTAGAAGAACATAGGGAGCATCTGACTATGCCCCTCCTTCTGTCGTGAACTCTCAGACGGTGGTGGTCTGTCCTGAGGCTCCCGTCTCTGTCACTTGACCAGACAGCTCCTCCTTGCAGTTAGGATTAGGTCAGAGCAGGTCTCCTCATCTCTGCTGCTGGTCCAGTCAGGAGCACATGGGCCGAGGGGTGGAGCGAGGCCGTCAAAGTCCTGAGGGCCCCCCTTGCTGCTGCATCTTGCTCCTCAGACATTTCAGGAATGCGTCTTCCTTCCCTCCCAGTGGCTGCTGTGCGGCATCCCGCAATGGTCTCACATCTCATCTTTGCCTCCTCACTAAGGTGTTACCGCTGAGCCTGCCTGAGGGCCAGAAGGTGCCCTCACCCAGGCACCTCAATGCCTGCATGTGGAGCAGGTTGGCCATGGGCCCCACCAACTCCCCAGGGTGCCCCAGAAGGTCTGGGAGGGAGGGCTTCACCTCTGGAGGGCAGATGTGAGGAGGGCCTGCAGACAAACGGGAAGTGCCTCTGAGGGACTTCAGGGCCCACTGGGAGGTGGGGTGAGCACCCTGCCCGCTCCCTGCAGTCTCTCAGTGGCTAAGGGAGGGCCTTGTCCTAATCATATGTGGGTGTGTGTATGCATATGCATACGTATGCACTTATAATGGAAATATATAATTTATACCTTACATATTATATATACAAAATGTAGAATCTGCCGGTCGCGGTGGCTCACGCCTGTAATCCCAAGACTTTGGGAGGCTGAGGCGGGCGGATCACAAGGTCAGGAGATCGAGACCATCCTGGCTAACACGGTGAAACCCTGTATCTACTAAAAATACAAAAAAATTAGCCGGGCATGGTGGCGGGTGCCTGTAGTCCCAGCTACTCGGGAGGCTGAGGCAGGAGAATGACGTGAACCCAGGAGGAGGAGCTTGCAGTGAGCCAAGATTGCGCCACTGCACTCCAGCCTGGGAGACAGAGCGAGACTCCATCTCAAAAAAAAAAAAAAAAAAAAATGTAAATCTATAATCTATGTAAAGGTATATTTTTACATAATATATGTGATATATATATATTTGTGTGTTAGGCTGTTCTTATGTTGCTATAAAGGAATACCTGAGACTGGGTCATTGATAAAGAACAGAGATTGAATTGGCTCTTGGCCCACGGTTCTACAGGCTGTGCAGGAATCATGGCACTGGCATCTGCTTCTCGGGAAGCCCCAGGAAGCTTCCAGTCATGGTGGAAGGTGAAGGGGGAACAGGCGTATCACATGGCCAGAGCAGGAGTGAGAGAGAGGGCCAGGGGAGGTGCCATGCACTTAACCAGATCTTGTGAGAATCACTCACTACCGTGAGAACAGCACCAAGCCATGAGGGATCCACCTCCATGACCCAAACACCTCCCACCAGGTCTCGATCTCCAACATTGGGGATTACATTTTAACATGAGACTTGTCAGGGACATATATCTAAACTATGTCAATATATGTACAAAAAATGCTATTGTTGATATCTAAGTTTTACAAGTGTATAGTCCATTTTCATACTGCTATGAAGAAATACCTAAGACTTCATAATTTATAAAGAAAGAGAGGTTTAATGGACTCACAGTTCCACATGGCTGGGGACACCTCACAATCATGGCAGAAGGCAAAGGAGGAGCAAAGGCATGCCTTACATGGCAGCAGGCAAGAGAGCATGTGCAGGGGAAACTCCCCTTTATAAAACCATCAGATCTCATGAGACTTATTCACTCTCATGAGAATAGCATGGCAAAAACCCGCCCCCATGATTCAATTACCTCCCACTGGCTCCCTCCCACAACTCGTGGGGATTATAGGAGCTACAATTCAAGATGATATTTGGGCGGGGACATAGCTAAACTATATCAACAAGTTACTTTTTTATCCTTGATTTTTATTTAAAGCCCTAAACTCAGAGCAGCCAGCCTGGGCAACCCATTCTTCCTCATCTCCTCTGCTGACTAGCAAGGCAAGAGCGCAGCGTGACAGGAGGCCTGGCTACTGTAGTCAGAAAGCCAGGCTTACGGGACCACCTATGTTTCTAGATCCTTCTCTTTCAAAGACGTGATCATCAGTTGGAAGGAGAAAGAAACACACGCTCCTTGTGGGAGCAGGGAGAAACTGCTTCATGGGTGAGGGGTTTGGCTTTGGAGCGATGGAAATATTTTGGAACTAGATGGAGGTGATGATCGCACACCATTGTGAATGTTCTAAATGCCACTGAATTGTTCACTTTAAAATGGTTAATTTTATATGAATTTTTTAAAACATTTCCCTCCCTGCTTAGATCTTCCTAGTTCCTAGAAGTGATTCCCAGGCTTCTTCCATCCATGGCTTTCATCTCCAGCAGCAGCAGGCGGGGGTAGCAGTGAGCAGGGTCCCCAGGTCCTGAGAGAGTTAGGCACTTGCCCCAGGCTGGAGCCCTCTACCCAGTTCCCCAGATCCCCGTGCATGGGAACAGCAGCCCTCCCTGTCCAGCACAGCCCCTGAGCCCCCAGGCCCTGCCCCTGGGCTGGGGACCTGGAATGCAGAGGTGACTCGCACATGCACCTACAATAAGAGGAGAGGAGACACGGGCCTGGCCAGACCCCAGGGAGGACCTCGGGGAAGGCATGCTGCAGGAGAGGCACTCAGAAGACTGGGAAGGACAGTTGAGGTACAAGCATAGAGGGAGGGAAGGGATGGGTAAGCCGGGAAGAGGGTCAGGTGCAAGGGGCCAGGGCCTTCAATGCCAGTCGAGACCCCCATCTTGGAAATCCTGCCCTTCTCTGTCCATTGGAGGCACAGGCAGTACTGACAGCCTCTGACTAGGGAGGCCTCCCATGGGAGGAGCCCCCTTCCTCTCTGCCACCCCCAGTACTTCTCAGCCCCCTCAGTTCCTGATGTAATCAGGTCTTTGCACATCACCTTACCACCTTCGTAACACACAGGATCCCTAGACATACAGTGACATGTAGATAGAAACAACTGTCACCAGTGAGAGGCAGTTCTTCACTCCCAAATACTAATAAGGTCTTTAAAACATCAGAGGCAGAAAGTCTGGGGAATGAATGGTGAGTGGGTTCTGCAGGGGAGCAATTGCCAGGGCCTGTGCACAGTACCTGGGCGTGCAGAGAGGACTCTGCTGTGGACCCTGCTGTCTGTCTAGCAGGCAAGAGAAGCTGTGGAAGAGATGGATGTGGGCAGAGAGTGGGAAGTGAGGACCATGACAGGTGAAGAGTGGGCTTCGGGACTTTACTGGGGAGGTCAAGTAGCCTGTACTATCCAGAGCTTTGGGGCCACTGCTGCCTACCTTTGTGACCCCAGCAAGCACCGACTTCTCAGAGCCTCTGCTTCCCAATCTCTAAAATGATCGGAAGTGTTACGAGTGCCCGGCCCATCTCAGCAGCACTAGGAAGGGCATGGAAGTCAGGTCAGGCAGATGGTGGTGGGAGCTGGCACACCTCTTCCTGGATATCCGGTGGGACTTGACTCTGCCCTTCTCTAGAAGGCTTTGTGGCTCTTCCAGACTCCTTTATTCATTGCTGAACTTTTTCATCTGTGAAGCAGCATACACGCATAGGTACTTAGAGTTCACACACAGGTCTGCACGCGGGATGTACTGAACGAGATTGAGGCCCAAATGCGGGACGTACTGAGTGAGATTGTTTGGGGCCTTCCCCTCACCCCACTTTCTGGGGAAGTGTTGCCTGTTCGGGACTTTTGTCCCATCTCTTCCGTCAGCTCACAGCAGGTTGCCAGCACCACCTGAAATGGGAGAAGGCCTCTGACCAGGAGTCTCTGTCTAAGTCCAGCAGCCACACTGGGCAGCGGCCCTTCCAAGAGAGGAGGGCGCGGGGAATGCAGCGACTGCCGCCACCTGTGCTGTGTCTTTTTCTTCATGCTGATCCAAGAAGGTTTCGTTTCTTTCCTTCCCTAAAATAAAGTGTGAGCAGAGTTCTATGATGTTTTATCCCTGTATGAACGTAGCATGAGCCATTCGGCTTTTCTTGCTGATTGGGAGGATCCGTTCCAGGTTTTTTCTTCTCTTATGTCCTTTCCTCTTGCTTTGCTGCTTTCTGCTTCTGCTACTCTTCTGTGTTAGGACTGAGAAAGAAAAAATATGACCACTGAAGGTTCCAGAGAAGTCATCATTCCAGGAGACACTGGGGGAAGCAAAGATTGTTGGTCCCAGGAGCGCACTGCCCGACGCTGCCCCCATGCTCTACCTTGCTTCCATTGTGCTCACTCCGTTTCTCCCTGAAACCACAATTTACTGCATAGCCACCACCTCAGGGTGCGGCCACCCCTGACTTCGGGGCTCCGCGTCCCTGCACTCATGACCAGGCCCCTAACAACTGCGGCTGCATGTTCCCGACTCTTCCCAGACCTAAGGGAGAAGCCAACACTGGAAAGGCCCCTACCACTGTCCCAGCAGCCGCATGGCTGCCACGTTGGCTCTGTGAATGCCGGCATCACGTCTCGTCCAGTGTGACCTGTTCCTCAATGTGGCAGGATTTCCAGTCCTGGTGTGGCACCAGAGTCCTCCTCTCTGAGGTTATAATTCATAGAGAAGTGCTCACTTACGGAGGCACACCCTGGGTCGTTTCTGTCCGTGTGCTTTTGAAAGCGATCCCCTGGGACAGGGCGGAGGGAGGGGTGGCCACAGAAAAGGAACCAGGCCCCTGGTTTCTCCATCGTTGCGTCCCCGTTCCATGCCCTTTTTCTCGTGTCCTGTTAAAATTGAGCACACTGGTGAGCCTCTAGTCAGCCCTTGATGCCCTGGGTCTGAGTGACTGAGAGCGACAGCCACTGTTGCCCCCACATGCCAAGCACCTGCTCTGTGCCAGCGCTGGCCAGGTGCCCCACACACTCCACTTCTGATGCACAGGCACCCTGTCATGTAGGTGGCGCCATCTTTTTAAATGTGACTTCAGTTTTTCGTCTTTCAACTTCAGTTGCTCATCTGCAGTCACCAGCTGGGATTTGAACCCAGCCAATCTGACTCCTGAGCTCCTCTTTCCTCCCACTTAGTCTTTTCCCCTGAGTCCAACAGCACCTTAGAGCATGTCTAATGCACGTGCTTACTGCCTTCATCTCATTGCAGCCTGTCCCTGCCAGCTGTGTCACCTTCATCCTGCTGCCAGCCCCTGGTGACTCTCCCGTTACAGATCAGAGACCAGACTCCAGGGGTGGAGAGTAGGGGTTCTGGACCAGCCGCTCTCTGCTCCTAGAGCTCTTGTCTACACAACTGCCTGGTGCTCAGGGGATGACGAGGCGCCTGCCTCTCTCAGTAGGTTGTGTGTCCTGGCAGCAGGGGTGGGACCTGTCCTCTTTCATAGCTCCAGCACATCTGTGCTGGATGTCACCTGGCTCCATCCAGTGACGGATTCATATTCTCTGTTTCGACATCTTCAGTTGCTGGACAACTAAATGCCATCTTCAATACCTTTAATGCCATCTTTTTTTTTCTTCTTTTGCAGCAATGGATGGTGTGCCTTTTATGATTTCAGAGAAGTTTTCTTGTGTTCCAGAAAGTGTAAGTTTTATGCATGATCGCCCTTCCCCTCTGCCACCCCCCAGCCTGAGGTCCCTCCATCCTGATTTACACAGCACGCAGGGCTGTTCTGGCAGTACTCACGCCCCTTCCCCTACCGGAATCTTGTCCGCCTGCGTGTCCTCTCTCCCACTGGAAGCTGAACCCTGCAACCCAGTGACAGGAACTCCTGAGGTTGGGGGGTGGGTCGTGTGCATCTCTGGCCCTATCAGCCAGTGCCCCATGTAGTAGGTGTTTGAGAAATGAAGAAAACAACAGCTGGGGGATGGGAAAGTAGCAAGAGGCTGTCAGACAAGCTCAGGTGCACTGAGCCTTTGCCATGCCGCACGTGATTAACCCGACCTGAGCTTCCCTGGTTGTGAATGTTCTTTGTCTCCCAAGTCCAACTTAGTAAGTTTTGTTCTTTCTTACTTAAGGATGACAATTTCCTGTAGAAAGGAGGCTGCCTCGTTTTCCCATTGTCATAGCTGCATTCTGCGCTCTGACACGGAGGCCGCCATGCAAATGTGGTGCCTCTAGCTGTGGTCTCCTGCCCATGCCAGTCCAGCATGGACCCAACCATCCACATCAGCACTCTCACGCAGGCCAGGCTCACGCCATCTTTTTATCAGAGGGACCGAGTGAGCTGGCCGGGACCAAAGGCCAACTTCAGACTGTGAGGGGCGGCCACCCTGCATGGCAGTGGGGTCTCTGCCTCTCACTGCTAGGGTCAGCCCTCCAATGGCGCCAGCCCCCAAGGTGGCAGTGGCCCCCTCCCAGCTGCGCAGGCTTGCCCCACGCTGGCTCAGCAAACCCGTTTCTGGTTTTGATCCTTTCTGCAGAAGTTGGCCTTGACTAGCTAATAAACATGAAGGCCCCAGCTTGGGCACAGCTAAAGAATCCTTTAGTGTTTTTCTTGGATCCAGCTTAAAACCACCCGGCTTGCGATTTGACCTGCTCTGTAGTTTCCATTTTCGTGAAATAGAATAGGCCTCCTCTGAACCCTTCTGGTAAGCAGCTTAATCTTGAAAAATGCTCGTGATGTGACATGCGGAGCTCCAGGAACTTCAGCCGACTCCACGGGGCCGCGTTGCCATGGCGACGCTGGCGCCTCTGCCGCCGTTCCCTGGGAGAGGCAGCTCTGTCCTGCTCACCAGCTCCAGTTGGGAGAATTTAGTGGGGTGGTTAGAGCCTAATGACACAGCAGCTGCACCTCTGCTGGGTCGCAGGCAGGCGGCCCCGCTCTCGCACCCCTCGTTTTGGCAGCACAGAGAGCACCACACTGTTCCGTGGCTACCGGCAGAGCAGCCGCGAGCGGAACGTGTGACTCGGTGGCCCCGTCCCAAGATCGCCCTCGCGAATGTGCTGCTGCCGGGCGCTGCCACCTCGGCCAGGGCTCCAAGGACACATACCCAGCCAGGCCCGGTGCCCTGCGCTCCCTGCTCTTCTCAGTGCAGCGCCCCGCAGCCCCACTACGGGGGCCGCCGCTTTTAATGGACGAGGGAATGAGGAAGGGATTTAACCCGCAGCTGCATCGCCAGGAGGCGCTGAGACTGGTTTTGAGTCTGGGTCCTCAGACTCCAGAGCTGGCCTCACAGGAAACCCCTGCTGGCTTCGCGGAGGCTCCAGCTCCCCTCCCATCCCTGAGCTGCCGCCCTTCAGGACCATGCGGGCCCTGGGGTTCTGTCGAAGGCCCTCAGGTTTAGCCTTGGCCCCAGGAGGCTGGGCCAGGGACCCTTCTGGGGAGCACAGAACACTCATGTGCCCAGTAGGGACTCAGACCAGGAGCCACATGGACTGGACGCCCTCTGCCCTCCGAGCCTCTGAGTCCAGGCTTCTATGGGCCTCTAGCTCACTCAACTGCCATGTGTATTTGATTTTTCATGCTGTCTGTTGAAAAGCCAGCATTTTTTTAAGTCTCCAATCTTCATGAAATTATAAAAACTCTCATTAAAATGCAATGTTATCATTTTTTCCACATCGATTTCTCAAATGATAATTGATGGGCAGTTGTTTCATTTACCTGGCATTTCCAAAGACCTGGAATCCCCCCAGCTCCTACCCTGGATTCCCCCTAAGGAACTCTTCCTCCCTGGAGTTCCTTAAACCTCCTGCCTTACCCAGACACAGTGGCTGGGCGGCCTCCGGGGAGAGCTTGGGCACCTCCGGTTTATAGCTGCAGCGAGAAAGAGCAAACCTTGCCTGCGTGTTCTGCTGGCAGGGTGAGAAGACAGGTGAAGCAGGCCAGCCACGGTCAGTCCTCCAGGAGACCTGGATCCCCCTGGGTGCCACAGACCACAACTAGGCAAAGGTCCCGCAGCACAGGGGCCAGCACCTTGAGGGCCACATTCCTGCAGCAGGCTCTATCATCACTTCTCCTGCCACCCCCACGCGTGACCGAGAGTCCCACTGACTGTCTTCCTGTGGAAAGTGGGTAGAGAAACGCTAGATCACACCGTGGCTTGAGGTGTTACCATTGTCATGCATAAAAGTAAGTGTGGGAGGAGCATTTTCCAGCTATTTAAAAGGGCAACTTCATCTGTGTTTTCAGATGCAGCCCTTTGATCTCCTGGGAATCACCATCAAATCTCTAGCAGAAATCGAAAAAGAGGTAAGCAAGCCATCAGGGGAGGGGAGGGCAGGCCTGGGCCATCGCCTGCACACCGGCGTCTCTCGTGTGTTCCCCTAGGGATCCACTCCAAGAGAGGGACAGGTGGAGGTGTTCCGTTCTCTTCTGAGAAAAACACTTTCGTTGCACCCAAATGTGTTTCTTAGATAAAGTAACTAAATTCTAATGTATTTCCTACTTCCAGTCAAATATGACCCACATCTTGTCTTCTCTAAGTCAGAATGTTTTACATGACAGACAGAGCCTCAGTTCTCCTTTTTTAAAAGAAGTCTCAGCTTTGGGAAGGTGGAGGTTGGAGGACAGGCACCAGGTTGACTTTTCTTCCTCCATTTGTTTTGTTTTATTATTTGCCACCAGGAGGGGTTTCGGGAAATGACCAAGCGTCTCCACAATTTAGGGGCAGGTCAGGGTACCTTCCACTGTGCTTCATGAGGTCAGGGTACCTTCCACTGTGCTTCATGAGGTCAGGGTACCTTCTTCCACTGTGCTTCATGAGGTCAGGGTACCTTCCACTGTGCTTCATGAGGTCAGGGTACCTTCCACTGTGCTTCATGAGGTCAGGGTACCTTCCACTGTGCTTCATGAGGTCAGGGTACCTTCCACTGTGCTTCATGAGGTCAGGGTACCTTCCACTGTGCTTCATGAGGTCAGGGTACCTTCCACTGTGCTTCATGAGGTCAGGGTACCTTCCACTGTGCTTCATGAGGTCAGGGTACTTCCACTGTGCTTCATGAGGTCAGGGTACCTTCCACTGTGCTTCATGAGGTCAGGGTACCTTCCACTGTGCTTCATGAGGTCAGGGTACTTCCACTGTGCTTCATGAGGTCAGGGTACCTTCCACTGTGCTTCATGAGGTCAGGGTACCTTCCACTGTGCTTCATGAGGTCAGGGTACCGTCCACTGTGCTTCATGAGGTCAGGGTACCTTCCACTGTGCTTCATGAGGTCAGGGTACCTTCCACTGTGCTTCATGAGGTCAGGGTACCTTCCACTGTGCTTCATGAGGTCAGGGTACCTTCCACTGTGCTTCATGAGGTCAGGGTACCTTCCACTGTGCTTCATGAGGTCAGGGTACCTTCCACTGTGCTTCATGAGGTCAGGGTACCTTCCACTGTGCTTCATGAGGTCAGGGTACTTCCACTGTGCTTCATGAGGTCAGGGTACCTTCCACTGTGCTTCATGAGGTCAGGGTACCTTCCACTGTGCTTCATGAGGTCAGGGTACTTCCACTGTGCTTCATGAGGTCAGGGTACCTTCCACTGTGCTTCATGAGGTCAGGGTACCTTCCACTGTGCTTCATGAGGTCAGGGTACCGTCCACTGTGCTTCATGAGGTCAGGGTACCTTCCACTGTGCTTCATGAGGTCAGGGTACTTCCACTGTGCTTCATGAGGTCAGGGTACCGTCCACTGTGCTTCATGAGGTCAGGGTACCTTCCACTGTGCTTCATGAGGTCAGAGTACCTTCCACTGTGCTTCATGAGGTCAGGGTACCATCCACTGTGCTTCATGAGGTCAGGGTACCTTCCACTGTGCTTCATGAGGTCAGGGTACTTCCACTGTGCTTCATGAGGTCAGGGTACCGTCCACTGTGCTTCATGAGGTCAGGGTACCTTCCACTGTGCTTCATGAGGTCAGGGTACCTTCCACTGTGCTTCATAAGCTGGAACACATCTGGCAGCCTGCTTTCAAACAGTTCACACATTTTCCTAATAAAAAAGAAACCCAGGACTGGCATGCGGATGATAACTCTGAAGAAAGGGAGTTGAGTCAGACCACCAGGGCCCTCCTGTTTCCCTAAGACAGCACGGGGTGTGTGGCTTCTCTTCTGTAGAGCGGGTGGTTAAGCAGTCACACGCCACAGCCAGCTCTCCTCCGAGAGGAACATTCATCTCAAAGATGGAAATGGTAGAACCATTTCAATATTCTCCATTCCTTGGGGTTTTCTCTTGTGTACCCAGCTAGCAGAAGCCGGCTGCATTATTGAAAGATGGCTGAAATCAAGCAAAATTGAATCAATGTAGTACAACAAATTTCTAAACCTGTCATAGCAAAAACAAGACAAAAAAGTCCCCCTTTGTCTTTGATTTTCAGTAAATCATAAAAACCAACCTGATTGTCATATATAGATTTTTTTTTCTTTTTTTGATAACTCAGGGAAAAAATGGCTGGCTGGGACATTAGAAACATAGGTGTGCATAAAATTTCACACCTGCCCTTCTCAAAGCAGGGGAGCTGTGGGTGGCTGTGAAGTCCACCTGCTTATGGACAGCCCATTTGCATGGGGCCCTGCGTGTGGTGCAGCCCAGGGTATGTGAGGAAGGCCTCAGAGGAGCTGCTGCTGCCACAGGTGGTCACCAGGGCAGAGGTTACACTGACATACCTCCAGACCAGCCCGCTCCACTGTGGACAGGGGCAAGTCACATACCTGCTGTTTACCATGGGGTCACGGCAGAACCTGTCTCACGGGGTGCTTTGTGATGCCAAATGGATATAGGTGGGACGTGCTGGCAGCAGCGGCCTCAGCGTCGAGCCATCTCCCCTCCCGTTCTGCTCCGGCCTGCCTGTGGGCCTAATGGTGGCACCGTTTAAGCACCTGCTGTGTGCTCAGCCTGGGGCCTGAGGCTTTCCATACGTGATCACTGGTTCCTACCCCAGGCCTCATTCCTCCCTGTGTCGTGGGGAGAAATGGAGACTCCGAGAGGTGGAGTAACTGGCCAAAGACAAGGTGGAGACCCAGTGTGTCGTGCTCCAAGTCCTCCCCACTGTGACGGAAAGTGGCAGCTCTGTGTCCTTCCAAGGGGGCTCTCTAGGCTGGTGGCCAGTCAGTCTAGTTCCTTAACCTGGGTGGGCCTTCGAGTTGCTGGGGTGGGGTGAAGTGGGTGACGGTCCCAGTGTGGGGTCCAGGGCGGGTGGTGGGAACCCTGCAAACCTTATTCTCTTCCCCACTCTAAGGACTGAAATCTGTGATTCATTACAATGTAGTGTCTCAATGTCGGGCGCTCCGAGTCACAGTGTGGCCACCCCCAGGAGGTGCAGAGCCAGGGGTTGGGGCACACCCCGGAGTCAGTGCCTGGCTAGAATCTCAGATCTTCCACTGACTTTTCTGAGCCAACATTTCTTTTTCTGCACGATCAGGATAGTAATAATAGTGCTTAGTCCAGAGTCTATGTGGGTTTAACTGCAAAGGTCCAGTGAATGGCCTGAACCAGTGCCTGCCTCAGTGCTGCTGGCTGCCACTGTCATCACAGCCACCACCGTCACCATCGTTACCGTTCTCCTTGTCCACAGAGAAGGGCGTGAGTCGGCACAGGCCCACCCATTCCACTGTCCCGCTGCTCTGTTGCTGGGGCTGAAAGCTCCATCCCTGTGGACCAAGGTCAGCTGTATTTCTTGGGTTTAGTGACGGGTTAAAAGAAAAACAGGTCTGGGCCAGGTGTGGTGGCTTACGCCTGTAATCCCAGCACTTTGGAAGGCTGAGGCAAGCAGATCACCTGAGGTCAGGAGTTTGAGACCAGCCTGGCCAACATGGTAAAACTTTGTCTCTGCTAAAAACACACACACAAAAATAGCCAGGCTTGGTGGAGCACACCTGTAGTCCCAGCTACTCAGGCGGCTGAAGCAGATAGAAATCACTTGAGCCCAGGAGACGGAGGTTGCAGTGAGCCGAGATTGCACCATTGCATTCCGGCCTGGGCCACAGGGCGAGACTCCGTCTCAAAAAAAAAAAAAAAAATAACAAAACAGGTCTGTATTTGCTATTGAAGTAAATTAAAGTCGATGTAAAGAAATGTGGGGGAATGGGGAGAGGTTAGAACCTTAAACAGGGTAGAAAACCATAACAAGTATCGCTGCAGTGGAGAGCTCCACAGAGTTTTTCATTTAACCTGAGGACTTAAAAGTTCCTTATACCAGCCATTGGCATGCACAGCCATTCGCGTAACGTTGATGTCCACACACTCTGGCCAACGGGCTCCTTCCGCAGCCGTGGCAAAGGCTTTTCTCCGTAAATAAACCTGAAGTTGCTTCTTTTAGCCACTGAACTCGGCATTGCTCGTGGGAGTTGGGGGCTCAGGGAGAAGTGGTGCCTGGAGCCAGAACGACTGGCTGTCACTCTTGGACTCTGCAGGTTTGGCCCTGGAGTGGGCTGTGTTCCCTGGGTCGGGATGAGTTTGATTTTGTGCCTTCCATTTATAACAGGTCTGGCTGCCCTTAGTGAGGGGCTTGGGGGTGGAGAAGTCTCTGCTCAGAATTTGCTTTGCTCACTGTAAACCTTTGTGTTTTATACCATTAAACCAAAAAAAAAAAAAAAAAAAAATAGAGTAAATACAAGTGGGAGACTGCTTTCAGGTTCAGGGGCATAGACCTTTGACCGTGCCTCCCGCTCGTCCAGAACATCTCCCCAGGCTCGCCCACGATTCCCAGACAGGGTGGAGAGCCTGGCATCCAGGGGGAGGCTGCTCTGTGCTGGGCAGGTGCTTCCCTTCAGGATCCCTCTGCACCACGTGGGAGGAAGGGGGGTCCACCCATTTACGGAAGTCTGGACTCAAGAAGTTAAGTGACTGGCCAGATTCCCACAGCAGCAACCCAGAGCTGAACAGGGGTCTGAGTGTGACCCTGGCTGAATACATGACCGTCTTCATCTACTGAAGAGTGGTCCCAACTTGAAGGGAAATAGAAGTGTGAGCCCTGAGGCAGCACTGTCCTGTCCTTCCAGAACTGCAGCCAGTGTCCCTCCTGCCAGCGTTAACTGTCCTCACCATGCCCTGCCTGAGGGATGTTTCTGAATCGAAGCCGAAGCACAGTTGCCACCATTCGGCTTCAGGGACGGTCACCCTCCAACAAACCGTGTGACCCTGTGTATTCTGAGCATGGAGGTTAGGGACATGGGCAGCCACAGGGAGCTCCCCAGAGCTAGCCAAGCAGAGCTGCCTCCACCCCCACAAGGACACAGATGGCCTGGCCTAGGAGCTGCCCAGCACTGATTGACAAACAGGGTGTCACTTGGTTGTGGGTGGGTGTCCCTCAGCCCCCAGCATCCTGAGGAGCCCCAGGGAGCATGCGCTCCTGGGCCCGGACAGCCAGGCTGCCCTGGAGAACTGGAAGGGGAATGAGCCCATTCAGATGCCGGTGTCTGCAGGGACCCTCATGGGCTGTGTAGGCAGTGGACAGGACACAGCCTCCCAGTGTGGATGCCTGGGGTAGGGGACAAATTTGCTGTATAGGCTTGGCCCTGGGGCATGTTCCCAGGCCCCCTCACCCCAAAGTGGAACACAGGCCTGCTCATCCCAGCCCAGCGTGCCACACAGCGCGGCAGTCAGGGCACCTGGCAGCTGGTGGAGCGTGGTTAGATGTAGCTGCCCTGCTCTTCACCAGGGTCTCCCCAAGAGTCGTGGTACCTGATGCACTTGGGTGAAATTTCATGAAAAATGCCCAAGGACGGTCATGTTTTAAAGTTAGAATCAGTGGATGCGCCATTGAGCAAATTTTGAAGGAAAGGATCTGTGGAAAGACAGAAAACCTCTCACGATTCAGACATGCTCCATGATGGCGCGGGTGGCTGAAAGTGAAGGAAGCCGTGATTCATAGAGAAATTCCAACTCAAACGCCGTCACCCTGCTGGCTCCCCATGACAGAGCAGTGGCCTTCTGCCTGGCCATCTTCCAGCAGCCATGTGCTCCTGCCACCTCCGTCACCTCGCACCCAGAGCAGGGGCTTTGCTGTCCTCCCAGGGCCCGCATACATGAGTCCCAGGCATGAGGAAGTGAATTTTTACCTCATCGTCCCTCAGCCAGGGAGGTGACCAGGGGCTGGTCAGTGGCAGCCTCGTGGCCACCGTGGGCAGTTTTCTTGTCCCGGCCCCACCTGTCCGTGCCTTGTCCCCTCCCCTCCAGTTTGGCTCTGCAGGAGGGCAGTGGGTGACCCGGTGGGGCTGTTGTCCCAGTGAAGCCCTTACGGTTCTCCAGACAAAAGGCTGTCTGTGTCCCAGAGCCTGGAAAGTGTAATTTCGCAGCCAGCGCCCATGATGAAGCATCTTCTCTGGGCGTGAGGAGATGGGTGTATAAATATTCTCTGTCTCTGCCGCTCTTTATTTCCCTGGTAAGCAGTTGCCCCATTTCTCTAGCTGATGGATTCCCCATCGCAACCAGGGTGGGAGCTGCCTGGCTCTGCAGTCCAGGCGGGAGCTTCTAAAATAATCCTCATGTCTTGATTACCTGTGTATCCTCCCTCCCCACCCACGGTCCCGCCCTGGCATCCGTGGAAGACCTCACCATCCCGGTCAGGAGGCAGCAGCCTTGGGTGTAGGTTTCATGCTGTGTGCTTAACTACCCGCAAGCCTTGTGAGAACAGGAGTGAACCATTCCTGTAATGACAGGGCACCGGGCAGTGGAGAAGTCCGGAGCGACTTCCAGCCCCATGCGGAGCCGTTTCTATCAGCTGCCAACCTCAGCAGAAACCACAGTGCTCCCCGTTCCCTTCCAGGAGTGCCACCATCAAAACCGCGGCGGAGGAAGCACACATTAGCCTGCCGCACTCCTGGCGGAGCAACAGCCTCCATTTTCATTCGACTTTAAAGCCGAAAGATGAGGGAGGGTCTAATTAGTAAAGGGATGCTCTAATATTAATCACCCGCTTAAAATTGACAAGGGAGGCAGTTCATTTAACCACTTAATTGCCACAGGTTTTTATGGGCTGCTGTTTGCAGACATATTTAATGAAGAAGTTATAAATCTAAGGGAGCTTACAGTTTTAATTTTATACCTAAATATTTTCCTTGTTCTCATGTTTGTAGTCAGTCCTCAAGAGTGTAGTCACGTGGAATGTTCTTTAAATGAACATATTTGCTAACTGGCGTGATTTCAGTTTTTAAAACACTGGTTCCAGCAATTAGGCATTTTTTTCAGTTCCCAAATGACTAGAGAAATCCGTCTTGATTATAATTGCTCTTAGCCACGCATATCTAATTTGTGTCTTTTTAAGTGTTAATTAGTAAACAGTTTGAGCTGACATCTTTATGTGTTTGTGCGTTGAAAAATGGGGCTTATTGCTTATTTAGCTTGGGGCCGATTCCACTAGCATTTACGTCACGACACTGAGGTGGAATTAATGAAAATGCATTTGGCAGCATGAGGTGAAAAGGATTTTTGAATTCAACTTTTAGACGTCCGCATTGCGTGGGCTTCTGCGGGTCTCTTCAAATATACGAGGTTAGCGTAGATTTGGGACCTATGTCCCGCAGGAATAAAGTGAAGCAGATTTTTGTATCAATAATGAAATGGCAGCGTCCCAATTTTATAAAAGCAAAATGTTCCTATTCCCGCACAATTGTTCATTCTTTCTACTTTTGGAAAGCTTTCCTGGTGCTTATTAGATGTTGAAGAATTTTGTGGCGCGAACTGGTGCAGCCTGAAAAATGTGCGGTCCCTTTGCACCATCTAGTGGTAGGATCTTAAACTGCAGCAGGAAATAAGGTGCCTTTTCTCTGCCTATGAGATTCAATATTTCACCGCCCAGAATCCTTGTTATTTCTTTATTTTTCTGTTAGAAAGCTGAAATGTTTGGGGAAATAAATCTGCCTACTTCAGATATTAAAAGTTAGATAAATAAAAAGAAACCAACCTAGTCTGCTCCCTTTAATATATTGCTAAAAGACACAAAACTATCACCCAAATTCCTACAGAGCTGTCACACTGAGCTAATTCCAGCCCAAAACAAAGAAACCTAACGAATTAGTAAAGTAGATGCCTTGCAGAAATCATGAGAGAAGTCTGAGGCTTCTTTTCAAATACAGGATATAGCTTGGGACCACCGCTTCATAGACTCTACAAGCGTCTGACCACAGCGCAGGAATCAGTTTTATGCCACAGACAAGATTAATTATCTTCCCATAAATTGTTGAGGTTCTTTTGGGCAGTTTATCATTCTAAGCAGCTCCCCTGCCGATCAAAATTGATTTTTTAAATATTTAGTGTTTCCTGAGTACCAAGGTTGTCCATGTTTATAAAAATGCAAACATTACAGGAACATGTAAAAGGTGAACCTCCCCCTCCGTCCACTCCTGCGGCACGTGCACACACACACACACACACGCTCAGCAGGCTCATGCAGTACTGCCGGCTGCGACCTGCCTCTGTACTATCTAGTATGTCTTACACGTCTTCGCATGTTCCTTTACAGATCAGCCTTACCCTTTTTAATGACTATATGTTGTTCCCTTTTATGATTATGCCATAATTTATCTAACCAATCCACTATTGACTGACTTTTGAGGTGCTTCCAATTATTCACAATTACACCGCTGCAATAGATTTCCTTGTACATGTTGCCTGGCTCGCCTGGGTCTTTCCCTGGAAGAGGATGTATGTTACCATTTGCCTTTTGAACAGGGCGGGGCTATTGGAAGTCCCACCAGTGGTGCCTGAGGGGACCTTTCCTCACATCCTTATTCTAGCTAAGACTCACTGGGACCTTAATGTGCCCCTCCATTTAATTTTTAATCTCTGCTTATTTTGGCCAGGTGCAGTGGCTCACGCCTGTAATCCTCACACTTTGGGAGGCCAAGGTGGGAGGATCACTTGGGCCTAGGAGTTTGAAACTAGGCTGGACAACATAGCACCACCCCATCGCTACAAAAATAAAAAAATTATCCAGGCACAGTGGCTCATGCCTTTCTTCCCAGCTACTCAGGAGGAGGCTGATGTGGGAGGATCACTTGAGCCCAGGAAGTTGAGGCTGCAGTGAGCTATGATTGTGCCACTGCACTCCAGCCTGGGTGACAGAGAGAGACCCTGTCTCTTAAAACAAAAAACAATTTGGCCACTCTTCAAGTTGAACAACTTTTCAGGTGCTTATGAGCCACTGTGTTCTCACGCGAGCGTCTTCTGCTCGCTCTCTGCTCAGTTGTTTTCTATCAGCTTCTGTAGCTTTTGCATTGATTTTAAAGAGCTCTTTACGTTTTAAAGAGAGCAAACTTTTCTCTATGAGTTCAAATACACACACTTTAATCAGTGTCTTTTCAGCTTGTAAATGATGTGTTCTGCTATACAAAAGTTTCAAAATGTTCGTGGGCAATTTTCTCTGTTTATTTGGGCTTTGTGTCATAGTTAGATTATGAAAACATTCACCCCTGTTTTCCCTTATTATTTTATATATTAAAATATTAAATACTTTTCAACTACTTAATCCATCTGAAATTTATTAGAAGGTAAGAACTACAGACAGCTTTATTTTACCCTAAAACATTAGCCGGTTTTCTTAATGTTGGCGATCTTTCTTTGACTCTTAAATGCCACTTTTATCATATGTAAGTGGATCAGTGGATGTTTTTCTTGATTCCGTTCTGCTCTGTTATTCTATTTTTATATTAGTACCACACTATTCTGAATCTTATCGCTTTATAGTAAGTTTTAATATAGGTTAGGGTTAGTTCTCTCTTTTTTCCCCCAGAACTTTACTAATTTTACTCACAGGACTATTCTTCCAGTTGAACTTTAGAATCTTGGGGGCGAAGGAAGTTCCGAAAAGCCCACTCTCGATTTTTATTGGAACTGCATTGAGCACATGGTTGAACAGAATAGTAATCGGAATCTTAGATCAAGCGTCTCTCCATCCAGAAACAAGGGATGCCTCTTGTAAGCCCAGGTCTTGGTCCTTTCTCTTTAGGTCATTCCTAGGTGCTTTCTGTCTTTGTGGTTCTTGTGAACGAGATCTTTTTTCTCATTCTATTTTCTGCCACTTATATGTAAAGCAACCATTGACTTTTGTGTAATATTTCTGGAGCTAGATATCCCTCTGGCTTCTTTTACTGTTTCTGATGGCTTTCCAGCTGCATTTCATCGGTTCCCCAGGCAGGCAGTTACGTCGCCTGTGAATGCTGAGGCCTCCATCCTGGCAAGGTCGTTCCTCTTCCTGTGTGCCATTGTCCGACACCTCGGCAGGGACTTGCAGGTCCCCAGGCCTCCTTATGTCATCCGTATTTTAAATGGAAGTTTGTAGTTTCAATATTAACCCATAGTGCTGCGTTTTGACTTGCTATTTATAGACATTGTTTTTTTTTTCCTTCATGTTAAAGTGTTAGCCATCTATTTCTGTTTTCCTAAATGTTTTTATCAGAAATGGATGGTGGCTTTTGACAAATATCTTTGAATCATCCATTGAGATGATCATATTTTTTCTCCCCAAGCATATTAATACGGTGGATTGTATTAATAGAGTTCCTAATTCCAAGAGTCTTGGAGGCCCCCTTCCCCACTGCCCTTTTGGGTCTTCTCGGCAGCCAGTGTCCTGGCAGCCACCACCACCACACATCTTGTTCCCGTGGTGGCCCAAGGCATTCATCATATGAATAAGAGAACCAGGCTGAGCCTGCAGAAATAAAGTGAAGCAGAGATTACGTTTGCCAGGCAGAACCACCTGCCCTGGTTACCGCCATGAGTCATACCCGCTCATGCAGAATTGAAGTCAAGGTGAACATCTCGCCTTTTGCATGTCCTTCAGAGGAGGATTTTCCTACCCTTTTCTTATGGTCTCTGGGAACTTTTGCACCTCTAGTTTTAGGTAAAGTAATGCCTACAAAGATGAACAAGTGGAAAGCTACCTGGCATGTATGTAAAAATAAGCATCAAGACAAAGGGTGGGGAGGGCACCTTTTCAGAGCACCTCACGGCTCTCATTTTCCACCCAGTAACCAGTGGTGGCAATCAGTGTGGTTTTAAATCTCTTCTACAAACTATCTAGAAGAGGAGAAATACAAAGACTCACTTTTTAGGTGGTATTCAGGTGAATTCTAAAATGCTGACTCAGTGACCAGGGAGCACCCCACCCCCCCCCAGGGTTGTTTGCAGACACCAAAATAGCATTTAGGCCAGGCCCGGTGGCTCACACCTGTAATCCCAGCCCTTTGCCAAACCAAGGTGGGTGGATCACTGGAGCCCATGAGTTTGAGATCAGTCTGGACAACATGGTAAAACCCCATCTCTACAAAAAATACACAAATTAGCCAGGTGTGGTGGTGCATGCCTGTAGTCCCAGCTACTGGGGAGGCCAAGGTGTGAGGATCACTTGAGCCCAGGAGGTCAAGGCTGCAGTAAGCTGAGATCGAGCCACTGCACTCCAGCCTGGGTAACAGAGTGAGATCCTGTCTCAAAAAAAAAAAAAAAATGAGAGAGAGAGAAAGAAGAGAAGGGAAATAGCATTTATTCAGTGGCCAGGGCATCTGACGGTGCACAGCCCTGCCCAGAGCCTCCACCCAGAGCAGCACAGCTGGACACCCAGGTGCCACAGGGAGGGAAGGGTTGGGGAGAGCGAGGCGAGAGCAAGTCATGGTTTTGTCTTTGTTCGTCATGCAGCCGTCTTCATTTCCACCACAAAATGTGCTTTCTCCCATTTTTGTTTTGAAATACATAGTTTTCTCTATCTTTCATTTTCCTACTTTTAATAGTCACAAGTACGAGAAACGTTTTGCTTTCTTGCTTGCTCTGCCCCCATCATCCTATACATGCACACACAAGACACAGTCACTGTGGTGAGATGGCAGTGGACACTCTTCCCAGCTGGGCGCCGTGTAGGGAGTGCGGGGTACTGTGGCAAACTGGAGAGCACAGGCCTCTGGAAAGGAGGTCACCTCCACCCACCACCCACCTGTGAGACTGAGGGTTTACTGGGTGAGAATGAGGGTCTGGAATTGTATCTCCCTATGTTTTTTTCAATAACATCTAGATAAATATTGGCATCCTATGCAAAGTCTTTCCACTTTTCAGTGTTTATGACTATTGTGAAACACCGCACAGGCCAGCACTGTGTGAACCTGCAGCTTGTACACTGTCTGCATAGAGAAACAGACCAAATCACTAGACTTAGACTCATTTTCATCATCCACAGGTGTGACATGCTGCTGTGGATGGGCCCTGGGCTTGGTACTTGACATGCATGAGTTACTGTACCATGGGATGGGCTGTCACTCAGTCATGCCCAGGGGCCCCAGGGCTGTGCAGGCACAGTGCTGCTGCTACAAGGACTAGAAACCAGGATGACCTTCTACCTGCCCAAGAACTGAGCCCCTAAACTAGCTGCTTTCTCTCCTTTGCATTGAGCTATGCCCAGAGCCTGATGTGTCTCTTCACTCACCATCGACTTGTCCACCCACCCACCCACCTACCCACCCGTCCATCCACCCACCCATCCATACACCCACTTACCCAACCATCCATCCACCTACCCATCGCCCCACCCACCCTTCCACCCATCCATACACCTACCCATCACCCCACCCACCCTTCCACCCATCCACATATTAACCCATTCACTCATGCACCTGCCCATCCACTCAGCCACTACCTATCCACCCATACCCACCCACTCACTCACCCACCCATTCATCTACTCACCCACTCCCCCACCCACCCACCGCTACCCACCCACTGTTCACTCATTCCTGCATTCATTCTAGGCTGTGATCTCTACTGGGCTCTGGAGCTACAGCTGAGGCTCCACAGCTGCCCTGAGCATGAGGAGGGTATAGAAAGTGTTGTTGTGGTCCGTTCTCCCCGGGGAAGGAACACGCTTCCCAGAGCAAGTGCCCCTTTAGTGGTCCTTAAGGACACGTAGGACTTTGCCACTTGAGGGAGGAGGAGTGTTCCTGACAGAACTGGCTGGGAGAGGAGAGAGAACCATGCAGGGGAAAGACCTCTCCCCAGGATGTGGGGCTCAGGGCTCTGCATCAGGGTGGGGAGCTGGGAATCACTTGCCCTGCTCCTGGACACAGGCCAGATCCTGGGTGGAAGGTGTTTTGTGAGATAGGGTGCCCTGAAGGTGAGGGCGCTCTCCAGGCCCCTGTCCCCCAGGGGACAGGCAGCCTAGGGCAGGGTGTCCCTCAGAGACAGACTCTCAGCGTTGTCATCACCCAGTGGGAGACCCAGGCTTGGAGGAGACAGGAGGGGCTGGGTACCGATGAGGATTGACAGAATGACTGGGATGCGGACTAGTAGAGAGGAAGAGACTGGACTGGCAGATGGCCATGCATTTATTCAGTGACCCGGGCTGGGTGCTGTGCTGGGCAGTGAGGACACAGCAGTGCCCAGACACACAGGCTTCTGCTTCTGGAGCTCTTAGCTCCAGGGAGCAGGGGCTGAACTGGCTGGAAGTGGGGGGCCCTAGAACCACATGGAACCAGCGGGGCCCTTATTGCACCCCCTGGTTTAGGGTGAGACCCCCCAGCTGGATCTGGGGTTCCCTGCTCCTGGGTTGCAGCTCCCAGGTTAGAGCTCATGAACCATCTGGGCGGGCTGTTAGGAAAACAGAAGTAGCTTCCTAAAGGGTCTGCGGGAGCCCTCACCCACCCCTCTGCCCACGCCCCGCAGTGTGGTCATTGAAGGCCTCTCCCAGCTGTGCCCTGACCCCGAGGCCTTGGTCAGGTGGTGCAGCCTCATGGGACCTCGGCTCACTCCCCAGTAGTGGCAAGGAGGTTCTGTCCTGCCAGACTACTCGGCTCCCCACTCCTGACCACAGGGGTCACAGCCCTGAGCTCCAGGCCCAGCTACAGGGCCTCGCTTTCAAAGAGAGCATTGAACAAGGAATCCACCTCATCTCCGGGGCATGAGGTGAGCATCCTGGCTTCTCCCTACCCCCAAGGCCCACCTGCTCGTGAACAGCCTTCCTCCTAGTGAAGCACTTTCTCACGCTTTCTGGAGCTGGGGCTTCCCGCTGGGTATGCAGCCTCTCCAATGTCTCTAGAACCATGGCCCAAGTAGGAAGCAAGGACTTCAGCTGGCCCTGCAGCTGCTGGAAGAAGACGTGCAGGGTTTCCAAACCGAACAGTTGCTCAGAGTCACCTGGGGTCCTTGTCAAAACGCCCACACCCACTGAAGTACTGCCTGGGGAGGGGCCCTGGAATATGGCTCAGAAAGCAGCGGGCGGCCCACCCTCGTCTCGCAGAAGAGGCCTGCAGGATGGGGCCGTGGGGCCCTGAAGGCCTCTCCCGGGACTGCAGCGCTTCAGGCCTCGCCATATGACGTGGGCACTGTGCTGGGCCCTGCCTCTCTCCTCCCGCAGCGTTTCAGAAGCCAGGGCTGCATTCCTCATCTTCAGGAAACAGATGAGGACGTGGAGCCCCTCATGTGAGGAAGCTGAGGCTTTAGGATTTTAGAAACAGGAAGAGCCTGTATCATAGCCGAGGCCGTGGGAGTGCCTGAGATGGAGGGGGATGACTGGAGTGCTGAGCCGGGGGGGCTTGGAGAAGCAGACAGGTGGGGCTGCTGTACAGAATCTCCCCCACCTCTCCCTGCCTGTGCTAGGGCCAGGCCCATCCGCCTGCCCAAGCCCACCCATCAGTGTCTGTCCACCCCTGCACCAGACTCTTCTCGTTGGCCCCAGCCTTGGCCCCTTTGGTTCCCTCCCACCTGTCCTCACCTGGCCCAGCCCCTGCCCTCTGGACTACACCATTCCTGGCCCTATCGTGATTCACCCGTGAGCTCACTAGTTCATGTCTGTCGGTCTGGCCCCCATGCTGGAGTTGCACCCCAGGAGAGGTAGGTGCCAATGCCTGCCCTAATGCAGGTTTCCCAGCCAGCCCAGCGCCTGCCCCCTGCGCCTCTCTGGGCCCAGGCCTCGTCCAGCATTGCCCAGCTCACTCTGGGACCTCAGGAAGTCAGATCCTTTCTTGGGCTTCACTTTCCTTCTCTGCAAAGCTCGGGTGCTGGGAACAGCCCCTTACTGCCTTTTCTCGTCTGGAGCCCTCTAGAGTGTTTAGTATGAGACCTGGTGTGGGAAGGAGGGAGGAGGCTGGAGGGGCAGTGCACTTGCCTTCCCCTCTGGTGATTAGTGCAATTAATACTGAAATCACCTGAGTGTTTTCAAAAAATGCTGGTGTCCCCGTGCCGGTTAAACCAGGACCACTCCTGCCAACCACAGGTGGGGGCCATGCATCACTGTGGTTAAAGCCTTTGGTTCTGATGCATAACCAGGGCTAATTCTCTTCACTTTCAAGGCACTTGCACACGAATCGTCCTAGTTGTGGGTAGACCAGTAGGTTCTATTGCCCCCTCTTTGCCTCGAAGCTGGGTGCTTTCCAGGTGCTGCTGGAAGCTGCAGTTGGCACCTTCTATCACAGGACACTGACCTCACTATGAGAAAAGGCTTTTAGAAGCTGAGACTCTCGCACCGTGGCCTGAGACGCCTGCTTCCATCAGTGGCAGGGTCCCCGGGACCCCTGGCAGAGCCTCCAGGACCCCTGGCAGAACCCCTGACAGTTACATCTCTTTCCCGAGAGAGGCCTCAGGCCCGGGCTGCCCAGCTGCTGCAGTGGCGGCCTGTGCCCACCAGAGGGCGCAGGCCCGGCGCTGCGCAGCTGGACCGGGCTGTGCGGACCAAATGCTTTTTAATTGAAAATTTTTTTAATTCAAAAAGGATTTGCTGTTTGTTCGCAAGTGCAGGTTTTCCTTATGCAGGAGACTAATGTCTTGAGTAAACAGATCCGGGTCCAAATCCACCTTCAAAGGTACTCGCTGTTTGCCCAAGGGAGTGAAAGGGCTTCCAGAAGCGGCCCCGTCTCCTGGGTAAACACGGCGGGAGGAGCGGGCAGGGACCGCGTCTGCGGGAAGGCGGCCGCAGCCAGAGGGGATTATGTCGCGGGACATATGTTGAAATTTCATTTGGGGAGTTAGGGAAAACAAGAAGCGGGGGTGGGTGGCGCTTTTCTCCAGCCAAGATAACCTAAAAAGGGAAAAAATCCCGAGGGAGAGAGGGTGGGGGCGCAATCTGTGCGCCCTCGCGGGGACCGGCGTGGTGCAGGCAGGAAGGGGCGCCTTCTCCGCCCTCCCCCAGCCCGCGGGCCGGGAGAGAGGAGCTCAGCCCAGCCCGGAGGGCCCAGCCATGCCCTCCCCGTGACCCTGTCCCCACTCCTGGCCACAGAGACTGGGACAGCGGCACAGGGTCCCCACGACAGCCCCTCTGCCGAATCAGCCAGTTGCTCACACAGGCGTGGAAGCGTCCTGCTCCCCCGCTCACCATCCAGAAAGCTCCCGCTAGGCCCGGGCCTAGGCTCTCTGGCTGTGGACACTCGGGCTGGGGCTGCAATCGCCCTTAACCTGCTCTCTCTGGCCGGCCAGCCCTCAGCACTCCCTGCCACCCCCAGGAACCCGGCCCAGTAGATACAGCAAGACCTACTGAAGGAGCAGAAGGGCGCGGCCCAGGACGCCTCCCCCAGCCCCTCCACTGCCCTGCAGGAACCTGGCTCTGGGCTTTCTCCCTCTATCATCTGAGATGCTTCGCGTTTGCAGGCATCTCCCTGGCATGGCCTTGGAGCATCCAAAGTGGAGCACCTCCAAGCCATGTCCCACCCCCTCCCCCAACCAGTCCTTCCCCAGCTCCTTTCTGCACAGCGTGTGGTCTCTGGCCCTTCCCTCTCTGCCCATCCATGTCCACACCCATTCCCAGGTTCCAGTGATTGGGTCGTAGAATTCTCTAAACTGATCCCCAGACCAGCAGCATGGGGTTACCTGGGAGCTATTTGAAATGCAGATTCTCAGGCCTGGCCCCAGACCTACCCAGTCAGAATCTGCATTTGACCGGGACCCCCCGGGGACTGGTGTGCGTTCAGAGTTGAAAAGCCTGCTGCATGTTCTCTCCTGAGCCGGGGCTGATGGCCTAACTATCCACGCCGTAGGCCCTCAGCCCCGCTGTCTCCGCAGGCATGTGTGCCCGTGGCACTCTCCTCTGCACCTTGGCACCTATTGCCCTAGGTGCCGTCCATGCCCTTCCCCAGTCAGGCCCCGAATCTGCTTTCAAGATGTGAATGCCCCCTGCCCCGCGAAGCCCTCCTTGCTCTCTCCGGTGATCCCCACGCCCCGTGCATGTGCCCTCGGAGGTGGCCTTCATGCTGGGCTGTGCTGGGCATGCCCGCCCCCTCCTCTGCTACCTTGGGAGTCCCGCGCAGGGCGGATGTCAGTGAGGGCTGATGAAGCCAGCCAGGGAATGAATTTGCCGCTGTTCCCTGCCGTGCATGTGCCCAGGCGGCCACCAGGTGGCAGTGTCCTCCCAGACTTTGGCGCAGCTCCCCCTCCTCAGCCTCCCGGAGCCGGAGTCTCCTGACCGCGGCCTGTGCCTGGTGGTTGGCGAGCAGGAAAGTGAGAGGGCTGGAGTGAGAGAGCTGGCGCTGCATGGTGGGTTCTCTGGAGCAACCAGATGCTCAGTGATCGCTTGCTCAGTGCTAGGGCGCGGCGGGCCCTGATCTACCATCGCTCATTCCATCCTCCAGGCAGGCCTGGACATGGGCGCATCACCCCACCTGAGAGATGAGTTCACTGAGGGCAGGAGAGGAGAGGAGCCTGCCTGAGTAGCCCTGAAGCCTCGGGTCCTTACCTCTGCACCCTGCCAGGCAGCAGATGCTGTGAACAGGGCTCCCTTCGGTTTGGGGGCCACATGTCTGCTCAGCCCACCGTGCACACGGGGACAGAGCCAGCCTCAGCCCCAGCTGAGACTCGGGTCTGTCCATCTGTCCCGGGTCAGCCTGGGGACTGTGGAGCAGTGGCAGCCATGGACATAGTGCTGGGCTTTGGCTGTGGACATGGCGCTAGTCTGTGGCCATGGACGTGGTGCTGGGCTGTGACTTGCTGGCTGCCACAGCCTCCCCACCAGTTTTCCACTTTAAGGGAAAAAGGCCTCCCATGCTCCTTCATGGTTGGATGGCTTTTGGGCCCCACTGTGCCCCTGAAGGCTCAGCCCTGCGGCCCTCCTCGCTCATCAGGGCCCTTGGGAGGGCTCCTTGCTGCAGGCGGCTCGCTCTGGGCAGCAGGGAGGGCTGGGCAGGCCTGGAAAGCCGCCTGCTGGTGGGCAGGGCGTGGGCACCCCAGGGCCCTCCCTGGGGCTGGGTGCAGTGCTCCGCCTCCTGCTGGGGCGATGTGACCCCTGCCGTGTTCCTGAGGGCCTCCCTTCCTGGCCTGCCCGTGTACAGGTGTCCCCCAAGGAGCTGCAGCTCATGGTCAGCTCACCCATAGGGCAGCTCCACTTCCACCTGCTGTCTGCAGGGGAGCCCTTCTTATGACAATTCTACTGCTAAAACTTTTCAAATAAATACTTCAAATGCTTGAAAACCACTGATCTAATCTAAGCTCCTGCTTCCTAAAATCCATGTGACCATGAGGCTGCCTTGACGCAGGGTTCCAGGCCATTCCCCATACCCCACCCAGCCCCAACGCCTTGCACCTGTGTCCGGCCAGGCAGCTGCCAGCCCATTTCTGTGGCTGGGGTGCCCCGTGCCTGCTCTGCCCACATGCCCTGCCTTATGTTTGGGCACCGAGACCTCACCTGGCCTCTTAAGTGAACTACAGGTGCTCCTAGCCCCCTCAGAGGTACTTAACCCCTTCTCTAAATTTCCATCAGACTTGGAACGCGATTTAGTGAGCCAGGGTCGGTTAGGTGAGCTGGGGTCTCTGGCGTGAGGCTTAACTCCTGCCCCCAGACAGGGGAGCAGCAGGGCTGAGCCGTGGAGGAAGGTCCCCCCACCGGGCAGCTGCCCTGGCCCCGCTGTGGCCTGTCAGGAGTCCTCAGCAGGGGTGCCTCTGAGGACTCTGTGAGGAATGCATGGGGAGGGTGTGGATGGTGCCAGGGACAGCAGTGGAGGCCCCTCCCATGACCCTGGGCACCACCTGGTATTGGTCCTTGCTTCAGCGGAGCCAGCATATCAGGGGTCCCTAGAGCCTGGCAGCTGAGACCAGCCTCAGCCAGGTTTGGGGTTGAGAATCTACCCTCACCAGCAGGGGCATGAAAACTGTCCCGCTGGGTGGGAGGCCATGACAGTCAGCACGGGCCTGGCAGATGGGCGGCACCGTGGTTTTACACACTGCTGGTGCCAGGCCTGGCCTCACAGGGAGCAGGCAGGCACTGTGGAGGGTACCAGTCATCACCACAGGAGCCTGTCACCCCCGCAGGCGTGTCCACGCACACACGCCACATGCACAGTTCAGGGGCCCACGAGGGCAGGCTCTGGCTGGCACCGGCCTGGCCAGCTGCGCCATGTCAAGATGCCCCACGAGGCGGCCCAGGCCTCTGCCTGATCTTGATCTGAGGCTGTGGAGGGGTTTCCCTAGTGTCCCATGGACTGACTGTGTCTCTCTGTCCCCACCCGCCCCTGCAGTACGAGTACAGCTTCCGCACAGAGCAGAGCGCAGCCGCCAGGCTCCCGCCCAGCCCCACCAGGTGTCAGCAGATCCCGCAGTCCTGAGGAGCCAGCGGCCACCTGCGGGGAGACCACCGCCGCCCAGACTACTGACGGCAGGGGCTGCTGCCCCCGCCTCCTCCTGCCGCCTCCGCCAGCCCTCCCTCCCACACTGCCCCAGCAGGGCTGGCCCGGAGACTGGGCAGCTAAGTGGGCGCATCCTGTCTTCAGCTGGCCTCACTGACACCCCGGCCTCCCTGGGGACATTGTTCATAACCATGACTAATCTGTGTGTGCTGTAGTGACCAGCGGCTCCTAACGTGTCTGTGTGATGACCAGTTGTCCTCCAAAAACCTCACTCACCACGGAGTCACCCTGAGGGCCCCGGGCAGTTGCCCTGGCCGCCCAGTGACGCCCACCGGCTCCCTCCGCTCCCTCCTGTCACCTACCAGGGCAGACCCCACTAAGCCGTTGAGTCTCTTCCTGGAAGACCCTGAGGGCCGGCAGCTTTGCCTAGGACTCTCCAGGGTCGCTGATCCTCCCCGGCCCAGGGCTGCCAGGAACAAGTTCCTCTCTGCAGGATCTCACAGCAGCCCTGAGAAGACATGGGAGGAAGAAGCCAGTGGCCCTGGGGTGGACCCTGCCCTTTGGACATCCCATGGACTTGTCACCCAGTCGCCTGGAAGTCGGGGAGCAGCACCCCTGCCCCCGGTGGAGGGGTTGTTGCTTTCTGGGGAGGAGGACGGTTGACGGCCCTGCTTGGATCCACCACCAGGACGCTGTGCTCGGCCATGGCGCGCCTCCCCCAAGGGCTCATCTGTGCAACAACCACATGCCAACAATAGCTCCAGGTGCCTCAGCCCCGTGCCCTGACCCGGGGACCACAGGGACACCCTCTGAGACGTGCTGGCCCCAGGAGGATACAGGCACACGGGCACCCAGCCCCTCTCAGAGCCAGGCGTGTCTTGACGGTATCTGCTGACGGGAACAAGTCATTCTGAAAGGTCCCTCTGACCCAGGTCACCAAATTTGGGCCAGAACTGGCACTTCCGAGTGCCCACTGGTGCTGGCGTCCTCAAAGTGCCGGGCGCCAAGTTCAGCCCCAGGTGCGTTTGCCTAGGCAGTGGTGGCTGCCATCCCTCGGGGCCCAGGCCCTCACCCGAAGGGCTGCCTCACTCTGTGGTGTCAGGCACTGGGCTGTGTCCTGATTCCTCAGAGTATGGGGACCTGACATCTTTGGGTCCCCAAGAGTTGGCTCTTGGATGTGGAGGCTTGATGCTGCGGTTGGGGGCTGCACTACCTGCGTCCGTGGAAGCCTCTGCCTCAGCGGGGACGGCCTCCTGCTGCAGGTCCTGGGCAGCCCACAGTAGTGCTAGCTGAGGCCCAGAGGAACGGGAGGAAAGGGAGGCAGCGCCGGACGGCGCAGCTGGCCAAGAGGCGGGCGGGGCCAGAAATACCTCATGCCCCTGCACCAGCCCCTCCGTCTCCAGGCCCCAGGCCTCTTTGTGGACCCATCTTCCTCCTCTGCCACCCCGATCTTCACTCGGATACCTCTTGATTTCTGTGGATAAGGGAAGCGGCCACTTCTCCCTCCCTGAGACCCGAGGATGCCCCTGGTGGGGGTGGCCTTCTCAGGACTCCTGGGTGGCACAGCAGCAGGACCTTGTCATGGGACTGATGCTGAGCAGGGAGGGGGCTGCCAGGCTGGCTGCCGATGCTCCGTTCACATAAGCCAGTGTGGTTCTGGGGACCTGAGGAGCCCTGTGGCACCCACAGGGGGCACCTATGTCTGCCGTGGCTCCTCGGGTGGTGCCCTGTGTGACAAAGCCCAACAGCAAGGGTGACTCCTGGCAGGTGGGGGCAGCAGGAGGGCAGAGGGCAGAGCTCTGGCCACTTCTGCCCACTTCATTAGGGTTTGTGAACTTTGTCCTTCACCTCTTTTCGTGCCCTGGTTGTGAGATTGCCTCTAACAGGTAATGCCAGGGGCCCTTCACTCCGCCCCCATGACTGGGAAGAGGCCTGTGGCAGCGCCGCTGGACCCTAGGAGGCTCAGAGGCAGTGGTGTGGGAGCCCTGTCTGCAAGGACGCAGAATAAGCAGTGAGGGCGGCTGCAGGAGAGGAAGGGGCTCCCACAGCCCCCACTGATGCCGCTGCAGGCCCCTGTCGAGCTGGGGTCCCAGCCAGGTGCCCCCGCATGCCCTCCTGCAGTTGCTGGATGGATAGGGACACCAGGAAGAGGACAAACTGCATGGACTCAAGCGAGCTGGAGCCATCTTCTCCATAGCATTACGGACTTAGCATAAGAGTAAATGACTGTGAACGTTGTAGTAAACGGCAGCTTAAGATAAGTAAGCAGAGACAGTGTTAAGGACGAGTTGGTGTCTGTGGTAGCTTTTAGGCTGCTCCTAACCCACCATTTATTGCCTTCTGAGAGGTGGGTGAGGACAAGCATGTGCCTGTGTGTGTGTGTGTGTGTGTGTGTATATGTGTGTGTGTGCACGCACATGCGTGTGTATAAGCCCACCTGAGTGGGGCTCGTGCAGGAGAACTGAGGCATGAAACTCTGGCTCAAACCTAGGAATTGAGAGCGTTTCTGTCTTTTGGGAGAGTACTTTTCTCCACGAGCCCTCTGGCCACTGTGGGAGGGAAGGACAAGGGTTCCCTTGGAAATGTGAAGGGTCTTGGCCTCATCCCTCAGGTCCCCCCACAGCACTTCCCACTACTGCTTCTGTCCCTGCTGGCAGCCTCTGTCCCTCCAGAACGGCTAACCAGAGCACACTGTCCCCACCGCCTCCCCTTTCTCTCTGGAAAGTTGAAGTATCTCCAAAGGCCTTGGAAATGGCACAAAGGTGATAAGGAGCAGGTGCTTTGCTGCAGTCTCCCTTGCAAATGTATAATTAAGGCCTTTCTTCCCACCCCAAGTCCAAGAACAAATGCCAGCCACGTCCTCCGCCACTTGGAGAGATGAGAACCCAGTGGGGTCACGTAAAGGAATTGCAGGTCGGTGAGAGGACAAGAGGGACTCCCATGTTCTAAGCACCTGTTCCTGGCCAGGCTCTAGGCCAGGCTCTCTAAGCACATTTCTCCTTTCATTCCCCCTAAAAACAGAGTGACCTGGAAGTAGATGTTCTTTGCTCCTTGTCAGAGTTGAAGAGGCTGACTTGGCCCACTGCTAAGCGGCAGAGGCAGGGCCAGCCATCCTGTCGCAAGCCCGTGCTGGGGCTGCCCTTTCTGTTTCCAGTCCAGTTACGGACTTCCCGGCCGCCACTGGGCCCTGCCGGTCACCAGGCCACTGTGCAGTGGGCGCAGAGCATGGTCAGGAGTGGCCTGCCCGTACTCCTCCACCCAGATGAGGGCCCTCCAGAGCCTGCAGGCATCTGTGGGGAATCCCAGCCTGCAGGTTCTTGGAGAAGCAGGTGAACCTAAGGATGAAAGCAAAGGAGGGCCTTGAGGAAGCAGCCCCCAGGCCTGGCAGCCACGCAGCGGCTGAGCTCATGAACTTGGTTCGCAGCCTGCCTTGCCCCTGGAGGCCACGCCAGGCGCTCACCCCTGAGCCCACAGCCCCTGCTTGGGCTGCCTGGCACCCTCAGGGTGGCCCGGCCTCCTCCTGCCACTCTGAGCACATGTCCGGGGGTTGCCACCAGAGACGGCTTTGTTCTCCCAGCTAAGGCCGTGGAGCTGCTGTGTGACTGTGTCAGGCCTGGACAAGGAAGACCCTTAGGGATGACGTCCCCGCTGCATATTTATTCAAGGTGACTCTTGTACTTGGCAAGGGAAGTCCACTGTGTGATTGTCTGTATTCTTAATATAATTTGTTAAATAAACGTTTGTTTTAACCTCTTTCCCCAGTTTGCTGTCGTGGTGTCTGAAGGCAGCAGAGGTCAGTATCCCTCAGGGCAAGCCCCAAGCTCTCTCTCCCCCAGCAGGGCTCTTGTCACCACCTGGCCTGTCAGCCTTCTAGAAAGGACTGGTGGGCTTCTTTGCCCCTTGCTTAGTTGAGACGACCTGGTTACAAGTCAGTGGGATTCCGGGGGATGCAGAAAGCCCCGCTGTTATCTGGTGGCAGCCCTCGGGGTGCTCCTGGAAGGAGAAAAGCCCCAGTTGGCGTGAAGGCAGGAGCAGCTCCTGCCAGGTGGCCCCGGTGGGGAGGGCCGGGGTGCTCGGTGCCTTTCACCTCCGACTCCCCCCAGAGCCCTTGTCTGGGGGCGCAGACCACGTCGGAGTCTGGGTGGTTTCAATCCTGTCCCGACTGCTCACCTGCTTGTGAGAGGCCACTCCAGACACCAGCTAAGGAGGCTGCAGGGCCCAGGAACAGGCGCAGCGCTCCTTGTGAGGAGCCGGCAGTTCAGGTTTCACCATCAAAGCTCTTTGCCTCCTCTTAGCATGCTCTGTGCGTCTGGGCCAGACACCAGTCTGCCTGCAGCCCGTTCACACCGGACTCGGGCAGGAAGGAGCTGGAGCACAGCCACCTTAGCTCAGCGCTCACCTCAGGGGCACCAGCCCCGCCTCCTCCACATCCCAGACCCCTGCTCTGGGATGTCTCAGGTCTTTGTCCCACAGTAGGAGAGGAAAAGCAGCCCGGAGGATCCCATAAGAGACCCGTGGTGCAGATAGAACAGCTGATGCTGGGTTCCAGCGTGGGCCTTGCCACTTCCTGACCACGTGGCCTTCGACAGGTCACCTGCACCCTGTATCTGTCCAAAGCGACACAGTTCCCCTCCCTCAATGGCTTGCCCTGGGAAGATGGAATGAGGACCCAGGCAGGGCATTTAGCACACAGCAGAGACATTTAGCACGCACGTGCCAGGTCTTTCTGGGGGGGCCTTGATTCTATGTTACTGTCCACAAAACGTACAGAGTCCCTCCTCTATGCTGGGTCTGGAGACACCAAGGAAGTACAGGTGGTGGTCTTTGGTATCGAGGACAAGGCCTCAAGTACTGCTTGGAAAGACAGAGCAATGCCCAGGGCCCCAGGGCTGCAAGGAGCTGAAATCTACTACACTGGCCTAAGCCAAGGCAGTAGTGACCAGCCCAGGAGGAGGCCCATGGTGCCCAAGGCAGGTGCAGCCCAGCCTCAGAGGGCCAGCCTGGCAGCCCCTGTTCATCCTCTGCACTTCCCACGGGCCCCATGGCACCTGAGCCGACGTCTCCCCCTGCGCTTCCAGCTGCTGGTTCCCAGCCTGACCACCATCTCAACCCTAACGTTCCGGGGCTTTCTCTTCCCATCTGCGTCCCCGCCGGCAGCTCCCTGCAGCCTTTCTCTGTGCTTAGCTCTGTCGCTGGTCAGTCACTCCAAGCTCCAGCCACATAGTTCCAGCAGCCACCTAGAGGTGTCCATGTGGAGGTCCCATACTCACGTTGACCTCAGCACATGCCGAGCTGAATGAACCATCCTATCTCAAGCCCTAAACGGCCCCTCCTCCTCCAACCCTCCCATCTCTGGGATAGCTCCACCATCTCCCCCTAGAGTTAGCCACGGCCCCCACCTGGAGCCCTTTGGGATCGCTCCATCTGCAGCTGGACAGTTCTGTCATCTAACTGTTTTCAAACCCGGCCACTACATTCTCTTGTTGCTGCTGTGGTATTATCAGTTCTGGCCTCAAGCCCTCTCAATTGGATCGCAGCATCAGCCTCCTAGCCACACCTGCCTCCCACATCACCCTGTCCCCTGTCATTCATCCCCCACACAGCCCAGATCCAGCCAACAGGACTCCTCCACTTACTCTGCCCTCATCACCCTAGGAATGAATGCTGAGTCCCCACCATTCTGTGCCCCTCCCTCCTGGGCCTGGCTCACCTCCCACTGATGCCCCTGCTGAATTATTTGCAGCTTCCCAAACCCTTACCTCTCATATGCCTCCCTACCTTTGCACATGCTATTCCCTCTGCCTAGAATGCTTTTCTCCCATTTTTCTACCTGGAAAACTCCTACTCATCCTTCAAGACCCTGTTCCTGCACCTCCTCTGTGATGTCCATCCGGATGTCTTGGAGGCAAAGGTAATCAATGATTCTCCTGTTCAAGCTGCCTGTGCCTTGCACAGGGGACCACATGTCGCTGCATTGCAGCCACCTGTACCTCTCATTAGATTATGTGCTCCTGGAAGAAGGGGTCCATGTCTCTTTTTTTTTTTTTTTTTTTTTTTTTTTTTTTGAGGTAGAGTCTCACTCTGTCGCCTAGGCTAGAGTGCAGTGGCGCAATCTCGGCTCACTGCAACATCCGCCTCCCGGGTTCAAGCGATTCTTCTTCTGCCTCAGCCTCCCAAGTAGCTGGGACTACAGACACCCACCACCACACCTGGCTAATTTTTGTATTTTTAGTAGAGATGGGGTTTCACCATATTGGCCAGGCTGACCTCAAACTCCTGACCTGGTGATCCACCTGCCTCAGCCTCCCAAAGTGCTGGGATTACAGGCGTGAGCCACCACGTCCAGCCCCATGTCTCATTTATTATGCCCTCCCCCACCATTGTATACCCAGAGTGCCCAGCACAGGCCTGGAAAAATGGTGGACATCAGCAAATGCTCTCTGAATGAATTCCTTACACTGGATGAAGTAGACAGATGAACTAGACTCAATTGCTGAGGAGCCCCAGAAGGACAGACACCAGCAATACAGGGCCTGTGATGCCCAGCGGCAGGCCTCCCTGGACACACCCCGATGCTGGCCCCAGAGAGATCAGACAAGGATATGAAAGCTGAGCCTTGTCTGGTTCATCTCCGAAGCTGCAGGACCCAACACGGGGCCTGGCTGCAAGCTGGCATCAGTCCATGGTGATGATGGTGGGACAGGAAGGTGAACTGCCACCGGCTGCTGTGTCTCTTTCTAGAACCCAGCTCTGGGGGATGTCAGAGAAAGGGAGGAGGTAGATGGGTCACAAGACCCAACACTAAAATGGCCAGGGGCTTGGATCTCAGGGACTGGAGAACTTCAGAGATAAGTTGATTCCAAATAGATATGGATAATGCACATAAAAAAAAATTAGGAGCATGGCTTGCTTCATGAACATGGGCATCAGAAGCCTCAATAAAGTCTTTTTTTTTTTTTTTTTTTGAGATGGAGTTTATCTCTTGTTGCCTAGGCTGGAGTGCATTGGCGTGATCTCGGCTCACTGCATGCAACCTCCGCCTCCTGGGTTTAAGCAATTCTGCAGCCTCAGCCTCCTGAGTAGCTAGGATTTCAGGTGCCTGCCACCTCATCTAGCTAATTTTGTATTTTTAGTAGAGATTTACCATGTTGGCCAGGCTGTTCTCGAACTCCTGACCTCACGTGATCCACCCGCCTTGGCCTCCCAAAGTGCTGGGATTACAAGCATGAGCCACTGTGCCTGGCCAAGAAGCCTCAATAAAGTCTTGAGCAGAGTGAAAGGTGGTTGGGTGCCTAGACGACAGATGGCAGAGGTCAGTTTTCTGGCTATGCCCATTCATCCCTTCCACGTTGCCCTAGGTGGGTCATTTTCATCCATTTGCAGGTTGGGGAGGGGTGTCAGCAGAGGGCAGCACAGGCGGGCAGCTGCCTGGCCCTGAGCCCCCTCCTCCCCTCGCCCCACACCTTGGGTCATGTTGCTGCAGAGACACAGGTCTTGGGAATGGTGGTGCGGGGGCAGAGGTCTGGGAAGGCCCTGAGGGCTGGACTCCTGATGGGGAGGGCACATGGGCAGAGGTTGGCACAGTTTGGAACACCCAAGACACATCCATCCCCAGCTCCTCATCCTTCTCTGGAGCGGGCACAGGGTTCTCAACTTCAGCTGCACATTAGAACCTTCTGAGAGTGGGTTAGAATTCCTGTGCCCAGACCCACACCCAGACCAATCAAACAAGAATCTCTCTCTGCAGGAGGGACCAAGGAGTCAGTAGTGTTCAAGCTTCCCAGGTGATTTCAATGTGCAGCTGAGAGTAAGAACTCAATTCTGGCCGGACTCGGTGGCTCACGCCTGTGATCCCAGCACTTTGGGAAGCTGAGGCGGGTGGATCACGAGGTCAGGAGTTCAAGACCAGCCTGGCCAAGATGGTGAAACCCCATCTCTACTAAAAATACAAAAATTAGCCGGGCACAGTGGCAGGTGCCTGTAATCCCAGCTACTCGGGAGGCTGAGGCAGGAGAATTGCTTGAACCCAGGAAGCAGAGGTTGCAGTGAGCCGAGATTGCACCACTGTACTCTAGCCTGGGCAACAGAGCAAGACTCCATCTCAAAAAAAAAAAAAAAAAAAAAAAAAACAACAACAACTCAATTCTGAGCTTTCACCACTTCCCCAGTTACATGTTACCAGCCAGTGGAGCTGAGTCCCAGGGAACTATGAATTCCCAGGGGCAGGTGGAAGAACAGACATCAGAAGAGCTCATCCACCCAGGGAAGACAAAAAGCTGAGCAACCCACACCAGCAGAAGCAGAAGTCATAGACCAGCCAGAGCATGAGTTAAATATAAACAAAAGGCATCCTCCAAGAGATGTGGGAGGACCCTGGGAACATTGGGCAGGGAGAAGTTGTTTGGAATAAGAGCCTGTCAGTTTTGAAATACTGACAGACCTAGAGAGACAAAAACAGATAAGCCAGTAATTGCACTTGAAGATTTTAACACACCTCTCTCAGAAACTGTAGTCAAATTGCCAAAATATGAGCAAAGATATAAAATGTTTGAATAACCTGATTAACAAGCAGAGAACTTTCAACCTGGCATAGATCCCATATCCTTTCAGAATCAACTAAGAACTAAGCCACTAAACAAACCTCAATAATTTCCAAAGAGCCAACGTCATATCTAAAACCATCTCTGATCATACAATGAAAAAATAAGAAATGTAAAGCAAAATGATAGCTTTTTAAAACCACACATGATTGGAAAATGCACTACAATTAAATAAGAGGAAGCCATAAGGGAAATTATTAACATCTTAGAGGAAAATAATAATGAAATCACTACATATCAAAATTTGTGGGAGGCCAAGCATGGTGGTTCACATGTACTGTAATCCCAGTACTCCAGGAGGCCAAGGCAGGAGGATCAGTTGAGGCCAGGAGTTTGAGACCAGCCTGGGCAACATAGTGAGATCCTGTCTCTACAAAAAAATTCAAAAAAAAAAAAAATAGCCAGGCATGGTGGTGTGCTCCTGTAGTACCAGCTACTTGGAAGGCTGAGGCAGGAGGACTGCTTAAGCCCAGGAGTTTTAGGTTACAGTGAGCTATGATTGCACCACTGCACTCCACTCTCCTGGATGACAGAAACCCCATCTCTAAAAAATAAAAATAAAAAAATTGTGGGACACGATTGAAACGGTAGACAATGAAATTTACAGTTTAAATTTATCCAAAAGCAAGAAAGATTGAACATAAACAAGCTACGCTTTTAACTGAAGAAGATAGGAAAAGAGCAACAAGTAAGTGCAAAGAAATAGGAAATAATGATAAAAAGAATCGATGAAATCAAGCAAACAGAAATTATGAACAAAGTCAAAATTTGGTTCTTTGAAAAGACTAAAAGAGACAAACTTCAGACAAGGAGAAAGAAGAGGCAAATAAGAATTAAAACAAAAGATAACTGCAGATATAACAGTTAACAGGAATATTATTAGTAACCATGTATTAATTACCATATATCTGGAAAAATATAAAATGTCAAAATTGGTATAAGAAAACTAAATACCCTGGCACAGTGGCTCACACCTGTAATCCCGACACTTTGGGAGGCTGAGGTGGGTGGATCACCTGAGGTTGGGAGTTCGAGACCAGCTTGACCAACATGGAGAAACCCCGTCTCTACTAAAAATACAAAATTAGCTGGGCGTGGTGGCCATGCCTGTAATCCCCGCTACTCGGGAGGCTAAGGCAGGAGAATCGCTTGAACCTGGGAGGCAGAGGTTGTGGTAAGCCAAGATCGCGACATTGCACTCCAGCCTGGGCAACAAGAGCGAAACTCCGTCTCAAAAAAAAAAAAAAAAAAAAAAAAAAACATAGTCCAATTTTCAACCTTTTCCTCTATGATCGTTCTTTCTGTGTCTCGTTTAAAAATCTTTGCCTATCCTCCCAAACCCTTTAAAAAAAATGTTTGGCTTTTTTTCCTGCCAGTACCTTCCCTGGAAGATGAGTGAGGAAGGGTTTCTGGAGGAGGCAAGGTATGCCCTGAGCTCTAGAGGGGGCTGGACTAGGATGTGTTTCCCAGGGAAGGTAAGCAAATGTCAAGGGGGGAGGTATTTCATTGTTCACTGGGCATCAGCAAACGTTTACAGAGGACAGCAGGGGTAGCCTTCTGTGTGTCATCACCACAGTCCTGAAGTTAGGGATGGCCCATTTAGCAGATAAGGAAACTGAGGCTCCAGAGAGTGCTCAGAAGCACACAGTCAGACAGGGGCACCTCAGGGCCTCCAGCCCAGGCATGTCCAACTCCAGTGCCGCTCCTGGCGCGGCCTGGATTATGCACACCTGGAAGGAGGTGTCCTGTCCTGTGGGGTTAAGGTGAGGATGGCTCATGAGGTGAGACAGGCCCAGTTCAGGGCCCAGCTTAGTCACCTCCCTTGATGTGCCCCTGGGGCTCTGGGATAACAGCAGCCAGCAGCAACCAGGGCTTTCTGGAGGAGGAATTGAGCAAACCCATTACATACTTGGCCTGGGGCAAGGCACACGGCAGGGGTGGGGGATGCAGCAGAGGGCGTTTGGCCACGGGGAAGCCCCACCAGGCCCCTCCACGGGCAGGAAGGGAGACTGAGGGTCTGAGGTCGTGTGAGCTTCCTCCCCCTACCTGTCCCCTGGCCTTGTGCAGAGACTCAGGAGCACGCTAGCAATCTGCTTCCAGGCTAAGCACCAGCCCCAGTTAGCTCAAGAGAGCTTCCCGCTGAGGAAGAGGGATGATGTCGGGCCAGGTCTCCAGCACCCCACCTCACTGACTGGGGGGCGCTCCCTAGGGTGGGTCCTGGCAGGGGCCAAGACCACCTCACCTCCCGCAGGCCCAGGAAGAGGCACTTCGCAGCGAGGCAAAGCCCCTTGGAGTTCCATTGCCCAGCGAGAGGGCCCCAGGAGGTCTCTGGCCTGCTTTCTCCCCTGGAACCCAAGGGTTCTGGCACCTCCCTTTCTAGGTTGCCCAGCAGGGTGGACCTCCAGAGCCGCCTGCACGAGGCCCCTCCCACCGTGCCGCCCGCCCGGGACCCCGCCCTGCGCTCCGCCCCCAAACACGGGTTCTCACGCGGTCCGGCCGCGCGGGGGCGCCCGGCTCCCCGGCCCTCGCTGGGCCCTGCGGGAACGCCCCGGCCGCGCACTGGGGATGCTCGGACCCCAGCACACACGAGGCGGAGCTCCGCGGACTGGAGGCAAATCAATCCCTCGGCACCGCGCTACGGACGTGTGTTTGGAAGGAGGCTAGCCCGCCGCGCAAGTCCCCGCAGCGCCCCGCCGGCCTCCCACCCCCTGCGGCGTCCGGACCTCGTGGACCTGGGGTGGCTCCCATAGACTGCGGGGCCGGGCCCAGCCGCGCTCGCTTTGGTCGGGAATGCGGGTCGACTGGAGAGGCCCGAGCAAGCCCCCCAGCTCCACCCGCCCCTAAAGGGTGGGCTTGGGCAGTCACATCAGGAGCCTCAACATTCACATCCGGAAAATGGGAAGGTCAACAGTCCCTCCTTTAAAAGGTTTCTGAGAAAGTTAAAGATGTATCACTATTGCCCAGCTTCCAGTCCTTAGGCAAGCCACCTGCGCCCCTCCCTGAACCTCAACTTCCCCCGCTGTAAAATGGGGATAAGAAAAGTCCTCCCCTCAGAGGGCCATTGTATAATACGATGAGCTTGGCCCACGCTGCTGGGCACCCCCTGAGCTCTCAGTAAATGGAGCTATTGGGGTTATGCCCGCTCAGCAGAGGCCCCACCTGCAGTCCCAAGCCTGTGCCCCAAATCCCACGGGTTGCCATTTAGGGACCCAGGCCCCCCAGTTTGGGAGCTGGTGGCTTAGAGTGGGTGCTCCCTCCAGTCCCTGGCTGGAGTGGGGGACTCGCTGTGCAGCCACAGGTGTCTGGGCAGGAGGCTTGGCGGCAGTGCCCCTCCCCTGGCTGCCCTTCAGGGCCCGCTCTGGTTGAGCCACACGGCAAAAACACTCCGCTTTTTGACACCATCCAGAAAATGAAAATGTCCCAGGCGCCTAATCCTTCCCTTCCTTTTGGCAACTTAAACTGCCCTGAAACACAGCCAACATATTGAACGCAGTGTGAGCGTCCACGCCAGAGTGTAGGCCTCCCGCAAAGCCAGCCTTGGGGACTCGTGGAGCAAAGCCTCGTTCCTCTGTCAGACTCTGCCTTACTAGGTACGGAGTGACCCTGGCCCCCACCAGCCGGCATCTCAGCCGCCTTCAAACCCGCCGACCTGAGGGGCACGCCAGCAACTCTGACTTCCTTCCCAGCCAGGGCTGTGCCGCCCCCACTCCCCCCCAGAAAAATATTTGAAATGGTCTTTGACTGAAATGAGATTAATCCTCAGTTCCCTGACAGTGTCTTTGGGCATGTGTTTTTATAACCTCCCTTTCAAATGAGAACCATTTGTCGCCGGGAAGCTGGGGAGGCCCTGCCCCAACTGCTGGGCCAGACATCACCGGCACCTGATTGAATGTCACGGACAGTGCGAGGGGTCAGGGCTGAGGTGAGGGCCGTGTACTCAGGGCCAACTGTCCTCTGCTGGTCTCTGGCTAGGTCCCCATCTCCAGCCAGTGGCGTAAACTAGAGGATATGAATTCCAACCTGGATTCCCCTTACCACCACAATATGCCCTTGAGCCGGTGGCTTTGCCTCTCTGAGCCTCACTTTTCTCATCTGTAAAATGGGGGAGATGATGGTCCCGTCACTCAGGTGATAGACACAGCCTAGTGCCTGAAGACAATCCACACTTGATGTTTGCAAGGCTTTTGAACACAACCTCAGCTCCCTCAGAACTCCTGGTGGGAGGGCAGAGTACCCCCAGGCTGGGGCCTTCCAAGGGCCGCAAACGTTCATTCTAAATGTGGTTCGAGTCTCCTACTCTTCCAGACTTGGCTCTAAATGAGAGGCCATGTCGGCAAAGAAGCCGAGTTGCTGATGCTTGCCTAGGGAGAGAGCTGTGCGTAGAGGTGCCACCATGCAGGCTAATTAACTCTGAGCCCTGGCTCGGTGGCCTCCTCTCCCGGCACAATCCCCCGCCACCCCCACCACTCCAGGTCCTGTTTGAAGTCTGCAACACCCCCCCCCCACCGCCCCCCTTCCTGCCGTCCCTGCTTGCTGAAGCAACTACAGCCCCTTAGGGCTCAGCTGGGAGGGATTTATTGGAGAATTTCAATCATGGGGTCTTGGCTCAAACTTGTTGCTTCCTCAAAAATCTCCCCAGAAGTTGGCTACATGTGAAACTGAGGCATGAAGGAAGGACTCGGATGATCTCACGGTTCGGAACTCCACCTGGGCCTGTCAGAGAATTCATAGACCCTCACTTGGAGGAAGAGAGCACAGAACAGCAAGAAAGATGCAGGTTCCTGGGACGATGTGGAGGTACCGGGCTTGGTTCACTTTTAAGGAGCTGCTTAGAAATAGTGTTTCAGCTTTGACCACCACTCCCGCCCCCAACCATGACACTTGAGTGCAGGTGTCTGATCTCTGCGGTGTAAGCCCGCTATTGGTCTTAGGGTGGGAAAGTGTGGGATGGAATCCTGGTTGAGAGTCCTGAATGGTAGAATAAGGGACCAAAGCCATGCTGATGTGCCATTTTTCTTAAACTGTGTGGCTTCCCTCCCCAAAGACATTCCCTGGGCAGCTTTCAGGCTAAGGAGCCCACGCCCTTCCACGGGAGCCCAGCCAAGAAGGGCCCGGGACAGAGGCTCCATGCATGCTTCATTTTCCTTCCCCTCTGGGCAGGGCTGACTCATTCCATTTCTCTGAACAATCTTTGCAATGATGGATAAGCTGAGGCCCCAAATGCCGTGGCTCTGGAGAGAAAAACCATCTTTCGCAGTTTCACATAAGCCTCCCACTTCTTTCTTAACAAGTGCTGAAAGCGGCACAAACAGAAATACCCCGGACTCCCATGACCAAGGAGATGACTACATCAGGCTGCAGGGCTCAGGAATAGGAACTAGCGAGCCGCGCGGCCCCAGGGCGAGGTGTCCGATTCCCTCCCAGGATGCTCAGCCAACGGCGCTTTGAAGCCGTGGCTGAGGCTGCCGCACTGGGGAGGAGTGGGACCAGGGGCCGGGCCTCCCCTGCACGATGTCCACAGATTCACCGAGATAAAGGAACCGCAGCTTCATCCAACTTGTGCTGAATCGCTCTTTTCAAAAGCCCTTTCAGATGGTTTCACTTCTCTGCCCGCTTTGTTGAAAGATGTAAAAATTTCAAACCACCACAAAGTAAACATTTCAAAACCCTCTCTTTTCAAAATCAGTCACATTTTCAAAAATCTCTTGAATTCCATCCCCCGCGCCCCACTTCGTTTGCTGTCTTTGGAGTGTTTTTCATTAATTTAGAATCAGTCCAGGTAAAGCTGGTGTTTTCGAGCCGTGTTTTAACGGGCGGGAAGTGGCTTTGTTATTTAGTAGATGTGTTAGATAAGTCGATGTCTTGTCAAAATCAAGCAGGTTTTCTTTATTAGGGTGAGAGCGTAATGAACTCATCTGCTTCTAATATTTATAAAGAGAAGAGAGGCCATTAATTCTACTGCTTGTGAATAAAACCATCTGTGATTTCTTTCCATTTGATGGGTTTTGGTTTTAATATACATTTTTCACAAATAAGCACAGAGATTTTTTGGTGAAAATGTCACATTCGGAATCTCATAAAGAAAGAATGCAAAGAGGGGAAAACTAAATGTTTTGTTAGCTAAGTCATTTCTCACCTTGCAGAGTGGGGAACACTTGAGCCAACATTAGCACATTAGGTGATAGACTCGTCGTTCCCCGCTAATGCAATCCATGACATGTGACAAGGCAAACCTCGTCCGTTTTGAAGTTTGTTTTCCTTCGGGAATTACACAGTTCGTTTAACCTAATCTGTCCTGACACTTGAATTATAATATTATGAGCTTCTTCAGGGAAGTAAAACAGTAGTTGCCTGCTTAAAAGCAAAGCAGAAGTTAATAAAGTGGGCAAAATGTCAAGGAAAAAGGGCTAATCGAATCATGGTGTCATTCTCTAGAGAAAATATAGTCAAGTTGTATTTTTTTTTTCCAGTGGAAATCTTGGACGCCTAATGACATATTTCTGTCCAGGAAGAAATTTGAACTCTGAAGCCGAACTTGATTAAACCCCAAACCGAGAGACCTTGCCCAATGGGACCACTCCAGGACTTTGACTTCTGGGTGTCAGAGCTTAATTAAAATATTCATCCAGCTGCTCTCCACTCGCCAAGGGGGCCCAGAGGAATTAAACCAATAAGCTTAATTCTATTAGTTCACCTGCCTGTGTACATAGACATGCGGAAGACCATTTACTGATTCAGAAAAAAATCATCAGACCCACCCTATAAATTCAGCGTGGGCAGCCATCACTGCAACAGCAACACGGTCCCCCCAGCAAACGTAACACTCAGCAATCTCGACTCCTGTCTCCGAACACACACAGCTATTTTTAAGACTCTTCCAAGAAAACCAAAATGCTAAACGGGTCAATGTAAGGATTGATGTGCGCGCATGTGTGTGTTATGATTTATGTGTCGTTTATAATAACATGTAACATTTACTTTGTGCCACAATGCCAAGCCTTTCTCATTCGTATCTCAAGGAAACTGTCACTTCCACTCTAAAAAGTCAACACTATCATTACCCCCACTTGACAGATGAGAAAACTGAGGCTCCGTGAGATGAAATGACTTGAAGCCCAGAATTGTCAGACCACACAGTTGGCTGAGCATTTAACCCCTAGTAATGAGGGCTCTACTGAAATCCGGATCTTTGTTTTACATTGGAATTGATGTCTTGTCTGCCATGCACACACCTAGTGTAACATTTGGAAGGTACAGAAGCTATAAAGTGAAAAATCAGCCTCACATCATCCCCACCTCAGCTGCCTGTTCCCTCCCCCGGCAGCCACCGCGGACAATTTGTCTCTCCTTCTCGAGTGGAGGCTTATACCAGCCAATGTGGCTATGTCTCTTTTTGTAAAAACAGATATGGAGCATAACAGGTACGCTGTTCTGCAGCTTGCTTTTTTCATTTAATAATATATCTTGGGAGAGTTCTCCATCTCGTTCCTTTGAAGACTACACGTCATTCCATTCAATAGAAGGAGTACATTGGCCCCTATGGGATTGTTCATATTCAACCATTTTTGACCAGCAAAAAAAAAAAAAAAAAAGGCAATTTCACATGATTCTGCCTATATACCATAATTGTTTACCGAATCTCCTATGATGGGCGTTTGGTTAGGTGGTTTCACATCTTCTGCCCTTATAAACAGTGCCGTGATGAGTATCATTTGCACACACCAGTGGGTAATATCTGTAGGATAAATTCCTAGAATTGCCACTGCCTCTGTGACCCTGGATAAGTCAAGTTCCTTACCTTAACCCCGAGTGTGAAATGGAGCGGCCGCATTAGATGATTTCTGAAGCCCCTGCCAGGCCCTATTGTTCTGCAAAACTGCACTTCTCACATTTGTAATTCTATATCATAGCTGGAGATTACTCACCACAACCTTGTGAATATAACCACAGCTCAAGCTCAGGGTGCCCCAAATCACTGTGGAAACAAATGTTTTCCACCAAACGCTAACTCACTCCCTGCTGGCCATATTTGTCAACCAGAGAATGAGACATTTCCCGGTGATCAATACAAATGAAATAGAAATCTATCCTGGGCGGCGGCGGCAAGACTTGGTTTTTAATAAGGGAACCTCCAGAGGATATTGCATTCCTATGACAACGGCCGACAGACCTTGATTTTTAGTGTCAGAAGCTGTTGAATGCAAAGGTCTGTGGCCGGGGCCTGGCCAGGCGGTGGGTGCGGGGGTTCGGGCTGGAACCAAGTTGGTCCTGAAAGGCTGTTGCAGAAGCCTGCCGGCCGCCCCAGCCCACTGCCCATCCACAGCCTGCTGTGGGTCACCTGTTCACGAAGGCAGCCACATTTGCCAGCTGGGCTATGGTGGAACCGGCCAGGCCAGACAGCTAGCCAAAGATGATCCGTAGCCACAGATCTGGTTATTTACGGCTTGCCTGTGGTCCCCAGTGACCGGGCAGCTCTCGGATGACAGCAGTTCATCTTAAACAAGACCAGGTACTTGGGCAGAGGTGGCAGGGAGCACAAACGACCGTACTGATAGTCTCTTTTCTGGCTGTAAATTTATCTGGTAACAGAGTGACTCGGAGACACCCCGCATTACTTGCGGTTTGCGAAGTTTACAAACTGCCCGAGACAAACTAGGATATTCTGAAAACACAATTCTCACCCAAACAGCCGAGACAGTTCTGGGTTCCATCTCTTGATTCTTCTGCCTCTTTTAAAATTATCTGCCGATACAGACCAGGGCTGGGAAAGACGGCAGAAACAGGAAAACAGCTGGCATGGAAAGGAGATGGGATCGGCAGTGATTTATTTCCAGCGATGTGATATTTTAGGTTATTGTTATGTGTGTGCAATAAATCATATTTTAAAGCATCTGTTAATAGAGTGTTTTATTCTCAAGAATTAATTCTTTTTTAAAAAACTATTTCAAGTGGGTGGGTTGTTTCTTGAAGTTGAATCCTCAGGTTTTATCAAGAGATGTGACAGTGAGAACATGATAAGAAGTGTTTCCACTGGGAAATTTCGCTACTTAGAAAAGGTCTTGTCCTCGTAAAAAAAAAAAAAAAAAAAAAAAGTAGAAGAAAAACCAGAAAGGGAGCCGTAGAGGTTATTGCTTAAAATACTTTGTTTGAATATGTGTAAATGTATTTAGGCCTTTGGCTTTTTAACCACCAAATTCATGTTTAGGAATTTTAAGCACCACAATGAGCTTTCTCTCTGAGTTTCCAAAGGCAGCTCTCAAAATTGCGTCTACCAAACCTTTAAAATCAGGTACAGAGGTCCCCCACGGAAGGTCTTGGGGGATGATTACAACATTCCTCTGTGCGACACGGTAGCACCCGACCCGGCTCGTGTGCGCTCTCAGACCCTCTGTTGAAAGCAACTGACTAGGCTGTGGCTTAAAACTAATCTTGTCCTCGGCTCCCTGGCAAGAGGTCAGCAGGCAAGTCGGCCAGGAGATGATCCCCAGCCAGATCTGAAGGGCTCTGAGAATATAACAAGTTGTAAAAGGGCCGGGGAAGGGGGAGAGAGAAAAAAAGAAAAAGAATAAAGGCAAAATTAATTTTCACAATTAAGTATATTCTTTTTTTTCCATGTAGTTAATTTCCAGCCGCTCACATTTATTGCACATTAATTATGCATACAGCTTTTGTGCAACTTAAAAAGTGAGGAATGTGATCCTTATTCTTTTATGGAGGCTCCGGCTGCCGTGCTGGAGGCCTCCGAAGCTTCGGGTCAGAGGGGCAGGAGCTGAGTCCCCCTCTGCGAGCAGCCAGTGGCGGGGCCACCTCACCCCCAGCCAGTGCCAGGGATCTTGGATTCCCCCACCTCGACTTTCTTAAAAGTGTTTCCTACAGCAGGGGTGGTGATCGGGGGCCGAGGGGGCCTGGACGATTGGCTGGATGTGTTTCTGGGCCGAATCTTGGGGGAAGGAGCCTGAACTAACCCCTCACCAGCCTCTCCGTCAGCTTGCCCTGGCCAGTATCGGTGTTCAAGCCCACTGGCCCAGGCCTGGGTGTGAAAACAGTAATGTGATGAATGAGGCCTTGGCTGGGAGGCACTGGGGGCACATGTCCTTCCTCCAAGCCCCTCTGTGTGCCACAGGATGCCAAAGAGGTGGGAATATTAACTGGGCTGCGAGATGCTGCCCCCAGCCCCAGCCTCAGACTCCTGATGACCCCCTAAAGGCCTCAGGAAGGGCTGGGCAGGTGGCCCCTCTGCCAACATGCTGTGTGACACTAGACCAGTGCCACAGCCTCTCTGTGCCTTCTCCGAATCTGCATGGAAGTTCCTCTGGACACCAGCAGGCCCACGCCTCTCTCCCTGGGAGGGCTACTTGCACCTGATCCCCCTGCATCCAGCTCAGAACCCGCCAAAGAGGACCCTCCCATGTAAACAGATGTTAGGGTTCCCCACTTGGCACATCCACAGTGTGGGGCGCAGACAGCCCCTTCACCAGCTGCCCAAACTTCAGCCAAGAGCACAGACCCAGGAACCGGAGACCCCGCATCCCACCCACGGAGAGACCCTATGGGACTCAAGCACAGTTGTCCACATTGGACCAGGACCCTTGAGCTCTGCTCAGCGCTAGGCTCCCTGTGCCCCCGGAAGCATGCTCTTCCTCCTCAGCCCAGGAGCCAGATCACTTCATCAGGACAGAGCTCCCACCTGAACCAGGCTGGGTGATTTCCTATGCAGATCCTAAGCAGACAGAGTCAGGACCCTAACCCAGCCTCGCTGCCCCCACTGCTGTGGGCACTTTGGCTAAGGTGGCTCTCCATCTCTGGTCCAGTTCCTCATCCGAAAATGGGATTCAGAATTGGACACAGAGTTGGGTGGAGCATTGTCTCCGAAGCACCCAGCTCAGTCTGAGCTCCCAGGAAATGGCCCGAGGGGTGGGCACAGAGACCCATTTTACAGCTGAGGAAACAGATTTTCAGAGGCAAGGTGCCCTGCGCAGCCTGGAGGTGACAGGAGGGCCAAATGTGTGAAGGCTCCTGGTGCTGTCCTGGGTTCCGCCACCGTCAGCCCACCAGGGTTTAGAACCCAACCCCTGCTCCATCCACTGATGGTGGAGACGAGAAGTTAGAAGAGGAAACTCACGCAACTGGTCCCCCTCTCCCGTGGGGCGGCTTTTGTGGCAGGCTTCCTGAGCCTTCCACACCAAATAGGTGGCCTCTCCCACTCCTCGTTCGAGCTCCCCATGTTCACAACCACAAACCAGCCACCGGGCATCAGCTTCAGAAACAAAGACTGCAGCAAGCAGAGCCAAGTTCCCTCCCACCAGCCAGGCCCTGCAGCCGTAACAGATCCCACCACAGCCAGCAGGCAGAGCTTCATAACCAGGGACCTGACGACAGCCCTGGCCGCCACTCCAACCCCTGACCCAACCGTGGGAGGGGAACAGGGGCCTGGGCCACCCCCTTTTCTCTCTCTTTTTTTTTTTTTTTTTTTTAAATAAAAACTGTTCTCCCAGTGGTCCTGCTGGGATAAACTGTAAAACATCTCTCCCGTTCTGTTCTGGAATCCTGCAGTCACTCGAGGACAAACTTGAAAAATAAAATTGTCATCATAAAGAAATCAACCGAGCATAATAATAAACAACATGTTTAACATTTATTACTCTGTGTTCTGACAAACTAAAATGTGAAAACATGCCAAAATTTGGCTTTCATAAAATAATTTCTCATCAAGTTCTTTCCTTTGACAGAATGCCTCTGTTTCCATTCCTAGCTGGTGAGATCTGCTTGGAACACGGTAGCATTTCCAGAAACGGGTCTTGGGTTTGAGACTTGTATGATCCCCAAAGCATCTCCCTGGCTCTGTTAGATTTCCTCTGATTGACAACATTCTCTCCTAGTGACAATATTCTGGCTTTCCTGGTAAACAGTAGTGAGCAAGCAGGTCACATGGGGACGGGGTGGGTGTCACCATCATTCAGAAACAGGAAACCTTACAAGGCAGCCAGTCACGGCCACCAGAACCCCACTTTTTTTTTCTCACTGTGGCAAAATACAGATCATGCAACATTCACCCACTTAACCATATCTAAAAGTACAGTTTGGTAGCATTAAGTACCTTCACGTTGTTGTACAATCATCACCCCATTCATTTCTAGAACTCATTTCATCTTGCAAAACCGAAACTCTGTCCCCACTACGTAAGAACGCCCCACTCCTCCGTCCCCCAGCCCTTGGCAATCTCCATTCCATTTTCTGCCTCTATAAACTTGACTTCTCTAGATGCCTCATATAACTGGATTCATTCTGCATTGTCTTTTTGTAACTGGCTTATTTCACTTAGTATAACATCCTCCAGGTTCACCGTGTTGTAGCATGTGTTGTAATTTTGCCCCTTTTTAAGGCTGAATAATATTCTGTTCCCAAAGCCCTATTTCTAACATTACACAGAGCACAGACCCACATTCTGACATGAGAACACCCCAGATCTGCTCTTGGGACATCCATACATGCACCAAAATGCACCCTCGCCCCTCCAGTCTCTGTGCACATATGAGGACCACCCTCCTGGACCTGTGAGATGCTCGGTCACACCCACAGATAAATGCAGTCACCCCACAGCCTCCATCTGCAGCTCTCACCTGGGCACGCCCCAACGCACACCCCCCATCAGAAGGAGTCGTGGGAGATTTTGCAGATTCTTGGGGACATCATAGCTGGAAGATCCAGGGACCCATCTCAGCCCTGGGTCGAGATGGGGAGATTTTGGCACTTGAACCCCTCCACTGTCCCTGTCTCCAGGTCCCCTCCACAGGGTAAAGAAAAGGGTTGCTCAGCACCTGGGAAGGCCCCACATCTCCCCACCCAAGCTTAGCTTCCGTGACCCCAAGGGGAGCTGAGGACTTGGTCGCGGGGAAGCCCAATCAGCCCAGGTCTCACAGAGATTCAGCCCAGATCCAATCTGCCTGCCAAGCTCCACCCCCCTCTCCTCTGGACGGGGCAGAACTGGGAAAACAGGAGCCTCTATGCCCAGGAGCATGAAGGGGGACCCAGGGGTGGCCTCTGGCCTGGGACGTGTTCCCTGTGCACATCCCAAGCACCTACCCTACTAGCGTGGTGCTCTGCTCCCCTGGAGATCTCAAACTTTGGAATGGGAGTGTCATTCCATCTTTCTCCAGCTGCCCCGCAGGGGGACCAAGCTCAAAGGAAGCTTTGCGAACAGTAATACAACACAGTACCTCCTCATCTAACGAAGGTCTCAACGCTTACGCCTTGACTAATTCCCAAAATCCCTCCGTCTCAAATCACTGTTAATTTTCTTCAGATGATAATGGTGTTGTGGTTAGAGAATATCCTCATTCTTAGAAAAGCACACGAAAGTATTTAGGGATGATGCCTGGAACTTACTTTCAAACTTACGGCAAAAAATACATAGCTCTAGAGATGTATCTACACAGACAGATAAAGCAAGCGTGTGACATGGTTACGCGTCAGCTCTAGGATGGGCTCTGAGAGTGTTCCTTGTTCTTCCTTCAACTCTTCTGTATGTTTGGATATTTTCATCATACAAATTTGGGAGGAAAAACCCCTCGCCCTCATCATGGCCGTCCTTTGATTACCTGCTCTCCCTCTGCACGCTGTCATCATGAAGTGACCAGGAAGTCCAAGAGGATTTGTCAATGGTAGGACGTGGAAAGAACGTTCTGCCGGGTACACGGGCAGGAATATGCAACTTCCTGCCTCCCAGCAGAGGCGTCGTGTGGCTCAGCCGCGAGCTGCTGAAGGAGCTCTTTCGGACGGGAGCATGAAGCTGCTCCAGGGTGGCTTCCCCACCACACGCCATCCCTAGAGAGAAACAGGAGGGCTGTCCCCAGACACTGAACAAGAAGGTCTCTCCCCAGCCCTCTCTCTTCATGGCCTAGCTGTGCTCTGTGGTGTCCCAAACAGCTGTGAAGTGTGTGGCACAGAATCCATTGCTCATAAGAACCAGAAACCGGCTGGGTGAGGTGGGTTATGCCAGTAATCCCAGCACTTTAGGAGGCCGAGGTGGGTGAATCACTGGAGCTCAGGAGTTCGAGACCAGCCTGACCAATATGGTGAAACCCCATCTCTACTAAAAACGCAAAAATTAGCCAGGTGTGGTGGCATGTGCCTGTAGTCCCAGCTACTCAGGAGGCTGAGGCAGGAGAATCGCTTGAACACGGGAGGCAGAGGTTGCAGTGAGCCAAAACCACGACACTATACTCCAGCCTGGGTGAGAGAGTGAGACGCTCTCTCAAAAGAAAAAAAAAAAAAAAAACAAGAACCAGAAACCCTTCCATGAATGCAGGACCACACCTCTTTCACTCTTGCTGTCTCCCCAGCACCAACCCAGGGCCTGACACGCAGCGGGCACTCGGAGTAAATTAAAGCTTACAGCCAATGTTCTCTCTTTTACAAGTTAGAACAAATTTCAGGTCATTCCTCATAGCCTGCCAACTTTAGAGATAAGAGGTGAATGGCCTGCAGTGAATGGGACCCTGGCCACCCCTGCCGCCTGACCCGGGTGGCTGCAGCTGGGGATGAGCGAGCTGTAGCCGGGAGGAGGCTGAGGAGCCTGGCAGAAAAGCCTCAGGAGCTGGAGGCTGGGATCACGGCAGGAGGAAGGCAACTGGGGTCAGAAGATGGAGAGCAGGCCAGAGCCGGGGCATTCTGGAGCTGCCTTTGACCCTAGGACAACTTCCAAATGAGGACCCTGGGACTGGGACCAGGCAGCCTCTCCCTGGCCGTTCAATGTCTGCCGGCCAGGAAGGAAGGCCTCCTCGGACAAGGAGGAAGCACCGGAGAGGGTGTTTGTTTTAATCATCGGAGATCAAAGACAAGTCCCACCGGGCTGGTGGTCCTCCTGGGGTAGCCAGGCCCTTTCCTCTCCTCCTGCCCCAGAGTGGCTAACTCCACACCCCCCATTCCTTCCAGAGCTGCTGCCCAGGACAGCCGGGGCTCAGGGAGACCTCTGGACACTGCATCCTTCCAGGGCATAGAGAGTGAGGTAGGGATAGGTGTCCAGAGACCTTAGAGCTGAGGCCTTGCTGACTTTATGGCTGTGACCTCACAGAGAGCCCAGTCATGGGTAAGAGAAACGAGAGAGGGATGGTGCAGCTAGAAAACTGCCATGTCCAGGGGGCCAGCTAAGGCTCCCCCACCTTCAGGAAGGCCAGTGGTTGAGAGCAGGGCCCAGGGATGACAGATTCGGTCCGATTTTGCCTCTGATCAGTGAGCCACCTAGTTCTCGGAGCCTCTGTTTGCTCTTCTGGAAAAGGGGCACAGGGCTGCTACTGCCATGAATAGCATTTGTCAAATACTTGGCTCAGAGCCTGACGCGGAGTGAGTGCTCCGTGAGCAGCCAGTGTTCTTGTCATCAGTGTTGTTAGCCTGTGTGCCCTCATGATGCGAGGGACCTCCTGGCTGCTGCGATTTGCTGAGATGCATTCAAGGTTTTGCTTCTACTGGGGGACCAGCAGAACAATCGTGACGGGCAAGTGGGTCTGGATATCAAGCCCTGCAAAGTGACCTGGGCCAGTGACACCCCCACAGGGCCTGCCATCTCCCTGCCCCACACGCCTGGGTGCCCCAGGAGGTGGGCTGGTCTCTATTGCCCGAGGACAGAGGCCAGCGACTTTGTCCCTGCTCTGTTTGCCATGAAAGAGCAAAACCACCACAGGGTTCAAAGGAAAAGAGGAAAACCCAGTAACTCGTCCCAGACGGTCTGTCCCCTTTATCAAAGCTGATTTCAGGGAGCAAAGTTCCCACCAGGAGAGGCCACAGCCTCATTAGAGAGTTCTGGGAATGATGAAAAGCCAGGCCGCCGTGCACATCCCTGGGACAATTAGGCCTTGTCCCTCTGCCTTCAAAGGCAATCTCACTGTCTCTGCGCGTGTGTGCGCACGTGAGAGGGTATGACAGTATCTCCGTGGGTCTCTCTTCTTCCTCTTAGTATTTCTTTTTGGCTCTCCCTGTCTTTTTCTGTTCTCTGTCTTTTCCAACTATCCTTTAACCCCTCTCAGTACCCAGGCACTCTGCATGTTTGAGATGATCCCTCTTCTGCCCACTGGGTACCTAGATGTCTAGATGTCCTAGACCAGACAAAACCTGCCCCAGGAGACCTCCCCTTCATGTCCTCAGAGGAGGCCCCAGACACTGCCCCCCGCCACCAGACACCCAGCTTAACCAAAAGATGGGAATGGTGCAATCACTTCCACGGATCCCTTCCTCTGAACTCCAATTCTCCCCATCATGAGGACAGAATGCAAACTATTCCCCCACAGCAAACTCCGGTTTCCGGATGCCTCTGTTGGATACAGCAGGGTCTGAGCGGAGATTCTTCTCCAAATCCCGACTAGCAGCCTCCCCCAACCCCCAACCCTATGGAATGTTTCTTACCCACGGCAGGAGTTATAAGCAAGGCAGTAACACATTCCTCCACACCCCGGACGCTGCCAGGGCCTTAGGTTGAGAGGCGTTCTACTGTCCAGAGACACAGACCCATTTCGGGGATGCTACCCCAAACCGATCCATGCCCCAAATGCACGCAACGCAGGCCCGCCCGGGCCTGCCCAAGCTGCCAGCACCCTGGCCCCTGGCACCATGAAATGTTCCTAGAACAGACAACACCATGTGTGAGACGCAGATTCTTACATCAGGCAATTATTAGAGGAAATCGGCCTGTTCCTTTAAGTGAGAAGGCAAATTCTACATACTTGTTTTTGTCATAACACCAGAGGAAGCGGGCGCAATATTTTCGAAATTAGAAACAGCCTTGGGTCTCTGCCCCTCGCTGATGGTACTCGGGTATTAATCCATTAAGGCAATCAAAAGAGCTTAAATAAAAGTCTGAAGCCTGCAATATACATGTCAATGAACAAGCGGTAAAACTTCCTGAAAAGGTGATTTCAAAGCCATATTGCCCACGCTTGGCAAATTGCATATTTAATTATTTTGTCAGTCCCTCTTTCTCCTCTAATCTTTGGAAAAAATGCCTTGACCATGTGAAACCAGTTAGGATAATTAAGGTACGATGGAATTAGGTGTCGGCTGATTTCTCAGAAAGATGCCATCCTCTAACCTGGTATGAGATGTGTGCAGGCCCCAGAAGGCAGACGGCATTGTAATGTCTCCTTTCTATAGAAAGATCAAAGGTCTTTTGCCCCTTTCAAGATGTTTGTAGAATTTGTTTCCCAATTATCCCACATTTGCGCGCTGGGACATCCTAGCTAACTCTTTGATGGCACCTCTGGAATTGGGCAGTAATTGACATCAAGCCGCACCTCCTGGCTCCAGGCTGCGGGCTGAGATTTCGATCTTGGGTCTGTGTTCAGAGAGGGAAGAGGATGAACGCGAGATAGAAATGGGGTGCAGGTTTAGGTTTTTCATCCCTTTGGTTCCAGCACTACTCTGCACTCAGTGATTGGGACTCCCCTCATCAGTTCAGCCTTGGTGAGCACTGGGAAACTCCTCCCGCTCTGATTCTGGTGTCAACTGGGCCTCAGATTTGGCCTTTGCAAAATTTTACCATTTTAAAGGCAAAGCCTGAATGCCTTTGAAGACCATTCTGGAAAGCAAATATATTGAATACATGATTTTCCCACAGAAGAATGTTTCTCCTGGTCCGGGAAGATGTTTAAAAAAAAAAAAAAAAAAAAGCCATCAAATATTTGGGAAAAGTAAGAAAAAGTGGTCAAGATTTGAAGTTCTAGTTACGGCATTTTTTAAAAAGCCCATCCATCTGCACACTGATAGTTATGGCATTTTGAAACTAAATGGGATTAGAATAGCACACCGAGGTAGAAGGTCAAATGTTAAAATATTTTAAAGAAAATCTCATATAAAGACTTTTTCTAGTGTGTATTTTATTTTTCATGTTTCCTTTTTTCATGTTCTGTTGATCTTTCTTGACTCTGCAAATATTTTTTTCCTGATTGCTTCATTCAAACAATTCGTCTTCAACATCTTTGTCTTAGCTTAAGAAAGAGAGTTGCAAAGAGAGAAAGAAAGAAAAAGAAAAGCCTTCTGAATCTCTTTATGTGCAAATACAATGACTTCCTTGGAAATAATTTTTTGAAAAAGCTCTCAACAATTTGAAAAATGAAATACCATTGATCCAGGGAACCATATTCCCAAGGCTACTCCAGGAAATTTCTCTGATATTTTATCTTATTCTGTCCACTTTAACCCTTAAAAATTCACCTGTGTCTTACAAGTTTTAAATTGAGGCGATGAGGCCCCAGAGGCATCAGAAGGAAAAGTTTCCCTTATAATGACTCCTGTTTTCCGTATTCTTCCAGAGAAACCGGAGATCACGAGGCTGCCTGCCGGCACTGCTACGTTCTCTACAAACAGCAAACTCGAAAATGCCGTATTTCCCTGATAAATAATTCCCATTCTAAGGGATTCCACCCCCCATTCCAAGTCCCCTCCAAAAATATATATTGAAAGAAAACAAAATCACAAGGAAACACATTTTCTACTCTTGTAGCAGAAAAGGGCTGGTAACGGATTTTTGGTGTCTGCATAAGCTGAGAGCAAGTGGCTCTAACCTGGGTTTCTGCTGCCAGAGAAGGGGCCTGGAAGGTTCTCCCTGTGAGGAGATGGGGCAGCCCTACTGGGACACTGCGTAGGATTGCCAGATTTAGCAAATAAAAATACAGGACATCCCATTAAATTTGAATTTCCAATGAACCAGGAATATATATAATATGTTTGTTTGTTTTTTTTTTTTTTTTTGGAGACAGACTCTTGCTCTGTTGCCCAGGCTGGAGTGCAGTGGCATGATCATGGCTCACAGCAACCTCCTGGGGTCAAGCAATTCTCCTGCCTCAAGCTCCCGAGTAGCTGGGATTACAGGCACCCGCTACCACACCTGACTAATTTTTGTATTTTTAGTAGAGACAGGGTTTCACCATTTTGACCAGGCTGATCTCGAACTCCTGACCTCAGGTAATCCCCCTGCCTAGGCCTCTCAAAGTGCTGGGATCACAGGTATGAACCACCACGCCCAACCAGGAATAATTTTTTTTTTTTTAAGCATAAGTATGTCCCAAAGGTTGCATGGGACATACTTATACTAAAAACTTATTCCTGGTTCATATGAAATTCACCTGCCCTGGTGTATGCCATCTGGCAACCCTAGCCTTGGGTTCCAAACAGGGTCCAGCAGGCTGAACAGGGACATCCCAGTTTTCCCACCTCAAAGCAAAACTGAGTCCATGAAGAAAAGAGTGCTTTGTGCTGGGCTGGGAACAATGCTTGCCTGGCCATCAGCTAGCTGTGTGACAAACTCGTCCCATCTCCTCTCTGAACCCCAGTTTTCCTATCTGTGAATTGGGGGTTGGGTGAGATCTGAGGCCTGCAGGAGGGAAGGAAGCCGCCCAGCTCCGGCAGCCCTGAGCGAGTCTTTCTGGGTCTCACCCTCTCCTGTCTTTGCAAGCCTCCCAGATTACTGAGCCGGTCCCTGCTTTATGATAAGGAAGCTGAGGCTCCAAGGGAGGACGTGCCTGGCTGGGTCACCCAACAAGCACGCAGACAAAAACACTCAGAAATTTCAGTTGGATTTTCTTGTTAAGCACCAAACTGTTCACCGCAGGGAGAATCGGGACTTTGCAGGTTTCCTTGATGTTTGCTTTACAGTTTACTACCGTGTGTTTTGATGACCTGGGGTAGAGGATAAATTTTTGGGAACTTTGGCCGTTCAAAGTCGGGACTTGTGGGCCTGGCTCTCCCCAGCCAGCTTGGGTCCAGGCCCCGGAGATGTGGGGTTTCCCAGACCTCTCACCTCCTGCATTGAGCTTGGGGAAATGGCCTCAGAGGCTCCTATGAGACCTCAGACTGCTGGCCCTACTGGGGTGGCTTAGCCCCTGCTCCACACGGCAGGGCTGGGCAGGCACAGGGATCTACTAATTCAGATCATGTTCTCAGAGGAGAATACCACTTCTCAAGGGAGTGTCCCCATTCCCGCTGCACCCAAACCACATCCCTGCCCCGGGTGCTGGCATTGCCCTCCTGGCCAAAACCCAGTTAGGGGCTGCCAACCTGTTTCTTACAGCTCCTCAGAGGATGGTTCTCTTACTATCTCAGTCCAAACCCCTCCTTCAGCCAGTTCTTTTTCCTATCCTCCTTAACTCCCTCCTGCTGTAGGAGAAATCTTTTTGTTCCTGCTGAGCCTCCAGGGAGACAGGGAACAGCTGGTCAGCATCTGGTGCTCTCCATTAGCCAGGACTCCTGCCCCCTGGGCCTTCCGCTCCCCGGGCAGAATAACTCTGCTTCCTCTAACCTTTCGGCTGGGTCCCGTGCTCCAGGGCTTTCATCATGTCCTTCATACCTCTGAAGCCACTCCAGGCTCCCTGGCCCTCCTGTGGCTTCTGTTGGGCCCTGCCAGGCGGGCCAGCCAGGGCAGGGGCAGAGGGCGAATGACCCTCTCCCCTCCCAGCCCAGAGAAGCGGGGGGTGCGGGCAGCCATGTCTGGGGAAGGAGGCAGATGTCACAGCTGTGCCAGGTTCCTCCTACTGCAGGGTGAGCCTGAGCTTGTCTTCTGGAAAATGCGGACTGATGCCCTTTCTGCAAGGTTTGGTAAGAGGATGCCATGTGGTGGTACGGGTAGAGCCCCCTGCCTCTGTTCCAGGCCACCCTGAACTTCTCTTTCCCCATTGGATGACCTTGGATAAATGACCTCACTTCTCAAACCTCAGCTTTTTCATCTGTAAAGGGGTAGTTAGGAAGATTCTAGAGATAAGGTCCTAATGAGCCTGGCCCTGACCCACAGCGAGAGCTGTGCGGGGCCCATATTTTCAGCGACATTATCTCTGTTTTATTGTTAGTCATCTCAGGCCAGGAATGTGCACACCCAGGGGCTCAGCTGTCTGGCTTTGCTCGACCCTAGAGTCCTGGATTCTGAGCCTGTTGGATTCTGCTGCAGCCTGCTCCTACCTAGGAAAGGAGGGGTCTGTAAACACGGCCGAGTTAGCTCTTCCTCCGCAACACTTCCAAAATCCATTTGGGGATCTCCTCTTTCCAGAAGCTTCCGAGGCCCCAGTGAGATGTCTCTGCCAGCCACAGGGGCACAGGAGGGCTAAATCCAGTGGCCCTCTCCCTTCTCTCCCTAGCTTGGGTTCCTTTGTGCCACCCCGCGAGCGGGGTGTGTGTGCCCCAAGCCGACATGGGCACCTACAGATGAGGCCTGGTGGGCTGAACCGTCCACACTCAGCATTTACAGACTTGAATGAAAACCGAGCTCACAGAAGCTCCAGCCACCATCCTGGCCTCAGGTCACGTCCCTTAGAGACCCACCGCTGTGAAGGTGTCCCAGAAATGCCAGTTGTCTTTTGTCCAAAGATAGCATAAGCTGTCTTTGATTTAGGAGGGATCACCCCATCCCAACACCCGGCTCTCAGAGGCACCTCATTCTGGAAAGAGCTGGAGAGGCCATCTTGTTGGTCTCCTGCTACTGACCTGGGCCGTCTCCCATCCTCCTCCCCGCAGGCCTCTGTGAACCCCCCAGACCCCAAGTCTTGCTCTGCAGCTCACGGGGCTAGGAATGGGCCCTTGGTGGCATCCACAACTCCCCCCTGCCACAAAGCACATCTGCACAGACACCCAGCACGCACCTGACGATTCACTTGGTGATAAAAATTGGAAAGAATCCCAGAGAGAGATTTTTATTAAATGCAAACTTCTAATTATTCCTTTAGTCGTCTTTTTTCTAGTGACTGAGCTACGACGTATTTTCCTAGCAATTATTTTTAACATCTCGAAAACTGCCCTTAAGATATGCAAAACACACTCACTTAAGAGAGGCAAGTTCCCTTTTCCCTCTATCTCAGTTATTAAGAAAATAGGAAGTTAAATTTGTTCATAATCACATTTCCGCAGCAGACCATAACAGGGGTCACGCCTCCAAAATGAACAAGGAAAGAAAACCAAGAAATAAAAAACCAGAACGCCTTGGCGTGTTTGCGATTCCTGCCAGGGTGTGTAGGTTTGACGGTGGGATTTTCCTGGCATCAAACAGCAGTGAGCCCCAGGCTCCCCCAGGATCCTTCAGGGTCCGTAAGTGGGTCAAGGAGTTCAGAGTTGGACCTTACCTGCGGGCGTCCCGAGGGGCAGGCTGGGCTCAGGAGCTGACCGTGCCAGGGCTGGGCCACAGAAGGTGAAGGCGCGGTGCGTGGAGGCCCTTTGTGGACAGGTGCATGGGCCCATCTCTCTCCGAGGCGCTACCTGCGGTTTACTGGACGTTTATTAGAAGCTCACACAATATCATGAAGCACCTGCAGGCAATAAAATCCCTTACATGTGTGAGGCCTTGAGGAAATTAACGGCTCCTCCCTGGGGATGCATATTTTGTGAAGATGTTTATTGCAGATGAAACGCTCCCGGGGTGGGACATTAACAAGTTGTAGAGTGATAAAAGGATTTTTATCCTTTCTCAGTGACAGAAGTAGGAAGAAGGCTTTAATGGAATCTATAAAAGACCTACTTCCTAATGAATTTTCTTAACTCTTTATTAATGGGGCTGGCTGTGTGGAGTCGGGGTCCGTGGTGTGCTGCCCCATTGGACAAGGCGGGGATGGAGCGGGAGAAGGGGCACGGGGCCCGTGCTGGGTCGAGAGCGCATGAGAGGTCTCCGAGTGAGAATCCCGGGGCCGGGAAGTCCATCCGTGAGTGTGCTCCAGTGATAAAGGCACTGCCCCAGGAAACTCATTTGGAGGGCCCTTGGGGTGATGGAGTGAGTCAGGCCAAAAGGCAGGTTCTGAGCCCCACTTTTTAACCCCCTGTGTCCTGCTCCAGCCTGCAGGCCATTACTGAGATGAAAGCCGGGAGAGTGCCTTTGGACCACGACTGCGGAATCTAATTGAATTATATGAACGCAGTTAAACGTCTGCTTCAGAGAGGCAGGGCTCACTTTCAAGATTGGATGCTTCAGGAGTTAATGGGCTATTTGAACAATATAGGCCGAGAGCCGAACACAGGTGGGCTGTGTTAATAACTTTATTTAGACTTGCTTTTTTTTCCCTTTGAGGCGCACAAGCCTTCCATTAATGCATTCATTAGAGTTTATGGGCAGGCTCTGGTTTTCTCCTAATGACACTGTCCAGACCCGGCTCCCAGCTAATTGAGGCCAGCTGCCCGGCTGCCCCGCCCCAGCCTCAGGACCCGGTGTCACCAGGATTAGCTATGGGGCTGGGGCTGGAGCAGTGGGGGAGGAGTCCTGCTTGCCCTCTCCAGTAAGTACAGGAGGGGAGGTGCCGAGGGACACCCCAGCACCACTCAGGCTGGTGAAGGAGCCCAGATGGGTGGGCTGCCATCCCCACGCCCCTTGGGACAGCCTCTGCCACCATCACTGTGGCCCCCTCCTGGTCCTCCTCCCCTTTGCAGTCACACTGATGTTCCAAGAGACCAATCCAACCCTGTCACACCCTGCTGAACAGCCCGCTGTGGCTCCCCACTGCCCTCAGAAGAAAATGCAGACTCCGTCTCTCCATCCAGCAATCTTCTCATGGGCTCCAGCCTCCTCTCTCACCTGGTCCTCGTTCCAGATGCATCCCCATGTCCCTCCTCTCTTTGTTGTGGGCCAACAGCCAGCAATGCCTCACCTTAACCCAAATGGACCCACCCTCTCCCAAACCTACAAGGCCCAGTTCAAATGCATCCTCCTCCAGGAAGCCTTCCTTTTCTGCCTGAATTGGAATCCTTTGAATGTGTGTATGTCTTATTGTTTGCCTCTCCTTCCACTAGGCCATGAATACCTTGAGGGCAGGATCCGAATTTGTTATTAGTATTAAAATAACAATAACACAGCTGGGCACGGTGACTCACGCTGTAATCCCAGCACTTTGGGAGGCTGAGGCGGGCAGATCACTTGAGGTCAGAAGTTCGAGACCAGCCTAGCCAACATAGTGAAACCCCATCTGTACTAAAAATACAAAAATTAGCCAGGCGTGGTGGCAGACTCCTGTAATCCTAGCCATTCAGGAGCCTGAGGCAGGAGAATCGCTTGAACTAGGGAGGTGGAGGTTGCATTGAGCTGAGATTGCACCACTACACTCCAGCCTGGGGGACAGAGTGAGACTCCATCTCAAAAATGAATAAAATAAAAATAACAATAATACACTAGTGGTCAGGTCCCCACTTATGAAGCGGAGGTTGCAGTGAGCCGAGATTGCACCACTACACTCCAGCCTGGGTGACAGTGAGACTCCGTCTCAAAAATGAACAAAATAAAAATAACAATAATACACTAGCGGTCCCCACTTATGAAGCATTTACTATATGCCAGTTGCTTTATAAGCATTGGCTTATTAAACCGCCACAGCACCCGGAAGGGACGTTTTACTGTCCCCATTTCACAGGTGAGGAAACTGGTGCTCAGGGACAGAACATTACTTGCTCAAGGACACCTGTCTCTGCCACTTACCAGCCGGGTGACCTCCCTTCCCCTCCCTGATGACTGCGTCTGTATGTCTGTATTGTGAGATTGTAGCAGTGGGGTGTGGGCATCGGTCCATGTCAGTTTGCAAGAGCTGCTGGTTACATTTTCAAGAATTAATGTTACAAGCTGGTTGTTAAACACAGCCTTTGTTAAACATTTAAATTATGTAAACTTAAATAAATGATATTCAAATCAAAGGTAATAAACACTCCAAACTCATCCATTCCTATACGTTTACTTCATTTTCCTATCATCTATGCCCTTGAGCTCATGTCTACTGTATCTGTGTTGGAAATGCCACATCATGGCAGCTGTGGCACATCTGTGCCTAACTCCACGTGCAGTAACATCATGTTCACCACTTGAAATCAGCCATAGTAGGAGTATTTACACCATAGACATGGTCAAACTCCACAAATCAGGGCTTTTTTCCTCCAGAGAGCAGGTTGTGAGACATGTAGCAGCACATTACTGGGTTATAGAGAAACGCCAAGAAAGAACTCTGCCCACAGCTCTGAGCACAGTGCCAGGTACACACTAAGCACTCAATAAAAGTTTGTTTTGATGAAGATTATAAGAGTGATGATGACAACAATGCCAGTGACATCATGCTCCCCATATCCCCACCCCCAAACCACTCCTACCAGTCCAGGCCTCTATCCTGAGCTCCATGAGCCCCGTGGCCCAGCTTCCTAGACACCCAAAATAGAATCTCCCCCTTGAGGGCCCCTGGGTCAGAGAATGGCATCTTCATCCCCCACGGCCCCGCCAGCAGCCCAGGCAGCTGTCTTGCCTCCTCTGCCATTTCTTGTCTGCACTGGGGTCATTCTCTCTCACTGTTGCCCATCTCACTCCCCCCCTCCAGCCCGCCCTCCTCCAGACGGGCAATGCCACCATCCCCAAGCGTGAATCTGACCCTGTTACCCTTCCCTGGGTCCTGGTCACCTCTGGAAGTTCCGGGCTCCTCGGCCGTCATCTGAGGCTCTGCCCAGCCTCCTGCTGCTGCCTAGGAGTACACAGCCCCATCGCCTGCCCATCCCTCGGGTGCACCCTGCCCCAGCCACACCAAACTGCTCACATTGATGGATGGCATTCTTCCAGATGCTATTCCAGGTACTGGGGCTACAGGGTAGACAAGACAAAATCCTTGTTCTCTTGAAGTTTTCATTTTAGTAGGTTAAAACAAATTTTAATTTAAAAAGCAGCATGTGTGTGTGTGTGTATGTGTGTGTGTGCATTGTGTGTGTCTAATATCAGGTGGCATTGTTATTAGGTTGGTACAAAAGTAATGCGTTTTTTTGCCATTAAAAGTAATGTCAAAAAACTCAATTACTTTTGCACCAACCTAATAGCATGGAGAAAAATAAGCAGGATAAAGACCAAGACAGTCACCGTGGGAGTTGCTGTGTTATATGGGAGTCAAGAACAACCTTATTCATTGGTGACCTTTGGGCGGAGACCTGAAGAAAGAGATGGTGTGGCTCTCCAGGCAGAAGGAAGAGCCAGTGCAAAGGCCCCGAGCTGAGACTGTTTTTCTATCTAAGGAAGAGCAATGGCTGGAATGGAGTGACCAGGTAAATTCAGAGAAACACAGGGGCCAGATTGTGTAGGGTGTGATTGTTCATGCTTAGGACTTTGGAATTTATCTGGAGTGAGCTAAGAAGCCAGTAGTGGGTTTTCAGCAGGGGAGTGATGTGACAGACACATTTCAAAAGCTTCACTCTGGCTGCCGTGCTGATTTGGAAGTCTTGGGCAGACCCCGGGACACAGGCTAGGAGGTGGCTACAATTATCTTCCAATGAGAGATGACGATTCTTCTTTCTGGTCTTTGGCTCATGGTATCCCCTTATCCTAGAATGACCCCCCACTTCTCCTCATTATGTAAGACTAAATCCAGGTTCACCTCCTCCAGGAAGCCACCTCTGATCTCTCCTACCCAGGTTGGGTCAGGTGGCCTCCTGTGTGCTCCCATAGGCCCAGTCACGCCCCTCTCACTGAACTGAAAGGCCTGTTTACCCACCTGGTTCCCCAATAGCCAGAGAGCAACTTGAGGACAGAGGCTGGGAATCTCTGTCTCCAGGACCAGCACATGATCAGGCACAGAAGAGATGCTCAGAGAGGACAGGGGCGGTGGCTCATGCCTATAATCCCAGCACTTCGGGAGGCCAAGGCGGGTGGATCACTTGAAGTCAGGAGTTCAAGACCAGTCTGGCCAACTCGGTGAAACCCCATCTCTACTAAAAATAATAATGAAAAACATAGCTAGGCATGGTGGCATGCACCTGTAATCCCAGCTACTCGGGAGGCTGAGACACAAGAATTGCTTGAATCTGGGAGGCAGCAATTGCAGTGATCTGAGATCACAGCACTGCACTCCAGCCTGGGCAACAGAGTGAGACTCCATCTCAAAAACAACAACAACAACAACAAAAAAAAGAAACAAAAGGTGCTCAGTGAACATGTGTTGACATGAGCTAAAAGACACAGTGATATTATCAGAGTGAATGTCCTTCCACAAATACTTGTCAAAGGTAAGCTTCTACAGGGTGCCAGAGATTCCATCCCAAACAAAATAAACATGGTCCCTGCTCTTGTGACTCTCCCACTCTAGGGTTGGGGAACTTCCAGAAGCTAGGGGTGGCCAGGGTAGCAAAAGAGGGGTGAAGAATAGTAAGAGCTGAGGCAGAGTAAATCATGCTGTACCTTTAATGTCGTGGTAGAGAAGTTGCAATTTCTCCCGTGATCACTGAGAAACTGTTGAAAGCACGTGGCATAGTCAAATGTTTTTAAAAGATGACCCTAAAATGGCACCAGGCCCAGATGATTCTATCAGTTCTCTCAAAGAATAGTGTACATGTAATTTATACTTTTCCAAAGATGAGAAGTTTCACTTATAATTTTGTGAGTTTAGTACAAATCTAATCCCATAACCCAACAAAGACAGCTTTATAAACCCCATAGATGACTAATCTCATCTATAAACAGCGATGAGGAAACACAAAATCAAATGCTATCATAGAGAAAGTAGCAAAACATTAAAGATATTGACTGGGCACAGTGGCTCATGCCTATAATCCCAGCACTTTGAGAAGCTGAGGTGGACGGATTGCTCAAGCCCAGGAGTTCGAGACCAGCCTGGACTACATGGCAAAACCCTGTCTCTACAAAAAATACAAAAGTTAACCAGGCGTGGTAGCGTGCACCTGTAATCCCAGCTACTCCGGAGGCTAAGGTGGGAGGATTGCTTGAGCCCAGGAGGTCAAGGATGTAGTGAGCTGTGATCATGCCACTGCACTTCAGCCTGGATGACAGAGTGAGACCGCATCTCAAAAGAAAAAGAAAAAAAAACATTAAAAATCTAATACACCATTCTAGGAATACAGGTTCAGATGAGGAAAGTCTGTTTATATTATCTATCTCGCTTAATGCCCATTCTCAATCTAAATATTGTGCAGACTTTGTACTTAAGAGTGAACGCCAGCCGGGCATGGTGGCCACACCTGTAATCCCAGCACATTGGGAGGCCAAGACGGGCGGATCACTTGAGGTCAGGAGTTCGAGACCAGCCTGGCCAACACGGTGAAACCCCATCTCTACTAAAAATACACAAATTAGCTGGACATAGCGGTGCACACCTGTTGTCCCAGGTACTCAGGAGGCTGAGGCAGGAGAATCACTTGAACCCGGGTGGTGGAGGCTGCAGTGAGCTGAGATTGTGCCACTGCACTCCAGCCTGGGCAACAAGAGGGAGACTCTGTCTCAAAAAAAAAAAAAAAAAAGAGTGAACATCGTGGCAGGTATATGAACCAGACCTGGCTATGACGAGGATGCCTGTGTGACACAGCATTGCCCCGGGTATGCTGGATGCTAGCGCACTGTCCTCCTCCTTTTGTCTTCATGACACAAACATATTTACATATGGCAGTCCCCCTTTATCCTTGGAGGATAAAGTCCAAGCCCCCCAGTGGATGCCTGGAACCTCAGATAGTTCCAAACCCTAGTTGTACTATTTTTTTTTTCCTGTACATACGTACTTAGGATAAAGTTTAATTTACAAATCAAGCACAGTACACTTGCACTTGGGGGCCATTATTAAGTAAAATAAGGGTGACTTAAACACAAGCATTGTGAAACCACTACATTGATCTGATAACTGAGACAGCTACTAAGTGACTAGCGGGCAGGTAGTGAAGGCAGGTAGCAGAGGCTGTGTGGATCTGCTGGACCAAGAGATAATTCACATCCCAGGTGGGAAAGAGCAGCATGACGCGAGGTTTCATTATGTAACTGAGAACATTGTGCAATTTAAAACTTAGGAATTTGGCCGGGCACGGTGGCTCACATCTGTAATCCCAGCACTTTGGGAGGTCGAGGTGGACGGATCACCTGAGGCCAGGAATTCAAGACCAGCCTGGCCAACATGGCGAAACCCCGTCTCTACCAAAAATACAAAAATTAGCCTGGCATGGTGGTGCACGCCTGTAATTCAGCTACTCGGGAGGCTGAGGCAGGATGGGAGACAGAGGTTGCATTGAGCCAAGATCACGCCACTGCACTGCAGCCTGGGTGACAGAGTGAGACTCCATCTCAAAAAACAAACAAACTAACTAAATAAATAAATAAAACTTAGGGGATGGTTTATTTCTGCAATTTTCCATTTAATATTTTTGGACCATAGTTGACCATGGGTAACAGAAACCATAGAAAGCAAAACTGTGGCTAAGGAGAAGCTGCTGTCCTCGTCTGGTTATGGCCACCCCTGGGTGTAGAGGGTGATCCTCAGCCACACAGGAGGTTTTGCTGGTTCCGGGACCATAGACTGTAACCCACCAGCTCAGATAATCATGACAGACAGTGACCTAGTAGGAAGTACAATATTGGAAAAATAAGTATCGCTACTTTCAGATGAAGATGTCATTTGTCTGTAAAATCCAAAATAATCATTTAGAAATTATTAAGACTAAAAAAGGGGTTTGGCAAAATGGCTAGCAGAAAATTAGAAAAGCAGAAATAAGTAAGTTTTCTATATTTTAATAACAAGCAGTTTGAAAATATAATGGGGAAATCCCACTTATAAAGGCCATTAAAAAGTATTAAATGGGCCAGGCACAGTGGCTCGCGCCTGTAATCCCAGCACTTTGGGAGGCTGAGGTGGGCAGATGGTTTGAGCCCAGGAGTTCAAGACCAGCTTGGGCAACATAAGGAGACCCTATCTCTACAAAAAACTTAAAAAATTAGCCACACATGGTGGTGCACGCCTGTGGTCTCAGCTACTTGGGAGGCTGAGGTAGGAGGATCTCTTGAGCCCGGAAGGTTGAGGCTGCAGTGAGTCATGATCACACCACTGCACTCCAGCCTGGGCAACAGAGCAAAACCCTGTCTCAAAAAAAAAAAAGGTTATAAATGCATAACCAGAAATGTGCAGGACCTATAAGACTAACACTAAAAAACTTTACTGAGGGATATAGAAAAACTTTTTTTTTTTTGAGACAGAGTCTCACCCTGTCGCCCAGGCTGGAGTGCAGTGGTGCGATACAGCTCACTGCAGCCTCCGCCTCCTGGGATCAAGCGATTCTCCTGCCTCAGCCTCCCAAGTAGCTGAGACCACAGGCATGCACCACCATGCCCAGCTAATTTTTGTATTTTTGGTGGAGACGGGGTTTCACCATGTTGGCCAGGCTGGTCTTGAACTCCTGACCTAATGATCCGCCCTCCTAGGCCTCCCAAAGTGCAGGCATGAGCCACCGCACCCGGCCTAGAAAAGCTTTTAAATCACTGGGGAGAAGTTTTCTAAAACTGAGCATTTTTCTGGTATGAGAAGATTGATTAGTATAAAAATGTCCATTTTCTCCAAAGTAATGAACAAATTTAACACCAGTACAAACAAAATATCAGTGGAATTTTATTTTTCAACTTAAATATTTCTAAAGTTCATCTGGAAATACAAATGTATTAGAATTACCAAGAATTTTTTGAAAAGAAGGATTAATAAGAAGTTTGCCTATAAGATAACAAAACATATTATAAAGCTATAGAAATTAAATCAGAAAGATACTGATAGAGAAAGAGACAAATGTGTCAATAAGATAGACCTGGCCAGGCGCGGTGGCTCACACTGTAATCCCAGCACTTTGGGAGGCCGAGTCAGGCAGATCACCTGAGATCAGGAGTTTGAAACCAGCCTGGCCAACATGGTGAAACCCATCTCTACTAAAAATACAAAAATTAGCCAGGCGCAGTGGTGGGTGGCTGTAATCCCAGCTACTTGGGAGGCTGAGGCAGGAGAATCACTTGAACCCGGGAGGTGGAGGTTGCAGTGAGCCGAGATTGCCCCATTGTACTTTAGCCTGGGCAGCAGAACGAGACTCCATCTCAAAATAAAAAAAGGCCCAAAGACAATGGAAATTGAGTATAATAAAGGATAGATTTCAACTCAATAGGGAAATAATAGAATGCTTAATAAATAATGTAGAAACATTAGAGGAAGCATTGGGAAAAATAAAGTTAAATCCCTACCTTATGTGAAAATAAATTCCAGATAGATTAAAGATGTAAGTTTTTAGGGGGATGTTTTTTTAATTGCCAGAAGAAAATATTGGTGAATAGTTATACAATATTGAGTGTGGGAAAGATATTTCTAAATATTACTTCAAAAACAAAAACAAGAAAAAAGTTTTAATTGCTATGTTTACATTATTAAATTATAAGTATTAGATAATATTTTTATTATTTTTACATACAACTATTACATATTTGGCATATTAAAATATTGCAGTGAGCAAACTAGAAGAGATAAATTCTAAATTGAGGAGAGGAAAGGTACTTGCTAGATATATGGCAGAAAAAAGTGATTATATTTACATATAGATATCTCTTACCAATCTAAAATTTAGTACTAATTTGACAGAGGCAGTTCACAAAAGAGGAAATAAAAATGATCCATATGTGCCCAGGCGCGGTGGCTCATGCCTATAATCTCAGCACTTTGGGAGGCGGAGGCGGGTGGATCACTTGAGGTCAGGAGTTCTAGACCAGCCTGGCCAACATGGTGAAACCCCATCTCTACTAAAAATACAAAAATTAGCCTGGTGTGGTGGTGCATGCCTGTAGTCCCAGCTGCTCGGGAGGCTGAACCAGGAGAATGGCTTGAACCCAGGAGGCAGAGGTTGCAGCGAACTGAGATCGCGCCACTACACTCCAGCCTGACTGACAGAGCCAGACTCCATCTAAAAAAAAAAAAAAAAAAAATCCACTAAGTGTAAGAAAAGATGCCCAACCTCACAAATAATCAAAGAAAGGCAAATTAATACACAAAGATAGTATGTTTTGCTTATCAAACTGATCAAGATTCAAAAAAATGCTAACACCCAGTGCTGGTGAGTTTGTGGGGAAAGAGGCACTCTCACATACTGCTGGTAGTGGAGTAAATTGGTGCAGCCTCCTGGAAGAGGCATCATACATGAACAGCCCTTAAAATACTCAGACCCTCTGACCCAGCATTTCCACCTCTTGGAATGTATTGTGGAGAAATAAATAAGATACTTGCACAAAAGAATTCAATGAAGCACTCTTTATAAACAGGTAAAGAACTGGATACAAGCTAAACATTTAGGGAAATGGTTAAATTGTTGCACACCCATTCTAACCAGTATTAAAAAGAATGAGGGAGAAGAATCTCTGGGTGCTGACCTGAGCGATCTCCAGACTATAGTTGGGTAAGAAAAGAAAATGCCAACACTATGTATAGCATGTTTGAAGCTGTGAAATATACTTACAAACATTTATGTTCATAAACATTCTGAAAACATGCCCAAAATGTTACATTGTGGAGAATATAGCTTTTTGTGTTTTTTTGAGGTTTTATATGGTGCTTGTATTATTATTTATTTAAAAATGTTAAAACAAAAAAGTTATGCTATATATGTGCATTTATTTTCACATTGGGGACCTGTCAAAAATAATCAGTTAACTAAACAGTGCAAATAATATGATACCATCTTTAAAAAAAAAAAAAGAAAGAAAGAAAGAAATAGGCCAGGCGCTGTGGCTCATGCCTGTAATCCCAGCAATTTGGGAGGCCCAGGTGGGCAGATCACCTGGGGTCAAGAGTTTGAGACCAGCCTGGCCAACATAGTGAAACCCCATCTCTACTAAAAATACAAAAATTAGCCGAGCGTGGTGGCGGGCACCTGTAATCCCAGCTACTCAGGATCTGAGGCAGGAGAATCACTTGAACTCAGGAGGTGGAGGTTGTAGTGAGCAGAGAGCATGCCACCACACTCCAGCCAGGCGACAGAGCAAGACTCCGTCTCAAAAAAATAAAATAAAATAAAATAGAAATAAATATACACACGAATGTCTATGTGTATGTGTATATTTCTCACCTGTACCTGGCTTATCCATTGCCCCATTCCACTCTTGCACACAAAGCTGGGGCATAATAAATATTTGTTGAATACATTTAAGTGCATATTTCTGGAGTATATACATTCATATCTTAAATGGTGCTGGTCCCTGGGTGAGAAGATTATGGATGGTTTTTATGTTCTTCTATTTGTTGTTTTTTCCCTAAAGTTTCCCTAAAAAATATATATCATGTGTCTTATTTTCCTGTTTCCATTATAAAAAAAGAAAGAAACATTATTTCTCTATGAAATGGATGACTAATGAACTGGTTAACAGGTTGAGGGTCTGGTGACATTGTGGAGGTTGGGGGGCCACCGTCTGCCCAGAACATGCCCCCACTGAAGACCCCTTCTCGAGTCCTTCCCTACTGTTCTCTTATCCATTCTGAACAATAGCAGACTCACCTGGAAGCTTATAAAAAACATTCATTGCCAGGCCCTAGCCCAGGCTGGCTGACTCCCTGGAGGTGGCCGTGGGCACTGTGGTCTGAAGATCCAAAGTCATATTTCACCCGTCTCCCTTGAACCCTATGCCCCCTGACTAAGCGTCTCACTCTTCCTGGAACAGGCCTGGCCCCTTGCACCTTGGCACGGCAGCTCCCCAGTCTGAGGCACCCTCCCCACTTTGCCCCCCAACACATTTCTACCCTTGGTCACCAACCCCGGGTGTGTCTTCAGAGACACACTCACACCCCCGTAAACAAGGAGGTCTGGAAATAGCCTGCCACTGTCCCACACCCCAAATCCTGGGGTCTCCGGATCAACTCCCCACCCTGCCTGGACTCCCATCACCCTCCCAGCTCTATTCTCGGCCGATCACCTGTGGCCCTAAAGCTGCAACTGGTGCTCCGAGTCCATTCTGGGGACAGGATGCTGGAGGGGAACGCTCTAGAACCACCCCCTCTTACAGATGTGGTTCCTGATGCCCAGGGAGGCTGGTGCTACCCTGACCACACCCTCACACCCTGCAACTGCTGGCTCTCAAAGGATTCTTACACATTAATAAGAAATTGTCACGCACCCATTAGAATAACACCAGTCCTCCCTGCTCCCCTAAGAAGTGCATGGCTGGAGGCTTCCAAATCTGCCCAGAGCCTCAGCTCATCCAGGAGCCTCAACTTGGAATCTGGGGAGGAGGAGTCCTGGCTTGGTCCTGGCCCTTAAACTGGGGCTTTCCTCCTTGTCCTTCGCCTGATGCCCTGCATGAAGGGTCTCAAAACCTCTCAACCTCTTAGCATCCTCCTCACCACGCCTCACTCTCAGCAGGTGAGGGCTGAGGCCTGGATGTCCTGGTGACAGGAAGCCCAGATGAAAGAGTGACATTTCCTTTGACAATTGCCCTCCCCAGAGGAGGGGTGACTGAAGGGCCCTGGGGTCTGCGTGGCTCGTCCTGGACATGCCTCTTTGCAAACCCACAGCTCCCTGGAGCATGGCTGTCTGCCCCTGGTTTTCTCATCTCTCCCAGACACCCCCCACCACCAGGCTCAGCCATCCATGTGGGAGGTGGGAGGGTGCCCTGCGGTGGCCATGGCCAGTGAACGCTCCAGGGGGACATGGTTGGTCCCCCTTGGACGTGAACCTACATCAGCACAGGCGTCCCTGGGGTGGGTTTGGCATCTGATTCCTCCTGAGACTCCAGCTCCTGCCCCTGCTGAACGTGGGGTGAGAGTGAAGGGAAGATTGAGGGAGAGGGCAAAGGGATGCAGTAGTGCTGAGGTGAGCCTGTGCCCTGAGTGAGGCGGCCCCATCCAAGGCCTGGCCTCTGCTGAAGTCTAGCTCCTCAGCCATGTGCCCCCAACTTCTCTGCACCTCAGTTTCTTCCTCTGTGAAGGGGACATAGGGATGGTGTATTAGTCTCTTCTCACACTGCTGATAAAGACATACCGGAAACTGGGCAATTTACAAAAAAAAAAGAGACATGGCTAGGGAGGCCTCACAATCATGGTGGAAGGCAAGGAGGAGCAAGTCACGTCTTATATGGATGGCAGCAGGCAAAGAGAGAGAGAGCGTGTGCAGGGAAACTCCCCCTTATAAAACCATCAGGTCTTGGCTGGGCACGGTGACTTACGCCTGTAATCCCAGCACTTTGGGAGGCCGAGGCAGTTGGATCACGAGGTCAGGAGATTGAGACCATCCTGGCTAACATAGTGAAACCCCTTTTCTACTAAAAATACAAAAAATTAGCCGGGCATGGTGGCAGGCGCCTGTAGTCCCAGCTACTCGGGAGGCTGAGGCAGGAGAATGGTGTGAACTCAGGAGGCGGAGCTTACAGTGAGCCAAGATCATGCCACTGCACTCCAGACTGGGCGACAGAGCAAGACTCCATCTCAAAAAACAAACAAAAACAAAAACAAAAAACCCATCAGGGCTTGCGAGACTTATTCACTATCTCAAGAACAGCACAGGAAAGACCTGCTCCCATGATTCAATTACCTCCCTCCAGTCCCTGCCATGACACATGGGAATTTGAGATTTGGGTGGGGCACAGCCAAACCATAACAGGTGGTGTCTGTGTCGCTGGGTTGCTGCGTGAGTTAAGCAGGATGTCCATGGAAATGTGCAACCTGTGCTGGCCCTGGGCGAGTGCTCAGTGCACAGGAGCACCCCTTCCCACCCATCCCTTCCTCCTCCCTCCCCTCCTGCCTTCCCTTGGTCATCTTTTATAATTATAGCAATAATATCCAGTAGCTGTAGCAGTAGTTTGCAGTCTCTGAAGCCCACTCGGGGTCCTCTCTCTTGGCTCCTGCCCTGGAGGCCTTCCCTGGGACCCTGTTGGGCTGGGAGGGTGGGAATGGTCTGGAACAGAGCGGCCCCTGGCACTGAGCTCTGGAGATGATGGAAGAACATACTCGGAGTTTGGTAGGAGACAGAGAATTGAATGGAAAGGAGGATGGTCTAGGCCCGGGTGGGGCAGCTGCTAAGCCCTGTGTACCTTGGTTTCCCTGTCCCTGGTCCCTGTGGCAGAATCTTGCTGCCTGACCTTTGTGCCATGCCCCCTTCAGCTGAGCCATGCAGAGAGGGGACCTCACCAGGGCCCTCCTGTCCTCCCCTTGGCCCCTCCTCTGCCCTCATCCCTCCCCACCCAGAGCCAGCCTGCTCCCCTCACCAAGGTGGCCAGGGTCTTCAGGTGAGAATCTCCATGGCATCTTAGGGCCCCAAACAGAAGTCCATCCCTTCACCTCATCACAGGACCCACCTGCAGCCTGTCACCAGCCACCCTCCTCTCATCCCTGGCCCTTGCTGTCCCACCCCGATGCTGTCCCACCCAGGCTCTGTCCCCTCTCCTCTCCTACCAAAGCTTCCACAGCCTCCCAGTTCCAAGGTGCACCTGGATCCTTTCTAGAGGTAGGGGCCAGCTGAGTCTGTCTAGAAATAATTTCTAGCCATGTGAATTCTTACATATTTTAAGTAATTAAATTTGAAATCTATTGCAACATGTTCTAGGGTGAGGTGGGTGCTAGAGAAGGCGGAAGGGAAAGACTCAGCCCAGGCCTTGCTGTCTGGTCCCGGGGAGCTGAAGCCTGAGCTTCTGTTTCCTTCTATTAGGCTGCAATGGGCTCAGGTAATCGACACTCCAGAGGCCAGGAGAACAGATGTGTTGAGTAGAGGTACTTCTAGGATGTGGGCACACAGTGGACTGGTGGGTGGGGCAGGGGTGACGAGCTGGCATGGAACCCAGCCCTTCCCTGGACCAGATGTCTCTAATGTGCAGGTGAGGAAACCAAGGCACAGACAAGGTGAGTCACTGGCCTGCCACACAGCGCAGAAGCCGGACTTCGGCAGAAACCAGGCCTTGGATGGGGCTGCCTCACCCAGGGCACAGGCTCACCTTTGCACGACTGCATCCCTTTGCCCTCTTGCTCAATCTTCCCTTCACTGTCACCCACATTCAGCAGGGGGCAGGCGCTGGAGTCTCAGGGGGAATCAGATGCCAAACCTACCCCAGGGATGCCTGTGCTGATGTAGAGTCACGTCTGAGGGGGACCAACCATGCCCCCCTGGAGTGTTCTCTGGCCGTGCCCACTGCAGGGCACCCTCCCACCTCCCACATGGGTGGCTGAGCCTGGGAGTAGGGGGTGTCTGGTAGAGATGGGAAAACCAGGGGCAGACAGCCATGCTCCAGGAAGCTGTGGGTTTGCAAAGCAGTGTCCAGGGCAAGCCACGCAGACCCCAGGGCCCTTCAGCCACCCCTCCCCAGCCAATGTCCCCCTTTCCTCTGGCCTTCCTGTCACCAGGACTTCCAGGGCTCAGCCCTTACCTGCTGGGAGTGAGATGTGGCAAGGAGAAGGCTGAGAGGGTAGGAGGTTTTGAGACCCTTCATGCAGGGGGTCAGGGGAAGGGCCAAGTTCAAGGGCCAGGACCAGACTCCTGGACTGCTAAGATGTAAAGGTGGGACAGGAGCCCCTGTCCCGAGTCAGGCTGGCTTGTCTCCATTCATTCATTCTGTCAGTTAGTCATCAGACATCCCTTGATCCCTGCAGTCTGCCCAACTCTGGGCTGGGGACTCATATATAAATGGCAGTGGGTGGGAGGAACGCTTAGGGCTGGGGCTTAGGACAAGTCAAAATCCATGAACAAGGGACGCAGCAGAGGGAATGTCCTCTGCCACCCTTTTCATCGGATTCAGGCTCTGAGCAGAGCCAGAGACCTGCCCATTCCACAGGCACCAGAGTTGGCAGCTCAGCCACCACATAGGTGCACGGGGTGGGGGCAGTGGCTGGCAGGAGGTGGGCAGCTGCTCTGGGGGAGGTGTGGGTGCCAGGCAGAGGGTGCACACCCATGAACAAAGAGGCACACCAGTGCGCACTACAGGGGTTGGGAGCGCGGGGTGGGGTGGGCTGGGGTGGGGCAGCAGCTGCCTCTCCAGCCTCCCAGTCCCTCTCTTGCTGAGCGATGGGCAGGGCTGATAGCAGCGGATGTTGGGCCAGCCGAGGGGGCTCACTGCCCCCCCACAAGAGTTCTTTATCGGCAGGATGCGCCGTTGCCAGGGAGCTGGCTTCAGGCCCTGCTCTAGCCGTTGCTGGGAGGATTATCAGAAAGATTTGAGTCTTTTTAATTAAATCCAAGCGAATGCAATTCTGTGCCTGCACGGAGAAGCCCATTCAGGATCCTGTCACTGCCTCCGATAGCTTTGTCTCAAAGTCCCTGCTATCAGGCCACCAATCTGGCCACGAGGCGGCTGCCCCCATCCCCAGCTTGACAGCGGTGGGTACCTGGGGAGCCAACACGTAGGAGGTCCCTTCTGCCCTGCTGGGTGCTGGCCTCAGAATTCCAGGGAAATTTTGCCAGGGGCCAGGCCAGAAAGTCACAACCCTTCACTCAGCTTTAAAAGTCGGTCTTACCAGCCACAGCACCCAAGCACACGCCCTTTGAGCTTTCACATGGTGCCAGGTGTTGTGCCCTGGCTCATGGATTCCTCAGGCTGCAACCCTATAGGGAAGCTTCTACTACCATCCCCACTTTACAGATTTGAGAAAACAGAGCCCTAGAGGGACGAATTCACTCAGCCAGGTCCACACAGGTAGTAAGTGGCAGAACCAGGATTTAAACTGAAGTCTTTCTGATTCCAAAGTCTCCACTCTTAATTCCACTCTTTTTTTTTTTTTTTTTTTTTTTTTTGAGACAGTCTCGCTCTGTCACCCAGGCTGGAATGTGGTGGTGCAATCTTGGCTCACTGCAACCTGCAACCTCCGCCTCCTGGGTTCAAGCGATTCTCCTGCCTCAGCCTCCCAAGTAGCTGGGATTACAGGCACCCGCCATCACGCCTAATTTTTGTATTTTTAGTAGAAACAGGGTTTCGCCATGTTGGCCAGGCTGGTCTTGAACTACTGACCTCAGGTGATCCACCCTCCTCGACCTCCCAAAGTTCTGGGATTACAGGCATGAGCCACCGTGCCTAGCTTTAATTCCACTCTTAAAGTATCCATGTCTACTAGTTTGAGGGCCAGCCTGGGCCTGCCCAACCATTCCAGCCACCCTCTCACCAAGGCCCCCGGGCTCCATCCAGCAGTCCCACCACTAGCAGTCATCACTCCAACCATAACAACAGCCAGCACGTTCCAAGTACCCACCAGGTGCCAGGCACCTTTCCCCTTGCCTCGTTCAGGCCTCACTTAGCCTTCGGAGGCGGCATCAGCCTCTGCCCCATTCCTGGATGCAGAAACAGGAGCTCTGAGAGGGCTGAGTCAGTTGCCCAGCATCACAAAGTCAGGGACAGGTCCCCCCTCCCAGGTTTTCCTGGTTCAAAGCTGGCATTCCCGGCCTCTCTTGTCCCACAGGAGGCAAAAGCCCGTGCCTGGCACAGCCTGGGAATGGGAGGCAAGTCAGGGTCAGGGCTCAGGGACTCGGAGTTGGTTCATGCTGCTGCCAGAGGACAAAATTAACTCGATAAATAACAGATATGGCAGGGGGCGGGGTGCGCTCCTTTTAGAAAACTCGGCAGCTCCGGGCACCCATGCCTGTGTGTGGGCTTTATGGAGCTAAGTTTTCATTGCAGGCCCCACATCCTGGCCGCAGCCTTCCTGCAGAGGAGGACGCGTGTTCTTTTTAATTAAACCTGTCTGTTATCACAGCAGATTGCTACGAAGGGAGGCCCATTAGCGGAGCGGCAGCTGTTGGGAAACCGCTTGCCACACTGAGCACACGGGCCCTGGAACTCTCGACGGGGCCAGCATCCCTGACCCTTCCCCTGCCCCTGCCCCTGCCCCTGCCCCTGCTGCAACACCAGCGAGGAGCTCTGGGCAGGGCCTCCCACGCCCAGCCCCACTATGCACCAGGAGACACCTGCCACCCAGAGCTCCTACTAAGCAGGGGAGCCTCCCACCCCAGGAACACAGCTCTGGGGACAGAGAAACCTGGATGGGATCCTGGCGCAGCCACTTGTTGGCAATGTGGTCCCAGGACAGTACCTCAGCTCTTTGGTAATGATGAGGCACAGCTCCCATACACCGACGCACCCAGCTTCAGGTACACAATCCGACGACCTCCACAAAGCTTCACGAAGTAGGGACTGTTGTCCTCATTTTACAGATAGGGAAACTGAGGCTCAGGAACAACTGACCGGGTTACACCGCTTGAATATGGCTGAGCTAGGATTTCAATGGACCACAGGCTCAGCTTCCCTAGCTAGGAAACGCAGATAATGGTCTTCACCTGGGAATGTGGGTGGGGGTGGGGGAGTTATTAATAAATAAGGCAGTGAAGGGCGTGGAGTGAGCGTCCATAAATGGCTGCAATTTTTATATGAACGTTGTAATTTAAGCACATGACTGGCCCTTAGCCCCATTTTCCAGATGATGAAACTGAGGCTCTGGCCCTCATAGTCCCCGGTAATCCCCCCTCCTATATCACCCCACACCTGGTCATGCCAGCAGCCTCCCCACCACCTTTCCTAATCTTTTGCCTGTCTCTTCTCCACTGGGCACCAGAACAATTTCTCATTCTCTCATCAAAATAATGTGGATTTGGGCCCAGCGCAGTTGCCATGCCTGTAATCCTAGCACTTTTGGAGGCCAAGGTGGGAGGATTGCTTGAGGCCAGGAGTTCGAGACCAGCCTGGGCAACATGGCAAAACTCCATCTCTACAAAAAATTTAAAAATTAGCTGGGCATGGTGGTGTGTACTTGTAGTCCCAGCTACTCAGGAGGCTGACGTGGGAGGATTTCTTGAGCCTGGGAGGTCGAGGCTGCAGCAAGCAGTGATCTCCAGCCTGGATGACAGAGGGAGACACTGCCTCAAAAATAACAAGGCCGGGCATGGTGGCTCACACCTGTAATCCCAGCACTTTGGGAGGCCGAGGTGGGCGGATCACCTGAGGTCGGGAGTTCGAGACCAGCCTGACCAACATGGAGAAACCCCGTCTCTACTAAAACTACAAAATTAGCCAGGCGTGGTGGCACATGCCTGTAATCCCAGCTACTCAGGAGGCTGAGGCAGGAGAATTGCTTGAACCCGGGAGGCGGAGGTTGTGGTGAGTAGAGATCACACCATTGCACTCCAGCCTGGGCGACAAGAGCAAGATTCCGTCTCAAATAATAATAATAATAATGTGGATTTGGTTTTTAGTTAATTATAAAATAAAATCAGGGTAAACACATTAATGGACAGATGATTATAAAAAGAACATAGAGCCCACGGGCAGTGGCTTACGCCTGTAATCCCAGCACTTTGGGAAGCCAAGGTGGGCGGAGCACTTGAGATCAGGAGTTCAAGACCAGCCTGGCTAACATGGTGAAACCCTGTCTCTACTAAAAATACAAAAATTAGCCAGGTGTGGTGGCGGGCGCCTGTAATCCCAGCTACTTGGGAGGCTGAGGCAGGAGAATCGCTTGAATCTGGGAGGCAGAGGTTGCAGTGAGCCAAGATCCCACCATTGCACTCCAGCCTGGGTGACAGAGCAAGATTCTGTCTCAAAAAAAGAGAACATGGAAATTACCCATAATGCATTATTATTATCTATTGGGGTTCATTTCTTTCTGTCCTTTCCCTGTTCACCCATTCATTCATTCATTCACTGAGTATAGACTGAGTGAGCTCCTACTTGTGCCAGGCCCTGTATGTGGTGCTGGGGAAGCCGTGGTGGAGAAGACTGACCTGGTCCCAACCCTCGGGAGCCTGACGCTGATGGGAGAGATGGATACTAAACAGACAAGCACATGGGCGATATTGAACCCCACGTATAACTGCCACACTGCTCACTCAATGGCCTTCAACAGGGGCACTGACCCAGCTGGGATCAGGGAAGGCTCCTGGGGGAAGTGCCATTACATCTGAGCCTGGAGAGGCATTGATTTTGCCTGCACGTCTATATACCTCTGAGGTTGGAGATATTTTTCTAGAACTTCTGGCCATGTCTCTCCTCGGTGCTCGTTACAGCCTCAGGGCACCTGCACTTTGCTGCCCCTCGAACCCTTCCTGTACCTCCACTCCTTGCAGTGGCTGTGTCCACTGTCTAGGATGCCCTCCCCTCTCTTCCTGGGCCTGTTGATGAACTTCTATTAATCCTTCAAAGCCCAGAGCGCTTGTCTCCTCCCCCCTCCTCACGGGAAGTCTTCCCAAATGCCCATCCTAGAATGGCAGGGTTAGTCACTCTTCTTTTTCAATCCCTCAAAATGTTTTTGTTTTTTTGAGACAGAGTTTCACTCCTGTCACCCAGGCTGGAGTGCAGTGGTGCAATCCTGGCTCACTACAACCTCCACTTCCCGGGATCCTACCTTAGCCTCCTGAGTAGCTGGGATTACCGGCACGTGCCACCATGCCTGGCTAATTCTTTTGTATTTTTAGTACAGATGGGGTTTCACCAGTTGACCAGGCTGGTCTCGAACTCCTGACCTCAAGTGATCCACCCGCCTCGGCCTCCCACAGTGCTGGGATTACAGGCATGAACCACTGCTCCCGGCCGTTCAATCCCCCAAAACTTTTGACTATAGCTGGGTTGTGTCTCTCCCACTGGTCTGGGCCTCCAGGGCCCAGCTCAGGGCACTGCCCCTTAGAGTGGGCAATGAGGGAGGAAGACCTTTTCCGCGGGGTGCCCTGGAATACTATAGGGCTATAAAACCAGCTGGGTTCATTCGGCTTGGCAGTGAGGCCTTGTCGTTCGCTCTGGCCCCCATCTGCCTCCAGGGGCATGACAGCCACTGCCTGTAGCTGGGAGGTGGCAGGCTGCACCATGCATGCTCCTGAACCCTAACTTGCTCCAGGTAGGGGTGGAGTGGCTACACCACAGAGGCCCTTCCCTGGACCAGCCCCTTGTGCCTGGCTTCACCCGTGTCAGGCCTGCTACTCCCCCAGGCGGGAGGGAGTGTGCAGCAGCCTGGGCACTTTGGTGCCTCCGTCCTCAGTGGCGAGGGTCTAGGTGAATTAAGCTCCATATGGGAGACAGGTCACTCTAATGGCCTAAATTTAATAGCTTCACATACTTGACCAGTAACCGTGTGGTCCCCTCCCACCCTGAGTCTTCCCCCACTATGTGGCTTTCTCTGACCAACAGGATGTTTGCAGATGTGACACAAACAGAGGTTTGGGCATTGCCAGCCAACTCCACTTGCCCCTGCTGCACTAGGATCACTCGCTTTGCCCATCTCACCATGGGCCTATGTCTAGGCAACCTGCTGGAGGATGTGGGGGACACAAGGAGGAAAGCCGAGGTGCCCGGCTAAGGCTGCCCACAACCAGCCAGTCCCCAGCCAAACTGCCAGCTGACCACACATGCCTGCGTGAGCCCAGCCAAGATCAGTCAAATCCATAGACACGTAAGATACGATGCATAGTTAGTTGGAAACCACTAAGTTTTAGAATTGTTACCCAGCAATAGCTGACTGATACACTCCAGCTCTATGGTGGCACACAATACAGCCATTGAAAAGAATGAGGTATCAGGAGGCTGAGGTGAGAGGACCACTTGAGCCCAGGAGGTCGAGGCTGCAGTGAGCTATGACGGCACCACTGCTCTCCAGCCTGGGCAAAAGAGCAAGACCTTGTCTCTAAAAAACAAAAATAAAATAAAATAAAAATTTTAAAAGAATGAGGCAGCCCTTTATGTTCTGACATGGAAAAGTTCCCGGGATATATTAAGATAAAGAAATTGGCCAGGCACGGTGGCTCATGCCTGTAATCCCAGCACTTTGGGAAGCCGAGGTGGGCAGATCACAAGGTCCAGAGTTCAAGACCAGCCTGACCAACATTGTGAAACCCCATCTCTACTAAAAATACAAAAAAATTAGCCGGGCGTGTTGGCGCGCACCTGTAATCCCAGCTACTCAGTAGGCTGAGGCAGGAGAATCGCTTGAACCTGGGAGGCGGAGGTTGCAGTGAGCTGAGATTTCACCATTGCACTCCAGCCTGGGCCACAAGAGGGAGACTCCATCAAAAAAAAAAAAAAAAAAAAAAAAGGAAGAAGAAATAAGGTGCAGGCCGGGCATGGTAGCTCACATCTGTAATCCCAGCACTTTGGAAGACTGAGGCTGGCGCAGATCACTTGAGGTCAGGAGTTCGAGACCAGCCCAGCCAACATGGTGAAACCCCGTCTGTACGAAAAAACTACAAAAATTAGCCGGGTGTGGTGGCTCTCGCTTGTAATCCCAGCTACTTGGGAGGCTAAGGCAGGAGAATCACTTGAACCTGGGAGACAGAGGCTGCAGTGAACCTAGATGGCACCACTGCACTCCAGCCTGGGTGACGAGAGAGACTCCGTCTCAAAAAAAAAAAAAAAAAAAAAAGTAAGGTGCAGGTATTGTCCACGGAATGCTACCATTTATATAGAAGAGAAAAAAAGAAATAGCAGGTATTTGCAACCTGTAGACTCTCTCTGGAAATCTCTAAGTCCCCGGTATCAGTGGTTGCTTCTTGGGAGGGGCCAGGGACCTGTGGACAACAGGGGAGCGAAAGAGAGGAAGACAGACACTTCAAAGCCTTATTATCTTATTTTATACCACTTTTGAATTCTGTACCACATGCTTTTTATAATAGGATTTTTTTTTTTTTTTTTTTTTTTGAGAAGGAGTCTTGCTGTGTCACCTAGGCTGGAGTGTAGTAGCACGAACTCACCTCACTGCAAGCTCCGCCTCCCAGGTTCACGCCATTCTCCTGCCTCAGCCTCCCGAGTAGCTGGCACTACAGGCGCCCACCACCACGCCCGGCTAATTTTTTGTATTTTTAGTAGAGACGGGGTTTCACCGTATTAGCCAGGGTGGTCTCGATCTCCTCACCTCATGATCCGCCCGCCTCGGCCTCCCAAAGTGCTGGGATTACAGGCATGAGCCACCGCGCCCGGCCTATAATAGGATTTTAAAAAAGATAACATTTAGGGAATAAATCACCTGTTTTTCCAATATAATGGTTTTACTATTTTTCTTTGGTGTAAAGCTTTGTTGTCTATTCACCTGTGTTCAGATCCCAGCCCCCACCACTTCCTGGCTCTGGGCCTTGGCAAGGGGCTTCTCCCCAGGAGCCCCAGGATGGCAGCCCTGGGGGGAATGAGAATGACATGCGTTTGGTGCCCGGCACATGGCGGGTGCTCCCCCGTTCTGAGGGCCGCCCGCACACTCCGTTCAGCCTGGAGCCCCTCTCCCCCTGGTGTGGGCCGGGACCACTTCTGGCTTCAGCTGGGACCTTCTCTCCCCTTAGGAGTGGTCCTGACCAGCTCTGACCCCAGGCTTGGCCAGGGAGTCCCCCCATGGAGCAGGGACCTGGGAATAGCGGCCCCCAAAGAAGGAGTCCTCCTCTGAGGCTCAAGTCCCGGCAGCCCTCATGTCTCTGCCGGCATCTGAGGCCCATGTGTGCGCTCTGCTGGCCAGGGGTTTGGCTTCCTTGTTTTATGACTCCCTAATCCTCACTTGGCAGAGAGGAAGTGGTGGGCCCGCCTGGCCGCGCAGAGAGTGACCAGAGGATCGGCAAAGGAAAGATTCATGGACCATCAGAAGGGCCCTTTGCCTCCGAGGCCGCCCCAGCCCTTCACGTGGAGATAAATCACAGGCAGCAGGGAAAGATAAAAGGTGCGGGGATGCAAGCCCTGTCTTACGAGAAGAAATGTGCGCAGGGGACGTTTCCCTGAACTCCTGCAGAGCTGGACTGCTGACGTCTCCACGGGCTTCCTAACTCGGACTGGAGGGGACTCGAGTCCACTCCTTGTCTTCTCCATCCCATTGACTTCACAAGGCCCATCCCTTCAGGCCCCTAGCATGGTACTGACCTTGAGATGACCCTGAGACCCATTCCTCACACTTCTTCCTCCGATCCAAAAGATCTGGCTTGGAGGGCATTGGACCTGTGTGGTCACACAGACCCTGGAACTCAGAAGGGTCCTGCCCCTGGCTTAATACTCTCCTGTCATTGTGTTGAAATTCTTAGTAATTCTGGAGCGGACATTCCCACACTTCATTTTGCTCTGGGTCCTGCCTGGCCAGGAGTGGCTTTGGGCATCTGGGTGCCCGTACATCCTCTCCAGCAGACGCCTACCAGGCACAGTTTGCACATCTCCGGCAATGAGGAGCTCACCTCCTCCTGGGCAGCCCCCCCAAGTCCACCATAGAGCAACAGAAGCTTGGAGGCCCTATCTCATGGTGGTGACAGGAATGGGTCCCAGGTCACCTTCCAGTCTTGGTGCCTCACTGGCTGTGTAACCTGGGGCATGTTATGGCGCCTCAGTTTCCGGTCTGCAGAATGAGGCTAATAATAGGGCTGTTGTGAGAATGAAACAATGTATTTGGCTTAATTTTGTGCTTAATCAATGATAGCTGTTTTTGTATTTTACTAGAAAAGGCTGCCTTCCAGCAGATTGGGATCCTTAGGCCTGGCCAGTGGTTAGGGGGAGAAGGTGCAAAAAGATGCATAACCACCACCACCACCCCCAACCACCACCCCCAACCCCCATTCCCCTCCCCCCCCCCCGCTCCCCCGCAACACACACAGCCAGAAGCTCCCCTTCTTTTGCCAACCTTGAAGGTCAAACCTGCGCACTTCACCTGGGCTCCACCGGTCAGGTGCCTTGTTCTCTGCTGCCATCTGCTGGCTGGTATGGGGCACTGCATCACAGCTGGCACCAGGCTTCATTTGTCCCCTTGGAAGAGGATCAAATAATTCTGCAAGTGTTTTCTGAGGACCTGCCTGGGCATTGAGGATTTGTCAGTAAACACAAAAGACAAAGTTCCTGCCCTCTTGGAGCTGACACTTCTGTGTGAGACATGGATAATAAGCAAGAAATCCAATCATGTGATTTCTGCTAGTAACAAGCAAAATTAAAAGAAGAAAAATTTCAGACAGTGGGGAATGGCACTGGTGGACGGTAGGATAGTTTGTTCTGGGGCAGGGTCAGGAGAGAACAGGCTGAATGGTGGTCAGGTGGGACAGGAGAGCTCTGCTATCCAGCCAGTCCCACCAGCCCGGCTGCCTGCCCCCCACTGCTGCAATCTCTGTGACAACTGTGGGCAACTCCCTCTGCTGACCAGGACCTCAGTTTCCTTATCTGGAACACAGGGAGAATCACAGCCACTTCTCGAATTAGTACTGTTGTTTGGATTTAAAGGGATCCTGGAGGGGGAAACGTTTTGTGAAGTGTATTGTTCTCGTGAATTATATGCTTCGTGTTGTTAGCTGATGCTTGCTATGCACTTAACAGTGCAGAAACTCTGTTAAGCCCTTCTGTGGGTTACCTCACTGAGTCCTTAGGGGCACTGTCCTTGGGGACAGAAGCCTGGCAGCAATGAGGACTGAGGGCCTTACCCTCCTCCAGGATAGCAGCCTGCCTTTCCACTCCCAGTCACCTCCATCCACTCTCCAGTCTTCACCTGGGATGAGACGGACCCATGAACAGGACAAGGAATGGATGAATGGACGAATGGATGAATAAATGGGTGAATGAGTAAACAGCAAAAAAAAAAAAAAAAAAAAAAGAAACCCTGTCTCTACTAAAAAAATACAGCCGAGCAGGTGGCTTACACCTGTAATCCCAGCACTTTGGGAGACCAAAGTGGCCAAATCACTTGAGGTCAGGAGTTCGAGACCAGCCTAGCCAACAAGATGGAACCCTGTCTCTACTAAAAAAATACAAAAAAATGTATTTTTTTAATGATAAGTTGTACTTTATTAAAATTTAAAACTTCTGCTCTGCAAAAGACACTGTTTAGGGAATGAAAAGACAAGCCAGACTTCAACAAAACATTTGCAAAACTTATATCTGAAAAAGTACTGGCATACAAAATACACAAAAAAAACTCTTAAAACTCAACACATGAGAAAACAAACAGCCCAATTTAAAAATGGGCAAAAGACCTGAACAGACACCTGACCAAATAAGGTATAGAGATGGTAAACAAGCATATGAAAAGAGGCTGAACCTACCTCATTAGGAAACTGCGACTAAAACAAGACACCACTACACATCTATCAGAATGGCCAAAATACACAACACTGACAACATCAAATGCTGGCGAGGATGCAGAGCATCAGAAACTCTCATTCATTGCTGGTGGGAATACAAAATTATACAGTCACTTTGGAAGACAGTTTGGCAGTTTCTTATAAAACGAAACATACTCTTACCACATGAGCCAGCAATCACACTCCTTGTTGTTTACCCAAACGAGCTGAAAACCTGTTCACACAAAAACCTGCACGTGGGTATTTATAGCAGCTTGATTCGTAATTGCCAAAAGTTGGAAGAAACAAAGATGTTCTTGCGTAGGTGATCAGATAAATAAAATATGGTATATCCAGACAATGGGATATTATTGGGCAATAAAAAGAAATGAGCTATCAAATCATGAAAAGACAGGGAGAAATCTTCTATGTATATTGCTAAGTGGGAGAAGCCAATGTGAAAAAGGTTACATACTGTAGGATTTCAACTATATGTCATTCTAGAAATGACTAAACTGTGGAGATAGGCAAAAGATCAATTGTTGCCAAGGATTGGGGTTAGGGGATAAGAAAGGAAAGGATTAATAGGGGAGCACTGGGGGCTTTTAGGGAAGTGAAACAATTCTTTATGATACTATCATGATGGATACATGTCATTATAAGCTTGTCAAAACCCATAGAATTGCAACACAGAGTAAATTCTAATGTAAACTATGGACTTTAGTTAATAATGTATCAACATTGGCTTATCAAATGTAACAAATGTAGAGCACTAATGCAAGATGCTAATTAATAAAAGGGAAGCAAAGCATATGGGAACTCTGTGTTTTCCATTCAATTTTTCTGTAAACCTAAAACTGCTCTAAAAAATGAAGTCAATTAATTTTTTAAAACACACGCTAGCAACAACAACAAAAACTAGCAACAAACACACATCACAAGGCTGGACGCAGTGGCTCACACCTGCAATCCCAGCACTTTGGGAGGCCAAGGCAGGCGGATCACCTGAGGTCGGGAGTTCGAGACCAGCCTGACCAACATGGAGAAACCCCATCACTACTGAAAATACAAAATTAGCCGGGCGTGGTAGCGCACGCCTATATTCCCAGCCACTCGGGAGGCTGAGGCAGGAGAATCGCTTGAATCCGGGAAGCAGAGGTTGTAGTGAGCCGAGATCGTGCCATTGCATTCCAGCCTGAACAACAAGAGCGAAACTCTATCTCAAAAAAAAAAAAAAGAAATCACAGGGCAAAAATGAGATTAGGGGCCTGACACTCAAATACTTCATCAGTGACACACGTTGATTTGACTCATAATGACTAGAAAATAAATATTTTAAACAGTTAACAGCAAATTAAAAAAAAAAACCTGAAATGACCAATGTTGGTGTGACAAAGAACACCAGGTGTACATATTCATTGCTGCTCATCTTTTAGAGTAATATGATGCACCTAATAAGGGATCTGAATGGATGTGGCTGACATGCATGGTGAATGGAGTTAGCTATAGTAGCAATTGGAGGGGAGTATGTGTTTTGTGTATTCCTACAACCTAGTTCAGCTGGATGAAATATTCCTAGTGTTTCTTGTAGACAAAATCATGCATAAGAAAATGGGAAATTCGAGTAATGCTCAAATTTTCCCAAATGAATAAGTTAATTAATTGTGCCGGAGCAAATTTGGTTTTCAAAGCAGGCATTATCACACAACCGACTGTAGCATTAAAAGGCTTATTAAAACAATAACCTTTGATTTCTTTCATCAATGTCTCATAGTTTTCAGTGTGCAGGTCTTTCACCTCCTTGGTTAAACTTATTCCTAAGCATTTTCTTTTTTTGCTCTCTATTGTAAATGGGATTGACTCTTGATTTCTTTTCAGATAGTTTGTTGTTAGTATATAGAAATGCTACTGATTCTTGTGCATTGATTTTGTACCCTGCAACTTTGTTTGTTTATTAGTTCTAACAGTTTAAAAAATTGTATTTTTATAGAGAGAAGGGCTGCCCTCACATCCAGCAGACTGTGGGCTCCCACACCAGAGAAGCATCATCTGTTGAGCACAACTTTCCCAGGCCAAACCATCCTCGGGACGCGAGGTGAGTTCCTGCCTCCTGTCTCCTCCCCTGTGTGACCCAGACATGCTGCCTACTCCCTCTGTGTCTCTGTTTTCTCATCTTTAAAGTGGAGAGAACAGACAGGATGGACAGAGGCTTGTGAAATAACAGACGGGAAAGGGTTGCGTAAACTGCGAAGCGTGGTGCACACACAGCCCCAGTCGTCACTGCCATTGATTGAGCACCTCCTAGTCCCCAGCACCGTGCTAAGCATTTTTCATGCATTTTCTCCTTCTTACCCTCACAACCCTGAAAGTGACCAGCTTGTCCCAGTTTGCCTGGAGCTTTCCAAGTTTTAGCACTGAAAACCCCATATCCTGGGAAGTCCCTTAGTTCTGGGCAAACCTTTAAAGTGAGAATATTTTCTCCGTTTTTCAGCTGAGGAAACTGAGGCTCAGAGTTTCACTTATCCAGGGTCCCACAGCAGAGAAAGGGCCCAGGTGTGTGGGCTCCAGAGCTGTCATCTAACTAAGGCACGTGGCTGGTTCCTGTGGACAGTGGGAGCCATAGAAGGTTCAGGGCAGTGGCAGGCTCATGTCCAGGAGGTCACTCCCCACCCCAGGCAGCCCTGTATTGTCTAGCCATGGAGGTATCAGCCAGCAATGCACTGCAGAGAAAGACAATCTAAATGAACAGAAGAATCTGCCAGGGACCCTCCCTTCTTTGTTTAGGTTTCAACTTTGCAGATGCAAATGCTTCAAATAAGTTCAATGTGGGCTCTGGGACCAAGATACTCAGGCTCCATTTGCTTCCAAGTGGCCTGTAGACCTTGTCCCCAGAACCCCTGGTGGGCGTGCTCACAGTTTTAGAGGTCTGAGGGTCCCTGGCAGAGCAGGAAGGGACCACATGCATTCTTGGGAGGCTGGGCCAGGGGTAGGAACACTCACACTCAGGGCCAGACAGGTTGGGGCAAAGCCTGGTCTGGAGCTTCTGTTGTCAGCCACAGTCCATTGAATGCTCAGTAAGCAAGCCTGTAGAATGCTCTGAATGCTCACTGTGGCTCAGTTAGGAAAGGCCTTGTTATATCCATTTCACAGATAGGTAAGCTAAGGCTGAGAAGGAGTATGACTTGCCCCAGGTCACCCAGTGGAAGTACCTGAGCTAGATCAGACCAGGGACCCTCAGCCTTCAAGCTCCACTGTTGGCCTCTATACCCTGCTGCCCGCAGACTCGTGGTGTGACCTGGGCATGTCTGCCCTATGCATCTTGACAGCTTATCTGGAAGATGGGAATAAGAGTCTATACCTCCCAATGGGTTAAAAGGAGTCTAGAGATACTGTTTATAAAGCATTCGGGAGCAACCAGGCTCATGGCAATGAAAAGGATTGGTCGTTCTCATTAATACCCTATGAAGGTGATCTCCATATTCAAGTTCATGATCGTTGCTGTTTTTGCTACTGCGGTGCCTGCAATGTCTAGGAGCAAGAGGAGCTATTGATTGAGTACTTACGCTGTGCCCGGTTCTTTACGTGCATTAACTCATTAGTTCTCACTGCCAGCCTGAGACAGGCAGCATTACCAGCCTCAGTAGGCAGGTGTGGACCCCGAGACCCAGAGAAGGCGCTCGCCATGATCACTTAGCTACTAAATGGTAAGGCTGGGACTTGAAGCCATACAGGCTGGGGCTACATGGGGAGATTGATTCCATGGGATGGAGGCCCCCGGGGGCAGCTGGGACCCCTGGGACTCCTGGCTTTGGTGAGGGGCAGGGAGCTGGGGAGCTCTTGGTGCCCTGAGGTGCCATGGACACCCCAATTGGCCCACTCTTAGCTCCCTTTGGCATTCCTATCTGTTTTCTCTGTAAAGTAGGACATGAAGCCCACAAGGAAACCAGGATGCAGAAGTGGAGGACGGGTCGGGGCTGGGGTGGGAGAGAGAGCCACATTAGCCAAGTGGTCAGGACAGCCTTGCTGAAGGCTGACACTGAAGCCAAGCCCTGCAGCGTGCAAGGGAGCTCGAATTGTGAGGAGCCAGCTGGGTGTTCCAGGCAGACAGTGCACCTTGCTCCCAAGCCTGTTTCCCTCTCTGTACAGAGGCAAGGAAAGTGGAATTGTCCCTGCCCTCAGGGAGGCCACAGACTAAAGTGAGGCAGAATCCAGGCAGCTGTGACTCAGGCAAAAGCCAGGGACACACTTGGCTGGGCAAGCTCAGAGGAGGCGGCATTGCCTTTTCTGGGAAGGTCTGGGAGGGTCAGGAAGGTCTGCCTGGATGAGGGGACCTGGGAACCCAGCCTCAGGGAGCAGCAGGTGTGGGCTGCGGACCCTGGGAAGCCTGAGGGCTAGGACAGGGCCCTCCTAGGACTATAGCCTATGTCTCCAGTGGAGGGAAGGAGGGACCAATGGGTCTAGGGTCCAGGATGTGGGGCACGCAGCAGGCAGCAGGCAGGAGGCAGGGTCCTAACCCACGGCTCTGAACTTTTACCCTGGATGGGTAGGGAAGAACTGGAGCCGGATAGCAGAGGAGGACGGAGGCGATGGCCAGCGGGGCGGGGAGAGTAGGGAAGGGCCGCAGATGGGAAGCAGGTGGGGGGGTGGGAGGCCGGAGACAGATGAGGCCTGGACGGGGAGGAAACAGAGAACAAGATGAGAGATAAGATTGCAAAGGCGTCAGACAGTGGCATGGCAGCCACAGAGCAGGGAGCAGCAACCAGGGTGGGGGAAGGGCAGGGCTGAGGGACCTAGGGAGGGACCAGGGACAGCTCCAGGTCATGCCCCTCCAGAGCCTGACCTGCTGTGTCCCCAGGCACTGTCCCGCTGTATCTGTAGTGCTGTCCTGTCACCAGCCACTGTCCAGCCATGTCCCCAGCCACAGCCCCCTGTGCCCTGACCCTGTCTGGTTGAAACTCATGCCTGCTGTTTAGGGGTATGCCTAGTATGTCCCCTGGGTCCCCAGCCACTGTTTGGCTGATCCCAACCTCTCCCCGTCTGTGTCCCGCAGTACTGGCCAGCCTGTCCTTGCCCAGGGACAGTGCTTCTGGCTCCCAGTGCACAGCATCCCTGTGCAGTGGGAGGGGAAGTCCAGGTGCACCTAGTTGGGCAGGCTGTGGTGTGGGGGCTCGCCCCAGCCCCCACATTTCAGCAGCAGATAGAACTCAAAGGGAGTAGCCCTGGAGAAATCCATGCCCAGTGGAGTCCCAGGGAGCATTTAGAGGCCCCCTCTAGCTGGGGGTCTGGATGTCACTCCCAGCCCACCCAGCTTCCTGTGCATGCCTTATCGTAGATGGCCTGCAGGTGGCTCTGGGGACACAGGGACATTCAGAGCCTGCCGTGGCCCCTGACCTGAAGACATCAGCCCAAACCCTCCCACCTCTACCTGCACTGCAGATGCTGGCCCTAGGTGGCCGGGTGGACCCCCAGCTCCACCTCCTACTGCAGAGGCCTTGGCAAGATGTTTGGGTCAAGTCAATGGTGGCGCCTGCATCCCATGGGTTGATATTAAGAATGATGATGGCATGGCCCACAGTTGGACCTCATTCGATTGGCATATGCCCACCCCCCAACCCCACCATCTCCACAGCTCTACTGGGAATAATGGAGTCTGAAGGACCCAACTGGAGGGTAAGACCACTGGCATCAGGAACCCAGGGAGGTCTCTGCCCTATGGCCTGGGTTGAAAAACAAAGGTCCAAGCAGCGCTCTTTCTCCCTTTGAGCCAATTTGCAGCCGACCAGCACTGAGTCTTCAGGGAAATGGGCACCAACCAGAGCGAGGTCCAGAGGCAGGACCACTCTGGACTTTGGGTAACTGTGGCGATCATGATGCAGGAAGCATGCCCAGTGCATGGAGTGGGGTGGGAGTTAAATCTTCGCCAGTGAATCCAAGGTAGTCATGAGTTTTGTTTCTGCAGCAAGTACAACTTGTGCCCAAGAAAATGGGTGCCAAGCTGCGGGTGCAGCTGCATGCAGGCATTCACTGAGCACTTCCATTCCTTGCCATGCACCCGGCAGTGTTCCAGGGACACAGCAGTGAGCAACACAGACCAACATCCCTGCCCTCATGGAACTCATGTTCCAGGAAAGTGGAGGATGGAGACAGGCAGTACACAACATTAATAAGCAGTAGGTTAGATGGTGCTGGGTGCTCCAGAGAAAAACAGAGCAGGAAAGGAGGGTAGGGAATGCTGGGGTGGGAATCACTAAGAGGTTACAAATAGTGTGGCCAAGGGGAAGTGCCGCCACACAGACATCTCAGGGAGGAGGTTTCCAGGCAGCGGGCACAGCAAGTGCAAATGTCCTGAGTCCAGTGCCTGCCCAGCACATCCAGGGAAGGAGGCACTGGAGCAGAGCACGCTCAGACACCAGTGCGGGTCAGGTCACACACGGCTTTGCAGATGGTCATGGGACTTCTACTCTCAGTGCACTGGGGTCATGAGCAGAAGTAGGATGTGTGTTGACTTGAACTCTAAGAGACAGAAGCAGAGAAGCCAGTCATGAGCCATTGCTGTCTCTTCAGGCAGAAGGTGATGGCAATTCGGACCAGGGTAGAAGGGAAGTGTCAGGGTGTAGGGCATGCTCTGCAGCTGGAGGTCCTTTGAGAGTCTTGGGGCCCGTCAGGCCGGCGTGGGTGGTCTGCCTGCAGCCTCCGACATCAGGGCCAATGGAGCAGCATCCAGAATCTGGAGGCAGCTGGACCGGGGTGTGAATGTAGCCCCTCTACTTCCCAGCGGGCAACCCAGGACAACCCAGTCTGAAACATCTTTAGGATAAAAATCTATGCTCTGTGATATGGGACTGGGAGGGCTTAATCCTCCTCTTTTCTGTGTGTTAGAGCACTTTATTTTGGTTAATGTTTATTGGGTACATATTATTTGCCAGTCATTCTGCCAAACACTTTACATACATTATCTTAAGTCATTCTTACCCTAACTTTAACCTTACCCTTGGTCATTTAAATAATAATCTCCATAAAACAGACCCCTGGCCGTGACGTGCACACTTAGGATGTGTGTGTGGCTCCTCCCTCCATGAGGGTACCAGGACCCACTGAAAGTCATGGGGTGTGGAATACTACTCAACAAGAAAAAGTAACCAAGTATTGATGACGCCACAGCTTGAATGACACTCTAGGGAATAATGCTAAGTGAAAAAAGCCAATCCCAAAAGCTCACATATTATATGATTGCACTTATATGACATTTTTGAGATGACAGCATTTTATTTTATTTTATTTTATTTTATTTTTTTTGAGACAGGGTCTCCCTCTGTCACTCAGGCTGGAGTGCAGTGGGGCGATCTTGGCTCACTGCAAACTCTGCCTTCCAGTTTCAAGCGATTCTCCCACTTCAGCCTCTTGAGGTTGGGACTACAGGCATGCACCACCACACCCAGCTAATTTATTTTAATTTTTTTGGTAGAGACAGGGTTTCACCATGTTGGCCAGGCTGGTCTTAAACTCCTGACCTCAAGTGATCCACCTGCTTCAGCCTCCCAAGGTGCTGGGATTACAGGTGTGAGCCACTGCACCTGGCCGGAAATGACAACATTTTAGAAAATAATAGATTGGTGGTTTCCAGAAGTCAGAAGTGGCAGGGTGGGCATATAGGAAGGAGGTGGGCGTAGCTACAAAAAACACCATGAGGGATCCTTGTGGTGATGGAAGTGTTCTGTATCTTAACTGTGATGGATACACGAACCTACACATGAGACACACAGAACTCTCAGTCTCTCTCTCTCTCTCTCTCTCTCTCACACACACACACACACACACACACACACGAACGAGTACAAGTAAAACAGGGGAATCTGAATAAACCCTGTGGCTTGTATCAAGTCAGTTTCCTGGTGGTGATATTGTACCATAGTTTGCAAGATGTTACCATTGGAGTGAAGCTGGGTAAAGGGCTGTATTAGTCAGTGTTTCCAGAGAAACAAAACCAATAGGATCTCCATATATAAATATACAGAAAGATTTATTATGAGGGATTGGCTCATACAATATGGAGGCTGAGAAGTCCCACATCTGTCATCTGCAAGCTGGAGAACCAGGAAAGCTGGTGGTGTGGTTCCAGTCCAAGCTGGAAGACCTGAGAACCAAAGGACTGATGGTGTAAGCCCCAATCCAAGTCCAAAGGCTCAGGCATGAGGAGCGTCCTTGTCCAAAGGCAAGAGGAGATGAATGTCCCTGCTCCAGAAGAGAGAGCAAATTCTGTCTTCCTCTGCCATTTTGTTCTATTCAATCCCTCAGCTGACTCCATGGTCCCCTCCCACATGGGTGAGAAGATGTGAGAATGATGTCTTTTCAAATGCTATTCCTTTTCAGAAACTCCCTCACAGAAACACCCAGAAGTAATGTTTTGCCAGCTACCTGGGCATCCCTTAGCCCAGTCAAGCTGACACACAAAATTAACCATCGTAAGTCCACCCCTTGTCAACAAGGCATCCATAGGCATCTTCTGAAGCCATACTTAATCTCCAAATAACAACAATAATAAGGTTATGGTTCCACTGAACATGATACAACTATCCTGTGTACAACGAAAATGCTCTAATCCCTTCCCCAGAAAAGGAGATAAAGTCCTTGAGTGGTGTTTACTCCTCTCCTCATATCCTGTAACTTCAATAGTATGATGTGAAATTAACAATACTTAAATAGTGATACAAAGTCAATAAATCTTATGTTACATGATAAGGGAATAAGAGAGGAAAGAAAACAAAGATATTTGTTAAATATATGCATAAAAACACAAATGTATTCATAACCAAATAAGGAGGAAATCCTCGTGACAATTACAGTTCTTATTTCTCTAACTGGTCATGTGGTTAAACTGGCATTAATAACTACCATCTTCTGCTGGGCACAGTGGCTCACGCCTGTAATTCCAGCACTTTGGGAGGCTGAGGCGGGAGGATCACCTGAGGTCAGGAGTTCGAGACCAGCCTGGCCAACATGGTGAAACTCTGTCTCTACTAAAAATACAAAAATTATCCAAGCGTGGTGGCACATGCCTGTAATCCCAGCTACTCGGGAGGCTGATGCAGGAGAATTGCTTGAACCCAGGAGATGCAGGTTGCGATGAGCCGAGATCGTGCCATTGCACTCCAGGCTGGGCAACAAGAGTGAAATTCTGTCTCAGAAAACTACCATCTTCTACTACCTATTCCGTACAACCTTTGCCTTCAGAAAGCATCTCAGCGGGTCATGGTTTTTTACCTGGCGGGGTAACCCAAACCTTCATTCCTGAAGGGTCTGGGCCATTCATAGTCCAATAGATTGGGCTATTGTCATTTTCCATTGACCTGAATCACAGGACATGGTAATACTAAGAGATGGGGTCTCCTGCATCCCAGATATACTCTTTTCTACCTCCATTGTGGAGCAGCGCCCAATGTCCTCTTGGTGATCTGGATCAATCACCCCAGCCAACACCATAGCTCGCTTCTTTCCCTGTTGACCCAGAGGTACAAGAGGCCCAAAGTAGCTGGATGGCATCTTAACTTCCAGTTCAATGGAATAGTTGTGTTTCCCAGTGGAAGCACTCCTCCCTCTGGAATTAAGACCCTTAGGCCAACAGAGCATAAAGTCTTGGGAAAAGGAAACAAAGTTTTGCTGATGAGTCACTAGGAGTAATGGTGAGTGGTGCCACTCCCACTTCCACTCCTTGATTCTTGGAACAGGAAATGCTAGCTATGGGAGAATAGGACCATATATTAGGCACTGGTTCAAAACATATCCAGCCTTCTGGAGAACCTTGCCCCAGCCCTGCAAGCTATTGCCACCTAGCTGGTGCTATAACTGAGTCTTCAAAAGGCCATTCCACTATCCATCAAACCAGCTGCTTCAGGACAGTGGGGATCATGGTAAGACCAGTGAATTCCAGAGGGGGGGCCCATTACACTTCTACCAGTTCCTTGGTAGAGGCAATGCTGTGTGGAATACCATGACCATGGATAAGGCACTCTGTTAAGTCCATGGATGGTGGTTTTGGCAGAAGCATTGCCTGCAGGAAAGGCAAATCTATATCCAGAGTAAATGTCTGCTTCAGTATAGACAGAACACTGCCCCTTCCATAATGGAAGCTGTCCAATGTAATCAACCTGCCACCAAGTAGCTGGCTGTTCACCCTGGGGAATGGTGTCATCTCAGGGGCTCAGTGTTAGTCTCTGCTGCTGACAGGTTGGGCACTCAGAGGTGGCCATACCAGATAGGTCTTGGTGAGTGGAAATCCATGTTTCTGATCCCATGCGTAACTTCCATCACTGCCACCATGGCCACTTCGTTCATTAGCCCATTGGATGATGACAGGGGTGGCTGGGGAAAGAGGCTGACTGGTATCCTATCCTCTTGACCTCCTCTGCTGAGGTCACCCTTTGGTGAGCGTTCACATGGGACATAAATATCGTCACAATTTTTTTCCCATTTAGAGGTCTATCCGCATACCTCTTCCCCAAATTTCTTTGTCACCAATGTCCCAATTGTGTTTCTTCCGAGTCCCTGACGATCCAATCAAACCACTGGCTACAGCCCATGAATTGGTTTACAATCGCACATCGGGCCATTTCTCTGTCCAAGCAAAGTGCACAACTGGTGCACTGACTGAAGTTCTGCCCACTGAGAAGATTTTCCTTGACCACTGTCCTTTAGGGATGTCCCAGAGAGGGGCTGTACCTACTTTCTGGTGATACCACATGTTGTGCAGAACCAGCTATAAACTAGGCCAGGGTCTTCTGCTTCTCTATCAACTGATCATAAGAAGTCCCCATAAGCCATAGGTGCAGGTTGGTAGAGAGAAGGCAGTGTGGCAGGAGTGGGAACCAAGGGCATTTGGGCCACTTCTTCATGTAACTTATTTATGCCTTCAGGGCCTGCCTGGGTCTGACTGTGTATATACCACTTTCATTTGATCATGGGGCACTGCTGTGCATACCCAACTTTCTGACTTGGTGGTCAAATAACACCCAGTTCATGAAGGACAGCTCAGGGGTCGCATGGTAACTTGGTGGACCCTGGTCAAATGTCTAGGGACCACCCAAAGCTTAGTTTCTACTAAGGCCCAGTACCAGGCCAAGAGCAATCTTTCAAAAAAAGAGTCATTCTCTGCAGATAATGGCAGAGCCTTGCTCCAAAATCCTAAAGGCCTGTGGAGCAAATCACCCATGGGGCCCTACCAAAGGCTCCAAACAGCATCCCTGCCATTCATTGACACCTGGAGCACCATTGGATCTGCCAAGTCGTATGGGCCAAGTGGCAGAGTAGCTTTCACAGCACCCTGGACATGTTGCAGAGCCTTCACCTGTTCTGGGCCCCACTCAAACTAGCAGCTTTTGTAAAACTCAGTAAATGGGCTGGAGCAAAACATCCAAATGAGGAATATGTTGCCTTCAAAATCTAAAAAGGCCCACTAGACATTGTGCCTCTTTCTTGGTTGTAGGAGGGATCAGTTCCAACAACTTTTTGCCTGAGAAGAAATATCTCAACAGGTCCCACACCACTGGACCCCTAGAAATTGCACTGAGGTAGAAGGCCCCCAAATTGTAATCATATTTATTTCCCAGCCTCCAACACTCTTAACAATAAATCTAGAGTAGTTACTACTTCTTGCTCACTAGGTCCAATCAGCCTAATGTCATAAATGTATGGACCAGTGTATCTTGTGGAAAGAAAAAGTGATAGAGATCCCTGTGAGTTCATTATAACCTGGAGCCAGAGAGTTGGTAGACCCCTGAGACAGGATAGTGAAGGTGTATTGCTGGCCTCACCAGCTGAAGACAAACTGCTTCTGGTGGGCCTTATGGACAGGGATGGAGAAAAAACCATTTTCCAGATCAATAGCTGCATACCAGGTATCAAGGGATGTGTTAATTTGCTCAAGAAATGAAACGACATCTGGTACAGCAGCTGCAATCAGAGTTGCCACTTAGTTAAGCTTACAATAATCCACTGTCATTCTCCAGGATCCATCTGTCTTCTGCACATGCCAAATAAAAGAGTTGAAAGGGGATGAGCAGGAATTACCACCCCTGCATCTTTTAAGTCCTTGATGGTGGCACTGACATCTGCAATCCCTTCAGAAATACAGTATTGCTTTTGATTTACCATTTTTGTAGGTAGAGCAGTTCCAATGGCTTCCACTTGACCTTTCCCACCTTAATGGCCTTCAACTTCACAGGTCAGGAAACCACTGTGGGCATTCTACCAGCTGCTAGTATGTCTATTTCAATTATGCATCTGGAACTGGGGGAATAGCCACAGGATGGTTTTGGGAACCTACTGGACCTACTGTAAGATAGACCTGAACTAAAGTTCTATTGCTCGCCTGACCTCCATAAGCCCCTGCTCTAATTGGAGGGCCACAGTGACATGTGAGGTCTCCTAGTGACAGTGTCAGTTCAGAGACGGTATCCAGTAGTCCCTGAAAAATATGATTATTTCCTTTGTTCCAATGCACAGTTACTCTGGTAAAAAGGCTGTAGGTCTCTTTGGGGAAGGCTAGGAGAGAGGTTAACAGTATAAATTTGGGGTAGTGTACCAGGGTCCTTCCCCGAAGGGACCCAGCCTCCCTTATTCAGGCTGTTCTGAGTATATAAACTGGCTGAGTGTATAAATCTGGGAATTGATCAAAGAGTCATGACCCACTGTTTTTATGATGTGAGTAAGACTTTTGTTCACTTGACCCAGAACTTTTCTTCTTATATGAATCTAGTAAGAATTTAGTGTGTTTCCTATCCATTTCATTTCTAGGAGCACTATGATGAACCAGCCAATGCCATAGGCCTGTGGAGTCAGACTATTCTGATAGTTGCTTTGACTCTGCTGCCCATCACAGTAACCACGCCCACCTTGCCTTTGGCAGTTGAGTGCTGCCATTCGGCCCCTGCCACCCCATGATCCAGTTGCTCCCACTGCATTAGGTTTTCCAATTGAGTGGCTGTGGTTCCCACTGTAAGGTGTGGCCTGCAAAGAAGAGTGATCACAGAACCCTTCAAAGACACTGGGGGTCCCCTCACAAATTTATTTCTCCAAGGGCTGGTGAAAGGTATTGTCTTTGTCTATTTCCACTGCTATAACAAAATACTAGAGAGTAGGGTAGTTTGTAAACAATAGAAACTTATTTCTCTTGGCTCTGGAGGCTGGGAAGTCCAAAAGCAAGGCGCTGGAAGGATTGGTGTCTGGTGAGGGCTGCTTTCTGTTTCCACGATGGTGTCTTGTTGTTTTATCCTCCGGAGGGGAAGAATGCTGGTCCTGACATGGTGGAAGTGGGAAGGGCAACAAGAACCTAAGCTAGTTCCCCCAGCCCTTTGATAAGGTACTAATCCATTCGTGAGGACAGAGCCTTCATGGCTTAATCACTTTCCAAAAGGCCCCAATTCTTAATACCACCATAATAGGGATTAAGTTTCAACATAAATTTTGGAGGGAACATAAACATTCAAACCATAACAGGTATATCCTAGACTCTCCCAGTGTAGATAAGTAGGTCTTAAATGACAAATACACTCTAGCATTCCCATCTGCCTACAGCTCTGACTTTCTTTTTTTTTTTTTTTTTTTTTTTTGGGGGGACAGAGTCTTGCTCCATTGCCCAGGCTGGAGTGCAGTGGCACAGTCTCAGCTCACTGCAACATCTGCCTCTCAGGTTTGTGATTCTCCTGCCTCAGCCTCATGAGTAGCTGGGATTACAAGTGCATGCCACCATGCCCAGCTAATTTTTGTATTTTTTAGTAGAGATGGGGTTTCACCATGTTGGCAAGGCTGGTCTCGAGTTCCTGACCTCAAGTGATCTGCCAGCCTTGGCCTTCCAAAGTGCTGGTATTACAGATGTGAGCCACCATGCCTGGCCTGCACCTTACTTCTTCTTCTTCTTCTTTTTTTTTTTTTTTTTTTTTTTTTTGAGATGGAGTCTCCCTCTTGTCACCCAGGCTGGAGTGCAATGGTGCGATCTTGGCTCACTGCAACCTCCGCCTCCTGAGTTCAAGCCATTCTCCTGCCTCAGCCTCCTGAGTAGCTGGAATTACAGGCACACACTGCCACGCCCGGCTAATTTTTGTATTTTTAGTAGAGATGGGGTTTCATCACGTTGGCCAGGCTAGTCTAAAACTCCTGACCTCAAGTGATCCACCTGCCTTGGCCTCCCAAAGTGCTGGGATTACAGGCGTGAGCTACAGCACCCAGCCAAATATATATATATACATATATATATATATTTTTTTTTTGAGACGGAGTCTCTCTCTGTTGCCCAGGCTGGAGTGCAGTGGTGGGATCTTGGCTCACTGCAAGCTCCGCCTCCCAGATTCACGCCATTCTCCTGCCTCAGCCTCCCAAGTAGCTGGGACTACAGGCGCACAGGCGCCCGCCACCAAGCCAGGCTAATTTTTTGTAGTTTTAGTAGAGACGGGGTTTCACCATGTTAGCCAAGTTGGTCTCAATCTCCTGACCTCGTGATCCACCCACCTCTGCCTCCCAAAGTGCTGGGATTACACCGCACCTGGCCAATATATTTTATTAAAATGAATCTCACCTGTTTTTTTCTGAATGTGGCTCCCAGAAATTTAAAATTACATTGCCCAGGCTGGAGTGCAGTGGCACAGTCTCAGCTCACTGCAATCTCTGCCTCTCAGGTTCAAGTGATTCTCCTGCCTCAGCCTCCTGAGCAGCTGGGATTACAAGTGCATGCCACCATGCCCGGCTAATTTTTGTATTTTTTTTTAGTAGAGACGGGGATTCACCATGTTGGCCAGGCTGGTCTCGAACTCCTGACCTCAGGTGATCTTCCTGCCTTGGCCTCCCAAAGTGCTGGGATTACAGGCATGAGTCACCGTGCCTGGCCAAGACTGAATTTCTTCCTCTACATTAAGCCAAAGAAGGTCAGGCATTTCCAGTTCACTCACAGTGGGTCATCTTTTGGTCCATGTTTCAGCTAACTAACCAAACAAACTGTAAGAGCCCTTTCTAACTCCCCAAGCTGCAACATTAAATGCAGAATCTCTGCTTTAGTGAGCCCATGTCAATAAACGCTGCCTGATCCAACTTTGTTCCTTCCATCATTAGCCCATACCCTTGATATCCATCCCCATACATGTTCCCCAGATTTCTACTTGTCTAAATCAGAAAAATCAAGTAGTTCTTTTGGAATGTAGCATACTTCATACTTGAGTCTAGTTACAGGTCTAGAAGCAAAGAGGGGTAGTGGGGATGGCACTGTCTTGCAGAGCAACTACTTAAGGAGGCCATTATCATTTCCTCCAGCAATGCAGGGTGAAACCCCTCAGACAGAGGTAGAGCAGCCAACACCAGTGTGGCTAAAGAGGCTGATACCACTGGGGATGAGGATGCCACTGTCCCTAGAGGTGGGGAGGCCACTATTGCTAGGGGTGGGAAGCCAGCTTCACTGGGGGTAGGGAGGTCAATTTGGCTGGGGATAGGGACACTTCTTCCACTGGCAAAGAAGACTCGAGAATTTGAGAGACTCAATGTCCCCAGGTTCACCAGAGTCTTCCCTCATGTCCCCATCCCAACACAGGATCCCATTCTTTCCCAACAAATGCCCTCACTTTAATAGTAAACTCCTTTCAAGGCTGGGAGTTCAATTGGTGCTGTAATTCAGCCAATTACAGGATAAGGTTCTGCATTTGATTTTCAGCAATTTCAGCACTATGGCTGCAGGAGGTGAGGTTCTTATTTAGGACACAGTTAGAAGCTCTTAGGTCATTTATGCAGCTCTTGGGCTGGGAATTCAAATCCCTGAGCTCATCCTTTTCTTTCACACTTTGTCCTGCATCATTAGGGGCAGGGAATCAACATCATTATATTCCTTATTTTTCCAAAAATATTTGCAAGTATCATATACAGAGTCACCTAGCTCCTTGCTTCTTGTAAGTGGTTGATTGGAATATTTTGTGTATCTCCATGAACAGTTCTCAGTGCTCTCTTTACTACTAGAAATAGAGTCATTACCATCTTTAAGTGTAATCGGGTTAGAGAGCCAATTTCAGAAACCTCAGAACCAATTTAGAAAACCCATCCTTAAAATTCTGTTCCTTGGCCGGGCGCGGTAGCTCACGCCTGTAATCCCAGAACTTTGGGAGGCCAAGGCGGGTGGATCACGAGGTCAGGAGATCGAGACCATCCTGGCTAACACAGTGAAACCCCGTCTCTATTAAAAATACAAAAAATTAGCCAGGCGTGGAGGCAGGCACCTGTAGTCCCAGCTACTTGGGAGGCTGAGGCAGGAGAATGGCGTGAACCTGGGAGGCGGAGCTTGCGGTGAGCTGAGATCGGTTCAGTGTTCCTCTAGAATCACTCTGTTCCAAAATGGAACTGTTTTGTATCTTGTTTTTATTTTTTATTTTTATTTATTTATTTATTTTTGAGATAGAGTCTCGCTCTGTTGGCCAATGCAGTGCCGTGATCTCAGCTCACTGCAACCTCCGCCCCCGGGTTCAAGTGATTCTCCTGCCTTAGCCTCCCGAGTAGCTGGATTATAAGTGCCTGCCACCACGCCCAGCTAATTTTTTTTTTTTTTTTTTTTTTTTTTTTGTATTTTTAGTAGAGATATGGTTTCGCCATTTGGACCAGGCTGGTCTGGAACTCCTGACCTCAGGTGATCCTCCCACCTTGTCCTCCCAAAATCCTGGGATTATAGGCCTGGCCTGTTTTGTATCTTGACTGTGGTGGTGGATGCACAAACCTATACAGGTGATACACACAACTAAAGATACACACACACACACACACACACACACAAATGAATACAAGTAAAATAAGGGAATCCGAATAAGCTCTGTGGATTATATCAATGTCAATTTCCTGTGGTGGATAGTGTACCATAGTTTTGCAAGATTGAGGGAAACTGAGTAAAAGGCATATTATTTCTTACAACTGCATGTGAATCTACGGTTATCTCAAAATATTAGGTTGGTACAAAAATAATTGCTGTTTTTGCTGTTGCTTTTATGGCAAAAACCACAATTACTTTTGTACTAACCTAATAAAATGTTAAATTTGTTTCAAAGGCACAGGATGCCCACCAGTGATGATGCCTCAGCTGTTGACGGCAGCAGACTCCTGGGTAAGTGATTGGCCAATGGGCCAGTTGTTCACTAAGACTCTTCTAGTTATGACAATAGAAATATGCCATCCAAATATACAAAATAAGCTGTGCTTCTAGTCTCTGGAGCTGTACTGTCAAACAGTACAGTCACTAGCCACATTGTAGCTATCGAACACTTGAAATCTGGCCAGTCCTAATTGACGTGTGCTGTTAGTGTAAAACACACACCAGATTTCAAACACATAGTGAAAATGAAACAATATAAAATAGCACTTTTTTTATATTGACTACATATTAAAGTGATAACACTTCGGATATATTGGATTAAACTATATATATATATATATATATATATATATATTTTTTTTTTTTTTTGAGACGGAGTTTCTCTCTTGTTGCCCAGGCTGGAGTGCAGTGGCGCGATCTTGGCTCACTGCAACCTCCGCCTCCCGGGTTCAAGCGATTCTTCTGCCTCAGCCTCCTGAATAGCTGGGATTACAGGCACCTACCACCATGCCCAGCTAATTTTTTGTGTTTTTAGTAGAGATGCAGTTTCATCATGTTGGTCAGGCTGGTCTCAAACTCCTGACCTCAGGTGATCCACCCACCTCAGCCTCCCAAAGTGCTGGGGTTACAGACATGAACCATTACACCCAGCCAATAATATATTTTATTAAAATGAATCTCACCTGTTTTTTTCTGAATGTGGCTCCAAGAAATTTAAAACTACATACACTTTCTTTATTTCTGTTGGACAGCACTGCTCTAGAGTAACCACAAGCATCTATAATCATCTACAATCATCATCAAATCATTAAGGTCCCAACCAGAATGCACCCCTGGTCTTTATCTGATTTCCTAAGAACCACCTCCTATTGGGTCTGACTCTACAGAATCCAGAGTTGGTTCTGTGTAGGCATCTGAAACCTGCTAGGCTCACACGGCTTGGTCCCAGGTCACCCCAAAGGTCGAGAAATGACCAGTTGATCAGGCGTGGTGGCTCATGCCTGTAATCTCAGCACTTTAGGAGGCTGAGGGAAGAGAATTTCTTGAGCCCAGGAGTTTGAGACCAGCCTGAGCAATGTGGTAAAACCCCATATTCACTAAAAACTAAAAATTAGCTGGGTATGGTAGCACCTGTAGTCCCAGCTACTCAGGAGGCTGAGGCAGGAGGATTGCTTGAGCCCAGAGGATCGAGGCTACAGTTAGCCATGATCATGCCACTGTATTCCAGCCTGGGCAACAGAGCAAGACTGTCTCAAAAAAAGAAAAAGAAAGAAGGAAAAGAAAAAAGAAATGACCAATAGCTGGGTGTGGTAGCTTGTGCCTGTAATCCCAGCTACTCAGAAGGCTGAGGAGGGAGGACTGCTTGAGACCAGGAATTTGAGACTAGCCTAGGCAATATAGCAAGACCCTATCTCTTAAAAAAAAAAAAAACTAAATAAATGTTTTAAAAGAAATGATGGATAAAAGCCATAACCACAATGTTCTTTCTGGAAGATTTCCTCATAGGTGGCTCAGGGGGTCAGGCACAAGGCTCGTTCACTCTCATCTTGGGTCCCAGCCCAAATGGCACCTTGTCAGTGAGCTGTTTTGAACACTCTTGAGCACTCTGGATGTCAACAAGATCTTCCGCCTGTTCCAGTCTTTGTGTCTGTTGTGGCTCATGGTTCTGCAGAGGATCCACCCGGCTCCATGCAGAGGCCACAGGACAGTGCCTCCGTCGGGTGGGGCCCGTGCTCCTCTCACCTCCTGCCTTGGAGCTAACCATGGGACACTGCACAGTGGAACCCACTCCGAGGTCACAAGTATGCAGCCTTGACATTCTAGAAGAGTTAACTTTTTGTTTTGTTTTGTTTTGTTTGAGACAGAGTCTCACTCTGTCGCCGAGGCTGCAGTGCCGTGGCGCGATCTCAGCTTACTGCAGTTGCCACCTCCCAGGCAATTCTCATGCCTCAGTGTCCCAAGTAGCTGGGACTACAGGAGCATGCCACCACACCCAGCTAATTTTTTGTATTTTTAGTAGAGACGGGTTTTTGCCATGCTGCCCAGGCCGGTCTTGAACTCTTGAGCTCAGGCAATCCACCCACCTCGGCCTCCCAATGTGCGAGGATTACAGGCATGAGCCACCGCACCCGGCCAAGAAGAGTTAACTTTTGATCATGAGGGGCTGGTGCCAGTGGACAATGCTTCTGCACCTTCCCCCAGATTGGACAGTCCTGAGATGTCCTTCACACACCACCACAGCTTGTCCTGTGGGACTGAGCAGCCAGTTGTCCCTAGATGCGGTGGCCAGCTTGATGCCACATCCCCTTCACACAGAGATGGGGTTTCACCATGTTGGCTAGGCTGGTCTCAAACTCCTGACCTCAGGCAATCTGCCCACCTCCTTTCCCAATACCCTCTCCCTGGAATCACACACCCCATGAAGTGCCTGCACTCACAGCTTTGCCTCAGGCCCTGCTTTCTGGGGAGCCCAGGCTAAGCAGAGGCCCTCCCGGGCCGCCTGCTCCCAGCCCCAGCCCCCATTTCCCCATCTCAGCACCTGGTTCACTTTTTTGGCTGCGTCTTTTATGCCCCTAAGGATCTTGTGCATTTGTTCATTGGCTTCTGTTTTCCTCTCTGCCCAACTAGACTGCAGGCTCCTTGAGGGCTCCATCCCCAGCGTCTGAAACCCGGCCTGGAGTGAACTTGGTGCGCAGTAAGTATTTGTTAAAGCCCTGACCACAGTGCCCGGTCCTCTCAGAACATTAGACTGAGCCACCCAGCTTCTCTGTTTATCAGCTGGGATCAGACATATTTAGAAGAGATGACCTAATAAGGCGACAAGTCTTTATTCTGGGGAGAGAAGCTGCTCTTTCTAAAACTAGGATATGGCCTGGCACAGTGGCTCATGCCTACAATCCCAGCATTTTGGGAGGCCGAGGCAGGAGGATTGCTTGAGCCCAGAAGTTCGAGACCAGCCTGGGCAACATAAAATAAAAAATAAAAAAATTACCCAGGGGTGGTGGCAAATACCTGTAGTCTCAGCTACTTGGGAGGGTGAGGTGGGAGGATCACTTGAGCCCAGGTAGGTGAGGCTGCAGTGAGCCAAGATAGTGCCACTGCACTCCAGCCTGGGCGACAGAGCAAGACCTCATCTCAATATATATATATATATATTTAAATATCTCAAAATATATATACATATTTAAAAATTCGCCAAGTGCAGTGGCTCACACTTGTAATGCCAGCACTTTGGGAGACCAAGGCAGGTGGATCACCTGAGATCAGGAGTTCAAGCTCAGCCTGGCCAACATGGTGAAACCATGTCTCTACTTAAAATACAAAAAATGGCTGGGTGCAGTGGCTCACGCCTATAATCCCAGCACTTTGGGAGGCCAAGGCAGGCGGATTGCCTGAGGTCAGGAGTTCAAGACCAGCCTAGCCAACATGGCGAAACCCCATCTCTACTAAAAATACAAAAATTAGCCAGGTGTGGTGGCATGTGCCTGTAGTCCCAGCTACTTGGGAGGCTGAGGCAGAAGAATCACTTGAACCCAGGAGGTGGAGGTTGCAGCGAGCCGAGATTGCACCACTGCACTGCAGCCTGGGTGACAGAGCAAGACTCCATCTCAAAAACATAAAAAATAAAAAATATATAAAAATAAAAATACAAAAAAAAAATTAGCCGGGCATGGTGGTGCATACCTGTAGTCTCAGCTACTTGGGAAGCTGAGGTGGGAGGATCACTTGAGCCCAGTCAGTTGAGGCTGCAGTGAGCCAAGATAGTGCCACTGTACTCCAGCCTGGGCGACAGAGCAAGACCCCATCTCAAAATAAATAAATAAATAAATAAATAAATAAATAAATAAATAAATAAATATTTTAAAATTGGCCAAGCGCAGTGGCTCACACTTGTAATCCCAGCACTTTGGGAGGCCAAGGTGGGTAGATCACCTGAGATCAGGAGTTCAAGACAGCCTGGCCAACATAGTAAAGCCACATCTCTACTAAAAATACAAAAAAAATTTAGCCAGGCATGGTGGCGTGCGCCTGTAATCCCAGCTACTCGGGAGGCTGAGGCAGGAGAATAACTTGAACCCGGGAGATGGAGGTTGCAGTGAGCCGAGATCGTGCCACTGCACTACAGCCTGGGCTACAGAGCAAGACTCCATTAAAATAATAAATAATAAATAATAAAACTAGGATGTTACCGTTTTGGATCTACCCAGGTAGAAGCTTGCCCTTAAAGATGGTGAAGGTGAACAGAGAAGCACATATTGAAATCCACCAGTCATCGAGCAGTATGAGCAATCCACGAGCAAATCTTCCTCCCCAGGAGCTTTGCTTGCTTTGAACTTTTTAATCAACCAGGCAATCTCAGGAAGGATTCCCAGGCCCCAAGAGCAGGCTGGGGGTGTTGAGGACATGGGCTTTCTTTTGCAAAATGGGAAAGGCTTTCCTTTGCAAAGTGCCTCTCAGGCACTAAGCAGGTGCTGAGCTTCCACAATCTCATTCACCAACTCCACACTGTGGGTCCCTCTGGGGTTGGGGCAGGGATTAAATAAGATACTGCAAGTAGAGTGCCTGGCATCTACATTATCATCACCATCATCTTCATTATTGTTGCCATCTCTGACCCTGAACATTCACTGTCAGACCAAAGAGGCAAGCCCTGATCCTCCTACACAGACCACATCTGCCCCAGAAAGAGTTCACCTAGAATAGCAGCTGTCATCCCAGGGCAGTGTTAGCCCCCAAGGCACATCTGGCAATGTCTGGAGGCACTTTTGGTTGTCACAACTGGAGGGAGGGTGCCACTGGCATGTAATGGGTAGAGGCCAGGGACACTTAATCATAAATGCAAGGCTAGCCCTTCACAAGAAAGAATTAATCAGTCCCAAATGTCAACAGAAACCCTGGTTTAGAAGGCGCAGAGTATGTAAGAAATGTGCCCTCAGCCCCCAAGGGTGTTGTCAGGGCAGTGTGGTGGGGGACCCCAGCAGGCCTAAGCATGAATCCTAGACCCCCTTACCATGGCTGTATATCCTGGACAAGTGAAATTTCACCTCTGAGCCTCAATTGCTCGACTATAAAATGGGGCCAATGACACCCACCTCTTCAGGGTGCAAGAAGATTAAATGAAGTCATATGTATAAGGGATTTAACTCAGTTCTTTGCAGTCAGAACTCAAGCAATGGGAAATGTACTGGGTTGAATAGCATCTCCCCAAAACTCACATCCACCTGGAATCTCAGAATGTGACTTCATTTGGAAATAGGGTCTTTGGCAGATGTAATTAGTTAAGCTAAAATGAGGTCATACCGGATTAGGGTGGGCCCCAAATTCAAAAACTCATGTCTTTATAAGAGAAAGGAGGAGATTCAGACACAGAGACGCACACACAGGGAGCGCACCACGTGACCACAGAGGTGGAGATCGGAGTGATAAGGCCACAAGCCGAGAAACACCAAGGGCTGCCAGCAACTCCCAGAAACCGGGGGAAAGGCATGGAACCGATTCTGTCTTGGAGCCTTAGAAGCAACCAACACTGCTGTCCCTTTTATTTTGGACTTCTGGTCGCCAGGAATGGAGAGTAATTTCTGTTGTCTTAAGCCACCCAGTTTGTGGTACTTTTCATGGCAGTCCTAACAAACTAGGATGAGGGCTGTGGCCATATGGTGACTGTCATTACAGTGATCTGTGGCATACCCAGTGGGCATCTCTAGAGCACACAGAGGTCTCCGTACCCTGAGAGTACTGGCAGGTGTTTGCCCTCCCACTTGCCGCACAGAACCCTAACACCCATGGTGTACCTGCACCTCAGGACTTTCTCCACGGATGTTGGAGAATGTCTACATCTCCAGGCACCCGGTTGATGTTTACCTACATTCTCTGGAGCTCACGGGGGACCCCTAGGGCCTATGCGATTTGCCTATGATAAGCCATCTGCACTACCTGTATCTGCCACCCCTACACGTGTCCAGGGTGCCAGCAGCACAGAGAGCATACCCACAGCACTGCCAGTGTACTGACAGCAGCTCCCCAAGTGTGTCTAAGGAAAGGTGAGCCTCCTGGAGGACTCACACAGCACACAGCAAGCCTGCACACACTGTAGATATCAAGAGAACACCGGGGGTGACCCCATGGAAGGTACCAGTGACCCACAAACCTCATCCTTGGGAAGCAGATGGTGTTTAGAGGACGGAGTGAACCTGTGGAGTGCAGGTTGTGTCTACAGCACACGGTGGCTGTCTGCAGCCCCGGATCGCACCCATGGCCCTGAGAGGATGTCCGCTCCACAGAAATGGCTCTCCGGAACTCCAAGTAGCTATGGCACATGGAAAGCAGAGAAGGAGGAAAATCCATTTGGGGCCAAGAGCTCTGTCTGAACTTTGTCCTTTTCTCAAGCAAAAGAAAATATTATTTCACCCTCTAAAGAGCCACACATAATAACAGGCGAAATGTCAAGACCAATGTTGATATAAACCCCCAAGGAAAACAAACATCTCCGTACCTTCTCCGCCGCCTCCCCACCTCACCCTGCTCGGCTAGTTTAAACAGATCCAGCGGTGGGCAGAGGGGAGGCGGGGAAGCGGGAAAGCCTGCCTGGCTCCCAGAGCTGTGAGAGAGGCCGCTCCGAGTTCAGGATGCTCCGAGTCCACCTACACTGGGAATGCGTAGGTAAGCCTGGCCCGGGAAGGACACACAGAGTAGACCCATGGTTAAGAGATCGGCTCAATGCAAATCCCAGCATCACTCACTGGCTGTGTGACCTTGGGCAAAAAGCCTGAGCTCTCGGAACCTGAGTGTCCTCATCAGCAATTATCCTCTGGCCAGCCAGATCTCCCTGGGGGTGGGGAAAGGCCAGGGTGTGGGCCATGCAGGGAGGCACTGAGGCTGCGTGACTGCATGAATGAGCAATTCCTGAGCACCCACGAGGTGCCCCCTATGGGTCCAGCTACTCCATAGAATCTACCTCATTGAAGCCACACAGCTCTGCAGGTGTAAATTATCATTCTTAATTTGCAAGAGGAGAAACAGGTTCAGAGAAGTGAAGAAACTTATTCAAGACCACACAGCTGGGAAGAAGGGCAGACGGGCTGATTTTTTTTTTTTTTTTTCTGAGACAGGGTCTCGCTGTATGGCTGAGGCTAGAGTGCAGTGGTGCAATCATAGCTCACTGCAGACTTGAACTCCAGGGCTCAAGTGATCTTCCTGCCTCAGCCTCCAGAGTAGAGATTTAAAGCCAGTCCTGTCTGGCTCCAAAAGCCTCAGGCAAGGTTGACCTCAATTCATCCAGGACACTGGAAGCCGGGTTCTAGTTTCAGAGTTCACAGAACTCTGCTCCCCAGGATGTGTGTTGGAAAGGAGTGTGTTGAGTGATACTGCCCAGGAGACCCCAAGTTTGGCTCTGGCTTGAAGCCTCAACTGACCAGCCCTTGGCTATTGGTCTTTCCAGCCCCACCCAAGGGGCCCTTCAAACTTTCAGTTCAGTTGTTTTTTTTTTTTTTTTGAGATGGAGCCTCACTCTGTCATCCAGGCGGGAGTGCAGTGGTGCGATCTCAGCTCACTACAACCTCTGCCTCCCGGGTTCAAGTGATTCTTCTGCCTCAGCCTCCTGAGTAGCTGGGACTACAGGCGTGTGCCACCATGCCCAGCTAATTTTTGTATTTTTAGTAGAGGCGGGGTTTCACCATGTTGGCCAGACTGGTCTCAAACTCCTGACCTCAGGTGATCCACATGCCTTGGCCTCCCAAAGTGCCAGAACTACAGGCGTGAGCCACCACACCTGGCCCTTTTTTTTTTTTTTGAAGGGAATTCAACAAATATTTTTTGAGCTTTTCCTCCATGCCAACACCTGAGCTGAGCACAAAAAGACCCAGAATGAAATCCTCCCTGAGTCCTACCTTCAAGAAACTTCCAGTTCAGTGGGGGGCAAGGGCAGCAGACAGATATGACAAGACTATTACAATATCATAAATACTCACTTTAATGGGTGCCTTATAAGCTCTGAAAGGACCACAGGAGAAGGGGCCCTGAGTCTCCCAGGGGGAATCAAAGGCAGGTGGCATTTGCATGAAGACTTGAGGAGGGACAGCGGTCGGCCTGGATGGCCAGAGAGGAAGGGTACTGGAGACAGAAGGAGAGGCTCACATAAAAGTACAAGGCCTGAAGGCCAGGCACGGTGGCTCATGCCTGTAATCCCATCACTTTTGGAAGCCGAGGTGGGTGGATCACTTAAAGTCAGGAGTTCGAGACCAGCCTGGCCAACACGGTGAAACCCCATCTCTATTAAAAATGCAAAAATTAGCGGGTGTGGTGGTGCATGCCTGTGAACCTGCCTACTCAGGAGGCTGAGGCAGGAGAATCACTTGAACCCAGGAGGTGGAGGTTGCAACGAGCTGAGATTTCACCACTGTACTCCAGCCAGAGCGACAGAGCAAGACTCTGTCTCAAAAAAAAAAAAAAAAAAAAAAAGCAGGCGGCATGAAAGCCTGGAGTGTCAGGGGATCTGCATGTAGCTCATTCTGTTATGGAGCATCAGAGACTGGCAAGAGAGGTTAATGAACCGATCCAAGATGCCACAGTGAGAAAGTAGGATTGAGAAGTGGCAGGGGCCAGATTACGATGGGCTTTATTGAGGTGGGTTTTTTTGTGAGAGCGACAAGGAGCCACGGAAGGGACGTGGCAGGATAACACTTGCCTTTGAGAGAGGTCACTCTGTGCCCAGCAGGGAGCAGAACTTGAAGGGGGATGGTTAGAGATGGGAGACCAGAAAGGAGCTAAAAGAATATGGCAGCCAGAATGGGGGGCTGACGAGGGGTGTCCCAAGATACACAGGTAGAATGGACAGGACTCGGCACCAGACTTGGAGAAGGAGGAGTGGAAAATGAAGAAGAAGAGGAGGAAGTCTGCAGCACGCTCGGGTGTCCCACCTGGCTGGTGGCTGATGGTGATGCCTCCCAGGGAGATGGGGACCCATGAGGAGGCCTGATGGGGAGAAGGCCACCGGGGCCTGGGGAGTGTCCCAGTGAGGACACCAGGAGGCAGCTGGCCATGGAGGTTGGGTTTGAATGCTGGGGGACACCAGTATGGGGACACAGAGCAAAAGAAGAAATGCCAAAATGTAGCTGGAGAAGGAGGAGCCAGGGGGTAGGTGGTGAGCCAGGGAAGAGGAACATTAAGGGTGTAGGATGAGGCCAAAAAGCCTGGCAAAGGGACCAGACAACTCGTAGGGTGGGGGCAGCCGAGCCAGCCGCCGTTTCAGGTGAGAGATGGTAGTAAGCTGCTGAGAGTTGGGGCGGTGAGGAGGTGGACAAGGGCAGGGGCTGTACACCCCTCTTTTAAAGGCTTGGCAGGAAATGGAAAGAGAGATGGAAGACAGTAGCTAGCAGGAGGCTTGGAGTCCAGGGAGGGTTTTCATTTCCAAATGGGAGACATGAAGAGCTGCTGTGATTCAGAAGTTCAAGTCTGAGTCAGGTTACTGGAGGCAGGGAGGTCCCTGTGGAGGACATCGGGTTGAGGTCTGGAGTCCACTGGGGATGGTGGAGCTTCCACATTGAGACTGGAGGAGAGAAGCTATGAGTGAGAGGGTCAACCTAGACAAGGCAGAGGGAGGCATGATGTGAAGTGAGGCTGGGAGACATCAGCCCCCGGTCGTGGGGGGTCCCCAAGGGCAGGCTGAGGCGTCTGGCCAGGCAGCAGATAGGTGGAAGGTAGATGAGCTTCAGATCCAGACCAACCTGGGTTTGCATCCCACTCGCCAGCTGTGTGACCCCAAACGGTGCCCCCACCTCACCGTTCCCTCATCCCTGACACCAGAAGGGCAGTGGTCCCTGCCCCACGGGAACAAACTCACAAAAGGCATTCAGCACAGGATCCGGCGAGCAGAAGACCTCGATAAATGTTAGCGAATAAGAATAATAAATACTGAGGGGCTATCGAAGGGTTTTTGAAGCCGGGAAGGGACGAGGTCAAATCTGTATTTTAGAAAGACCTCGCTGGAGGGGGAGGTAGCCTTGGGGAGAAACTAAAAGGTCGTGCCCTTCTTGAGGTATTTCTCTGAAGTCTGTGGGAAGTTTGTAGTGTCAGGTTAAGGATTTTATTGGTTCCATGTTTGGGTTTTGATTCGGCCGTTTCCTTGGGTCCTCCTGCATAGACGCTGGTCTAACCGGCGTGTTCATCATTGACCTGGCAAGTCCGGCTCGGTGAGTTGGACACAACGGGGCTTCGAGGTGTATTTCAGTCATGAAATAAACTGATGGGAAAAGTAAATCCAGAAAAATCAATAAATAACATGGAGGGTGGATTTTGGGGAAGGACTAGGACAAGGGCTGGCAGGGCTCAGAGTGAGGGGCAGTGGGCCCCCCAGGAGGGCTAGGGGTGATTCTTTGAGAAATCCGGGACTGTTCCTCAGGGGCAGCCAGCAGCAATGATTCAGACATGACCGGCCCTCCTCTCCCATCCCTCACAGATTCAGCAGAAAAAGCTTCCACTCAGAAAGGCATTGATACATCTTATTGGAGATTACTGGGGCCCACGATGAGCCCAAGGTCTTGGGACTGGGTGAAATAGAAGAATGGCAGTAATAACAATAACATTAGCAACAGTAATAATAATAACATTAGCAATGGTTATCGTTGAGTTCTTACTGTATGCCAGCCCTGTGATGAAACAAATACTATTAATAGCCCCGTTTCACAGAGGAGGAGTCTGTGGCTCAGAGAATTACACTGTTAGCCCAAGGCCTCAGCTTAGGTTTCAGCCTCTGTCTTGGAAGAGCCACCTACGCTCCAGTCCATCCTGCTCCAGCGACCCTGGCCCGCTTGGAGCTCTGGGCAGCACTTTCTCTGTGAAGCCTCAGGGAGAGTGAATTACTCTGCTTGTAACTCAGGCACAAAGTAGGAAGAGCCCCAGGAGCAGGTAGCTTCCCTTTCAGCTCTCTGCTAACCTGCTGTATGACCCTGCGCAAGTGGCTTCCCTTCTCTGAACCTTGGCTGCCTCTTTTGCAGGCAAGTACGGCCCAGTGTCTAGTCCCCAGGACTGTCTCGTAGATTCCACTGGCTCCTGCCTGTCTTTGGCCTAGCACATAGTAGGCACTCCAAGGAGGCCCAAGCCCGCTTCCCAGGGCTTCCCTGTCCGGGCTGATTATCTCCATGGAATCCACACTGTGAAAATAAACATGAACTCAAGTGGCCCCGGTCTCCGTGGCAGCCAAGGGGAAGCTCGGTCTCCAGCCCGTGTCTGTTCTAGGCAAGAACAAAAGTTTCCCTGTGAAGTTGCCCCCACCCCCGCTTCCCTTCTGGAACCAGCTGGGATGGGGGCGGGGGATGGAGGGGGCCAGGCCTGGAGCGTGGTGAGCTCAGCTGCCTGTCAAAACCCAGCCCCAGACCAACACCACCCTGCTGAGACAGGTGGAGGGCTCTAGGCTCAGGAGCCTTGGGGGCAGGAAGTTGGACCTGGGGGCAGGATTTGCGGGCTCTAGGACACTAGGGATGGAGGATGCAGGGATTAGAGGCCGGGGATGCGGAGAGGGGCAGCGCCTGGTTATCCTTGCACAAAGTGCCACAGGGCCCATTCATCTATCTTACACCCCTTTGCCCACCAGCCTCCCTGTGCAGAGCCTGACAGATGCCAGATTTGGGGAGCTGGTGGGAAGTGAGCTGGCCCTGGAGGACATGGCAGAACCAGCACGAAACTTGGTATATCAGGGAGGAATGGGCTCAAACTCCGGCTCCGTCATTATTTGTTGGGGCCTTGGGCAGGTCAGGGCCCCCTGAGTCTCCATTTCTGCATCTGTCATGGAATGGACGATCTGGCCAAGGACTGGGCAGCCTACTGGGGTCGAACATGAGGCACAGCAACAGGGAGCTCAGACACGTGCCAGCCTAGGAGGACAAGAGAGCTGGGTGACAAGGCAGGGTTCTGAGGAGGAGCAGAGAGCCCCTGAAAAAGATCTACCCCAGTAGAAGAGAGCCAGCAACAGTGAGTTGGGTTCAGCCCAGGCTGGGGAGCTGAGGGCAGTGTGGACACAAGGTGGTGCTCTGGGGGGCAGATGGCAGTCTTGACGGCAGTGTGGACACAGGTCTCCTAACAATGTGGAGAGAAGAGTGGCTGTGCAGAAGGAAGCCCTGTTTCTCTAAACTCTAGCCCTTCGTGTGCCCAAGCTGTCCTGCTGTGGGGCCCCCTAACCAAGCGTAAGCCAGTGACCTTGCCGTTTCCTCCAAGGTCATCAGAGCACAGGAAGTCCACAGGGAGGAGCAGCTCCACATGGACAGCAGGCCAAGTGGAGCCATGTGGATTAGTGGCAGCCATCATGACAGAAGCAGCATCGCTTGTCCCTAAGAGGCCAAGGAGGCTCAGAGGCAGCCACAAGCTGCGAGTTCTGGCATGGCCAGTGGTCGTGGTGGTGAACTTTGTTTGGCAGTGCAACGGCAGCATTGGTGAGGGAGGATAGAGGCAGTGTAAAATGCAACCAGAACTTATGTGAAAACCTCAATCACACTGCTTAAAAAAACTGAATTAATGATGGTTTATCACCAGAAGATAGAAATATGGTTGATTTTTGTATATTGATCCTGTATCTGGCAACCTCACTAAACTTGCCTATTAATTCTAGTTGCTTTTTTGAAGGTTATGATGGATTTTCTATCTAGATAAGCATGTCATTTGGAAATAAATGCAATTTTATTTTTCCTTTCAAAATCAAGTGGCAACCAGGACTCATCTATGGGTGCATGTTATCTACCCGCTGGGGTCGCCCTGAAACACGTGGAAGAATGAGGCTCTGCAAGGAGCTAGGTCTCCTGAGTGGAGAGGCAGATGTTCAGAGCGAGCCACATCCAGCTTGCTGTCCTCACAGGCTGTTGATGTCAGAGTTCTGGGAATCGCAGTCCCTCCTGTGCTGGGTGATTACAGTATTCATGATGTCAGAGCTGTGAAAGTGTCTGAAGTGGAACAAGATTTAAAGCCCACAGGGCGGGGCTCTCCACTTTCTGTGAAAGACATTTAAATTCTTAATAATGTACTTTATTCAAATATTAAACATTTCAATAAAAATTACACTGTAGGTTTTTCCATCTTTAAAACTTTCAGATTCAGCAATCCTACCCTTAGAAACTTATCATTAGACAATTATAAAATCTGGCAAGCAATGGTTCACATCTGTAATCCCAGCACTCTGGGAGACTGAGACTGGAGGATCACTTGAGCCCAGGAGTTCGAGACCAGCCTGGGTAACACAGTGAGACCTCATCTCCACAAAAAAATTTAAAAAGTATCTGAGCGTAGTGGCATGCACCTGTAGTCCTAGCTACTCAGGAGGCTGAGGCAGGAGGATTGCTTAAGCCCAGGAGTTCAAGTTGCAGTCGACCGCAATTGCACCACTGTACTCCAGCCTGGGCAACAGAGCGAGACTGAGTCTCCAAAAAAAAAAAAAAAAAAAGTATATATATATATATATATATATATAAAATCCACAAAGATATAGATTGATGATGAGAATGCCATCACAAAGTTATTTGTACAAAAATAATTTAGAGATCATCTGAAGAGCCAACGAAAACATGGAATGCTATGCAGCCATTACGAATGGCTGTGCTGTACAGATATATCTTTATAATGTGCTTGATTTATATCCAAATGAAACAGGCTACAGAACAGTATTACAGAGTAATCCTATTTTGGCACTTATATAAATACACATATATAGGAAAATGTCTGGAATAAAAATATTTCAAAATACTTACCTACCTCTAAAAGGTGAGATTAAGAATAACCTGGGCCAGGCATGGTGGCTCATGCCTGTAATCTCAGCACTTTGGGAGGCCAAGACATGAAGATCGTTTGAGACCAGCCTGGGCCATATAGTGAGACCTTGTCTCTGCAAAAAATAATAATTAAAAAAAATTAGCCAGACATGTTGGTGCGTGCCTGTGTTCCCAGCCACTTGGGAGGCTGAGACGGGAAGATCACTCGAGCCTGGGAGTTTAAGGCTGCAGTGAGCCGTGATCACGCCACTGCACTCTAGCCTGGGTGACAGAGCAAGACCCTGTCTCAAAAAATAAAAATAAAAAATAAAGCAATGTTTTTCCTGATTGCTTTTTGTTTTATCTTCCCTTTCTTGTTTTTCTACAGTTAAATTTATAACAACAGTATAAACAACTCCCATTTATTAAGCACTTACTTTGTGCCAAGGGCATTGTGTATCGAGGGCTTTAGATTTATATGTTTCCTTGACTACTCCTTTTAACTCTAAGAAATACATACTATTGTTTTATCAGCCAGGACTGTTTCAGCTGAAAGTGACAGAATACCCAATTCAAATTGGCTTAAGCAAAGAAAAAAAATTAGATTGTATCAATAGAAAATCATGATCAGCTTCAGGCAGGGGCTCAAAAGTTATGCACATACTGTGGGTTCTCTTGGTTCTACCTCCTCTATTGCAGCCCCATTCTCAGACAATCAGTCCCACTTGGGAGCAAGATGGCTTTGTAGCAGCTCCTCTAACATCCTCTGACCTGCAAGGCCATGGGAAAGAAGTGTTTCAAGCAAAAGCCTGGAGATTCCTGCTATTGGACTGGCTTGAGTCACATGACCACCCACAGACGAATCTCCGCAGTCAGATGCTGGAGTATTCTGATTGGCTTAAGCCTGGGTCACATGCCCCACTCAGAGTCCAGGAATGAATCATGGTTCAGGGTGGGAGAGAATTGGTTCTCCCAAAGGAAAAGCAAAATCATGGTAATGGATGCTAGACGGGGGAAAATAAAGCCATCCACAATTATGATCTCCAACTTACTGATGAGGAAACTGATAAGTTCAGAGATGGGAAATTGTTTGTTCAAAGTCAAATAAATAGCTTGGTGCAGTGGCTCACGCCTGTAATTCCAGCACTTTGGGAGGCTGAGGTGGATGGATCACTTCAGCTCAGGTGTTCGAGACCAGCCTGGGCATCATGACGAGACCCTGTATCTACCAAAAATAAAAAACAACTAGCCAAGCGTGGTGGCACATGCCATCTGTGGTCCCAGCTACTCGGGAGGCTGAGATGGGAGGATGGCTTGAGCCTGGGAAGTCAAGGCTGTGGTGAGCCATGATTGGGCCACTGCACTCCACCCTGGGCAACACAGTGAGACCCTGTGTTGCAAAAAAAATTAAGTAAGAGGGCTGGGATTTGAACCCATGTTGTCCAACTCCAAAGACCATAAACTTATTTATGATGTGATCTTGCCTCCCCTGATTATTTGTACAGTAATCACATCATAATGAATGTAATCATGTCATAAATGAACTTGTTAACAAATAAAATAAAATCATAAGCCTCTGTCAGTGGAATTGTGGTGCGTGGCTGCTTAAGGTGCAGGTGGGGTCAGAGCATGCTTGAGACACCCATGCCCAGTGCCTCCAAGCAAGATGATGGCAGCCATCCAGATACTTCATAAGGCCTGGATTATCTTCCCATCAAGACAAGCTGCCAAGAGCAGCCCTGATACCAGCGAATGGCAAGCGCAGCTCAGAAAATAAGAGCAGAAGCTCCAAACACACAAGTTGTCATAATAATAGCTGATATTTATGGGTGGCTTATGTGTTAGGCACTGTGCTATTGATTCCTCATGACTGCCTGCAGGGGTGGGTACAGTAGCTGCCCTGAGTTACAGATGAGGGATCTAGAGCCCACAGAGTGAAGTCCCTTGCCAAGGTCACACGACCATCTCAGGTGCAGCAGGACTTAGGTGGAGGTCCGACTCCAGAGCCAGCCCTTAATCACATGCTCTAAAGACTGTATGATAGTTCCTCTCTGCAGCCAAGAGGAAATTTTAGTAGTACCTGCAAAGATCGGAACTGCAGAAAGCGGTTGTGCTGATAATACAACTCCTAGTATTAAAGGGTCCAAGGAAGACTGATCCCCCCAGGCTGATGTCTTCGTCGAATTTCCCTGGCGTTTGCTGGGGAAGGATTGTGTAATCGAGACTGAGGCACAGCATGCAGCCTGAAAGCCTGCTATTCTTCCCATTGTGATTTCAGCCTTAATCTTGAGTTTATAAGTATTTTATGTGGTGAAGAATGTCATCACTGGCAAAAAATAAATCCAACCTCTAAGTAGACGCTTAGCTTTAAAGGGATATTCGCTTAGGAAAATGGTCATGATGCATTGTTAGAGATTTTTCTCATTGCAAACAACAAAGCTATGTAGATGGTGTGATCCAAATTTTTTTCTTAAAGGATGTTTATGCAGAAAAAACAAAATAAGCCCAGGCATAGTGGCTCACACCTGTAATCCCAGCACTTTGGGAGGCCAAAGCGGGCTGATCACTTGAGGTCAGGAGTTCAAGACCAGCCTGGCTAACATGGTGAAGCCCCATCTCTACTGAAAATACAAAAAATTTGCTGGGCATGGTGATGTGTGCCTGTAATCCCAGCTACTCAGGAGGCTGAGGCAGAAGAATCCCTTGAACCTGGAAGATGGAGGTTGCAATGAGCTGAGATTGTGCCATTGCACTCCAGCCTGGGTGACAGAGCAAGACTCCATCTCAAATAAATAAATAAATAAATATTAAAAAATAAAAAATGAAAAACAAAAAGACTAACTCTGGGGGCTGGTATTATGGATTATTTTTATTTTCTCATTTGTGCTTTTCTATGCTTTCCAATTTTTCTAAAATGAAGTACATTATATTCATAACTTAAATGTTATTAAAATTTTTTACAAAGGTTTGCTAGTTTCAGAGGCACTAGACTTCCATTAACAACTTCAAGCTTTGTTGTTTTTTTTTTAACTTTATTTATTTACTTATTCATTCAACAAACATCCGCTGATTTCAGCTGTGCTGGGCTGTCACCCAGAGTGGATCAGATGCAGATTCCTTTGAGGAGCTGCCTTGCAGTAGGTGGGCAGACAGACAGTCCCATACCACAGTTGTCTGCTCAGACATGATGACCCCATTAGATGTGAGCTCCAGGAGGACAAGACCCTCTGTGGGTCATCTCTGTATCCTAGTACCTAGGATGGGGTCTGAAACAGTTAGGTGCTGCAGAAATATTTATGAACAAGTAAGTGAAATCAGGGAGGCACTTGTTCAAATCCCAGCTCATTGAGTCCCAGTTTCCTCTTCTACAAAAACCAGAGGTAATACCTATCCCATGGGCATGGGGTTGTTTGAAAGCTCAATTAACAATGCCTTGGCCAGGCGCGGTGGCTCACGCCTGTAATCCCAGCACTTTAGGAGGCCAAGGCAGACAGATCACTTGAGGTCAGCAGTGTGATACCAGCTTGGCCAACATGGTGGAATCCTGTCTCTACAAAAAATACAAAAATTAGCCAGGTGTGGTGGCACACTCCTGTAATCCCAGCTACTTGGGAGGCTGAGGCACAAGAATTGCTTGAGCTCAGGAGGCGGAGGTGGCAGTGAGCCGAGATTGTGCCACTGCACTGCAGCCTGGGCAACAGAGAGAGACTCTGTCTCCAAACAGAACAAAACAAAACAAAATAAAACAAAACAAAAGCAATGCCTACAAATAGTAATAGACCCTTGACAAAAAAGCAGAAATAACTTGTTTCAAATTGGGTAGATGATGATGACGTGCAAAGTCTGAGGTCAGACCTTCCTCTACAAGCATCGGGAACTTGACTAGAAAAAAAATTTGGTTTATAATTTGGGAGAAGAGTATGTAGCTTATACTCCCATTTCTCTAAGAAAAGTAGAGGCATTAACTTTTAAAATGGAAGGACAAAACAAAAACTTGAAGCAGCAACATTTCTCTAAAGGGAGAGGAAGGAAACAAGGTGGAGGGGGAGACAGACCCTTCATAATATTTCTTGTTTTGTAGACCTGACTTGGAAACCAGGCAAATATTTAATATAATCATAAACTAATGTGAAATGCTTGGAAAAGAAATTTCTAATATCAAAAGCAAAACAAACCCAAAAGGCTAACTTATGGCAAGTTGGTGACATCACCACACAGAGAAGAATTACCCCAGGTCACTAAAACGCAGTCATTTTGACTGTCCCTCCCTAATAAGACATTCCCTAAAGAAAAAGCAAAAATAAAGACATAAACTACAAAAGAAAAATAATAATAATCATACTGTTGGGGCGCTGTGGTCTGCATGTTTGTGTCACCCCAAAATTTCCTATGTTGAAACCTAATCTGATGTGGTATTAAGAGGTGGGGCCTTTAGGAGGTGATGAGGTCATAAAGACTCTGCCCTCATGAATCAGATTAGTGCTCTTCTGGGGGAGCTTGTTCGTCCCTTTGCCCTTGCACCATGTTAGGACACAGCTAGAAGGTGCCATCTTTGTTTTTTGTTTTTGTTTGTTTTTGATTTTGTTTTTTGGAGACAAGATCTCACTCTGTTGCCCAGGCTGGAGTGCAGTGGCGCAATGTCAGCTCACTGGAACCTCCACCTCCTGGCCTCAAGCGATTCTCGTGCCTCAGCCTCCTGTGTAGCTGGGATTACAGGTGCGCACAACCAAGCTGGGCTGATTTTTGTGTGTTTTTTTTAACTAGAGATGGGGTTTCACCATGTTGCCCAGGCTGGTCTCAAATTCCTGACCTCAAGTGATCCACCTGCTTCAGCCTCCCAAAATGCTGGGATTACAGGCGCCAGCCAAGGTGCCCAGCCAAAGGCGCCATCTTTGAAGCAGAGAGCAAACCCTCACCAGACACCAAATCTGCTGGGCCTTGATCTTGGACTTCCAGCCTCCAGAACTTGAGCAATAAGTTTTTATTATTTACAAATTATCCAGTCTAAGGTATTTTGTTACAGCTGCCCAGATGGACTAAGACATGATAGTACTGGCATTCTTATCTGAGAGTGTGAAGTGGGTCAGACTCAACAGATGAGTTTATCTTTCACTGGGAACTGAAAAGAAAGGGCATTTCTCATGGGAGAAAGAACAGACAAGGCTAAGTAAAAACATGGTGATCCTGAATTTAAATTAGAAGTGTCAATATGAACTCATGATTTTTTAAGCACATTAGTAGACTTTATTTTTTTAGCAGTTTCAGGTTTACAGAAAAATTCAGCAGAAAATAGAGAGTTCCCGTATATCCCTTCATCTCCCCAACCCCCTCCCAGTTTCCCCTGTTGTGAACATCTTTCATTAATGGAGGGCTCTTTTTTAAAAATCAGACCAGTGACATTGCATAATGGCATACATTTGTTACAACTGATACATCAATAATGAGACATTGACTAAAGTCCACAGTTTACATTCAAATTCACTCTTGATTTACATTCTATGGGTTGGAACAAATGTATAATGACATATATCTACTATTATAATATCATACAGAGTAGTTTCACTAATCCTGTGTGCCCCCTGTCCAGCCCTCCCTCCCCCAAACACTTGGAATCTATGGATCTTTTACTGTCTTGATAGTGTTGCCTTTTTGTATAGTTAGAATCATCTGTGTAGCCTTTACAGACTGGCTTCTTCCACCCAACAATATGCATTTAAGGTTCTCCTGTGTCTTTTCATTGCTTGGTAACTCTTCCTTTTAAGCGCTGCATAATATTCCATTGTCTGGATGTACCATAGTTTGTTTACCCAGTCACCTACTGAAGAACATCTTGCTGCTTCCAAGTTTTGGTAATCATAATTTGTGATGCATTTTACCTTTTAAAAAATGTATTTCTGAGCTCTATTCACTCAAAATGCCCAGAAACAATGACCAACCCAATAGTAATGAGCATTGCATAAAACAAGATCGTGCTTTCTAAATAATATTCCTCACTCAAAGGAACCAGGACTCCTTAGACAGATGGCTGATTCCAGGTTTGGAGCAGCAAGTGTACAAGATGAGTCTGGGGCACCTTGCTGTTCCAGAAAGCAAGGAAGCCATCAAAGCCAACTGGGGTCAAAGACATCAGGAACCAATCCAAAGAGGTTCTCTCTGGCTGAATAGGATCATTTGAACAGCAATAAGAATAAGAATCACAGGGGACTGAAACACATCAAATAGCATTCAGTCCCTATATTCATAATGATACTGTTTTTTTGAGAGAGGTTGAGGGGTGGGGTCTCATTCTGTTGCCCAGGCTGGAGTGCAGTGGCGCGATTTTGGCTCACTGCAGCCTGGACCTCTGGGCTCAAGTAATCCTCCTACCTCAGCTCCCCAAGTAGCTGGGACTACAGGTATGTGCTCCATGGCTAATTTTTGTATTTTCTGTAGAGACAGGTTCTTGCCAGCCCAGGCTGGTCCTGAACTCCTGGGCTCAAGTGATCCTCCCACCTCAGCCTCCCAAAGTGCTGAGATTACAGGTGTAAATCACCAAGCTCGGCCCCATAATGATACTTTTTTAAAAATCAATTTTAAAAAAAAACCTCTCAGGATGCTAGGAAACAAACTCATTATTTGAAAGCCATTAAAGAGCCAAGTCTTGCACTGTCTATAGTGTATATACTGAAAGAGGGCATACTGCGCCTTGGGGTAACTAAAGAGTTAATGAGGAGATGCCCTTTTTCAAGTATTCCAGCTAATAAATGAAGAAGGAAGATAGAATTAGAACACCAAATTAGCTGGGTGTGGTGGCACATGCCTGTAGTCCCAGCTACTTGGGAGGCTGAGGTGAGAGGATCACTTGAGCCCAGGAGATTAAGGCTGCAGTGAGCCAAGATCCCACACTGCATTCCAGCCAAGGTGACAGAACAAAACCCTGGCTAAACAAAAAAAAAGCATCATCATTTTGCAAGCCTTAATGAGATAGTGAATCTAGGCAGTGAACATCCACAGCTACAAACTTCACCCAAAAAAAGAGCTCACAAGACATTATGGGCCTCCTGACAAAAGGACACAGCGCGATACCTCCTGTGAAGTATTGCTGCCAAAAATCAAACCTGAACCTGATCAAGCCTCTAGATCTAATTACAAGAAATTCCGAAGACAGAGGAACATGTTAAAGGACCCCACAGGAATACAAGCAGCAAAATCCAGATTGAGGGAAATGCTGCTGGACAAACAATGGGTTTCTTCCACAGATATTAATAAACAGCAAGAGTGGAGAGGTGGAGAGACAGAGACAGAGATGTGGGGAGAGAGAAACTATAGATTAAAAGAGACTTAAAACACACATGGCCTTTTTAATAAGATGTACAAAACATGTAGGAGACAATCAGGGAAATTGTAGGCGCTGACTAGATCAATTTGATGATAATTTTTCCAGGAGTGATAATGGCATTCTGGCTATTATAACCTTTTGAAGATTCCCTTATCTTTTAGAAATATATACCAAAATAGTCATGGTTGAAACGTTATGGTGTCTAGGATTTGCTTTAAAATAACCCAATGAGATAAGGGTATTGGGGTGGGAAGTAGAGGAAACAAGATTGGGCATGAGTTGTCACTCTGAGGCTGAGTAACTGGTACATTATTCTACTGTTATATATGTTTGAAATATTCCATGATAAAAAAAAAAAAAGCTTACCAGAAATAAACATTTTGGAAAGCTCCTTTTCCAAAACAAAAGCAGAGGCAACCAGGATTTCTTGTGCCTCAGGTGTTTTTATGTTGTCACCATTGTGTGTAACATGTGGCCAGAGTGAGTGGCAGCTTTCTTCCCAGTAGTCTTTCCTTCCTTCCAAGTATGTTGGTGAGTTGGTTCTAAACTGCCTGATAAGGGGTGAGGAGGAGCCACATACGATGTGCCTTCATTGGATCAGCCTGCCTCCCAGGAAGGACCACCAACCATGGGGCAGAGGGAACAAAGCTGGGTCTGGGCCCCAGCACTGCAGCTGACTTGGCAGGTTCAAGGTAGGAGCACTGCAAACCCAGCTACCTGGGCAGGTTTCTCTCTGGGGCACGTGCGGTGCTAGGGCACTCACAGCAGGCATAAATCATGTGGATAAAAGCAGAGTCATGTGATGATTAAAAGCTTGCTACTTGGGAGGCTTAGGCGAGAGGATCACTTGAGCCCAGGAATTCAAGGCCAGCCTGGGCAACACAGCAAGACTCCACGTCCATAAAAATAAATAAATAAATAAATAGGCCAGGCACAGTGGCTCATGCCTGTAATCCCAGCACTTTAGGAGGCTAAGGCAGGTGGATCACCTGAGGTCAGGCATTCAAGACAAGCCTGGCCAACATGGTAAAAACCCGTCTCTACTAAAAATACAAAAATTAGCCGGGCATGGTGATGGGCACCTGTAATCCCAGCTACTCAGGAGGCTAAGGCAGGAGAATCGCTTGAACCTGGGAGGCAGAGGTTGTAGTGAGCCAAGATCACGCCACCGCACTCCAGCCTAGGTGACAGAGCAAGACTCCGTCTCAAAAATAAACAAACAAACAAACAAACAAACAAGAGCCTGGGCTCTGAGAGACATGGGTTCAAATTCCAGATCTACCCATCAGAACCTGTGTGGCTGGTGGGCATGTGCCTTTACCTGCCTGAGCCTCAATTTCCCCACTTGTAGATTGGGAACAGTATGAGTGTATTAGTCTGTTTTCACACTGCTATAAACAAATACCTGAGACTGGATAATTTTTAAACTAAAGAGGTTTAATTGACGCACAGTTCCTTATGGCTGAGGAGGCCTCAGGAAACTTACAATCATGGTGGAAGGCGAAGGGGAGGCAGGCACCTTCACCACAAGGCGGCAGGAGAGAGAAGAGTGAGGAAGGAACTTCCAAACACGTATAAAACCATCAGATCTCCTGATAACTCACTCACTATCATGAGAACAGCATGGGGGAAACTGCCCCCATGATCCAATCACCTCCCTCCCTCGACACGTAGGGATTACAGGCCCCTCACTCGACCCGTGGGGATTACAACTGGAGATGAGATTTGGGAGGGGACAGACAGCCAAACCATATCAATGAGAATCTTCCGATCAGGCTGTTTTGTGGATTCAGTGTGAGAGTATGTGTGAAGCACTGAGCTCAGCGCCAGGCTAGAGTGATACCCAACATATGGTGGTTATTTCTACTGCTGTTATTGTTATCGTTGTTAGGCCTAGCCAGAATATAAAGCAGGGCTTTTCCCCAAAAATTATTCCTTAGATTTGACCGCTTAGAGAGTATGCTATATCATGGGACACATTCCCAATTACTTCATTTTGACCAATAGAATGCTATTTGGGAAAGACGCATTAGCCTGAAATGGCCTCACTAGATGCTCATTTTGGATGCTAATGGCAGTAACCTGACAAATGTGCTAAAAGAAAGATCAGGTAATTTTGTTGTAGCTTTAGAATTTCTCCAGGGAGTGTGGTCTCATGCACACAGGGGATGGATATTGTTGCAAACAAGCCTTTTACTGCCCATTTTGTAACACAATAAAAAAGGTGTGCAGAGTATGAATTTATACTTACCAGAAGAATAAAAGTAACCTAGTAGCCTAATGTTCAGCAAACAGTTATTTTTGGCTTGGGATAATTTTAGCACCGTGTAAGAATTTGTAACAAACAACTTAGAGAACTGGAGACAGGTACGCTAGAAAATGATGGACGTCTCAAAAAGTAGCCAGGTAATGACAAAGGACACAGATTCAAAAATGCAGGTAGAGACTGAGCAAGGTGACTCACACCTGTAATCCCAGCGCTTTGGGAGGATGAAGCCAGCAGATTGCTTGAGCCCAGAAGTTCAAGACCAGACTGGGCAACATGACAACACTCTGTCTCAACTAAAAATACAAAAATTAGCCAGTGTGGTGGCACTCGCCTGTAGTCCCAGCTACTCTGGAGGCTGAGGTGGGATGATTGCTGAGCCCAGGAGATCAAGGCTGCAGTGAGCCAAGATTGCACAACTGCACTCAAGCCTGGGAGACAGAGTAAGACCCTGTTACACAGACACACACATGCACGCAGTAGGTAGAGCACAAGCAACAAACGAAAAAATAAATTGGACTTTGTCAAAATGTAAAATTTCTGTGCATCAAAAGATACAGTCAACAAAGTGAAATGGCAACCCGTGAAATGGGAGAAAACATTGGCAAACCATATATGTGATGAGGAGTTAATATCCAGAATATATAAAGAACTCCTACAACTCAATCACAAAAAAACAAACAACCCAATTAAAGAATGGAGAAAGGGGGCCAGGCACGGTGGTTCATGCCTGCAATCCCAGCACTTTGGGAGGCTGAGGTGGGCAGATCACCTGAGGTCAGGAGTTCGAGACCAGCCTGGCCAACATGGTAAAACCCCGTCTCCACGAAAATACAAAAATTAGCCGGACGTGGTGGTGCACAGTTGTAATCCCAGCTACTCCGGAGGCTGAGGCAGGAGAATTGGCTTGAACCTGGGAGGCAGAGGTTGCAGTGAGCCGAGATCGTGCCACTGCCCTCCAGTCTGGGCAACTGAGCAGGGCTCCATCTCAAAATAAATAAATAAATAAATAAATAAATAAATAAAGAATGGGGAAAGGGCTTGGATAGATATGCTTCCAAAGAAGATATACAAATGGCCAATAAGAACATAAAAAAGATGTTCAACTTCACTAATCATTAGGGAAATGCAAATCAAAACCACAATGAGATACCACCTCATACCCACTAGGATGGCTACTATCAAAAACAAACAAACAAACAAACAAAAAACAGAATGTGGAGAAATTGGAACCCTGTGCACCATTGAAAGGAATACAAAATGGTGCAACCACTATGGAAAACAGTACGGCAGTTTACTTAAAAAACTTAAAAATTGAATTACTATAGGTCTAGCAAACCACTTCTGGGTATATACACAAGATAACTGATGGCAGGGACTCAAAGAGGTATTTGCACACCCATGTTCACTGCAGCATTATTCACAATAACGAAGCAACGGAAGCAACTCAAGAGTCCACTGTCAGATGAATGGATAAACAAAATGTGAGCTATATACACATAATACACTATTATTCAGCCTTAAAAAGGAGGTAAATTCTGATACATGCTACAACATGGATGACCCTGGAAGACATTATGTTAGGTGAAATAAGCCAGTCACACATGCACAAATATGTACAATTCCACCTCCATGAGGCACCTAAGAGTAGTCAAATGCAGAGACAGAAAAAGCAGAACGGTGGCTGCCAGGGACTAGGTCAGGGGAGGGCACTGGGGAGTTATCCTTTAATGCATACAGTTTGTTTTACAAAATGAAAAGAGTACTGGAGACAAATAGTGGTGATGGTTGTATAACAACGGGAATGTACTTACTGTCACTGAACTGTACACATACGAATGGTGAAGACGGTAAATTTCATGTTATGTATACTTCACCAAAATTAAAAGATAATAACAAAAAAATGCAGCTGAAGGGTTTGAAATTAAATTGTTTCAGAAACTGCAAGAAAAGGCAATATTTCAGGCCGGGTACGGTGGCTCTCATCTGTAATTCCAGCACTTTGGGAGGCTGAGGCAGGCGGATCGCTTGAGACCGGGAGTTCAAGACCAGCCTGGACAACATGGTGAAACCCTGTCTCTACTAAAAATACATACAAAATATTATCCAGGCGTGGTGGCGGGTGCCTGTAATCCCAGCTACTCTGGAGGCTGAGGCAGGAGAATCGCTTGAACCCAGGAGGCAGAGGTTGCAGTGAGCCGAGATCATGCTGCTGCACTCCTGCCTGGCGACAGAATGAGACTGTCTCAAAAAAAAAAAAAAAAAAAAAAAGAAAAGAAAAGAAAAAGAAAAACCAATGTTTATATATATGATCTTATTTTAAACCTATTTTTCAGGTTACTGCTACAAACACCCAAAATTACTATAAAAATTGTAATTTTGCAGGTAGTACCAAACTCATAAATTTAATATTTTAAGTAGGTATGTGACGGTTTCATTGTCTTGAGTTTTTGAGGGTTTTTATAAACTTAAATTGGCCAAAAAATACTTGGGGTTTTTTGTTTTGTTTTCAGAGACAAGGTCTTGCTCTGTTGCCCAGCCTGGAGTGCAGTGGTAACCTCAAACTCCTGGCCTCAAGCGATCCTCCCACTTCAGCCTCTTGAGTAGCTAAGACTATAGATACATGCTCCCATGCCTGGCTAACTTCTAAATTTTTTGTAGAGATGAGGTCTTTCTATGTTTCCCAGGCTGGTCTCAAACTCCTGGCCTCAAGCTATCCTCCTAGCTCGGTCTTTCAAAGTGCTGGGATTACAGACATGAGCCACTGTGCCCAGTCCTGGTGGGTGGGGGGCGGAGGGGGTAATCTTTTAATTAGGAAAATACAAAGGTACCTCCTATTGCTTCTGGCATGTTTAGAGCATGTGTGGAATCATCTCCCATCACCACCAGGCTCTCCCCCAGACACCCTTGGCTCTCTCAGGAACTCCTGGACTGTTCTGGGGTCCACACAGACGAGAATCCAGAGCTCAGGGCTCCAAGATTCTCACAAAGCTTTCTCTCCTCTCCAATAGGGCACTTCCTAAAAGCAGAGAATATTTACTGTTTAAAAAGCTTGTATTTTGTTGCCCCCCACCTCACTTTTTTTTTCAGAGACAGGGCCTCGCCATGTTGCCCAGGCTGGCCTTGAACTGCATTCAAAAGGTCCTCCCACCTCAGCCGCCTGAGTATCTGGGACTACAGGCATAAGTCACCAAGCCAGGCTCTGTTGCACTTGTTAATATTCTTTTATTTAAACGTTAAGAGGTGGCTGGGTGCAATGGCTCAAGCTTGTAATCCCAGCCTTTGGGAGGCCGAGGCGGACAGATCACTTGAGGTCAGGAGTTCGAGACCAGCCTGGCCACGATGGCAAAACCCCATCTCTACTAATAATACAAAAATTAGCTGGGCATGGTCGCGCACGCCTGCAATCCCAGCTACTCGGGAGGCCCAGGTACAAAAATCACTTGAGCCCAGGAGGCGGAGGTGGCAGTGAGCTGAGATGGCACCACTGCACTCCAGCCTGGGCAACAGATGGAGGCTCTGTCTCTAAATAAATAAATAAATGGGAAGAGCTGCTCAAAGAAATGGTAGAAAACATATATTTTTAAAAGCTCTTGTACCCCCATATCCTGAAAATGCAGTTTTCCTTTGGCAGAGTCTCCTCGGGACTGTCACCTTACAATTGCCCCCACAATGGGCCCCAGTGGGAAGCTGGCCTGTTGTTTTTTGCCTTGAGTCTTTGGCTGATCTACATGGGAAAGGCATATCCCCAGCTACAGAACCAGCACAACGTGGACTATGTAATATTCAAGGGTATATGTCCCTTCTCCATCTCATAGATCCCCTTCCACCGCCTTGACACTGAAGAGCAACCTCCCCATCACTCCTTTCTCATTGTTCCTGGGTTTCTCTCTGAGACTGCGAGGGCGTAGAATGAGGAATGAAAAAGACATGCAACCCCATCTCACCATGAAGGAGAATCACAATCACGGGTTGCTGAGAACATGTAAGAGGTAGCTCTAAGCTAGCCTGGGAGGTAAAGGAAGGCTTCCAGGAGGAGGTGACCTTTACATTGAGACAGAAAGGATGAACAGGAATAAGCTAGGAAGAGGGAGTGAAGAGGGCTTTCCAGGTGAAGGGAACGACCCATTCAAAGCCTGGAGGCAGGACAGAGTATGAGCTGCTTGAGAAACAGAAATCAGGCCAATGTGCTCGGCACTCAGCGTAGCATGGAGAGCCAAGGGGAGGGAGGAAGAGATGAGGCCAGGGAGAGGCCACGGGGAGGATTCTAGACTTGGAGGCTTTTCCTGAGTTTGGAAAAGCCCAAATTACCAAGCTCTTCCAGGGAGAATAACTCAACTGGGCAGATTGTGTGAGCTGGAGCGGAGGTGGAGGTCAGGACGCCAAGATGGAATTTTCTGGCTTTTCTGCACACTGGGGACAGTTGCAGGGCTGTCTAGATCCCACAGAGCTCAACAATATGCCTGACTCACCACCCCTCTGAGGCTGCCCAGCCCACAGGTGACAGTGTCAGGGCTGCGGCCACCCGCCTGGTTCTGCCACTCAGCGACCTTGGACAAGGCCCCCCTACCCACAAGTCTCTTTATTCATACAATTGTAATGACAGCTACGTCCCAGCCTTACTCTAGGATTCCATGAGATCATTCTAGGTCAGAGGCTTTATTAATAAAGGTTATTATTATTACTATTACTGTTGTTGATGATGTTTGCAGCCTGGCCCAACTCCTGGGCACTGCTTTGTCCGCTGGTTGCTGGTTCTGTTTCAGGGACAGACACTAGCAAGGCGCAGGGCTGGCATGTTTGCTTTTTTGCATACATGCGAATCTTGCATTCAGAAGAGCCCCTCCTTCCACAGAGGGTCCAGCGGGGTTGCTTGGGGGACACATTCCAGAAAGAATAACTCTGTGTAACATGAAACCCTGAATCTGGAAACACAGCCTCTATGGGAAATTGGAGGATAAGGTCTGGTCTGTGGACCGCCCAACCTCATTCCATACAAAAGGGATATTGAAACCCAAAGGCCTCATCCCTTGGCCTCCAGACTATGGTCTCGCCCTCACCGCGGCCTGAGAGATCTTCCTAAAAACCAAACTTGACCAGGACACTGCCCTGTTTCAACTCTTCCGTGGCTCCTACTCAGGTTCCCCCTGAGGATCAGGTCCACACGCCTCATTGTGACCTACAATGCCCTGTGGTCAGGCCACTGTCCATACCTGCAGCCACACCAGAGCCTGCTCTGACCCAGCCACATGGGCCTCCAGCGGATCAAGTTCTTTCCTGCTTCAGGACCCCTGCACATCCGTGAGCCCTCTTCCCACTCTAACAGGCGACTGCTAATTCTTCCAGATTCAGAAGTCTACAGACTTTGTTAAACTTCCAGATAATAATAGAAAGTAGGCCGGGCATGGTGGCTCACACCTGTAATCCCAGCACTTTGGGAGGCCAAGCTGGATGGATCACCTGAGGTCAGGAGTTCAAGACCAGCCTGGCCAACATGGTGAAACCCCGTCTCTACTGAAAATACAAAAATTAGCCGGGCACGGTGGCAGGTGCCTGTAATCTCGGCTAATGGGGAGGCTGAGGCAGGAGAATCACTTGAATCTGGGAGGTGGAATTTGCAATGAGCTGAGATCATGCCACTGCACTCCAGCCTGGATAACAGAGTGAGACTCTGTCTCAAAAATCTAAATAAATAGATAGGTAGATAAATAAATAAAAGAAAGCAGTAATATTATCCCCACTTTCCAGATAAGCAGACTGAGGCCATCCACCTCAGGCCTGGAGTCTAGCTGGCCTGGCTTGAGGTTTAGTTGCAGGAGCCACTTGCAAAATCACCAAGCACCTGGTCACAGCTTCACGACCACAGGAGAGTGGAGGTCGCTCGAGAAGAGAGGTAGGCCAAGGAGAACAGGGCCAGGGTAGCACAGTGTCAGGGTAGCACAGTGTCACGGCATGGAAGCCATTCTCAACGCATTCAAAACCCAGTTCAGCCACTCAGACGCTGTGGTCTAAGGCAGGACATTCAACCTCTCTGAACCTCAGTTTTCTCATCTGTAAAATGGGGCTAAATAATAATACAAACCTCACAGGTACATTGTGAGTATTGGGGAATGACAGATGAAGTGCCCGGCCCGTGGTGGACACTCAGTGCATGGCATGATGCCACCTTCCCTTGACGCACCTGGGGAGGCTGCACCAGTCCAGACCAGCCTAGACCAGACTAGCCTTGCATCACCCAAGGTTAGGCAGCCAGGGCCTGGGAACCATCCCTGCCCTGTTTTCTGTTTGGGGCTTTGTGTTTCCCAGCGTTTCCTTTGGAAAAAGTCCAGCTTCCTCCCCACTGGAAGGAGGCAGGAGGGGACTGTTCACGCCTGGGTCTGGATGCCCGAGGGAGCCTTGTGGGGAGATGACAAGAGCCTGGGGTTTGGAGTCAGGCCAGTAGGGTTTGAATCCAGGATCTGACCTTTACAACACTGTGTGGCCCTGGGCAAGTGACTTCACCTCTCTGAGGTGCCAATTTCCTCACCTCTTTAAGGTCTCATGATCTCTGCCTCAAAGGGTACTGGATGCAGATGGAGGGGTGGGGTGAGAGAAGGTTCTGGATGCAGTTCCCCAGTGTACATACAGTGATTCCTTTTGGGGATGGGCTGAAGACCAGGGGAGGAGCCAAAGGTTGACAGCTGGAGTGACCAAGACAAATGCTCCCTGGCAAACGGAATCCAGTGGGTGTCCTGCCTAGGATGGAGGTGGGAAGGACAAATTTAGGTCCAGCTTGTCAGCATGCTGCTGGAATGAGGGTCCAAAGTGATCAGACCTCTGATTATTCAGGAGAAAAATCCACGCAAAATTTTCACGCAAAATCTCATGATTAAAGTATGGTAAGGAGTATATAGGATGATTCCATTTATAGAAAATTCACAACAGGCAAAACCAAGATAGTGGTTTCCTTTGAGGGAGGTGGGTGGTGCCTGGGAGGGAACATGAAGGATTTCAGGAAGCCAGCAACATTCTCTCTCTTAATCTGGGTGTTGGTGGCATGGGCATGTCCTCTTTGTAATCCTATGCTTCGTGCACTTTTCTACTGTGTATTATACTTCAATAAAAATGCTAGAATAATTTTAAAGCAAATAAATCAAGGCTGCAGTGCTGGGAGAAAAGACTACCTATAGGGGCCAAGCTGAACACACCTGCAGGCTGCCTTCTGACTCTGGGCTGGGGACGTGAGGCAGGCATGGGTGCTCTTGGCCCCTGACACCCTTAGGGGGCAGGTGCTTCCTCAGCCACACAGGAGGAACACCCATCCTGCCCCACCCTGCTGCCTTATCCAGAGAAGGCTGGACAGCCACAGCTCCTCTTAGCCAGATCTGCTGAGCTCACATTCTAGAGAAACAGACAAGTTCTGTCACTTACATGATAAAGTCCCCCCAAAAACTCACCCTTACTTATTATACATTTTACTTTACCAAGAATGCCCAGAGGACAGTAATCAAAAGGCAGACTCAGGCCGGGTGTGGTGGCTCACACCTGTAATCCCAGCACTTTGGGAGGCAGAGATAGGCGGATCACCTGGGGTCAGGTGTTCGAGACCAGCCTGACCAATATGGTGAAACCCCGTCTCTACCAAATACACAAAAAAATTAGCCAAGCATGGTGGCAGGTGCCTATAATCCCAGCTACCTGGGAGTCTGAGGTGAGAGAATCACTTGAACCTGGGAGGAGGAGGTTGCAGTGAGCTGAGATCGCACCACTGCACTCCAGCCTGGTTGACTGAGCGAGACTGTGTCTTAAAAAAAAAAAAAAAAAAAAGCAAAAGAGGCAGATCCAGTTATGTTTCAAAAAAAGGCTTCCTAGAATCTGGATTTCACCAGCCGACTGCCAGCCCTGATCACCCTCACAAGGTAAACCCAAAGGCTACCAACTTGTATCGTCACTGGTGCCCAGGAGCCCCTGACGTCACAGGGGTTGTGGTTGGCAGTGGAATTGCCCCAGCTCCACCCCTCTGCCTGGTCCAGAAGTCTCGGTTTTATTTTTCTTTTCTTTTCTGAGGGCCAACAGGAGATGCACACACCTCCTACATAAAGCGGTACTAACCAAAACAAATGCACATCAAATGCATGTATTTGCACAAACACTCATAAAAACTTTACCAGACACCAAATAATTACAGGAAGGGGCGAACCTTCAATCCACCAAGCCACAGCATTTTGAAGTGGATTTAAGATAAAGATCAAATAGGATGGGCACTGGCCCCAGCCTCACATCGGGCCCCCTTCCCCAGACACGGGCCCATGAGATAGAGACCAGGGAACTTTCTGGGTTTTGGGACTCTGTGTTCAATTCATAGAAAATGTCTTTCTGCAAGTTATTCTTAGTGTCTTCATGTGGCTTTTATGGTTTCAAATACGATCCTGGGTCTTCTCTGCTCTCACTGTGGTCCTCAGCTGGGGAAGCTCCCGGTTCCAGACAGGCTGCAGAAATAATCCAGCCCATCCATTTGGCAAGAAAGCCAAAGATTCTTGAAGAAAATAAATTTTAAAATATGTGACATCTTGAGAATCCCACGTGGTTGCTTTTGATGTAATGGGCTAACGCCCCTAATTCTGTGTCCCCGCCAGGGTCCAGCTCTGAGCAGCTACTTGCAGGCCCAGGCTCTAGAGCAGGGCCAGTGGCAAAGGCTGTGCCGGGCCTCTAGGCACTGCCTGGAGGTCTCCTGCGCCCAGCTCACACCTTCCTGGAGCTAAGCTTCGCCTGCCCTGGAGGAAGGTACGCAGGTGAGCCCAGGGGGTCTGTTTGCCCTCAAGCCCTGGTTGAAGGAGAAGCAGGGAGCTGTGTTCTCCCCAAGTCTTGGTAGCATGGCCCCTCTTCCATCCAATTATTATGACTACTTGAGATGGAGTCTTGCTCTGTCACCCAGGCTGGAGTGCAGTGGTGCAATTTCGGTTCACTGCAACCTCCACCTCCCGGATTCAAGTGGTTCTCCTGCCTCAGCTTCCCAAATAGCTAGGATTACAGACACGTGCCACCATGCCCAGCTAATTTTTGTATTTTTAGTAAAGATGGGGTTTCACCATGTTGGCCAGGTTGGTCTTGAACTCCTGACCTCGTGATCCACCAGCCTCACCCTCCCAAAGTGTCCATCCAATTATTTACCAAATATGTATAGAGGCCTGGTAGGTGCTGGGTGTTGTGGTGAGCACTTATGTTTCAGCCTCTCGACAACCCTGTGGGACAAATGAGGAAGCTGAGGTGCAGAGAGTAGGGCAGGACCTTCCTGAGGTCCCATGGCCAGATCCTGAACCAGATCTGGGTGGCTCCCCAAGATCTGCTCTTGACCACTCCTAGCCACTGCGAGACCTCAGCACTGGGCCACCCCGCCAGGGCACCGTCTCCCTCAGAGCTCCAGTCCCGAGAGCTGACAGCAGCCTGGGCTCTAAGGGAGCACCGTCTCCTGACCCAATGTGGAGGAATCCCATGACTAAAGACCCAGACCTTGTGCTGGAAAGTCATGGGTCTGTGGCCAGAGCCCCTACCCACTGAAGGGGAAGCTACAGGAAGGACTTAGGGGCTTTGCTGGGGCTGGCTGTCTCCCCACTGCACACAGACACACACACTTGCATGCAGCCTCAGAGCCCCAGCTCTGCCTCACCAGCAAATTCTGCCACAAATCCTGTCTCCCTGCAGCCCCTCTCCCATCAGGCTGGAAAACCCCAATGGGAGAGAGAACCAGTTCCCAGCCCTGATTCAAAGGACCCCAGCTGGGCGCCATCACTTTACTCCTGTGTGTGGGCCTCCACCTGGGTTCAAGGTCGCTGTGAGGTCTCCCACCGGCACAGCAAGACCACAGACATTTGCACCGCTCTGCGGCAAGGTGGCTGTGTTACTCTGTGACGATCACACACGGCCATCTCTAGCTGAGAAGGGCCTGACCCTTTGGCCCATGTGCCCTGGGGTCCAGCCCCGCTGGGGTCCAAAAAGCATAACATGGTCACTGCTGGCTGGAAAGTTTCCAGCACTCAGTCTCTGGGTGTTCCCGCTCCACTTCCGGAGTCAGTGTGGTTCTCCCAGGACCCTAGACCCGGGGCCACCTCCCAGGAATATCAGCCCCCAACCTGGCCCACTGCTTGGGCGGCTCTGGTCCCCCCAATCTGGCCGCCTGTCAAGGATCTGAGGCTTGGCAGGGCTGATGGCGCCGGGACAGCGTGGGACGGCCCAGGCTCTCTGCAGCCCTGGTTCTCCGGGCAGAGTGGAATAGAGACACTCGCAGCTCCTGGTCCTTGCCTTCCCACTCCTCCGAACCCGGCCAGGACTGCACCCTGCGCTGCCCCAGATCCGTGCCTCCAGCTGGAATGGTAAACTGGGAGGGGGCAGTGTGGCTCTGGCTCTGGTCAGAAGCACAAAACAATCCAGACAGCCCGGAGCGGGATGGACAGGGCTGGGTGGGGTGGGGGAGGGCAGCTCATAGAGCCGTGCTCGAGGGAGGCGGGTAGCGCAGAGGAGAGGGTGCAAGGCCCTAAGAAGAGGAGCGGGGGGACTAGGGCGGGGCTCAATGGAGCTGGGGCGTCCGCAGACTGGAAGGAGCCGGGACCCCCGCTCCAGAGCCTCCCTTTCCATTCTCGCTTCTTCCAGTGATTCCGAGCCCCCGACTCAGTCTTTCCCCCAGGTAGAGAGAATCCGAGGCTGTTTCTGCCGCTGAAATCTGAGCGGGAGAGCATCCCGAAGCCGCCTGCGTGGAGCGAGCAGCCCCCGCGTCATGGGCCAGAGGCGCCCGGGAGAATCTGCGGGTCACGGATCACACCCGCAGGGGCCTGGCGGAGCAAGGTGCCGTTCGCCGCCTGCGGGCAGGAGCCGGCTCTGGGCCTCGGCCCCTGCTGTGCCGTCCAGTCGGCCGCTTCTTCGCTTCTTCGGCAAGGGAAGCGGTGGAGAGGCGCGGGAGCCCCGATTGTGCTGGAGAGATCTGGGACCCCTGCGCGTCTGCGTGCGAAGGACCCGAGACCGGCCAACTCAGCTGGGAGCACGGGACACGAGGAGTGAGGACAAAGGGCAAGGAACGGGGCCTATAGGGAGGGTGTGTGTGTGTGTGTGTGTGTGTGTGTGTGTGTGTGTGTGTGTGTGTGTGTGTGTGTGTGTAGGGGGAATGAATGGACAGCGGGGAAGGCATGCAGAGGGGCCCAAGGGGTGTGGACTCAGCAGCCCCACCCCAGACCAGAGAAGGCAGCCAGGCTCTGGCGTCCACCGAGCCAGCGCCCCTATCTGGGCGCGGGCCGCATGGCGGCAGACCACCCTATATCCGCCTTGGTGGCGTGGGATATGACTGGCAGGAGCGCGGAAGAGGCGCTGAGAATGCATGCGCACCCGGACAGACCAGACGCGGCACGGAGGGGGTACTTCCCACAAGTCCTCCTGCCTTGAGACCAGGCCTTCGAGTGGTCCGGGGAATGCGCCTCTGGGCACAGCCAGCGGCCCCAGATCGGCACTGGACGCCAACCCGAGTTAGAGAAGCCTGGGAGACTGGATCGCAGGGGCCCTCATTCAGCCAAGGAGGGGGAAAGGAGAGCTGTAGGGTAGGAGAGGCCAGGCACAGGGAAGGTGGGGAGGGGATGGAGCCTTGCGCCAGGAGTTGGGGGTGCAGGGCCTGTGACGAGAGAGTATTACCATGTGCACCCTGAAGGAGAGGGAGAGGGTCTGGGCCTGGAACGAGGACTCTCGCCTGCAGGCAGTCGCCCAGCCCCGGTTGCAGGGATGGACCGCGACCAGCAGAGGGCAGAAAGTGCCTGGTCCGCCCGCCGGCCCCGAGCCGCGCTCCGCGCCTCGGGACTCTGGCTCTGTGCGCCGAAGCCTTGCCCGCCCGGCTTCTCCCTGCAGCAGCCGCGCCCCCGCCCCAGATGCCCGGAGAAGGCGGCTCAGGCCCAGCCCAACTTCGCGGGTCCAGGCCTGGGGTTTCCAGGTCAAGCAAAGAGGGGACCGAGATGTGGGAGAGAAACTCCACATTGACTGTCCACTCTCCCCGACCTAGCCACACAAAGGCGCCTAGAAATACACGAAGGCACAAAGCCCCCCACCACACACAAACACACACACACACACACACGCTAGGAGACACGCGAGCACACAGAAGCATTCAGAACCCCGGAGATAAGCACAGATACGCAAAGCTGACAGAGACACCCATACAGAAAAGGATCGCAGACACAACACAGAGGCTGAGACACGCACAAAGACTTAGGCCCCCGCATGAAATGATGCGGACACACACCCCAGACACAGGCACGAAGGACCCACACATTCACATACACACGGGTGCAGGGGACTCAGACACAGATCCACAGATTCACCCCTGGGAGTCTGGAAGGTTGCAGGGACACACATACCGTGTGTGCAGAGCCAAGGAGCACACGGAGGCAAGAGCCGCAGAGGCGGGGGCCCGACACGCACAGACACACACAGATACCCACCGACACACACGCAGGTAGGGTAGGGCGGGAGCCTCTAATCCTCCACAAAGCCGGGCCCCTCCGCGGGGCCCCGCGGCGCAGGGGGCCACTTCTGACCAAGCCTCCCGCAGGTTCCAAATCCGATCCGCCCTTTCGCCTCCAGCGAGGTCAGGGGACCCGCCCCCCATGCCCTCCGCCCCCGCCCGGCTCCGCGCCGCTGCCTCGCTCCGGGAGGGGCCGGGGCCGCCCCGCAGCGGATCGCGGGGGGTCAGCCCGCCGCTACCCCGGGCCGCAACCGCCCCCCTGCTCCCCGGTGAGCCGCGCGTCGGTGGGGACCACGGGCCGCAGACAGCCGGTCCGACGCTGTGGCCTCTCGCACCGGACGCGGGTGCCAGGCCCGGCTGGCGCGGAAGTCGGCAGCTCCATCTCGCCAGCTTTCGCGTCCCGTTGCCGAGGTCCACTTTGCCCAGGCTGGCTAGAGCACTGTCCTTGATCCGCGCGTCCCAGCGACCCCTGGCCGGGCACCCGACCCGCCAAAGGACCCCGATCTTGGCAGCCAACCTAATTTCTTCAGAGCCGCTACCCTGGGGCCACCACTCCCTCCTAGCGCCCCTCACTGCAAACCCTAGGAGGCCCGGGTCTTGCCCACTGCTCCTGCCCCTGCCCGGGGACCCCTTTTCCAGCCTTAGTTGTCCTCTAAACTCTCGGTCGCCTGAACCCAGGCCTGACCTTCCTTGTCGTCCCAGTGTCCCCCATTCTCGATCCCGGGGCCCCAACCTCCCATCGGCTCAGTCCCCCGCCCAATCTCTGCCAGGCCCGGAGCTTTCCCAGACCCCTCACCCACACTCCAGGCTCACTCCCCGTTCCTGGGCCTGGGCCCCCCTTGCACGAGTCCAGGGCCAGCCGTCCTCGCCTTCTGCCCGCCCCCGTCCTTCGTTCCTGGGAGCCGGCCCTCTCCGCGGACCAAGCGGCCCCGAGCAGGCGCCGCCGCCCGGGGGACTCCGACTCAGCCCCCGCGACCTACCTCGGCCGACAGTCGGGGGTTCCCAAGCGGCCACTCCCGGCCGGCGCCGTCCCCTGGCGGAGCCGCCGCGCTCCCTGCCGTCCGCGCAGTCTGGCCTCGCTCGGGGCCACTCCTCGTAGCGCTGGAGCTTTACAAAATATTAATAATAAAGAAGGCAGAGGAGAAAAAAGAAAGCCTTCGCTCCCCAACTCCCAAATCAATTTTTCAAGGGGGTGGAGCAGAGGGATTTGTTTCGAAGACGATCAAAACTTCTGCGAGGGGCCCGCGGGGCGGCCGGGCCGGGGAGCCGGGGCCTGAGCTCGGGGCCAGGCGCGGCGCGGGGCGCGGGCCAGGGGCGCGGAGCCCCGGGGCGCGCGGGGGGGCGGGACGGCACTATTTGACGTGGAGCCGGCGGCGCATCCCGGCGCAGGGATACCGGCCGCGGGGTTCAAATGTCAGGAAGTTTCGGGAGGTGAGGCGGCCCGTATCCCTCCGCCGCCAGCCCCAGCTCTAAACCCGGCGGCTCAGCGGGCGCACCATGGCACTGGAGTAGCGCGGGGAGCGCGCCCGGAGCCCCGCGGCCCGCTGCGCCCCGCCCGGGACCCCGCTGCGCCGCGCGCCCCCCCCGCGGCCCGCGGGGCCGCCCCTGCACCCCCACCCCCTCCCCCGCCTGCCGCCGCCGCCACCGCCACCGCCGCCGCCGCCTCCTCCCCGCGGCTCCGTCTGCAGCAGCCGCCGCCGCCGGGTTCCGGGACTGACAAGCAGGTGACAGAGGAGCCGGCGCGCGTGGCTGCAAGTGTCCGGGAGAGCGCGGCGCGGGCTGCAGCCGCCCCGGCCCGCCCGCACGACGCCGGGGCCCGGGGCCAGCGCGTCGCCGCTCCACGATCGCCGGGGGCCGGCGCAACCCCTGCCCTGCGGGGGCCGCGCCTCCCCGGTTCCAGGGCCGCGGCGGCGGAGAGCGGGTGGACGGGCCGGCGGGCGAGCAGCCCGGCCGGCGGGGTCCGCAGCGCGCCCCGCGTCCCATGGATATAGCAACAGGTCCCGAGTCGCTGGAGAGGTGCTTCCCTCGCGGGCAGACGGACTGCGCCAAGATGTTGGACGGCATCAAGATGGAGGAGCACGCCCTGCGCCCCGGGCCCGCCACTCTGGGGGTGCTGCTGGGTGAGTGCGGGGTCGGAACGCCCGAGTGGTCTCGGGCGTGGGATGGGGCGTCGTCCGGCTGTGGACACGGGCGTTGGGGCCAACGGATAAAGGAAATGGGTTTGCAGGACATGGGGAGGAGGCAGAGACAGGACTCCTGGAGTGATCGCCAGAGGGCCGCAAGTACGCCTCCGGCAGGCGTCCTGAGGGGACAGGACAGCTCCAGTCGCCACCCACCATCCTTTCCAGGCTTAGGTTCTAGAGCTGCCACTCCGATGTGGTAGGTGGCGGGTGGCAGGGGTGATGGAGGACCTAGCAATCACCTTGGCGAGCTTGGGAGAGGCGCAAGGTCACCTGGGGTGGGGGAGATTCTAAGAGAAAAACGTCTCCCTGGTCACTCAAACCACAGATTTTGGGGAGATCGGGGATAGAAGACCACGAACGCCACCGTGGGGCGTGTCAGCCAGCGAGCGCCCCAGCCTCACCTCGCCTGTCTTGGTCCCAGCCGGCCACCCTGCGCCGTGCTCGTTGTCATTTGTCTTAACACGGAGCGCGGATTCTCCGGAGAAGGGGAGAGCACAGCGCCGAGCCAAGGCTCGAGGCCCGCGGCCTCTCCACGCCGGAGCCCGAGGACTGGGACGGACTAGCCGGGGCCGCCCGGCCCCTGGCGCGGCGGTCCGGGGAGCGCAGGCGGCAGGCGGTGATCCCGGGCGGCCCGAGCCCTCGGGGCCGAGGGCTGTGGGCCCGGTGCGACCGGGACGCCGGGGCTGGGCCGGGCGGCGCTGACGGCCGGGCTTTCGCCCTGTGCGCTACAGGCTCCGACTGCCCGCATCCCGCCGTCTGCGAGGGCTGCCAGCGGCCCATCTCCGACCGCTTCCTGATGCGAGTCAACGAGTCGTCCTGGCACGAGGAGTGTTTGCAGTGCGCGGCGTGTCAGCAAGCCCTCACCACCAGCTGCTACTTCCGGGATCGGAAACTGTACTGCAAACAAGACTACCAACAGTAAGCGCTTCTCGTCCTCCTTCCCCGCCACCGCCCGGCACTCGAGCCCGGTCAGCCCCCTGCCGGGCCCGGCCCGCGCCCGCTCTGCCGCCGGCTCTGTGCGCGGCTGGGCCGGGCAGCTCCAAGGGTTCCGAGAGCTGCGCGTCTTGGGGCTGGGGCGGACCAGCCCAGCCCAGCGGGCACTGATGGGGTCCTGGGAGCCTCCGGACGGCCCCCAGTTGCCATCCGTTGTCCCGGAATCCTGCGCTGGGCCGGCCGAGGGATTTGGTGCCTGGGTCCTGGGATATAGGGTCTGGCGCTACGGAGGCCTGAATTGGGAACCCAAAATTGATTTCCAAAGGAAAATAATGTTTTAGGGAGCCAGGCCTGGCGGACTGCTTCAAGGGCCTGGTGTGTGGGGGTTTGGGATTCCTGGAGCCTGGAGCCAGGAGCCAGGAGGTGGAGTGCTGGGACACTGAACGGCCTGAGCGGCAAGGGAGGCCCCCTTTCTGCCAGGCTCACTGCTGCACTTTTAGTCCCTGATGGAGAGAAAAGAATGTCCATATTCCCCAAACCGTTCCATGCGGGAATTTTGCACTTGCAGTTTTCTTTGGTTGGAGAAGCACTCTAGGAAGAGGATCTCAAAAGGTGGCAAGTTACAATTTGGGGCTCCCAATGGGAGTGAGGAGCTGACTGAGTCAGCCCTTCCCACAAGGCCTCCTTTCTGGTAGTGTGTATTGAGGAGGGAGATGGCCCGCTCTGCCCTGGTATAACCCAAACCTCAGGGCTGAGGCCAGAGATGTGGGTTGAGCCCTTCTTGCTAACTAGTTTTTAGCTGAGACTGGATTTGTATGGCCGGGGTTGGGGACAGACAACAGGACATGCAGGCTTTTTCTTTTGACCTCCTGGGTTTTCTGCCTGGCACTGCAATTGGGAGGGAGGCAGTGAGGAGCCACAACTGAAAGAGGGGTGTGGAGATCCCCAAAGCTCTGTTGCAGACACAGCGGGTGCCTGCGAAAACTTTAGTGATGCCAGAAAACCGTCCTGGATGAGGCTGCAGAGCGGGTAGGCTGCTTAGGTGGTTTGGTGCTCAGAGAGGGCTGTGTATGCCCAAGCCTCCAGGGAAGGAAAAGCTGGGCTGCCGGCGCCTCGTGGTGAGTGCAACCTACCTGTTCTGCCCAGGGATTGTCCCCAGTCCAGGGCCTAGTGGAAAGCAGCGCAGCCCAACTGTTTAACTGAGGCCTGGAAACAGTGCAGGCCAGAGCCCTAGAGAGGGCATCGGATTCTACCCCAAAAGGCTCTGGCTGTGCCTGGTGGTCTGGGGGCTGAGCCTGAGCTGCTTTTTGCACCTAGCTCTTTCTTCCGGCTGAGGGATCTTTGGGTAGGGATTGGAGTCCATTCAGAGGTTCAGCTGTTTTGCTGGTCCCAGAGTGCAGCTGAGGCCTTCCTCTCAGTAGGAAGCACCCCAGATTTAGGCACACTGCCGTAGGTCGGCTTTGTGCTGTGCTCTGAACTAATATGATTCTAGTTCCGGGAGAGGGAGACGCCAGTCCGTTCAGTCACAGCCCAAGCATAGAGCAGCACAAATTGAATGGGGAAAATAGTTTGGGGTAGATGTGGCTGTGGGCTCTGGGCTGGCTAGAGGAGCCCCTCTGTAGGGTGCACCAGCCTCTAGCCCCCTCCCCACCACGCCCTGCACCCCTGGCCTCACTCTGCTTGCCTGATCCCGAGCTCTGGCAGTGCCACTTACACCCAGCTCAGCCACCAGCCTTTACGACAACACATGGGGGAAGGGGGCCCAGGAAACTAAAACCGGCCTCCAAATCATTTGCACAGCTTAAAAAAAAGAAAAAAACTTGTTAATATATTGAAAAGACTTATGAATCGCGTGTACATATTCTGCCCTCCCCCCACTCCCCATAATTATTTACGGAGCTTCTCTTTAAAAAAAAAAAGGAAAGGATAACCCCTGGTTCTTCAGGCACAGAATGGTAAAGTCACGAAATTTCAGCTGGATGTTGCCTTAGAGATGAGCGGCTCACCCCCTCATCTTACAAAACAATTAAACGTTAAGCATTTGCTACTGCTTTGTCCAAAGTATATTTGTTTTAAAAAGAAAAGGAAAGAGTCACCTAACAGCCAGCTTCTTCAGTGCAGTCCGGTGTGTTGAGAATGATTTTTGGCACAGGGCGAATCTCAGGTCCGAAGACCTCACTCAGTCTGGATCCTGTGGGGCTGAAGCCTGGGGTGGGGAGTGCATTATTCTAGCTGTGGACAGTTCATTCCTCCACCCTCATTCTATTTTTTCCAATAACGCCAATTAGGTATCTGCGTTAGGCCGGCCGGCAGGATGTGCTGGGGGTGGGGGGTGGGGGGTGGGGTGATTGTTATCAGGACAAATAGCCAGTGAGTCGTTTCACAGGGAGATGGAGCGCCGCTCCAGGCAGGCAGCAGCCACTGGAAAGGGATGTTCTTTGCACAATAAAAATTTTTTTATTCACATTTCTTTTTTTCTTTGAGAATTGCAGATGCATATTTATTTCATCTGTGCGTAAATGCTTTTCAGACAGGAATCCAAGCAAGCGGGCGCAGAAACGTGCCTTCTTGATATTGTCGAGTCTGTGCGTCAGCGGTATTGAGAAATTAACAATCCCCCCACCAAACACAACTTCTGAAAAATGTGTCCTCACCCCTGGCTGAGTTGCAGGGCTCCGTCCTTAAAAAGAGGTTGCCATTTTTAGTAAATGTCTCTTCTTCCTTTCGATTTGTTCTCAAAGATCCCAGACACCCAGAAGTGCCAAGTTGTCTTACGCACCACGGGGGTGATTAATTGACACTGGGGCACATTGAGCCGAATTTGATAAAAATCCTCTTGTACATCCTTGGCGGGCAGAGCAGAGCGCCGGCCGTGGAGTTTGGGCATTTTCACTCTTAACTCCAAAAGTCTCCTTTTTCCCCATGTGTGAGTTTTGGGGGCTCCTTCAAAAAAAAGAAAAAGCAGCCTTTTCGGACAGAAAACCAGTTAGGAAACGGAGAGGAAACGCAGCCTCCCCCAAATCAGAACACCTCTCACCGTCCTCCACCGGAGAACAAATGAAAAATAAGGCACTTTCCCCCCTCCCATGTTTTTATCTTGGCGGCTTGGCCGAATAGAATTATGTAACTCTCTTTTCTTGCCGTCTGTCGCTCGTCTGGAAAGGGTTTTTATCCTGAAGAGGTGGAGAATTCCTGGAGGAGGCTCCGGAAGGGGGGAGGGTCGGTGGGAGAGTCCAAAAATCTGTCACAAAATGGAGTCTAATCGCTTGTAAGACAGCTCCCAGGTTTGGCGACCCGAGACCCGCTGGGGTGCAAGCGGGCGCCTTTGTGCACGGCGAGACGCGGGGTTCCGGCCCGGGCCGCGCTCCTACCTCGGCGGCGGGGCCGCGGCGTCCTTCCGCCCGCAGGGCCTGCCCGGGCGGCCGAGCCTCTCGGCGACACAGACTTCAGGGCTCCGCCGGGCCCGCTGGGGGCCCTTTGGGCTCGCCTGTCCAGGTAGGATGTGCCTACGTTGGCAGCAGGGGAGCATCGAGGCTTTGATTGAGTTTCACAGAAAGCCCTCTTGAGTCCTGGGGTGAGTTTTTAAAAAATTTCCCCCAGCTGGCTGTGGCTCCAGTGGCCCAACCGCTCTGCCCTGCGCATTCCTTTCCTTGGAAGTGTTTACCCCGGGAAAGACCTTCTTGGGAGGCTCACCTCTCCCCCCACACTCCCCATCCAGCTCCCGCGTTCGGGTGTGGCCCAGGGGGAGAGCAGTCAGGCTCCGGCCTTCTCTGGCTACTTCTTCTGCCAGCCTGGAAGGCCTCCCATAGGCCCTCCTGCAGGGTGCCAGTCTCAAGCAGCACCCCTTCCCCAGTGTGTACCCCAACCAGCGAGCCCCCCTGCCCCAACCATCAAACTCATTCAGGGCTGCAGAGCGCCTGTCCTGGAAACTGCTTGGGAGGAGGAGCCAGGACTTTGCCTTACAAAAAGGCTTCTATGGTGCTGTCTCTGGGGGCTGAGGCCCAAAGGGCTCACCCTGGCAGCCCAAGTCTGGGGACCCTCTGGCCCTTTGGAGGGTACCTCTCCATTTAACCCCGGCACCTTGGCTGTGTGCAAGACGGTAAGCACAGGCCTTCCTGAGGCTGCAGTCCCCTGCTGCTGAACGGAGGCATTATTCACAGTGACTCCTGGCTCACCCTCGACTCCCCGGGCGCTGGGCTGGTGTGGCCTTATTTGTTTGCCCTATTTTTCTTGAGTGGGGGAAGCAGGCTGGGAGGATCTCCTCTGGGGTATGTGATTGGTGACTGTCAGCTCTTTCCTGCCCTGTCCATTGGAGCCAGGCTTAGAGACCCACGGCCGTGGCACCTACCTGATCCTCCTCTGTGAAATGGGGACTTATTCTGCTGGGGGCAAGTATTCTTATAAGGACTTGAGATAAGGTGCCCCAAAGGACCTGGCATCTTGCCTGGCTTGTTATTAATACTCTGGAAGTTATTGCTGTTACTCTTCTCACCATGAGCATGGCAGGGAATACCTTGTCTCCAAGGACACACACCACACTGCCAACAGGTTCTCTACCCAGGTTCCATGGTACACAGGGTTTACCATGAGCCTCTCCATGCAGGGAGGATGAGGAGCACCCTGGGGAAGCCATTGCCTTTCCCTTCGTAGGACACTGTAAAAGTCTTGCCTTCCTCAGCCATGAAAAGAGCTTTAGACTCGGAGTCAGACCTGAGTTCACCTCCCAGCCCCAAGTCTTAGCAGCTGTGTGATCTTCGCTAAGTGGTTGCCCATCTCTGAGCTGGGGCCTCATCAACAAACTGGGGGTGATGATGTGACTTTGCAGGGTGGTTGTGAGGATTACACAGGCACCTGGTGGAACTTTAATAAATATTCCATTCTCCGGGGGATCCATTATCCTCTCCTGCACCTCAAGAGAGGTGGAAAACCTGATTGTGTGGGTGCGCACAGGTGCCAACTGCATTATCAGAAAGGGCCACAACAGGGTGGCCAGCTGTGCTGGGCTCTTTCTCCTTTGGGGGCAGACGGGTGTGCTGTGCTCTTTCTCCCTGGGGGCAGACGGAGGGTGGCCGGGTGTCCTGTGCTCTTTCTCCTTGGGGGCAGACGGAGGGTGGCCGGGTGTGCTGGCTCTTTTTCCTTTGGTGGCAAACAGAGGGTGGTCCAGAGCAACAGTATTTCCACCGGGAAACAATTGGCATCTCCAGGGCCTCCATATAGCTTGGAAAAGCTTAATAATTCATATTTGAAGAACTGTTTGTACTTACTGTTTTGTGATTGAAGCCACAGAAAATAAAGCTCAGCCAATGGAGAAGGGGGTAGGTGGAGGAGAGGTCTGGGGGATTTGTCTATTTCTCAGAAGGAAGATGAGGTTTAAAAGGTGGAGAAACACCATTCCAGGAACTCAGAAGGCCCCTCCAGCTCGGGCTCTGTGGCCTTGTGAGGTTTCCACCCATGGGTGGCTGGCGATGCTTCTCCAAGGAGCCGCCTTTGTCCTGAGGCTCTGGAGTTTCTAAAAAATAAAGAAAAGGAAGAGGAAAAAAACCAGTCCTACTTTGGCATCAGTTAGGCTGAAGGATGGAGGATACTCTCACCGACATGAGTTATAACTTCCAATTTGTTGGACACCACAGTCAAGCCTCAGCCAGGGGAGGGAGGAAGGGAGGGATAGTCTACTCATCCAAGGAGCCGCGTGTGAGCTGTCAGTCAGTTGGGGGTGCCCGAGGACCCAGGGCCCTTGGCTGTCTGGCTGACCCAGCCGGAAGTTCCTCTGGCCCTCTCCAACCAGATTCTGTGCTGATGGCAGCAAAGAGCAAAACCAAAATTATATATATTTATTACCACTGCAGTCAGAAGTGGAGAGACGGTGGTAGTGAGAGAGGGCTAAGGCTGAAAACCATATTTGAAAAAGTTGATTCACGAAGGTAGAGGAAGCAAAGTGGCAGACGTTTGCCATTTCATCGACCGGCTGGTGTTCTCCATTCATGTCATAAATGTCTCCTGTCATTTGATGCCAAAAGCAACATGATTTGGTTCCCCGGTGGCCTATAGGGTTTTTCTCTCTCTCTCTCTTCTTTTTTTTTTTTTTTTTTTTTTTTTTGCAGTAAATGTTTATTTGTTGATAATAGACTTTAAACAGCCTAGCCTTGACCTCAAGTCTCCTGAAGCATCCATCTTCTCTCAGAAAAATGTTTCAAAGTTTGTGTAATTTTGGGGGGAAGGTGTAACTGACGGGGCAGTGAAGGGCTTGTGTTTGCTTTAACTACTGCTGCGGTGAGGAGTGGTGGGGCATAAGGGGCCACTGTGCTCGGAATGGCAACTTTCTTGGGTTTCAGGCCGGCTGACAGCACTTCCTCTCTGCCCTTTACCTTTGCTTTGCCTGATCAGTACAAATAAATTTCTGCGTGGGCCCTTCCTTTGTTATTCCCTGGATAATATTGTATCCATTTCTGCTCAGCATTTTGACTGGCAGCCGCTGGACCTGCCCTGCTGACCTTGGGGCCCCAAAGGGAGGATGAGGGGCTGGGGATCTGGGGATGTGTGGGTACATTTGTGGGGAGGCTTTGTCTCAATTGGGAGCTTGGCTCGGACCAGCCCTGGACGAATGTCCTGGCTGATGGCAGAGCACCTGGCTGGCCTTGGCACTTGGTGAACTGGGGGGAAGTGTTGCTGAAGGAAAAACCCGGTTCCTGGAGCCTGGTTCCAGAAGAAACAAAGATGTTTGCTTCCTGGCCGGGCCAGTGCTGTGAGAGAGGCTTCCCCGGGAACTGTGGGGAGGTGGCTAGCTGGGGAAGGTTGTGACGGCCACCCAGAGCAACAGCGATGCCCACTGGGGCTGGCAGGAATGAGGAGGCCACCGAGCTGCTGGGTAGCTGAAGATGAGCTGAGCATGCTGAGACACAGGGCCGCCAGGGGTCCCTCCCCCAAGCGCCTCCCCAGGAACTTCAGCAGCGGTGACGGGAGGGGAGGAGCAGCACTGGGTTGGGATGGGACAAGTTGGGTGTGACTGCTGTTCCCCCTTCTCCCGCCTCCTGCCTTCCAAGGGGACTCTGTGACTCTTGTCGTGTGATTCCTGGATTGCTATAGTTACTGGGCTGTTGGGTGTGGGCGCCAGACCAGGACTGAGCTGCCCAGGCCTTTGGGGTTCCAGAGGATCAAGGTGCTCTGGGGTGACCTCCTCCAAATGGAGGGGTCCTGGGTGGGGCACATTTTCTCAAAGGAAGAGCAAGCTTGTTGGCAGTTACAGAATGGGGATCCAGAATGTCTCCATCTCCCAGTGACAAAGGCCAAGGGCCTTTAGGGAAGGACTGACAGCTCTTCCTGAGCCTCAGTTCCCTTCTCTGTGAAAAGGGGGTAGTAATTCCAATCTTACAGGGTTGCTCTGAGAATAAAGTGGAACAAACCCAGATGCCAGCCAGTGTTGGGCATGCAGTCAATGTATGTTTTCTTCCTTCCTGCTGGGAAATGAGCCGAAGGCAGCCCCGTCTGGCAGGAATGCATTGTCTGTCCTGCGTGGGAGGCCCAGAAAGTGCAGCCTCCTGAACAGGCCTCCCAGAGGGGTCTTGCCCACCCTTCTGTTCCTCACCCAGGTTGGGAGCCTGTGTTTTTATTTTTATTTTTTTTCCCTTGAAAAGGGCATGGGGCCGGTCTGGATGCCAGAGGCTGCTCCTCGGAGCCAAGGCCAGCCTGTGGATGGGCCCTCATTACTACTGAGACACGTAGGTCCCATTTTTTCCAAGAGACTCCTGAGCATGGTCAGTGTAGATGTGAACTTGCAGGAGCAGCGCCTTACTGAACAGGGAGGCAGCCTGCAGTAGTGCCTCTAGAAGGGCAAGGCATTGGCGTTTGTTGAGCCCCTGTGAAGTTCACTGTCTGTACCGTCCCAACCCTGTGGTTAGGGGAGGAAACTGAGGCTGAGCAGCTTGAACAACTTCCCCAGGCCCAGAGTTAACTCTGTAGCAGATTTTTCCCGGCCCAGAGTTACCCTGTAGCAGATTTCCCCCCCAGGCGGGTCCAACTCCCAAAGCCGGATGGGTTCTCTAAGTCCTCCTATACCGACCTTCCGGAAGGTGCGGGCTCTACATTGTTGCTAATCTCCCCCAGAACGCCCAGCCTGGGAGGGGTGGGGAGGGGGAGTCGCTACCCGAGGGCTGGGAGCAGGGTGTCACTGACCTCCTCTGCGCGGATTGCCCCCTGTAGGGCCAGCCCTGGCCAGCGGAAGAAAAAGGTTAGAATAATTGCCTTCCCCTGGGCGGGAGAGCTTCCTTCGACGTCCGGACACGCGGATGGGGCGGCTTTCAGCGGCCTCCACCCGCGCACCCCTCCAGGCCCACCTCTCGGCGGTTCGTGCAGCATGTTCTTTACTGGGAGTGGGATGACACCATGCATAGGCTCCTGGGCTCCGCAGCCGAGCCGCGGGCACCAGCGGCGGTTGATGAATTTCGGTGTCACCAGGGGTTTAGCCCGGATTTGGGAACCGCGCGCTCTAATACGCGCACACGGTCCTGCCCTTTCTAAAGCGCAGCCCTTTCACCCAGCAGCTGATTTATGGAGGAATTCGATCCTGGGACGCGCTAGGCTGAAGCCCGGAGTCCAGGGCCCTGCAGCAGCTTTCGGGCTTCTCAGCGTTTCGGGGACCCTTGGTGGCTCGGGGGCTCTCTTGGGCTGGGGTCGGGGTGCCCCGCCAGGTGGGGCCTTACGCGGTCCAGAAAGAGCCAGTGATTCTCCTTGGAGCCACTGCAGGCTCCCGCTGGAGGGAGTAAGACTGGCGGGGAGAGCTGGCATTTTCATTCCTTGTTGAGCACAGCCCTCGCCCCTCCCCAAGCCCTCCTGCCGACCCCCTCGGGCTGGCCAAAAGCAGCAAGTTCGGGAGGTTTGTTTATTGAGAGAACAGAAAATTAGGGGTTGCGGGGGAGAATCTAAGACCCTTTTCCCGCCTGAGAAACGTGCGAAGTCCCTCAGCTCCTGGAGGCAACCAGGCGGCCCGAAAGCCGAGTTCCCGGCGCGGATGCTAGGGCCGACCCCAGCCCCCTCCCTCCTGCGCCCCAGCCCGAGGGCGGCGAGTGGCAGGTTTTTTTTTATCTTGTTTTTTTTTTTTTGGATTTGGTTTGCAGGGGGGAAATGTGGTTGTATCAATCCACAAATATTTACTCTTAACAGACTTGTATCTGTGGAGATTTCGAACAAAGACAGTTTAGGGGGATTACAAAAACCCTAAACCCCGTTTTTCTCCCGGACTTGGTGCTTTAAATGCCAATTATAGGCGAGCCATATCCAACAGCAACGGGGAAAGGCGAGCAGGCTCCGGGGAGGGAGGTGGGGGGAGAGTCCGGCCATTAAATGTAACTTTTCATTATGAAAAGGATTTCGCCGGTTTTATCTTCTAATAAGATTATGTCACGAACACAAGTACCTAGGATGGTGCTGAGTGACAGGGCTCTGTCGTTTAATCAGAGGCTGTGCCGCTCAAACCGCGGGGCCCTTTGTCCCACGGAGTGAACGACGGAAACTTGCCATCCTAATCCCCTTATTCATGTCAAGCACAGAAAAGAAGCCGAGCACCTTACAACCGTGTCCCCTCCACCCCTTCCGAGGACGGCGGGAAGAGGGGGCTCCGGCCCTGTAGCCCCCTGACGCTTTTCGTTTCCGAGCGCGCTTGGGCCTCAGGAGCCGGAGCGTTGCCGTGGGGGCGGGGGAAGGGGTGGTTTTGCGGGTGCCTTAATTGGCAGCGTCTGGAAAATGGGGACAGTGACCCCACGACTAGAGGATGAATGGGGGGAGGGTTAGTGGGATGTGTTTGCCTCCTCTGACCGAGAGCACGGGTCCTGCTCTGTCCCCTCTTCCCAGGAAAGGTGGCACTCCGGGTGCACACCCACCACCCCCATTAAAGCGGGATTGACCAGAAGAGAGAGGCCGAATGGAGATGCCAGGCTGGGGCCCTCGGCGGGGCAGATTTCGTTGGATCCCTGGGACTAATGTCGCAGCGCTCGCACTCCTGCAGGTCTCCAGGGTTGGCCATTCCCGGCTGCATGCTCGGCCCCTTTCTTCCGAGGGTGAATTCCTTTGTTCCACCCCCACGGAAACCCTCTTCTCCGCCAGGCCCGTGGCGCCTTTCTCGCCACCTCCGCCGCCGCCGCCGCCACCCTCGTCCCACCGTTTGCAGGGCTTTCCTGCGGCGCTCTGGCCGCAGAGACCCAGCCCTGTCTGCCGACTGGCCCTTCGACGTCGCCGCCGTGCCTGAGCCCCGCTGCCTGCTCGGACAAGCAGAACTCCGGCAGGCGCAGCGGGCGCCGAGGCTTGGGCTTTAGCCGTGGCGCTCGCCTCGGCGCAGTGGGGAGCCGCGGGCGTCGGAGAAGCGGCCGCGCTGTTCCGGGTCACTGCACCGGCTGAAAAAACCAAAAGCAAAACCAACACCCAGAAACGAAGCCTGCGTGCCCCCGGGGGCTCCGTTTTGCTCCCCTCATGGACATGGGGGTGGGGAGCTCGTGGGGTTTCAGCCCAAAGGCTCCAGTCAGTGGAACCGGAGGGGGACTTCGGAGGAATTTGTCTCTGATGTCCCGGCTCCCTGGCCTCCTATTAGAACTCGTAGAGGATCCGCTCTGGAGTCCCCGTGCGCCCTGGCAGAGGTCGGGGACGCCAGAGTGCACGCAGTCTCCTGCGCGCCGAGCCCAGGCTCCGGGCGCAGGGAGGATCGGGCTGAGAGCAGGGTGTCACCTCGTAAAAGCGACAGGCAAGGACTGTTTTATGGGGAGGGAGAAGGAGCAGGAAGTGATGCTTCCATCTCTGACAGCATAGGGACCGGGAGCTCCGATGGAGGAAACCCTTTCCGGGCAGGACGAGTAGAGGGACAGGACATGGCCGGGGACCATGGGATTCGCTGCCATTAAGTATGGGACGGGCAGGCGAGAGCGGGGAAGGGGACCGATGGAGCCAGAAGCCCTGAGCTCACCTCCCGCCCGTCCTCTCCTGGAGCCCCCTCTGCAATCCCGGCTCAGTCGGCAACCGGCCCTTCCTTCCAGGTCAGGGGTGGGGGAGAGACTTTCTCCCTCGAAACACTTGATACCAACTTTGTTTTTTTGGCAAGAAAAATAAGCCTTGTTTGGAAAGGGGTGGGTGGGGGGCGTCGAGCGAGCGAGGGAAGGAGCAAGGAGGCGGCGGCGGAGCAAACTCTGCGGATTAGGTTTCAGCGCCTCCGCCCCACCCCCAGCCCCGCGGCGGTGATTTGTGTGCGGGGGTCTGTGACCCTGCAAGCATCAAACGGCCCGCGGGAACCGGCCGAGTTCAGAGGGACAGTGGGCCGAAGGGCGGCCTAAGACAACGCAGATGGTTCCTATCAGCCCGGCCGGGCCCGCAGCGTCCGCCGGTCCGTCCGGGCTCCTCTGCAGGGAAGAGGCCTTGGTCTTGGGGGAGGCCCCCGCCTGAGCATTGATAAGGGTCTGGACGCAACAGCCCACGCCCAGTCGGCTCCAGTGGAAAGGAGGCCTCGGAGACTGGTGTCAGAGGGTTCCTTGGCCAGGCTGTCCTGACCTCACTGGGCTCAGGAGGAGCCTGATGTGCCTGGTCACCAGAGTGGCCTCTGAGTAGGGACCAGCAGGAAGAGAGACCCCCCGGTCTCCTCCCCGTGGCCGGGTTACCCTGTCCCTGCCCTGCAGGCAGCTGAGGCTCATCCACGATATAGTGCCCCTCCCCCAGGGACCCTTCTTCCCTTTTTTACTCAGAGAGGTGCCCTGCCCTGCCCTCAGCCTGCTTGCTTCTGACTTCATTGATTCTATGCAGTGATAGAATGCCCTGCTTCTTCCTGCCAGCTGGAGCCCTTCTGCTTGGCTTGAGCTAACTTTGAGGGACTCTTCCATTTTCTCCCTCCTGTCCCCAAGGGAAAGCAGAGAAGGAGGCTCACTCATGCCTTGGCCCAGAGCCTTGCCTTGGTGCTGGGAGCCCTGCTTGGTCAGGGTGGGAGGGGCTCTTCCCCCACCAGCCCTGGCCTCTGAGCCTGCTCCCCTTCTTTCCCCAGAGCTGGAGCAGGGCTGTCAACCTCAGCAGTCCCAGGCCTCCCTGGCCTGATTTCCAGGGCCTGGCCTTCTGCGTGGCCTCCAGTGACCACAGTTGAGTGCAGCAGGGCCACACTCACAGGGACCTTGGGCTGCTTTAGGATATCCCAGCTAAAGGGCTCTTCAGGATCCCAGTAGAAATGGGAAAACCAAGGTCCAAGTGCAGCTAGGACTTGTCCTGTTGTAGCAGAGCAGAGGCGGAAATCCCAAGCTGCACGCTACCAGGCTTGGGGGCTGTGTGGCAACTCCACAGTCCTTTTGAGAACCCTCTCCCAGACTCTGGCTTTAACACTGGCCTACTCTGTCTTCCCTGGGCCCAGGTCTCAGGGATGGGAAGGTTCTTCAATCCCAGCTCTTTAAGAAGGGGTGACAGGTGGACCTGGACAATGAAATGATTTTGAGAGTTTTCTGGATAACACGGGGCCACGTGGCTTGGGAATGCGGTCTACTAAACTGGGACCTTGGGGGACAAAAGCCAGGTGAGGACAGTGCCACATCCCACCATCTTTCTTGTCTCTGACTCCCGCATACCCTGGGCTTGGCCCTTCCTGTCTATAGTGGGTCATGGGGAGGCCAGAGGCCTGGCTGGGGACTCAGAGGGCCAGTGGGCTGCTAGGACCTCTCAAGACTCCATCTCCCAGGGTCCCTGCCTCAGGGGAGCAGCCGGCTGGGTCATCTGTGCACAGAAGACACATCTGTCCTCCACATGTTGCAGGCCGAGCAGAGGACATGTGGTTTGGGTCGTGTTATCTTAATCATATTTATTAGCCAATCCTGGGGGAAAAAAGAGTTTGATATTGTTATGATTCGGAAAAGGTCCCCAAATCTACAAGGCGACAGATCAGGAGAGGCCGCCAGCAACAGCCAGGTCTCAGCTGGGTTCAGGACATGGCTTTGGAAGTTCTTTGGGTTGTCTTAGAGCGATGGAATCTCTACGCTGCGAAACAACACTTAACCGCTTTCATTTTCCCAGAGATCTGAAGCGAAATTAATTACCCCGCCTTGACTGATAGTTGTTCTGTTGGAGTATGGTTCTAATCCTTATTAACATTCTCTAAAGTCAGGCATGAAATATGACTTTTATACCACACTCTTTGGCATATGTTTTTCTTTTCCAGGAGATTTTTCAGGCTATCTCTAAGCCTCACTGCTGTTCATTATTTTTGCCATAGGTCTAAAGTTGCCATCCCCAAAGCTAGTCCCGCACAGAGCACAGCCAAGCGGGGAGGGGGGTGTGGGAGGAATGACACATCTCTGCTTGCGACGCAAATTGCTTCTGATTATTGAGCTTTGAATATTTTTCTCCATCGTGTTTTTATTAAAAACTCCAGCATATTTACGCTTGATGGTGTCTTCAATTAGATTAAAAAAAAAAAAAGCAGGGGTTCCCCTTTCTATAGCAGTATGTAAGGAAAATAGTTATGACCACAAAATTACCATCCAAACCTGGTTCTAGTAAAGCCAGTCCTGCTTTGACAAGCCCAGCAGGCTGGGTGCTTTTTTTCTAAGCGTTCCAGCTGCTAGGGAAACAGACCAGAGAGGAAGCCCACAGAAGCCTCCATTCTGCACGGTACTTGGGGCACCTCTCAGGACCTAACACTTCCCAAGTTTGTGAGCCGCAGAAGGAAGCCCAGCTGCTTGGGGCTTTCTGACGGGCCGGGCAGACCTGGAGCATGCACGACAGCAGCAGCAATAATAACGCCAGCTGATGCTTGTTTAGCACTTGTGGTCCATCAGGCACTGCTCTCAGCACTTTCCATTCTTTAATGACACTACGACATGGCTTCCATTATTATTTGCATTTTCAGGTAAGACAACCGAGGCACAGAGAAGTTAAGTAACTTGCCCAAGGTCACACAGCTAGTAAATGGAACCCAGGCATTGTGTCACGAGAAAACTTTCAGCAGCCTTTTGGGAGGGTGGAGTCTGGCCTCTGGCTGGGGTTGGTGCCCCGATGGTGGGCTGGTACTGCAACCCAATGTTGTTTGTTGAAGAAATGGCTCCTAATGAATGGCCAGTGTTCATTTTATGCTGCTTGTGGTAAAGCTTTGATGGGGATTCACTCACTGAATCTTCTTACTGCTCTGGGGGCAGGTTTTATTAATATTATTTCCCATTTTGCCAACATCAAAGCTTGACTTGGGTGCAGTGATTTCCCCAAGGTGGCAAGCTGATGATTGCCAGCTTCAGATGGCACCCTAGATCTTGATGAGACTTCCTAAAAGCACTGTGGTTGGCCGGGTGTGGTGGCTCATGCCTGTAATCCCAGCACTTTGGGAGACCAAGGCGGGTGGATCATGAGGTCAGGAGATCGAGACCATCCTGGTTAACACGGTGAAACCCCGTCTCCACTAAAAATACAAAAAAATTAGCTGGGCGTCATGGCAGGCACCTGTGACCTACTCGGGAGTAGCTCCCAGCTACTCGGGAGGCTGAGGCAGGAGAATGGCGTGAACCCGGGAGACGGAGCTTGCAGTGAGCCGAGATTGCGCCACTGCACTCCAGCCTGGGCGACAGAGCAAGACTCCGTCTCAAAAAAAAAAAAAAAAAAAGCACTATTGTTTGCCTGGGTTTCCAGGTGACAGAATTGGGGCTCAGAGGGGTGAAGCCACACACCTAGGGCCACACAGCCAGTGGGGGGCTATGCAGCACAGAGTCAGCATCTGCGGGTGCCACAACCTGCCCTTGGAACCACTTCTCAGCTCCCGGGAACCCAGGCTTGGGGGAGCACCTGCACTGAGCCTTCTCAGTGGGTCTGACTTGGCCTGAACAACTCTCCTGGCAGTAGGCAGGGCACATTTCATCACTGGGGGGGAGGGTTGTTATCTGTGACCTGTCTGGTGCCAAACAGGCATGGCGTCATCCCTTCCAAACCCCATTTTACAGGGGAGGAAATTAAAGCACAGAGAACCTAAGTGTCTTGCCCTAGGTCACACAGCTAGTTAGCAGCTGATGGGAATCACACTCAGGTGGCCTGTCTTTGGGGCGGTGCCTCTCAGAGAGAGGCTCTGAATCATCATCTTCGTCCTCAGTGTTGTCAGCTTTATGCATGACCACCCCTGAGTGCCTTCTGAGTACTTTGCAAATATATAGTGAAAGCAGCGAGATTCAGAGAGGGAAGGTGATTTTCCAAGGATTACACCACAGGGTGGGGCCGGCCAGGGTCTGCCCTCCTGCCCAGGATAGTGGAAGTCCATGCCATGGATGGGAGCGTGGCCAGCCCTCACAGGGCCACCTTTACCCCTGCAGTGCCTTCCTGGCTCCGGGCTGCCGGTGCAGCAATTCAGGGCAGGCGTTGTCTGGCCTTTGAAGGGACGGCTGTCTGAGTGTGTCACTTTGAACTGCAAAGGGGCCTGTGGTGAGGGCTCGGCCCCCTCCCACGTGCCCCCGCCTGCCCACCCCTCCAGCTCTGGTTCTAGTCGGCAGGCCTGGAGCCAAAGGGGCGGGCAGGGCAGTGGCCCCCCTGTGGGATGTCAGCCTGATAAGTGAGCAGCGACAGACCCCTGGAGGAGGATGGAGCTGGCCGCCCACTGGTTGGGCTGTCCCACGTGGCAAGAGTTCAGGCCAGTCCCCGAGGTGCCATCCTCCCACAGACATGCCCTTACGGCTGCAGAGAAACATCTGCCTGAACGTCAAAAGATTTAAATTAAAATAACAGTAATGATAGTAATAATAATGATTTGTAAAAGGAAACATCTTGCCTTGGGGCACAGGGAGCATCAGGGACTCAACCCTGTGTTCTGCTTGGGGAGTGCTCGTGGCAGGAGGTCAGGAAGAAGAGGTATTAGGTAAGAGACCTAATGCCTATTAGGTCTGGGCTGCTGATTCCCAGGAGTCCAGCTGGGGGCCTTTTGAGTTGCTCAGCTTCCTGGCTCAGCTCGGCCGGCCGGGATGGGGCAGGCCTATCCTGCCCACAGAGAGCTCCCAGGCTAAGTGGGTGGGTGGGGTGAGGTGGGGATAGGGGCGAGGGCAGAGCTGAGCAGAAATGAGGCCAGCACAGTCCCTGTGCCTGCAGTTATTGGCTCTTGGATTTTGTGACCCCAGAACTGATTCCTTGAGAGGCCGAGAACTTAACCAGATTTTTCACCAGTGCTTTGGAACCTCAGGTTTTACCACTTCCCGCTGTGTGACCTTAGGTTAGAGGCTTTAAATTCCCTGTGCCTCAGTTTCTTCAAAGTTTACTAAGGACCAGACCCCTGCCTCCGGGTAAGGATGATTCAGAGGGAGCAGATGCCATTCCTCTTTAGGTGAGTGGTTCCTGCCGATTTTGTTACTGATGCTCCCACAGTCCTTTGTGCTGGGCCTCAAAGGGGGCCACCTTTGACCATATGTATTGGGTCTTAGCTAGAAAAGGGAACGGTAGGTGCGCAGTTCGTACTGAAAGAAAGTATAAGGGTCTAGAGCTGGGCTGGACTCTGGGCTTGGCCTCTTTCTAGCTGTGTGACCTTTGACAAATTCCTTAGCTTCTCAGAGCCTCCACTCTCTCGCAAGCAAAATGCACGTAAAGAACCTACCTTCCAGGTTGTGGGGAGAGCGAGATGAGATGCTGTGTTCAAAGAGCCATACCAGTCCATGGGAGCCGTTTTTCTTAGAGGGAAGAGTTGTGGGCAGGGGCCTCGTTAGTCACACAAGAAGGCAGCAAGAGTGTGTGCCAGCTTACGCCAGGCAGGTGCCCGTGAGATGGGAGGCTGCAGCTTGGGAGGATTTGGGGAGGGCATTCCAGGAGGGGGCCCTGGCAGCAGGAATATTGGGGGTTAAATGGGTGGGCTGGGACAGTGAGTCTGGCGGAGGGGCTGCCGAGGGGCTGCTGGGACTGGAGGCTGCAGAGCAGGGCAGGAGCCTGTGGCTGTGCTCGGGCGTTTGGATTTTATCCTGTGGGCAGGAGGGAGCTATTGAAGGTTATTGGACAGGGGAGTGACAGGAACTGGAGAGGCACTTTATGGAGCTGATGCTGGCAACATGTGCCTGGGATTAGACCGGCGGGAGGAGGCTATTGCCACCTTGGAGGTGAGGGTAGTTGCGGGAACCAGAGAGGGAACAGGGCACAGGGAGGGTCACAGAGGCCTGGGGCTTGGAGCTGGGGTGGCTGGAACCCCAGGTACTCAGCTGCCTGGCTAAGGCCTTGAGGTCCTGAGCACTCTGGGCTGGTCCCAGCAGGGGTGACCCACTTAGCTGGGTCCCTGGAAGAGCCGGCTTGACCTGTGCAGCCCCACTGGGCCCCACACCCAGAAGGGCCCTTAGCTTGGTTTAATGCTCCTGCTGTCACACTCTTGAGATTCTTAACTTTTGAACAAGTGGCTCTGCCCCTGCCTTTTCATTCTGTGCTGAGCCCCGCAGGCGAGCCCCCAGCTCACCTGCCATTCCCACATGTCCCAGACACTTGCCCACATCAAGGTCTTACTCAGGCTGTGGTGGTTGCCCAGGAGGCGTCCCCTGGCCTCCATCATCCTTTCTTCTTCTGGAAAACTCTCCCTACTCCCAAGGCCTGGCACAAGAGTCACCGGTTTCATGGAGTCTCTCTGGCTCTGAGCCCCACCCCCGTCCTCCAGGCTTGGATCTGTCCTGTAGCACTTGCTAGAGGTGCAGAATCCTAGATCTGTGAGGGAACTCGAACTCTCGAGGTGAAGCCCATGAGTCTACATTTCCAGATGGCCCCTGGGGGAAGCCTTGCCTGCTGAGGTATGACAACCTCTGCCCAGGGTACCTCCAAGCCTGGCACAGGGCCTGGTACTTGGTAGGTGCATCCGTGTGTCATGTCATTGTGAAGGAATGAATGAACGGTGCTTACCTGTCCATCTGGATGGATGAAGCTCCCTGGGCCTAGCTCATTGCCTGGCATGGGTGGGTGGGTTGCAGCAAGTCTCCACAGGACAACTGGGAGGACACCTGGCCAATCCTGGGGACTGGCTGGGGCAGGGTTCTTCTTCTTCCTGAAACCTCGGGACATGGGGGCCAGGCTGGGGGATGGAAGGGCAAAATTAGTACCCTCCGGGAGATGGGAAGTGGGCAGAGGCCACGGAGTCCACCAGCACATCCTCCCTGTAGCTGTCCCCTCCTCCGAAAGGACTACCCACTCCTGACATGGTTATACAGCACGCACATAATTATACAGCATGATGGAAGAAGAGAATTTGATTGTTATTTCCAGAGCCTTTACCCTGTGCAGCCACTGATTTAAGGATCACATTATTTCATTCAACCGTAAGCCTCATAGTCTGTGAGGCAGAGCCTGTTATTATCCCCATTTCAGCGATATGGAGACTGAGGCACAGAAAGGGGTAGTCGGCAGTCCAAATTCACACAGCTTTGTGTGACCCCTCTGCCAGTTGGCCTCCGAGATGCCTCATTCCCCCTGTGCCTCCCGCTTTTGATGCCTCGGGGATACACCTGGCACAGTATGTACTCAGCGAATGTTTGGGGAAGGCAGGAGGGAGGGAAGAAGGAAGCCCAGCTCACTCATCCAACCGGAAGGACCCCTGCTCCAGGCAGGACTGGAATAACGCCAGGACTCCAAATGAGCAAGATAGTCCCAGCCTGGCCTGCCTGGGATAAGGAGCGGGCAGGGAAACCCAGAGGAGAAGCACTGACTTTGGCAGGATGGGGCATGTGAGGGCACCTGGAAGGCACTGTGGTGAAGCCCGGGACTGGAAAGCCTTCTTGCCCAGCAGTGACGGGGTCGCCATGGAGAGGCCTCACCGGGCAGGTCTCTGAAGCCAGCGTCAGTTTCATACAGGCATTCCAGAAATACATGTGGAACTTCCTCCCTCCACGCCCTGTGTGGGTATCAGGGAGGCATGGGGAAGAAAACGCTCCAGGTCCTGCCCTCGGCTGCCACCATGGTGCTGAACAGGGTGAGTCTAGCCAAGGAGATGCCAGGAGCAGACCCGGTGCACAGTAGGTGTTCAGGGACTGTCCCCATGGAGATTTTCAGTTACCCACCTCCTGCATTAGCCTCTGGTGCCAGGTTCTGCACACCCCCCCCACAATGCCACATCCATGAGCCACTGTCTTGAGTCCTTTGACCTCTCTGAGCCTGAAGTTAGTCATCTATAAAATGGGTACAGCTATTCCTACTGTCCAGGTTGTTGTAGGGATTAATTTTGTAGCGATTAATCCAGGGGAGGGCCCCGCTGCGAGTGTACCTGGAAGAAGGGGTGCTGCCTGGAGAGGTGGGAGAGCTTTTACCAGGCAGGTGACATTTGGAGTCACGAAAGGGGAGGAGGAGGGCTTTGCAGGTGTGGGGTACAGTGTGGGCCAAAGCCCAGAGACATGGAAGCCTGTGGCCTGTTAGAAGCACAGGGCTCCCCGCTCCTTCCCCTCTCCTCTCTGCCCCTGGCTGTCCTCTCACCCTCAAGCCGGTGCCAGTGTGGCTCTGCAGATTTGCTTCTAAGCCCTAGCACCCGCTGCATGCCAGCCAGGCACAAGCGCCATATGAAGCCTGCTGATGGCCTGGGAGACAGGTGTTACTGTCATTCCCATTTCACAGATGAGGGGACTGACACCCAAAACCCAGAGGCCACTTACCCAGGGCCACACGGCTGGGGAGCTTCACCACCAGGTCTGACTCCAGCTCCTGCTCACCCTTCCCCCAGCCCTCCCACTCCTCTTCTAGTCAGCTACTTGCCCCCACTCGCTCATTGCCCACACAGGGAGCAGGCCCGGGGCTTACACAAAGGCAAGGGAGGTAGACGGCTAGGACTTGGAAGACTGAGAACAGCTACATAGAGGAGGCGGGCACGAGAAGCTTCTGCAAAACCAGTTGCAGTCGGAGGAGATGCTATGGCGAGGGCACTCCAGGCTGAGGGCACTGCCTGGGCAAAGGCATGGAGGCTGACAAGCCCAGCCACGCTGATGATTGATGTCACAGCACAGTCACACACATGACCTTTGAGATTCGGGGGAATAACTGTTTCGGAGGAGGCTGGCGGTCTCAACCTTGGTTCCATCATTTTCTGCCACTTACCCTGTTTTTTTCACCTGTAAAATTGTTATTCTAAAAACCCAAATCAGGGGTTCCAGCAAACGGGGAAATGATAGCTGCTAGATGATGATTAGCCAAGTCTCACAAAATTGCAGCTCAAGAAACTGGGGCTCTGAGAGGTTAAGTTCCTGCTCCGAGGCCACCCAGCTGAGGAGTGAGTTGTTTGGATTAGGGCCTGACTAAGTAGCACCAAGGACTGCACATCTTAGGTGCCATGAGCTGTGGCCTCTCAAAGGAAAGGAGGGGAGGGCCTGAGGCTTAACTGAACACTTGCAGGCTGAGCCAGAACCTGCCCTGTGGGCTGCCAGGCCTTCAGGGGTGTGCAGGGAGAGGCGTCCCACTCCCATGGCCCAGGGAGGAGCACTGGGGACGAGTGATGGGAGTGGCAGCCACTTCCTGCTAGAAGACAGCCCAGTGAGTTCCCTGGGTGTCCTTTACCCTGGAGCCCTCCCCTCTATGAGCCTTTTGGACCCAAGACTGCAGGCCCCACTCTCACTGAGGCTAGGACACCACAAGCAGCTTCCTCCCTTCCTCCTTTCTGATATTTGCTGAGGCTGCTGTGTGCCTTGTCCTGGGTACTAAAGACACAAGGCAGACACAGCCCTCCCCAGTGGCAGTAGCTTGTAAAGGCCCTGATGGAGAGAACACAGGGCATTGTGGTCCCAGAGGATAGGGCTCCTCACCCAGACTTAGGGGCTGGAAGAGGGCTTCCTGGAGGGAGAGCTGTTGAAGCTGAGAGCAGAGGAATTATCCAGGGAAAGAGGGCAGGAGAGCAGGTTTCAGGCAAAGATCAGCATGCACAAGGGCCTGGAGAGGTCAGGTCACAAAAGGTCTTGAAGTCTGTGCTAGAGAGTCTGGCCTTTACTCCAGGGCCCCTGGAAGCCATGAAAAGGTTCTAAGCAGGGGGGTGTCATGTCAGATTTGAGGTTACAACATGCACTCTGGCTGCTGTGTGGATTGCAAGGGGAGGTGGGGGGCCAGAAAAGAGAGTGGATGGAGGCTGTGGACACGGGGAAAGGGGCGCTACAAGGTAGTGTTCAAGTGTGTGCACCCTAGTGCACACGACTGCAAGTACACGTGTGCGTAGGTGTGTGTAGGGGGTGTCAGGGACTTGAGCTGAATGAGAGCCCCACCTTGTCCTCTAGGTCAGGGCTCACCCAGCATCCGGCACAGGGAATGGCCCATGGTAGAGACTCAGTGAATATGTGCAGTTCAGATCTCAGTGGGCACCAGGCGTCCGTGGCTGTGTGTGCGTGCATGCAGGCACATGTATGTGCGAGTGTGTCTCTAGAGATGTATGTGCACATGACAAGTGGTGAGGTGGCATCTCTCTGGCCATACTCCCTGGGTGGGACCCAGGAAGCCTTGGGCAAGAGGGTAGGCAGCGGTTGGCCTGGTCTGGACTGGCCCAGCCTGGCATAGGACACCTTGCACCCAGCCAGAGGCCACCAGCATAAGCTCTGCTTAGCTTTTGTGCCAGTGCTATCAGTCAGGGAGTTATCGCTGCTGCAAGCATACCTGCCTTACTCACTGCAGCTGAGCTGATCACAGGCAGTGGTGGGCGGTGGCACTGTGCTCTGGAACCGGCAGCATCTGGAGAGGCAGGCTCAGCTCCTCCTTGGGGACTCTGGCTTATTCTTCTGAATTCAGATGCCAGAGCATACGGCAGGAGCAGCGCCTGTGTCAGTGTGTGTGTGTCAGTGTGTGTGTCCCTGTGTGTGCTGTGGGTGTGTCCCTGAGCCTGCACGTCACCCTCTGTGCCTGTGGCTGAGGGTGCCCACCTGTCACTTTGTGAGCACAGCTTAGGGTGCCCTGTATCTGTGTGCACTGGTGCAGTCAGGCATTTGCGTGTGCATTTGTGTGTGGGGGTGGGGGGTTGTGGGTGATTCTGTGGTGTGTGGCATACAGGTTCATCCTGAGGATGCTGTGTGAGTCTGGGTGTCCGTGTGGTGTTGGCCATTGTGGGCTAATGTGTCAGGGCATGGGAAGGGCGTGCACCTGTGTCACTGTGGGCCCTGCGGGTGTGATGTATGGATGTGGGCTGGGTGTGACAGGCAGAGCAGCAGATGGCCAATCCTGGCCTGTGACGTCCATGACCAAGGCTCCGAGAGCCAGCCCAGGTTTCGGCGGGAATTTCCTTTCACCTCTATCACGTGCAGGGGAGGGCGGGGTGATGATGGGTGACTGCCTTCAGGGACTGTGGTGCCTGTCCTCCCCCCCCCCCGCCCCCCGCTCTCTGTACTGGGAACAGTACAGTACCCTCCCCTCCTCTCTGTCTTCTCAGGAACTTGGCCCTGCTGTAGCCTCAGGGCCAAAGGGATGGACACCCAGGGCCCCCTCCGACCATGGGCCCTAAACCCCGAGAGGACGCACAATCCCCACTCCTCCCGCTCCGCAGCCCTGCCCGGGGACCTGCTTTGGCCCATGGCAGGCAGCCTTGTCCAGGCTGGGATCTCAGGGTCTGGAAGCGCCCAGGCTGCCTGGGGAAGCATGGGGAGAGGGGGCAGCAGTTCCAGGGCAGGGGGCAGGTTCCCGAAGCCTGAGGAGCTCCTGGCCCAGGTGAGCCCCTCTCTGCTGGTGTCCCTGGCAGGTGGGTCCCGACAGGAATGCTCCGGTGGGGGTGCCCTGCTGCTGTGCCCTCCCAGGTGCACCTGCCCATCTCTCCCAACAGGTGTGCCCTGACAGGTGTGCCCGGATGGAGTTTCCCTGGGAGGAGCAAGGTGAACGACGGGGCCTCCAGGGCTCCCCAGGACTCCCTGCAGCCTCTGCACCACCCTGCAGCCCAGGAGGCCAGTGCCCTCCCTGCTGCCACTGGCTGCCCTGCCCGCAGCCCTGCCACCCTGGGGAGCTGACCCCGACCCCACCCGGCCCCCCACGTCCCAGCTCGGGGGCTCACAAAGGGAGAGGAGGGAAGAGCAAAATCGCAGAGATTTGTCTTGTCTGGGGCTGACAGCGGAGCGAGTGATTGCCAGGCCCGCTTGGCAGTTTTTAATCATTTTATCTCTGTTCTCGGCTCTCGGGGGAGACAGCCAGTGCTTAGCAGTCTGCTCAGAAAGACCTCGGGGCGCGTGGCGCAGCGGCGGCTCGGAGCTCCCATTATTAGCTGTGCTCTTCGGAGCGCGCTCCGATCTCTCCCGGGGGAGCCGGTGAAAAATTAACACGGGCCGGCGGCGCGGGCGCCCGATGTAACTGTAATTACTCCATTGATATTCCTCACACAATAGCGCTGTCATCAGTCATTTACATAAACTTTCTCTCCCCAGGACGGGCGGAGGTGCCTAATCCTATTGGGCGCTTCCACTGCATGCATTATACATGGCAGCTCCTAGGTGCGGACTGAGGGAGGGGCGGATAGCCGGGCTCTAGGTGAGGAGGGAGGGAATAATTGGGAAGGAGAATTGGAGAGGAGAGAGAAGGGGGAGGAGAGGAGGAAAGGGGAGGGGAAAGGAGAGTTGGGAAGGAGAATTGGAGAGGAGAGAAGAGGCTGGTAGGAGAAGAGGGGAGGGGAGGGGAAGGAAGGGAATAATTGGACAAGAGAAAAGGAGAGGAAAGAGAGGAGGGGAGGGAGAGACAGTGAGGCAGGGGCAGAGCCAGAAGCTATCTCTAGAGGGTGGGGCCCCCAGATGGGCTGGAGCCCAGTGGCGCTGGGGTCCCGCTTTGCCGGGTGAGGGTCCCTCTGCATCCTGGGGCCGGTCCCCGAGGGCTCGGTAATGGGGCTCCCAGCCAGCCTGCCCCTCCATCATCTGTCTGGCCTGGAGCAGGTGAATCTGATTCTCCAGGGGCCTCGAACAAAGCCGGGCCCATGCCCCACCCCTCTACCCGCCTGGAGGGTCTCACCCTAAGCTCCACTGGGCTCGGGCTGGAGGCTCTTCAGCTGCTAAGGAGTTAAAACCTCCCTGGAAATTATCCTGTAATGACCTAATTAAAGACTTCGGGCCACCTACTCTGGGGTGAAAGCTAATAACACACGCCCAACAATAATAATCCCAGCGGAGCCCCCCTGTTATTGCCGCAGCCTGGCCCCTTCCCACCAACCTCAGCTGACAGTCTCCCCTGGCCCTGCCTGTGCAAGCTGTTAGTGACTGGGGAGGGGGGCAGAGGAGGGCTCAGGATGGGACCAAGGGGAGAGGCCCAGGATAGTCAAATTTCCATTGCTGAATATTTAATGAGGCCCATGCGGTTTATTTGGTTGGCCTGTCGATTTTTATTCTTCTGTCAATAGCTTCTCATATGTGGGGCTGTGATGATCTTTAGCAGGGCCTCTCCAGGGACGGCTGCCACTAAATGCAATTATGGATTTTATACCTCAATGTGTTTGATATTTCCACTGATCTAATTTGCAGCCTGGTAGTTTATTGTTTGGCATTTTAATGGCGCTCAAATGCTATGGGAAATTTGATTTCTTTTTATAATTCCTCCTTAACGCAGTTAATGCGGGTGGCGGGATGGCCCAGATTTTAGAGCCCAATGTATAGAAAGAAGAAGGGAGGAGGAAAAAAAGAGAACACCCCGTTGTATATATTTAAAGATGTGTCCGTTGAAGGGGGAGCCCTTTGGGCCCTGGGTCCCAGATGCCTGCTGCTTCCAGAGCGGGGACCTCTGAGGACTGGCCTAGGGAGCTGGGGCTGAGGTGTGGGGGTGCTGGTGGTGGTACCAAGGTTCAGTCAGAGGGACCAGCGGGCAGCCCTGTGCCTCAGGTATCCTGAGCTCTGCACCCTGTAGGCCTTGGTATGGGACCCCTCCAAGTGGCTTCAGGTGACTGTCCTACCCAGTCTGGGCAGCTGCAGAGCCAAGAAGGCCAGTCCTTCCACTGGCACCAGTTTTTGTGACCTGTATCTGAGGGCAGGGGCTGCACCAGTCCTGGGCCTTTGAGGGTGGGGGTGATTCTGTGACATGCCTGTCATGTATGTGACAAGTCCTTGTGGGGTCTCACCATGTTCACCAGATGTGTCCTCTTCCCAAGTTCCCAGGCCAAGGGTATCTCTGCCTCTGTACCCACCTGTACCTCTCCTTCTTGTCCTGGCCTCCTTGGGAAGGGTAGGTGTGGGAGCATGGCCAGGATAGGCCAGGGCTGATCACTGTCCCAGAGCTCGGTTCCAGGCTGTGCTGGTCCTTTTTTCAGGCTGGACTGAGGGCAGACAGGATGCTGGCGTCCCAGAGCAAGCTGGAGGCTCCCACCTCTTCGGGCAGTTCCCCCAAGCTAAGCTTCCTGCTTTCCTGACAGTGAGTCCGCAGGCTGGGTGGCCAGCCAGGGGTGGCCTTCTGCCCTCAGATAGCAGGGTGGGGTCAGAGGGGACACTCGGAGAGCCATATAGCAGGACAGCTCGGGCCAGACTACCAGCAATTGTTCTGGACTTTCTAAAACAGCCTCTGGGGAAAAGGAGTTGAGAGAGACTCCAGAAGCACTTCCAAGTGACCTGCCTGGAAGTGACCAGGGGAAACGGTCCAAGACGAGTACACCGAGTTTCTCCACGAGGCACAGAGCTGAGTAGGCAACCTGGCACGGGGGCATGTGGAAGGAGCTGTGGGAAACAGCCTTGGGCCTTCTGGGGAGGTCTGTGCAGGCTCCTCTGGCCTGTAGGCCCCGAGTTCTGGTCTGGAAGGTCCCCTTTCCTGGAGCACAGGGGAGCCTGAAGTCCAGGCCTCTGAGATGATAGTCATAATTAAAGCTGCTGTTGACTGAACACTCTCTGTGTGCTGAGCACTGTACTAAGTGCCTTGCAACCATCATCTCTCTGCATCCTCAGGAAGCATAGGTACCATCAGTATCCTCATCTTATGGAGGCACAGACTGAGGCTCTGAGAGTTTTATGTCACCTGCCTGAGGTCATAGCTAATAGCAGGAACAGGACATGAACCCATGTCTGCATATCTTCATGGGCCCTGCACTTAGCCATGGTGCCTGATAGTATGGTCTTCTCGGGCCTGAGCTGGGCTGGGCTGGGTTAGGCGACCACCCCCACCCAGCTGGGTTCCTCCCTGTCTTGCCACCTCCCGCTTCTGTTCAGCAGCTCAAGTTTCTGTCCTTGAGCCAGTCCCTCCGCTGGAACCCACCACGCTGCTTGCTGAGCTGCACTGGGGAGGCTCTTTCTTCAAGGGGACTCTCTTCTCCCTCCTCCTGGGGGATTCCAGTCTCACCATCTCTCCCAGGTTTCTGCTGGATCCAATCCACCTTCCACACAGCTGCTGTCCACAGCACCCAGCCTCTTGCCACTCACGCGTGAGCAATTGTGGTCACAGCTGATGTGCCCCCATCCCAGCGAGGCCCTGGGCAGAGCACTTCACCCACGTTCTCTCAGAACTCTGTGAGATAGGGACCAGCTTATCCCCATTTTACAGATGACGCAACAGCCTCAGAGCAGACCCATTCCTGCTGGGGTCCTAGCTAAGATTCACAGCTTCCCCCAACAACCCCTTCGAAGCCCCCACCTGGAACAGTTCTTCCACCCCACAGCTCTGGTGTGTCTCGTGGCACCTAATGCCAAGGCAGTTTGTGCTCATATGTGTGTCCCTGGCCAGCCTAGGAGGCTGGAGCTGAGTCTGTCCTGCTCGCAGTCTGCCTGCTGCTGCTACAACAGGGCCTGGCACACCCGGGCCTGGGAAAGATTCCTGAGCACGCAGCTGGCTGAGCGGACCTGTGAGTGCATATGTGTGTGTGAGTGAAGTCCCCAGATCCTGTGTCCCAAACCTCTCCTCACAGCCATTCCAAGATCTCCTGGCCCCTTCCAGAGAGATTGCAGCCCTGATGCCAGGGCTTCAGGTGGTTCACCGTCTTTCTTCCACCCGCCCTCGGTGCTATCACCAGAGCTTCAGTGCCACCCACACTCCCACTTCCCCTGTCTACACTGTTTCCTCCACCAAGAATGCTTTTTTCCTTCTCTTCACCGGGCAAACTCTGCTTCTCCCAGGTCATCCCCCGAAGAGCCACCCCAGGTTGCCTGGAGGGGCTGGCCCTGCCTCCTCTGGGCACCCCCAGCTGTCCCAGCCCTTGTCATGTGGCTTTGCCACCGTCTCCCTCACTGCATGGGTGTTCCCGGAGGGTGGGTCTCTACTGCCATAATATAGACACTGGGGAGGGTCTGCTGAGTGAATGGAGTGAAACAAGGGGGAAGAAATGCTTCTGTTGATCATCTTAGATCATTCTCCTTGTCTTGGAGGCATGAGACAGACTACCTTTCTGCTCATTCAGAAATTCCCACCCTGGGGTGGAAGGGAAAATGGACTGAAACCCCGTCAGCCCTGGTTGTGGACAGGGACCCCGTCCAGGGATGATGGATCTGCAGCCCGGGAAATCGGGAATTGGCCTCACCCTGTGTCTGGGTGTTAAGTGGACTGCGCTCTCTTCCCACCCCCAGTCAGTGAAATCAGACCTGAATAATCTGATGTTCCACTTAGGAAAGAAAACAGGATTCCCCAGCCTGGGAGGAGCTGAGGCTGCAGTGGGCAGGGGCACAGCTTGCTGGTGTCAGTATCAGCCATCAGGGGCCTGATAAGATCTTCACAGCTTGTTATCCCGGGTCAGGCTGACTTGTGTGCACAGCTGGGGGCTAGGGGTGGAGGCTGGGGGGCAGTTCTCCAGGTAGCTGGATCAGCTCTCAGTAACCTGCCTGTGGTGAGGTGAGGAGCTGGGTACTTTCCAGACAGCTGCAGGAGGAACTGGGGGTCTCAGGGCCTCTGTCTGCCCCTGGGAGCGCCAACTCTCTTTGAGGCTCAAGTGCACCTTTGATAGAGCCAGCAGAACAGATGAATGGGGATGGCATGGTGCAGTGGGTCATGCAGACTCGGCAGTGTGACCCTGGCTCAGTCACTGCCCACTGTGAGTCCTTGGGCAACTCACAAAACCTCTCTGAACCTCCGTTGCCTCCTCTCTAACTGGGGAGCACAATCTGTACTCCCCTAGATTGTTGACAAGATTTAGTGATATCCTGTTTGTCCCTGACACAGCTGAGCAGCTCAACAAATTAGGTGTACATAGCAATCATTCATTATCCCAGCTGGGACACTTTTGGGCAAAAGGGGATGTCATTAGTAATTATGCTGGGACCACAAGTATAAGCCAGGACTGTCCTGAGCATCCTGGGATCTCTGGTCACCTGTCAGTACAGGGCCACAGGGTGTGTCCGTGGACTCCCTTGTGTTTCCCCAGTACTTGGTGGTGGTTGAAGGGCTTCTGGGGTCTTGAAAAGGAATTAACTCGAATCAATACTGTATAACCTTTATGGAGCACTTCTTGTGTGCCAGGCACTGTGTTTTCTCATTGAATTGTCACAGTAGCCCTACCAGGTAGACGCCACTTTCATGCCCACTTTGCACATGAGGAAACTGAGGCTCGGGGTCAAGTGACTTGCCAAGGTCTCACAGCCAGAAAGTGGCAGAACTAGAAACAGGTCTGGCCAGCTCCACCAAGGGAGTCTCAGTCACTGGCCCGCACTGCCCAGCAGCAGAGAGGAGAAGAGGCCCGGCTGATAAAGGCCATCTGGAGGCCAGGTGGGAGTCATCTCACCCTGCCAGGTAACGGGGCTGGTGGGCCCGCGCTGGTCTCTCCGGGTCCTCGGTGTCCTGTGCCCCCACCGGGGGGTATCTGCTGAAGTCGTTTCCCAGGCTGGAGAGTCTCCCCCATCAGCTCAGCAGCTGTCAGGATTAAAGAATGAGATGAGGAGAGAAATCCATAAAGTGCGAGTTTGGAAAAACCTGTTTGTTGGGTGAGCTATTGATCGACCGACTGGCCCTTCCCAAGTCAGCATTTAAGCTTTAATGGCCAGCAGAGGATGGTGGAGTCAGGCTCAGAAGAGGGAGGGGGGAAAGTTCACTCTCTCCCACACTATTCTTCTCCCGCATAACTGGCTCCCTTCTCTAGGACGGGGGTAGGGAGTGCCCGCCCTTCCCGCAGCCTTAGGACAGTTATCTTTGGGGATCAATTGTTCCCTAGTCTAAGGCTCCTTGTTTAATTCTGCAAAGCCCCATGGCCCCCTGCATTGTGGGATTATAGAGTGAAATGCTCAGAGTGGTCCCTCCATGAAACAGGGCTCGGGGAAGATAATGGCTTTGCCCTCTGGCTCAGCCGAGTGAGAACTCTACTTTGCCACTTCCTGGCCGTGTCCCTGCCCTTCCCTGAGCCTCGGCTTCCCTGTCTGTAAAATGGGACCACCACCTTCGCAGGGTATGTAGTCGGGGGTTGAAGCTGATGGAAGTTCCTGGCTGCAGCTTCCTTAGGCGGGAGCTGGTGGAGACAGGCGTGTTTCACCTGGGATTCTCTCAACCAAGACAGGCCCTTTCAGCAATTCTGTTGAGTTCCTCAGAATCCCTGCCAAGCGCTGACAAGGACGGAGGGCCTGGGGGCTTCTCCTGCCCTCCCAGCCCACCTGCTGTCAGTCTGCCGTGATAGAGCCCCCACCCTATGGAGACACTCGGCTCCCCTGTCCCACCTGGCCCAGCGGCATAGGCGTCCTGCCACGCTGTGTTGTTCCAGCTCGCTTTGAATCGCGTTCATCTGGCTGGGTTCCCCCCCTACCACCCACCACCGCCCCACTGGAGGTCCATGTGGAAGACCATCGCTCAGACCAGGGATCTCACCTCCCAGAGACCACCTCTCCCAGACACCACTCCAGATGGGCACCTTTCTCCAGAACTCTGCACTTGATCCCTGGCAGACCCGTTCACTGGCATCTCCCCTGGGCCTAGTCAGCCCTGTGGAGGGACACAGGAAGGACTCAGACCCGGAGCCTGTCCTTGGGGAGCACCCAGTCTTGTCAGTCTTGTGAGGGAGACATACATGGGATCCCAAATCCCTGCTGTACTTCAGGTCTGTCCTCCAGCCAGGCAGGGAGCAGGGCCATCTCTAACCCACCCCTTCTTGCAAGGGACATCGTTCCCAAGCTGAGCACAGACTGAATTTCAACCCACTCACTCCTCCGAGGAGCATCTTGTTCAGTGAACAACCTACACAACCACATAGGGCAGCCTGCTGGGGGAAGATCCTCGGAGGAGAAGTCAACAGTGTAGATCCCTTAAGTCAGAGATGCTGCTGGCAAGGCTGAGGGTGGAAGACCTGCCCTCCAGGAGCCTTGAGCACACAAGGAGGGAGGTCAGGGGATGATGTCTCTGGAGAACCATTCCAGGAGGAGCTAGCGAGGAAGTGGGCTTTGTCCTCGGAATTCATGGATTCCATGTTTAAGAGTTGGAGTTGACTCTCGAGTCCAAAGGGAGCCACAGGGGATTTCCAGCAAGAGAGCTCTGGAACCCCAACTGCTTTGTGGAGGATGGGGTGGGGGAGAAGCCGCTGAGGGAGGGAGGTCAGGAAAACAGCCCCACCGTGCCCCTGAGATAGAAGTCCAGTGAGGGTAGGGCCTGCTCTGGCTCTCAGAACATGCTTGGTACCATATCTGCCACCTAGTAGGCATTCGAGAAATACTTCCTGAGCCGATTATTAAACCAGGGGAAAGGGTTAGAATCCTAGCTCACTTCTCCTCATTTAAGGCCTGAGATCCCTGCCTTCTTGGCAGTGTGATTAGGGGCAGAATATTGGGCTAAACTCTGTTCCTCCTCTCAGAAAACCTGTTTTTGCTCTATGTTGATATGAAGTGACATGTCAGGGTAAAATATGGATGACAAGAGGGAAGTCTGCGTATCTAAAAAAGCAGGAAGGTGTGCCTGATCCCTCCCACTCTCATTTGTCCATCCACCTACCTACTCATCCAGCCACCTACCTATCCATCCATCTACCTACCCATCCATCCATCTACCTACCCATCCACCCATCTATCCGCTTATCCGCCTACCTGTCCATCAATCTACCCATCCATCCATCCATCCATCCAGCCCTCCCTCTGTCTTTCCATCCATGCAGTAGTCACTCAGGATCCACTTCATACAGACCCCATGTTAGGCAAATAAAGATACAGTGAAACCTACAGGCATCACCTGCCCTCGGGGGCCCACAGTCCAGGGGAGAGATTGACTGTCCAGGTGGCCAGGTGCAGCCTGCCCCTCTCCCGTGGGGCCAGAGCCAGGTTGCGCCCCTGTAAGATGAGCCCCTCAGCCCCTGGGTTCTACTTCTGGTGGATGAGCAGAGTCTGCCAGAGACTGTGTTCCCAGAACCAGACTCTTGGTCCAATCAGCAAATCTTTGTCAAGCTCCTGCCCTGTGCAGACCCTGCCCTTTCACTGAGACACAGCAGACAAGGTTCCTGTTCATACTCACCCTCTGCTCCTTGTGCTGGCTCTGGAATCGCTAAGGTACATTGAACAACCGGCTCCTAACACTGAGGTCACAGTCTAACAAGGGGGTAGGGGGTGGAACACACAATGTGATAGGTGCTCTAGCATTAAGGTTCAAGGGGTCGTTAAAAGGAAAGACTAACACATTTTGCTTTGGTGGATCAGGGAAGGTCTTATGTAAGAGGAAACAAATGAGATCACTCTTTTGACCAAATATTGTTTTAAAAATTATTACAAAAGCAGTATGGTGCACACCTGTTCCCAGCCAGTCAGGAGACAGGCTGGCGGATCGCTTGAGCCCAGGAGTTCAAGTCTGCAGTGTGCTATGATGGCACCTGTGAATAGCCACTGCACTCCAGCCTGAGCAACAGAGTGAGACTCCATCTCAAGAAAAAAAAAATGCTAGGAAAAATTCAAATAATACAGACTATATAAGCAAAGAAATGAAAGATCCTTCCCCCTACTCCAAGCCTAGTCCCTGAAGATAAACTCCCTTAGAAGGTGGAATAACTTCCTCTGGACATCGTTCGACACATTTACATTCTGTTCTACATGCATAACTTTGGGACACGCCGGGACCGTGCTGCACATGCTTTTTGGCAGCTTGCATTTTTCACTTGCCCGTTCCTTTCACCTTGGCGCCTTCAGCTCCTCCTCACTGTGCACCGGCATAGTGTTCATTTAACTAGTCCCCTGATGATGGACAGTGGGGTTTGCATCCTGGCCTTTTGACCCCTTGACTTTCACTCAAATCTGCCTGGTTTAAGAATGGTCAGTGGCTCAGGGTGCTGAAGTGTTGTGTGCTTCAGGGGGAAATCCATGACCCAGCAGTTCCTTCCAGGAAGCCACGCAGGGAGGACCCTTGGAACTGATGGCTCCTGCACAGGGCAGTGTGGAGCCCTGGCCCAAGCATGAGGTTACTAGCTTCTTGGGGAAGCCCAGGGATGTTAGCGCAACACCAGGCCCAACTCCGCAAGCCCACACTGTGTCCTTTGGGAAATGAGAAGCCTCGAGCAGCCAGCCTGAGGCAGTTCCAGGCATGGACTGGGTGAGTTCACAGGGACACAGACCTCTCTCCCCAGAGATCCGACATCTGCCTCCAACCCTCCATCCTCCTGTCCCCAGGGAGCTGCCGTCTGTGCCCTCCCACTCTGCTCTCCTGACCCTGGCAGCTCCCTGGGTGATGGGAAAGGCAGCTTTCCAGCTGGTGGCCCTGACTCTATGCACAATGCATTTTTATTTTTTCAGCACGTTGTGAAATTCATAACTCCCAGTAATGACTTCCTCACTGAACTGGGAAAAGGGAAGGGGAGAAAAAGGGCCTATAAGAAAAATGAACCGTGGCAGGCGTGGACTCCATTTGTAACAATATGGAAATTGATCGTTGAGTCAGAGGAAAGTTTGCTTAGCTGTGCTCGGCACTAATAGCCGGGAACATTAGTGAACCCAGGGAATGAGTTATAGGCGCATTAAGGAGGCTTCGAGGCTCCCTAGCCTCCCTCGAAGGCAGGTCCCAGCCCTGCGGGTCTGCCCACCCTGGCACTGGCTCCTTCCTGCCCTGGGAGAACCAGGCCAGGCTCTGTGCTAGAGAAAAATGCAAGCACCATCTTGATGGAGTGTTGGGGGCGGGACCCGGCTTCAAATCTCAACTCCTCCCTCCTGTGAGCTGTGGTACCCAGGGCAGGTGACTTGGCTTCTCCCAGTCTTGATTTTCTCATCCGTAAAATGGTGTTAATTATCCATCTCAGGGGGCATGAGAGGACTGGGGACGATCATTAATATAAAGCAAGGAGCACAGAGATTGGGCATGTTGGTGGCACAGCAAGCTGGATGGATAGATCGATGGACAGGTACATGAGTGATGACTCTTCAGGTGAAGATGAGGCCTGGAATCTGGGGGATGCTGGGCTGCCCGTTGGAGGCACCAGGGGTGGCAAGGCTGCCTAGGACCATAGAGGTTACCAGGACTGAGGGGGCTGTGACAGTAGGGACTGAAAGTTGGGACCAGGTAATTGGGTGGAGGGAGGCAATGGCTTGCAGCCTCCTCTGCACGTGGTCAACTCCCAGAGGCAGAGCTCCACCCGGATCAGGCCATGCCGCACGGGAAGCTCTGCTGGTCCTTTAGAAGCAGCATGATCTGAAGTCATGGTCCTTACACCCGCCCATCCAGAACCTGGCCTGCTTGCCTGCTTCCTGTCTTGGTGAGAGGCACCTACCATCTTCCCAGGTACTTAGGTCTAAGCTACCTGTATCTTCCTTGTTGCTCCCTCTCCCTCACCTACAGGCTGACCATTTGACCCCCTGACCATCACTCAAATCTGTCCCCTTCTCTCCGTCCCCTTCACCTCCCCTATCCCAGGCCTCCCCATCCCTCCTCTGAACAACTGCATCAACCTCTTCCTGGCCTCCCTGCCTGCTGTCTGCCTCCCCGGCCCTGAAGTCAGAGTGAACTTTTTTAAGGTCTGACCCTGTCACTTGCTTGCTTAAAAGCCTTCCATGCTCTTATCACCCTTTCAGGGACTCAAGACCTCTAGGAATCTTCCAGAGGCATCTCTCCTGCTTTTCCTCCCTGCGTCCTCCCAGCCCCGTCCCTTGTGTGCTCTAGAACCAGAGTTCTCCAACTCAAGCAGGCCTCAGAATCCCCTGGCAAGCCTGTTCAACTATGGATTGGCACCGCTACTTTCCCAGAGTTTCTGATTTAGTGAGTCTGGGCTGGGGCCCAAGAATTTGCATATCTAACAAGATCCCAGGTGATGCTGAGGCCACTGATGGGGGAACCTCATCTTGAGAACCTCTGTTGTTTTATTTTTATTTTTTTGAGACAGGGTCTTGCTCTGTCCCCCAGGCTGGAGTGCAGTGGCGCAGTCTTGGCTCACTGCCATCTCTGCCTCTTGGACTCAAGTGATCCTCCCCATCTCAGCCTCCCAAGTAGCTGGGACTATGGGCATATGCCACCATGCCTGGCTAATTTTTGTATTTTTGTGTAGAGACCAGGTTTCGCCATCTTTCCCAGGCTAGTCTCAAACTCCTGAGCTCAAGCAATCTGCCCACCTTGGCCTCCCAAAGTGCTAGGATTACAGGTGTGAGCCACCGAGCCTGGCAGAGAACCACTGGTGCAAGCACAACAAATTTTGTACTGTTCTCAAACATCAGTTCCATCCCTGCTTGCGAAGCTTGGCACCTGCTGTGCCTGCTGTTGAGAATGTTCCTTCTTCCCCTTCTCAGCTTGGTGAGCCCCTGTTCATCCTCTCCTACATCCCCCAGCAGAGGCAGCAGCCAGGAGCCCCTCTGTTCAGCAGCCTTTTGTCTCTGTTTGTCCCACATGCTGGGGACTCCTGAGCCCACTGAGGAGGGCTGGGCATAGGAGACTTCAGATAAGGAGCTTCCTGCCCTGCCCCGAAGTCGGTGGCATGTTCTGGCACGTCAAGTGAGGGACTTGGCCGCCAGGGATGTGGGCCATCTGTAGGGTCACAGACCTTGGTCATCTTTTCTAGGGGCCAGAGGGAGCAGAGGCCTCTGGGAAGCCGAGACCAGAGCTGCAGCTCTGACCGGTCAGCTGAGAGGCAGGCGGGAGCTCCGAGGGGGCAGCCTTGTTTTGTTTTAATCATGGGTGAGATGCTGATGTGGCCCTCCCTGGGGACGATAAAGGGGAGGCCAGCCCCATGGGCGGTGGAGGCGCTTCTGCAAACAGCGAGGGAAACCCGAGTCAGCAGCGGCCAGGGAGAAGGACCAGTTGTCCTGGAAAGAGGATGTTAATGACACCGGAGGGCAGCGGGAAAGCCCCAGGCAGGCCTGGTGGCCCCCTCGCTCCTGGCCTCTCGGCACTGCCCACCACTCAGGCCAGCCCCTCTCCCTTCCTGAGGCCAGTGTGGCCGGGGCAGGCAGGAGCCCGCTAGGAGCCTCCAAGCCGCTGGAAGTTGTTGGCTGCAGCAAAACTTGCTGCGCATCCTTTCTGTGGGTGCCCTGGGCGGCCCTCGGCAGGCAGGGAAACTGCTCGCCATACCTATTTTAAACACCAGTGTAATGGTTTATGGCCCATAGAGGGATAATTACGGAGTGCAGAACCCAGCTTTTATGGCCCCTCCTCCCCGGGGCACACTTAGAGAACAGTATGTGTCATGTAGCCAATTTAGATAATGATTCTGATAAAGATAAACGGAATTGTTTATTATAAGTAATTGAGTCTGCTAAGGCCCAGATGAGGCGGTGATGGGGAAGGACTCCTAGGATGTGGGGACATGGGGACAGGTCCTGGATGGGGCTCCAGGGTGGAGGAGAAGGGCCTGCCCCTCTCTCCCTCCCCATCTCTCTCTCTCTCTCCCTCCCCATCTCTCTCTCTCTCCCTCCTTCTCTCCGTGCTGGGGCTGACTGATCCTCCTCCATCCCGGGCAGAGGCTGCTCCTGGGCATAAATAAATCATGGGGTTTTCTGTTGAGTCAGCTGAGTGGGGGAGGCACCTGGAAGGAGGGACTGGGGGGGGTGGCTCCAAGCTGCCCCGGGAAGGGCAGCCTGGCCTATCTGTCCCCAGACCCCGAGGGCTGCCATCCTCCTCAGCAGGCAGCTGGCAGGTGCAAGGGGTGGGGCACAGGGGGCGGGGGTCAGCCCAGAGCTGAGACTGCAGGGTTGTCTCAAGGGGACAGCGGCCTCCTGTTGGGGGTCTTTGTGAAGGATAAACAAAACGAAGGGCCTTGGAGCCCACCTTCTTCTCCCCCCCTCCCAACAACACACACACCTGAGACCTCTAATTACGCCTTAGCCCCAGGCAGGGCCATGGGAACGCTGCCCTGTAACCCACTGCCTGACCCCTCTCCCCTGGGCCCCGCTCCTCTCCTGAGGCCGACTCAGTTCTCACTGCAGGGAGGAGAGGGGTCCCACAGACCCAGATTCAGGAACATGGGGTGCTCAGAAATTAGAGCCTCTGAGAACAGGGTCCCTGTCCCCAGCATCTCTGAGATGAGGATCCCACAGACCAGGGTCTGAGCTGGGAGTTCAACAGGCGGGGTCTGCTCTGAGGAATCCGACAAACTGGTGAGTCCCCTATGAGTAGGACCCTACAAGCCAGGGGCCTAGGTGGAGGATCCCACAATCTAGTTTGAACAGGGACCCTACCAGCCAGGGCCATCGAGACAAAAAGAAACCCAAATCAAACCACAAGCCTCGGTAGTGGCCAGAGATGGGGGGGGGCCTGCCTGCGGTGGGATACTCCAAGGCTTGGGGGTCCCAACAGCCAGGACCCTTGAGGCAGGGTCCTCACAACAGAGATCCAGTGGCCCCTCAGACCCAGGTGGAGGGGCCCGGCTTGGCTGCCTGAGGCTGCAGCTCTCCCGATTGAAACCCAAACCGGAGGAGCTGCCTGTCACGGTGCCTGTGATCCTGTGATCCGAGGCATGATTGAGAGGGGGCGCGGCAGGAGGGGGCTGCAGGCCCCCAGGCAGCCCCTGTGTGGAGCAGCAGGAGTCTGAGGAGGAGAAGGGGGGGGGGATTTTCTCTTTCTTCCCGGCCTGCTTATCTGATCACAGAGGAGGGAAGGGCTCCCGTTCAAAGGCAGTCTCCTTATCAGCTGGGGGTTTGTTTGGAACGATAACTGCACCTGGCAGGGAAGCCTTCCTGCAGGTGGGGGTGCGGCCGCATGGGCGGGGCTGGCTCCAGGGTGTGTGTGTCCACACGGGAACGTGGCTACCGCTAATGCTACGTGAATGTGCATCCCATGGTCTTCGTGTGTGCAGGTCTGTCCTCCGTGTGTACACATCTCCAGGCCAGTTTGTGCTCCCACCTGTGCGTGACTGTGTGTGTGTGTGGATGGGCACAGAGTACATCTGCCCTCGGCACAGGAGAAAGAAGGGACTCAGATCTGGGCCTGGACTGGACTGGGCACTGCTTGGCGTCCACATGATGGGGGTCCCTGCCAATCCCACCCATGTCCTGTCTCCAGAGTGAAGTACCTGGAGCCTGTGGGAACAAGGGGATGGGTCAGGAGCAGAGGTTGTGACATCACAGTTCACTTGTGGGCACAGCAGGGACAATGGGGAAGAGGCTCCATGGATGCTGAGGTGTAGCCCCAGCGGGTGTTGATGGAGAAGAAAAGAGCCTGTGGAGAGGCCAAGGCACGGGCCAGATCAGGGGAGCAGGATGGGCCAGCTGAGGGCTGGGCAAGACTGAAAACAAACCCAGCAAAAGGGCCCAGGGTTGCCTGAAGATAGGAACAGAGCGGTGCCTGGGTCTTTTTGTGCTAGGAGCTGATTTAGCTTAAAACACATCCCCCCATCCCAAACCCAAACCCATTCCCCTCTGTGTTTTGTTTTGTTTCAAGTAGATGCTTTTTTTTTTTTTTTTTTTTTTTTTTTTGAGACAAGGTCTCACTTGGTCACCCGGGCTGGAGTGCAGTGGCACAATCACAGCTCTCTGCAGCCTTGACCTGCCAGGCTGAAGCAATTCTCCTACCTCAGCTACCCCCGATGAGCTGGGACTACAGGTGAATGCCACCACATCCACTAATTTTTTGTATTTTTTTGTAGAGATGGGGTTTTGCCATGTTGCTCAACCTGGTCTCCAACTTCTGGGCTCAATTGCTCTGCCTGCCTTGACCTCCCGAAGTGTTGGGATTACAGGCTTGACCCACCATGCCTGGCCCTAAGTAGATGCTTTTTAATTCAGCTTTTTATTTTGAGATAATTGTAGATTCATAGGCAATTGCAAAAAATAGAGAGGTCCCTGTACCCTTTGCCCAGTCTTGCACAGCCGCGGGACAACATCACAGCTAGGACGTCCACGTCAACACAGTGCCGACTGCACTTAGACTTCTCCAGTGTTGGGTGCGTTTGTGCATGGAGCTCTGTGCCAATTTATCACATGCGAACGTTCCCGGATCTGCCCCCACAGGATCCCTCCTGTTGCCCTTTCATGACCACACTCAGCTCCCTCCCACCCTTCATCCCCAGCCCCCTGGGTTGTGTTGTGTTGTTTTGTTATTTAATCTTATTAAATGGCACCTCCACCTCCCAGGCCCCCAAGCTGAACATTAGGACGTTGTCTTGGTATCTCTCATCTTTACTCCCCACCCCCTGCATCAGGCCAATGGTTGGCCATCCAGGCCTGGACATTCACTCTATTAATCATTTCTGGAACTCTCCCCTTCTCTCCATTGGACCTGGACTCCCAGCTCCCAGGCTTGGTCTTGCCAATCCACCCAGCACTCACTGCCATACCCCGATCCCCTACAGCTCCACCATTCTTAGGATAAGAATGTGGAATATGCCGCTGCTGGGGCCCTACTCATCCCACCAGTCTCCACTCTCTGTGTTTGTTCCAGCCCTTCTGAGCCACTCCCGAGATGCCACACTGTCCTGGCTGCGCCCACTCAGGCTTCCTCCTCTTGGGCAGCTCCTGCCCTTGCGCAGGTTTCAGCTGAACGTCCTATCCCGGGAACCTTCCCTGACACTCTGCTCAGGGTTGCTGCCCCCTGGCTGGGCTCCCACAGACCCCCATGCCTCCCCCACTCCAGCCCTGATTTCACGTATTGTCATGGTCTGTTTACTCAGCAGCCTTCCCCAGAGACAGCAAATAACTTGGAGGCAGAGACTGTGTCTGGTTTAGTGTGGTGAGCCTGTCTATGAGGTGGGGAACGGGCACCTGAATCTAGTTTGTGTGAATGATGAACAGGTAGGTTGGTGGTAGGTACCAGGTTGGCCTGGCATGCCCACTTAGGGTGGAGGCAGCCAGCCAGGGGCTGGAGCAGGTAGAAGGAGAGACTGTTTGCTTCTCTCTTGCCCAAACTGTAGCCACACATCCCAGAATGGAGCCTTCCCCATGTGCCCTCTGTCTTCTCCCAGTGACTCCACTGCCGAGGTCTGAGCACCTGGCTCTAGAGAAGGAAACGAGGAGCAACTGCTGAGTGCCTGCTGGATGCCAGACTCTGAGCATGCCACGGAGAGCCAGGTGGGCCCATGAGAAGAGGAGAGGGTAGGCTTGGTATCTCTCATCTTTACTCCCCACCCCCTGCATCAGGCTAATGGTTGGCCATCCAGGCCTAGACATTCACCCTACTAATCATTTCTGGAACTCTCCCCTTCTCTCCACTGGACCTGGGCTCCCAGCCCCCAGGCCTGGTCTTGCCAACCTACCCAGCACTCACTGCCATACCCCCATCCCCCACAGCTGTGACACCCAGTCCTGGGTCTGTTGCTTCCTGTTGTGACCTGGGGCAAGTCCCTTTACCCTGTGAAATGGGGCGGTGGTGTTAGGATCTTCCTCATGCACTCCTGGGAGGAGCAAAGGAAGAGGTGATGAGAGTGAATGTGACGAAGACTTGTGCTTTTGCCATGGGATAATCAACTTTTTGGAGGTGCCCAAAGATGCCCTGGCCTGGGGCCACTGTCAGGAGGTTGTCCGCAGCTCAGCCCTGACCACTGCTTGGCCTCAGAGGCCTTGTGAGCCTTGCCGCCTCACCCGATGTGGTGGCCCCCTTCGATGAGGGCATCTGAGGGTCCTGGCTGCCCTAGACCACCCCTCCAGCACTGGAGGCAGTGGCAGGTGCTGGAGGAGAATGCCGGTGGGGGTGAGGGAGCTGGCCAGGGACACCTGCCCAGCACAGAGGAATTCTGTCTCAAGAGGGAAGACAAACAGATGGTAAGGGGAGCTTTAAGGTGACCGTGTCATGGAGTGGAATCCCGGCTTTGTCCCCTACTAGCTGAGAGGCCCTCCACGTGGTAAGCAGCAAGGAGGGAGAGGTTTCTCCTGTTTTGTTCACGGATGTATTCTTAGACCCAGAGCAATGCCTGGCACGTAGTAGGGGCTAAAAAAAGTGCTTGTTGAATGAATGAATCAACCTTGGGTGAATCACTTTGCTAAGCTTCCCTTGGAAATGGAGATACAATGATACTGTTTGTTTTGTTTTAGGTATTGTTTTCATAACATAAAATTTCACATAACATAAAATTCACCATTTTGAAGTGTACAATTCAGTGGTTTTTAGTATGCTCACAAAGTTGGGTGCTGCTGTTTTGATCATTGAAAGTAGTGCCTGGCTCACAGCTGCGCCATGGATGTCAGGTCGTCTTTTCGTTTATGATGCACACCTGCTACTTCCCAAAAGGGTATAGACAGCTTCCAAGAGGAGGCGAAGAGTCAGTCAGGTTCTCAAAAATAAAAGCAGAGGATCAAATCCCTAGAGTGTACGGGGGAAGTATGTCAAATGCCCAGGCCAATCTCCACTGAAGTAGAGGATTAAATTGAACTCTGAGCATCCTAGCAGCCCAGGTGGAAGGAAAAATGGGATGAGAGAGAGAATTCACATTGTCTGACCACAGGAGGCTGATGAGTTCATTGGGAGAATAGATATATTTTTACCAAATTTATTTTTTGCAGTTTCCTTAAATGAGGAATGGAAAACAGACAGGTGTCAATGAGCACCTCTGTTGAAGTGAAATATTAAACAAGATCTTCAGGCCGGATGCAGTAGCTCACACCTGTAATCCCAGCACTTCGAGAGGCCAAGGCAGGCAGATCACTTGAGCTCAGGAGTTCAAGACCAGCCTGGGCAACATAGTGAGATCTGGTCTTTAGATAGATAGATAGATAGATAGATAGATAGATAGATAGATAGATAGATAGATAGGATAGATAGATCCTCAGAGGCCATCTCCCCAGGCTCATGGTTTCAGACAGACAAGGACGAAGGCCTCAGAAGCCACTTGGAGGAGGCATTTCTGAAGGCCACTGTACCGAGGAAGGAAGGGATGTGATGCCTCAGGGAACTCTTGGGACATGGGGAGAGGTGGGAGCCTAGCTGGAGGGCAGTGGTGTGTTCCTCCTGCCCATCCCTCAAGCCTGCATGCTCTCAGCAGGTGAGAGCTGAGTTCTCTGACATATGAGTCTAAAACAGTTGACTGCAAGGTTTCTCAGGCTCAGCAGGTTGATGTGGTGGGTCAGCTCATGCTTTGTTGTGGGAGGCTGTCCTATGCATGTAGGGTGTTCAGCAGCATCTCAGCTGCCACTCACAGGATGCCACTGGCACCGCATCCCCCAGTCCATGGCCATCAAAAATGTCTCCAGACATGGCTGAATGCCCCTTGAGGCAAAATCACCTCTAATTGAGAAGCACTGAGTAGGGAAAGACACCAGGCCCTCTGACCTTCTATGTGCCAGACCCTCAAAACTCCCTCTATCCCAGATCTGGCTTTTTCCTATTGCCTGATGAAAGAAGGATTCACACTCTTAGGGGTGGCCCTGGTCACCTAACACTTGCCTGGCCCTACTGCCACCTTTTAAGCAGCACTTGTGCAATTTTTTCAATATTTTATTGCATTTTGTTCTGAGATTTTGAAAAAGTAAAATAAGTGAGAACTGGGCAAAATAAAAGCACTATTACTAGTAAGAAGAAACATTTTTCCCACAAAGGTAGACATCACCAGCTTGGCAAAGTGAACATAAGACTGTCTGATGGTGAAGAGAAATAATGACATTTAAACACATAAATATGGTAGAGCATAAAATGCTGGCAAGTATCTTTCTTGGTCAGGTATCTGATATGACGCACAAAATGCATGAAATAGGCAAAGCATATTTGAGAATCTGACCCTACTTTCAGTTCTCTGCAAGCAGAACTCTGCTTATGTGCAAGTCTGTTCCCCAATGGTGACATGTTTCCAGGATCACCTTATCCTTGGGAGCAGGGGATGCCTGCCTGCATCTGGGGTCAGGACTGGGGTTGGGGGGAGAAGATCCACAGACTTTGGATCCTGGAAGCCTCCTCAGGGAGGCTGGCTGGGCATCCTCACCACAGAGCCCTTGCCATTTCCACAGGGGCACGCATGCCCTGGCTCTGCAGCTCCCGGGCCAGAGTTTTGGAAGTGGGAGAATCTTGATGCATCCATTCATTCATTCAGGCAAGCATTCGGCCACTAGTGAGGACTTGCTTATGCGCCAGCCAGCGTATGAGATGAAGAACATACCAAGATAAGTCAAGGAACCGCAGGGAGCTCCCAGTTTTGTGAGATCACCTAGGGCTGTCCATTTCTGTGATGCAGGACATTCCCTGCATGAGGGCACCCAGCCTAGGAGTGAGTTGGGGACTGGACCTGGCACAGTCCTTTGTCTGGCCAGAAGAAGGGGTGCCTGCCTCACTTAGCAGCACAGTCCAGGGTGGGCTAGCCGTCCAGTGATCAGAGTTTCCAGAAGAGGCTGGGCAAGAGGCCCTACTTAGGTCCTTGCTTGGGGGAATAAGCAGTGGGATGGGGAGGTCTTAGAAGAGGGGCCAAGGGACCTGAGTGGGAACAACCAAGCCGGAGACTCCTGGGTATGAAGGGCAGAGAGGGAATCCCCAGCCAAGTGCAGAGGTCAGGGGTCTGTGTCTGGGGAATGTGGGGGCTGGGTTGTAGGAGTGGGACAGGGCAGGAGGGGGGTGAGTCTACAAAGGGTACCAAATGTCAGGCTTGGGGTTTGGAGAAAGGGAGTCAAGCCTCTAAAATGAGGGAGGGACTTACTAGCTCTGGATCCCTTTGGCCAGGGTGTGGGGAGTGGGTAACAGCAAGCCAGCCTCAAATTCGGCTGGCCCTCCCCCTGGCTGCCGGGCCCGGGCACCCCTGCTGCTGACCCCCTGCCCTCCCTGCCGCCTGCCAGCCCCCTCCCTCTGGTCCACATTCCCAGCTCCTGATTAGATTTGGGAAGGACTAATTAGATATAATTCATTATCCTCAAAAATGAGATCAGAAATCAGGAGCTCTCCTCAGAAGAAGGTGGCCTCGCCCCTCATCCATCATGCCTCTAAGTAACCAATTTAAAGGCAGGCGGCCGCACCCGGCAGCGTTATTACCTTGTCATAAATAGTTAGGGGAAGGCCCCCGAACGAGGCAGCTTTATAAATGGCTTTTATCACATTAGTTTGCAGTTATTTGTCATCCACTTTGCTTAAGATAAATGCCGAACAAATAATCAAATTATCAAGCCAAAACCTGGGAAAGTCATTTGCATTCATTGCAGCAGGAGAGACCGGGGGTTCAAATTCAGAAAGCCCCCTTGCCTGTATCAGGCCTGGTTTGCTGTGGAGAGAAGGAGGACTTCCTGGGGACATGAGAAGTCCATACTGGAGGCAAGAGGCACCCAGAAGCCCCACATAGGATGGGGCAGGCCTGATCCAAGGCTGGGATACAGGGTGGGAGGGACCCTTCAGGGGGCTGAGAGGCGGGTGTTCTGGGGCTGGGGTCTGCCGAGGTATCCTCTCCTTCATGCACGCACAGAGAGGCATGCAGACGCTCAGACGCACTCACAGGCACACTTCTTACTGTCTGTTGCTGGGAGCCAGGGCCTTTTGTCTAGCCCCAGAAGGGCCCTGTCACAGGCCTGAATGGGCCCCCTTCCCCCATAGAGAGTGACAGCTTCAGGCAACTCATGCCCCAAGCCTGTCTGGTTCTTGTCCTGGCCACCAGTGCTGGGCAGGTGGTGAGGAGGGTCCCAGGCCTGGGCAGAACGTGTCCAGGGGCACTGCTGACCCTCTCCCAGCTGGGCTGGGAAGGCGCCCTCCAGCAGCGGCTCCTTAGTGGAGAATGGCAATTTCACGCTGTCCCCAGGAGGCTGTCCTGTGCTCCAGCTGGGCCAGGGCTAGGTCGGCCCTGTAGGCCCCCATCCCTCCTCATCCCAGCAGGGCGGGCATGGCCCATCCAGCCTCTCCACACATTCTCAGGCCAGGGGCTCTGCTGGCTCTGATGATGCTGGCTTAGCTTCAGAGGTGGTCCTGTGTGGGGGTGCCTATACCGGCCTTAGAGATTGTCCTGTATGTGTGTCTATACTGGCCTTAGAGATTGTCCTGTGTGTGTGTCTATACTAGCCTTAGAGATTGTCCTGTGTGGGGATGTCTACACTGGCCTTAGAGATTATTCTATCTGGGGGTGCCTACACTGGCCTTAGAGATTGTCCTGTGTGTTTGTCTACACTAGCCTTAGAGATTGTCCTATGTGGGAATGTCTACACTGGCTTCAGAGATTATCTTGTATGTGTGTCTACACAGGCCTTGGAGATTGTCCTGTGTGGGAGTGTCTGCACTGGCCTTAGAGATTGTCCTATCTGGGGTGCCTACACTGGTCTTAGAGATTGTCCTGTGTGTTTGTCTACACTAGCCTTAGAGATTGTCCTGTGTGGGGGTGTCTACACTGGCTTCAAAGGTTGTCCTGTGTGTGTCTACACTGGCCTTGGAAATTGTCCTGTGTGGGGGTGTCTACACTGGCTTCAGAGGTTGTCCTGCGTGGGGGTGTCTACACTGGCTTCAGAGGTTGTCCTGTGTGGGGGTGTCTACACTGCCCTTAGAGATTGTCCTGTGTGGGGATGTCTACACTGGCCTTAGAGATTGTCCTGTGTGGGGGTATCTACACTGGCTTCAGAGGTTGTCCTGTGTGGGGGTGTCTACACTGGCCTTAGAGATTGTTCTGTGTGGGGGTGTCTACCCTAGCCTTAGAGATTGTCCTGTGTGGGGGTGTCTACACTGGCTTCAGAGGTTGTCCTATGTGTGTGTCTACGCTGGCCTTATAGTTTGTCCTGGTGTGGCCAAGGCAATGTAAGCTTTCTGTGGTCCGTGTACAACTGCTTGGAGCTGCCCAAGAAGTGACTTCTAAGGGCAGTGTAAATAGTATAGCAATGAATGTGGATGCTGCAGCCAGGTGGCCTGGGGTCAAACCCCAGCTCGACTACTGTGAGACTTTGGACAAGACACTTACCCTCTTTGTGCCCCAGTTTTCTCATCTGTAAACTGGAGTTAGTAGCAGTAGCCACCTCCACTGGTCACTGTGAGAGTTAACTGAGTTAACATTGTGAAAGGCTTGTATCAAAGCCTAGAACATGGTAAACCCATAGAAGAGCTTGGAATCCATGTGAGGGGGATTGCAAAGGCTGATGTGAACCCTTGGGGTGATCTCCACTGAACTCTACTATTTATCTGCCCCTTCTTTCACCTAACAACAGTATTCCCTGAGCCCGTAGTGTGGCTGTGGCGGCAGCTCCAACCAAGCCAGTTGAAGTCAATGCCTACTGTGGTTCTTGGGTTGGACTCAACACAAATGATGAAACAGGCAGTGACAGGGCATTTTGGGAGACGCCATGATAGGGGACCCACAGGCAGCTGCTGGAGAGTCAGAACAGGAGTGCTCAACCAGTCAAGGGACCCCACAGAGGATGTCCCTACAAAAGCAACGTCTAAACTTAGAGCTGGGATCTGGGATGGGTAAGAGGTAGCCAGGGGAAGAAGAATGGAAATTTGGAAAACATCCCACATGGGACAGCCTCACACAAGGCAGCCTCTAACCGTAGTAGACACGCCCATACACAGGACAACCTCTGAGGCCAGTGTGGATGCCCTGACACAGGGCGACCCCTCAAGCTAATGTGGACACCCCACGCAGGGCGACCTCTCAGGCCAGCGTGGACGCCCCACGCAGGGCGACCTCCCAGGCCAGCGTGGACGCCCCACGCAGGGCGACCTCTCAGGCCAGCGTGGACGCCTCATGCCTGGCCCCCTTCAAGGCCCTGTTGGCTTCTCTCCAGGAACTCTGTCTGTCGGGGCCAGAGTGGGTTTCTGAGCAGTTGGACAGACTAGGCAGCCAGGATGGGGCAGCTGCTCTGGGTATGGTGGGTGGAGGGCCACTGTAGGGGGCACAGAGGCTGAGCCGAAGCACATGGTCGCTGTCTGTTTGTGGGGCAGCAGGAGCAGGTTTAATGGGCCAGCCCCGGAGGCCATGGAGAGGCGGCTTTCAGAGGAACCCCAGACAAGGGAGGCCCCTCCCTCCTGCCCCAACTGCCCCAGCTCAGCTGGGCCACCAGGAGCCTGGGGCTCTGTGGAGCCCTGTGGGGCCCCGCCCACCCCTCCCCACCTGCCAGCCTGCAGTGTGGCTGCGGGGCCCGAGTTGAGCAGGCACCTGAGAATGCCAGGCCCCAGTGGGAGGGGCTTGGCCTGCCCCTCTCTATCCTTGGAGCCCTGAGGGTTTCCTGCAAGGTGTGGCCGCTGCAGAGGGGAGGGGGACACCTGGCCAGGCCTGCAGCGCCCCCTGGCCCAGTGGCCCCTGCAGCCCTCAGCCGCCTCAATCAGTCATCTCCCTACCCTCTGAACAGCTGGTGCTTCCAGGGAAATTACCTAATGAATCAACAATGCAGGGATTGTGGAGGCGGAACTGCAGCAGGAAGGGGCCTTTCTCCCATGCTAGGCCCACTAGGCATGGGACACCTGCGGGGCAGCCGAGCCCCCTGCACCCCTCCCCCACGCAGCGCCCTGCAGAATAAAGAAAGCTGGAGTCAGACAGACACAGGGCTGCTGCTACCAGTCCCTGCTTTGCTGTTTGCCCGCTGTGTGTCCTTATGCAAGTGTCTTTACCTCTCTGGGCTTCAGGTTTCTCGTCTGTACAAATGGGGTTAATATGGTGCCTTGTACTGGGAGGCTGTGCTGATTAAGAGTAGTGGCCCCTGTGTGGTGCTTAGCATGAGCCTGGGGCAAGTGACTGCTCAGTACCTGGTGGTTTAATAATAATAATGATTATCATTACTATACCTTCTCAGGAGACATTCATCTGTGTATAGTTCCCAGTGATCCTTGTCAGGGAATTCCCTTTGAGCCTCAATTTCCTCGGCTGTAAAGTGGGACCAGGATCTGTTTGCTTGAGGGTAGTGGCAGGGACTGGTTCCTGCCCCTGGAGACCTCCTGGCTCCCAGCCCAGTCTGGGAGAGCAGCCCTGAGAATTCTGCAGAACCAGTTCCCTGGTCTAGCCATGGGAGGCTCCCACGCCCTGCCCTCGGGAGGAAGGAGGCCTGCTCCCAGGGTGGGCACAGGGGCCCAGAGAGGTATGGGTGGAAGTGTGGGCTGGGCTGGGAGCCGGTGGGCGGCCTGTTGGAGCAGGCCCCAAGCTGGGCACAGAGGGCCCATTGTTGCTGGGCTCAGCCAGGCCAGGCCCACGAGAGCGGCCACCGCTGCCGGGATTCAAGAAGTGTCTAGACAGGGCAGCCCCAGGCTCTGGCCTAAGCTTCCTCCAGGTGGGGCTGTGCCACCGGGGACATATAGGGAGCCTGGTGCCCTCAGCTCAAATGGGACCTGACAGACAGAGGAGACTGGGGCAGAGGCAGGACTACCCGTCAGGAAGACAGACAAACACAATCCAAACACACTGCTGGCAAGGAGGGTGGCGTTGGCAGTGGTGGCTCACTTGGGATCTGGAGAGGAGCTTGGACCTGGGAGTCAGAAAACTCTGGGTTCCAGTCCTGGCTCTATTGCTGTGCAACCCAGGGCAAGCGAATGTCCCTCTCTGAGCCTTGTTGACCTCAGCTGAACAACCTAAGGCTTAAGAATTTTGAGGCTGGTGCAGTGGCTCACACCTGTAATCACAGCACTTTGGGAGGTTGAGGCGGGCGGATCACTTGAGGTCAGGAGTTCGAGACCAGCCTGACCAACATGGTGAAACCCCATCTCTACTAAAAATACAAAGAATTAGCCAGGCATGATGCATGCCTGTAGTCCCAGCTACTCAGGAGGCTGAGGCAGGAGAATCACTTAACCCGGGAGGCAGAGGTTGCAGTGAGCCGAGAACACACCACTGCACTCCAACCTAGGCGACAAGGCAAGACTCTTTCTCAAAAAAAAAAAAAAAGAAAAAAAAAAGAATTTTGAGAGCAGAGGGACTTGGGTTCAAATCCCAGCTCTGCCACTTCCACAGTTGTGTGACCTTGGCAAGGAATTTGACCTCTTTGAGCCTCAGTTTTCTCATTTATAAAATGCGGATAATAGTAACCCTTGTCTCTAAAATGAGATAAACACATACGATGTTTGGAGTAGTGCCTGGCGCCTAATGACTATGCAGTAAACATTAATGCCTGCCTCCATTGTTATCACCATTTCAATTTGTTTTGGTTGATACCAAGCTTGTGGATCGCTTGCCAGGCAGTGTCTGGCACATAGTCAACACACGGTACTTGAGAATGCTTTTCCCAAGACGATGTGCTTGGCCCTTGCCCTCTCCTTGGCCTTGGTTGCCCTGCTTGGGAAATGGGCTCATCCCAGACCAGGCCACCCATGGGGCGGGGCAGCAGGCCAGGCTGTCTTTGGGGAATCCCGGGGGCCTCTCTGCCTCCCAGTATGGGGCTATTTTTAGCCAGGTGGGTAGAAGTTGCTGCTCTTATCTCTGCCTGGTATTTTTGGCACATCTTGACTGCCAGGGCTCCTCTGCCCTCCCACGCCAGCTGCACCCACGGAGCCCAAGTCTGAGTCCTGTGCCAGGCTCTTGTCTCCCAACCCCAGCCCAGGGGATACCAGGTGGAGGATGCCTGTCCAGCCAGCCCTCGTCTGCCTCCAGCCACCTCCAGGCCACCCACAGCTGGCCCCAGGTCTGAGGCTGTCGGGGGGGTCTCACATCTGTAAAGGGGAGCCGCGCCATACTCCCCTCCCCCAACGCTCTGTGTCGTTTCCATGGTGGTGAGCACAAATCCCCCAGCCCTGCACAGAGGAACCTTGTTTGTTTCGCCTGCATAACTTGGAGACCAAGTCACAGGACCAGGCCCCCCAAGTTACCCCCGCAGCGCAGCCCAGCCCAATCCCCCACCCAAACAGACAGCCCCAGGGATGGGGGGGAGGCAGTTATACCCCTTCCCCTTGAACCAGGCCAAGGGGCCCTGTGGGCAAGGAGCCAAGAGGTGTCACCTCCAAGTCCCTTCCCTGCTGGGAGTCTCACTTCCCTTGTCTGTAGAATGGGAACATGTCACAGAGATAGCGCATGGCCCGTACTAGGTACTTAATAAATGCACAAGTTGGCTGGGCGCGGTGGCTCACGCTTGTAATCCCAGCACTTTGGGAGGCTGAGGTGGGCAGATCACCAGGTCAGGAGTGCAAGACCAGCCTGACCAACATGGTGAAACCCCGTCGATACTAAAAAATACAAAAATTAGCTGGGTGTGGTGGTGCGCGCCTGTAATCCCACCTACTTAGGAGGCTGAGGCAGGAGAATCGCTTGAACCTGGGAGGCGGAGGTTGCAGTGAGCCAAGATCACGCCATCGCAGTCCAGCCTGGGCAACAGAGAGACTCCGTCTGGAAAAAAATAAATAAATGCACACGTTGTGCAAGTATTTCCTGACCTTGACCAAAGTAATTCAGCTTCCTGAGCCTCAGTTTCTCTACCTACGAAGTTGGGATGAAGGTATCTCTCTCATTGGAGAGGCTGAAGCATTAAACACAGGGATGCCTGTACCGTCCTTAGCGCTGTGCTTGCGTTGGGCAAGTGTCCATTCAGGAATTGCTTGTCTTCTTCCTGCCAATGCTGCTGTTCTTGTTAGTTTTATTATTATTATCCCCAGGTGGAGGTGGGGTGTTCCTCCATGCCTTCGCGCCTCTCTGGCTTCCTCCAGCTCCCTGGAGCTAGCTGCTGGCTGAGCCGGTCCCCCTCCTCCACGGTCCATCGTAACCTGATTTGGGGGGAGGGGCGGTGCAGCCTGGCACGGCCATTGTTGGGCCTCCCCCTGGAGCCAGGGCTGGGGCGGCGGGGGCGGGGCTGCCAGCTGTGCAGTGACATTCCGCAGCCCTGCTAACCGCTGCTCCTGACTCTGGTGGCTAAATTGAGTCTCGGTTTCCTTAAAATGACTATTTATTGCTTTAATGCAGTATTGAGTATTTACTGAGTGTTGGAGAAAAGGCTCGCCCAGTTTGGAGCTTGGCGGCCACCGGCCAGCGGGGCTGCTCTGGGAGGGTGAGTCTGGAGGAGGCGGGAGGCTCCTCTTACCAGAGAAACAAAAGCGCCTCCGGTGTTCCTTCTGCTGGGCTGCAGGGGCGGGGTTGCCCTGTCTCTGATCTGGACCACTCCTTCCCCTGGGTGGTGTGTCTTTGGAAGGAGGGGTTCACAGGACAGCCTTCCACCCGCTTCACCAGCCGTGGAGAATCGCTGGCCTTTGAACAGAGTAGGCACCAGCTGCCCCCTACCAACCCCCCGGGTAGCCCGCTACCTCGGTGGGGCCAGCCCATGCCAGCCCGGGGCAGCTCAGCTGTGTCCCTCTGCATGGAGACCTCCTCACAGCCCCAACAAGGCCAGCGTGGGCCCTCCCCGAGGGCTACACCATTGTCTCCAGGGTGAATGCAAACGCTGACCAGAACCCAGCAGGCAGCATGTGCGGAGAGGCTGAGATGTGCTGGTGAACAAAGATCGGAGGAGGAGGCCTCTCATCACAGCTCCTACGCAGAGGTTCCCGAGCTAGGCGCTGTGCCGAGGCGGTCTGCCCTGCGCCTCAGTAACCCTCAGAACAACCTACCAGGCAGCTTCTATGGCCGGCCTATTTTACAGATGGGAAAACTGAGGTTTGAGAGATTTGCTGAGAGGCACAGACGGGTCTGAACGCAGCTCTGGTGCTCTGCTCACCACCTCCTGGGGGGCAGCCCACTGGAAGATGCTGGGAGCAGGCAGGCTCCCTGAAGGAAGTGCCCATCGAATCCAGCCTGGAAGGATGAAAAGCATTCAGCTGACAGCCCTGGAGGGGCAGGGGGCAGGCCCAGGAGAGGGGACAGGGAGAGCCAAGGCACGGAGTTGAGGCCACGGACCTCAGAGTCCAGAGCAGCTGAGCCAGGTGACAGAGGCTGATGGGATTAGGGAGAGCCTGCCCTGGTGTGGCTGGAGCTGCAGATCCATTTCTGGAAAGAGGAAAGGGAAGCAGGAAGGGAGAAAGAGGGTGGAAAAGTAAGTGAGGGCAAAGAAAGGAAATTGAGGGCAAAAGGAAGAAGGGAAGTGAGAAAAACAGGTTGTTAATAGCAATGCTAATAATAACCTCACTGGCGCCATTCTATGTGCTTTACGTACGTGCTTTACGTACGCATGTTCTATGTGCTGTACGCTGATAACACACTGGGTAGTCAGGGCTGCCCTGTCCTGTTGCGTGTAAGTGGAGAGACTCTGAAGACTTCTGAGCAGGCCGTGATGCAGTTTGATTTTCATTCTGAAAGAGACAGGAGACAGCAGAGGGGACAAGGAGGCCTGGGCAGGGCAGGTATACAGGGATGAGGGCCTGCAGAGGGGCGGCGTGGGAAGAATGGGAGAGGAAGAGGCCTGGGCGAAGGGTTCGAGGTTTCTTCTCTCTCAGCCCTGGGAGAACAGTCATTTCCAGAAGAGCTGGTCAGAGGGAACTGAGCTTAGGGCGAAATGACAAATCGGTCTCTTTTGTTCTCTGTATTTCTTATAGATTTTTTATTTTTTATATTACAAAATCGTTGTTGCTCATTGTAAAATAAATTCAGGCAAAGCAGAAGTCAAACAAAATGGGACAGTATTCATCCGTTCCCTCACCCCTTTCCCAGAGGCGGTCAGTTGACAGATGCGTAACGTTCCAGGCCTTTCCTACAACATAGGAGCATGTTCTGTGCACATCCACTTGGTTTTCCTTTTGATGGGATCCATATTTCCTCTAACTGCTCTGCTCTGTACTGGCTTGTCCCACTTAGCAACACGCTGAGAACACCTGCGCACATCAGTACACGCAGATTTGCTGTATCTTGCAGCCACGACGTAACAGTCCAGGGAATGGGTGAACTTTGATTTATGAACCCATTTCCCTACTGACAGCCCTTTGGGCAGCTGCCAGTGCTTTGCTGTCACACACACCATACATCAGTGAGCATCCTGGTACATATATCTTTGTGCGCATGTGCCGCGTGACGGGAGCTGGAGTATAAACACACTGGGCGGTGCTGCCTTGGGGGCATCCACAGAGCAGCCCAGGAAGCAGGCCAGTAAAGGGGTCTGGATCCCCAGAGAGGCTGGGAGCTTGAGGGAGGGGCCGGTGCTATAGATCTGGAGGTGGTGGTTTGAGAGCTTTTGACATTAAGTGACACTCAAAGCCATAAGAGAACAAAAACCCTGAGAGTCCTGGCATTTAAGAGCAGGTGGAGAACTAGGAACCCACAGGTCTCTGGGGAGAGACCAAGACCGTGTGCCTTCAGAGAGTTTCCAGAAGAAAGGGATGGCCAAAGGTGGCCAGTGGCAGAGGGCAGTGTGTGCTTAGTTGTCCAGCCCCTGGCACAGTGCCTGCCCACAGTAGCTGCTCAGTAAGCAAGGGCCAGTTAAATCAATCAATCAATGAACGAGACACTCGGGTCTGGAAGGTGTTGTTTGTTTTCAGCTGAGTGGTAGCTTAGGGAAAGCGGAGGCAGCTGAAAGCAGGTTGATTGAGGAAGAAAGTGCAGGTGATGATGTGGTCCCACTGGGTGTGGACAGAGCAGGGCTGGCCAGGGAAGGTGAGAGGGGGGCAGGTTGAGGGACTGAAAGGAGCTGAGTGTCCTGGCAGGTTAGGAAACGGAGGGCAGAAGAAGAGCTGCTGGGGAAGTACTTTGGTGTTTGGGGCTCAGGGACAGACACTCTTACTGAGACCAGGGGTCTGCAGAGACCTCAGCATTGCAGGGAAAGATCCCTCTGGTTGGAAAGGGTGGCTGAGTCAGGCTGTGTCACTTCCTGAGCACAGTCCTGGCCACTCAGCGCTTACTGTCTCATCACACCTTCACCAGAACGCTGCAGAGGCAGATCATAACCTCCCATTTTATAGACAAGGAAATTGAGGCTCTGGAGGTGGAGTCATGGGCCCAAGGTCACAAAGCTAAGACTTTAGCTTTACAAATACAGAAGCAGGATTTATTATTATTATTATTATTATTATTTTGAGATGGAGTCTCGCTCTGTCGCCCAGGCTGTAGTGCAGTGGCACCATCTCAGCTCACTGAAACCTCTGTCTTCTGAGTTCAAGCAATTCTCCTGCCTCAGCCTCCTGAGTAGCTGGGATTACAGGCGTGCACCACCACACCCAGCTAATTTTTGTATTTTTAGTAGAGACAGGGTTTCACCATGTTGGCCGGGCTGTTCTCCAACTCCTGACCTCAGGTGATCCACCCACCTCAGCCTCCCAAAGTGCTAGGATTACAGGCATGAGCCACCGTGCCTGGCCCAGAAGCAGAATTTAAATCCACATCTTTCAGACCCCAAAGAGGCCCCACTCACCTCTTGTCCCCCTAACCCCACATCCCCCAGGCCCTCCTGGGTGGTGCTTGGCAGGGGATGATAGACAGGCAGGGAGAGGGGCCTTCTGGAACCTGGCTCTTTGTATCCACAGTTGGGAAAAGCATGCCGCACTTGCCCTTTGTTACGCCTTCAAGAATGCTTGACTGGGTGAGGAAACTGAGTCATGGCCAGACTCGTTTGCTCTTTAGAAATGGACACGGAAGCAGCAGCAGGCCTGGGGTCCAACCCTGCCAAGGGGCTCTCTGGCAGCTTGAGCCCTGAGCAGTCCTGGACCCCGAGGGCGGAGGACGAGGGGACGAGAGGAAGATTGTAGCTGGCATGGGCAGGAAGGTGGAAGGGCATTCCATGCGGCGAGGGTGCACCTGAGAGGGCATGGACTGCCTGGATGGTGAGGCTGAAACAAGGCCTGGCCGCGAGGAGGGTGGAGACAGGGATGAGGGCTCCTGTAGATATGAGAACTCCCGGCGGATGAGGCCTGGGGAGAGGGAGGGGCCAATCTGTGAGTCGGGAGCCCTGGCCTCGCCACTAACCAGTCTCAGACTGTGGGTGGGTCACTGCCCTCTCTGCCTGGGCCTCCCTGGACTTCTGAGAAAAGTTTCCTTCGGGTCTGCATTGTGTATTTGTATGAGCGCATGTGTGTGTGTTCACGTGTGTCTGGGTGTGTCCCTGGGCACCTGCAGCCTGCTTGGGCATCCGTGTGGGCCTGGGGGGTCTTCGTTTTGACGCGTCTTGTTTGTCCAGCCTCTCACATTCACGTGTGTGAGTGTATACCTGGGCTTTTGTGCTCCTCTGGGTATGTCTGTGCACACTGTGTGTGACCCCAGGTGCCTGTGTGTACGTCTGTATATGGCAGTATGTTTCTCTGTGCAAGTAGGTGCCATTCTGGTCACCTCATGTGTGCACATGTGTTAAGGTATGTGTCCATGGGATGAGGGCTTGGGTCAGTTGTCTCTAGGGCAGGGCAGAAAAGGAGGTCATCAGAGCCCAAAGTTCCTCAGGATCTGGGCAGTCCGCTCCTCTGCCCTTCCCCCAGGATGGCCCCCAGGTACTCCCCAGGCCATGAGGCAGGACAGGAACCACAGTGGCCATGGTTAGAAGTGGAGGGGGTAGGAGAGAAATGAAGCCTTCCGAGGAGGCTGAGGGCAGGGCTCCTGGGTGGAGGATTGGTGGACAACTAGGGGTGAGGTCACCCAACAGACAGCGAGGAGACCCCCTTCCTGGCAACTTTTCCAGAAACCTGGCACTGGGAGGGCCCTAACCCAAATCCCAGTTCCCAAGAGAGTCCCGGCGTGTGCCTCAATCTCCCAGAATATACCAGCTGGGCCCCCAGAGCAGTCACCTGATGCTGGGTCTGAGTGACCCCCTCCAAGGGGCAGAGCCCTGAAACAGCCCCCACAGCTGCCTCCCATGGCCAGACATGTGCATACATGAGTAGAGGCGGCAGACCTCCCCACGGGTGGACACGTGTGCATGTGCATGTACAAATGCATCAGCAGTTGTGCGTGCATGTAAATGTGTGAGCACACTCAGAGAGCAGCCTGTAGATAGAGTTGTGTACGTACGCATCCTTGGTGCGTATGAGCATGCATGTGAGTGTATGTGGCCAGTATGTGTGCATATGGGTGCAGACGCGCTCAGATTTGCCGGCATATTGTGCTGGCATGTGTGGGCATGTGTAAACAGCAGGGTTGGGCAGATGCAGATGGACAGGTAGGTGTGAGTAGGTTGACACGCTTGAGTACACGTATGCACACATTGTCAACATACACATATGTATTGACAGGCATGTGTGAGTGGACACGGGTGAGGGCCTAGACTGTTGGCACATGCAATACAGGTATGCACACATATGTGGTACCTGGGTGCTGTGGGTGGCAGTACAGTCAGTCCTCCCTCACCCTCTTGGATAGGTTCTTGGAAACTGTGACATTAAGCGAAACCACAGACAGCAGGTCCTCAAATAACGTTTCCATGTAACACGGACGAAAAAAGTTTATTTCATTATATGGCGTTTCTCTTAAAGTCGCAGTTCCCAAGAACCCATCCACAAGGGTAAGTGAAGACTTACTGTGCGTGTCACAGGTGAATTATCATGGGTGTGGGTATAGCTGTGGGTAGGCATGAGGATTGGGAGCCCAGCACACACAGACCTCCCACGCTAGCTGCCACCACTGTGGTTGTCTGGAGGGGAGTGCAGGACAGATACACAGCCAGGGGCCATGCCAGGTGGCAGAGAAGGGGGCAAGAGAACTATCAGCTGGGACACCTCCCATACTCTCCAGAGTTTGGCACCCAGGCACAGCCCCATGCCCAGCTCACCAGCCGTTGGCAGGAATTCAATCCCACCCCAGTAAACCCAGCTCTGCTTCGCCACCGCCGAGCTCTGAGCTGGGGGGAGGGGACCCCGCTCGGAAATCGGTCATAAATTTCTTGAGATGCTTTAATTTTTTAAAAGCCCCACGTAGATGCTTTGCATTGTGAAAACCCACAAATATCAGCTAAATGAGGTGCGCCAGCAGAAGGCCCGCCAGGCCCACAGCCCTCCCCTCCCAGCAGCTGGGCCCGGGCTCAGCTGGGGCCCCTGGCCTGGCCAGCCAGGGCCGAGGGGCCCATCTTTGTTCCGAGCAGAGCTCAGACTGCAGAGTGGCTGGGTAAATAGTCGCCGCAGTAATCGCAGGCTGATTCCAACTAATTAAATCCTGCGCCAAGAGCCCACTCCAGCCGGTATCCCGAGAGGCCGCAAAAACACAGACACCCCAGACGGGGCACTGCTCCAGGCCGGCTCTGGCTCTCTAATCCTGTATCTTTTGAAAGATAGGCGCACCCCGGGATGAGAGGTCAGCGGGCCTGCCCTGTGCCGAGCGGTGGAATTTTTCAATAACCAGCAGCTGGGTCACCAGGCACACAAAGGCAGTGTAATATCCTGTGGGCTTACTCGGGGAGAGTGAGCGAGCCAGCTCCCTCCAGGCCAGGGCAGCGGCCCCCCACAGCCCAGGCCCCCAGCGGCCCAGAGGCCACTTGGCCAGGCCTCCACTCCCCTCCCTCCAGAGGGGCAGAGAGGGAATAGAGGTCGGCATTCTCCACCACCCCCTTCTCCTGGACTGGGGCTTCCAAGTAAATTCATCTTCCTTATTAAAAACCAGCCTTGATGCTCCCGAGCCCCAGCTGTGGCCGTGATGGGACCTGCCTGGGGCAGGGCTGCTGGGGCCGGGCTCCTTCCAAGGGGTCAGTGGATGCTTCTCACATAGGGAGGCCACACCACAAGGGGTGAAGGTCTCCAGCTCTGGAGTTGGAAGGACCGGGTTCAAATCCCTTGGGCCTGTCTGCTGGAGGCCATCCTGGCTGGCCCAGTACTGGCTGGTGACCTTGAGCAAGGCACTCAGTAGTACCCTCTGTGGAATGGGATCATGAGTTACAGTTATTAGAGGGACTGAATGAGAGCCAGTGTCTGGTAGCTCCCCCTGCCTTAGTTTCTCCCACGGAATAATGGAGATCAGGGGCCTCCCTCACAGGCTCTAGGTGAAGCAGGGTTTGTGCCCATGCGGGGCTCACACACTGTAGAGAGCTGTCCTTGGCGGGACCTGTGCAGCACATGTGAGAGTGATTAGAAGCTGCAGAGACTCAGTTTATTTTATTTTATTTTATTTTTTTTCCCAGAGAAACAATAGTTGCCCCTCTCCCGAGTCTGGAATGCTTTACGCCCTGGGTCTGGGACCCCTCATTTAAATTGGCTGCGAAGGGACAGGCACTGTGAGCCTGGAAGGGGGTTGTTAGGGATGGAAAGCCGGGGCCCAGGAATTTACAATCCGTTACTTGAGGGATGTCCTGCCTCCCTCTCGCCCCATTCAGGCCTTCTCAGACCCAGCATGTGCCGTAAAGATGTCACATGGGGTGCGGGGGGCTGAGGAACAGTCCAGGGCCTGGCCTTAGGGAGGGGGGCGCACACAGCCCAGGACAGAATCCTGGCTGCACCATGTCCTGGCCAGCGGAGCCTGGCAGGAGCTTCCCTCCCAGAGGCACTGGTAAGCGGAAGCGTTGGCTTTTATCGCTTGCTGGCCCCAGTGATGCCAGAAGTGAGGCCAGTGACGTGCCCAGGCACATGACACTGGCACAGGACTTGGTCAGAACGGTGCGCCTCTCGCCGCCCACCTGTGGACTCCTCGCCCACACAAAGCAAGAGGCTCTTTTCGGCTTTTGCCCAACCACATGCTGACCTATCTCTTACTGGGGGCTCTGGCACTTTGTAGCTGTGAGGCTTGGCACAAGGCTCAGTTTTCTCATCTGAGAAATGGGAAGACTCATTCTCCTTGCCTTCCAGGGTCGAGAGGAGATGAGAACTCCAGAAGCTCGGGCCAGAGCCTGGCTCACAGCAGGTATCCATGCTGGGGTCTGGGGGAGCCCCAGACACCACAGGGAGCCCCTACCTAGGGAAAGGGCATTGAGGGGACCTGTCAGAGTGAATGGGGAGCCACCCACAGAGGGTAGGGAGGGCTCTGCGTGCTGCTGGCTGGACTTCCTGGGCGTCTGACACACCAGGCCCCACAAACAACTCCGCACCAGGGAGCTGGGCAGATCTGAGAGCCGCACAGGAGGCCAGTGGGGTCAAGCTCAGGGACCAGTGTAGAAAGAGGCTAACCCAGGGCTCCCTCAGGTAGGGCAGAAGGTAGCTTTTGGCACCATCAGGGAGGTGGAGATGGACAAGGGAACACAGATTTGGGGCCAAACATGAGGCCACGGGGTTTTTGAGGGGGTGGTTCCCCAGGCACCCAGCTTCACCAGGTCCCCGGGCTCTGAGACACTCCACCTCCACTCTGGGCAGAGAGGGGGCATCGGGGGCATGGCTAGGGGCCAGCACTGTGCTTCCTGGGCGCCTCACCTCCTCCCTGACTCCTGGAGACTCCCAGCCCCTGTCTGGGAGATGAGCATTTAGGAATCTGCTTGTGCAGGGGTGGTGGGAGGGGCCGGGGTGGAGGGCGCATCCCCACGGGGAGATTGGATGGAAATGGCCTGCCAGTGTGTGTGTGAGTGTGCGCCTGTGGCAGCAGCAGAGTAAACAGCCGCTGCCCTGTCCTCTCTGCGGCCGTGGCCAGGTACACAGGCCTGTTTGGACAGCTGCCTTGTCTGTCCGTCTGTTTGGGAGATGCTGGCTGATAGATGGGGATGGGCGGACTGTTAACCCCTCGTTGCCTGCACTGCTATGTGCTTCCTGCCTCATCCATGGGGTAGAAGGTAGCCAGAAGGTGGTCCTGGCTGTGCCCCCAGCTCCTCTCTAGGGGGGAAACCTCTAGTTCTGAGTCAGGGACAGAGTGAGGAGGGCTCCAGGGCATCAAGAGCTTGCTCCTCCCCGCACCAGGGAGCCAAGGACAGAGGAGAAGGGGGTCTTCCCCAGTGGTGACTAGGGGCAGAATATGTCTCTGAGTGAGTGTCTGGAGCCCTCCTCACCCCAACACCATGCCCTGTGGAAGCTCCTCTTCCTTTATTAAAAAGTTACTGCCAGGCTTTCTCAGGGCTGCTCTTCTTCAGGAACGCCTGCTCCACTTGTAGGGTGGGGTGGAGGAGGCTGGGGGGGCATTCAGGAACACCAGCAACAGGCCCCTGCTAAGTGTGAACAGGCAGAGATGGGGCCTGGGGCCACCTGTGGGGCAGCTAAGCTCCATCTGTCTCCTCTTGGTCATCAGAGAGCCTGGTGTGGGGAGATCCCTGACCCAAAGATGAACGGATGCTGTGCTGGCAGTCAGTGCAGTGAGCCAGGTGACTGCCTGCCTGGCATCTCCACGTGGTCCCCCATCTGCCACCCTGTGCTCCCATCTCAGGCAGGGCTCCCCCATCCACGTCCACCAGGCACCTGACAGGGCCGAGGGAGCCACTCCAGGTTTCCCATTCAACCCCAAAGCCCCTGTCCACTTCAGGAACTCCCTACATGGCTCTCTGGTAACCCACCCCCTCTCCCACTCCAGGATCCCAGCCAGGACCCGCTGTGCCTCTCACCTGCAGGGCACCAGCCTGGACCCTCTTAGCGAGTCTCCCCACAAATGATCTTTAAAAAATGTAAATCACTCAAGCCACTCCCTACTTAAAACCTTTCAATGACTTCCCCGTGGCTCTTGAGATTAAGACAAAAATCCTTTAAATGGCCCACAAGACCGTCAACAGGGCATGGGTTAAATAAGTTAGGGTTTGCCCTGTAATAGAGGATCAGGCAGCTGTAAAATCAGGTGCTGTTGTTCCAACGTAGAGTCATCTCCAGTCATGGGGTGGGGGTGGCGGTTGTAGAGCATATTAGCGTTTGTATAAAAAAGAAAGTGGAAAAAAATCCCAATCAGTCCTCATTACCAAAACAAAACAAAACCCCCCCAAAATACACCCAAAACCAGGCCGGGAGGGGAATGACAGATGCACTCGGCTTGGTGTATGTGGGCTTGTGTATGTGTGATACGTCTCTGGAGGAGGGTCAAATGAAAGACCTGGATTGCCTCTGGGGAGGGGACCGATGGCTAGGCATGGGGTAGAGGAGGATGCAGAGAACGCCCTTTTGTATTTGAACATTTCAGTATTAAATTATGGAATGCATTACCTCTTCAAAAACAAATTCAATAATTTTTAAGATAAAAAATGTTGGCCGGGTGCGGTGGCTCACGCCTGTAATCCCAGCACTTTGGGAGGCCGAGGCGGGCGGATCACAAGGTCAAGAGATCAAGACCATCCTGGCCAACATGGTGAAACCCCGTCTCTATTAAAAGTACAAAAATTAGCTGGGCGTAGTGGCACACGCCTGTAATCCCAGCTACTCAGGAGGCTGAGGCAGGAGAATTGCTTGAACCCGGGAGGCAGAGGTTGCGGTGAGCCGGGATTGTGCCACTGCACTCCAGCCTGGCGACAGAGCAAGACTCCATCTCAAAAAAAAAATTAAAAAAAAAAAAAAGATAAAAAATGTTCAGTAGGCCGGGCGCGGTGGCTCACGCCTGTAATCCCAGCACTTTGGGAGGCCGAGGCGGGCGGATCACGAGGTCAGGAGATCGAGACCATCCTGGCTAACACGGTGAAACCCCGTCTCTACTAAAAATACAAAAAATTAGCCGGGCGTGGTAGCGGGCACCTGTAGTCCCAGCTACTCGGGAGGCTGAGGCAGGAGAATGGCGTGAACCCGGGAGGCGGAGCTTGCAGTGAGCCGAGATCGCGCCACTGCACTCCAGCCTGGGCGACAGAGCGAGACTCCGTCTCAAAAAAAAAAAAAAAAAATGTTCAGTAGACAGTGTGTAAGACCCTGCACACTCAGGCAGGCTCCTGTACTCCCCAGCTTCCTCTTGCTCCAGGCACCCGCCCTTCCCTCGCAACCCTCTGCACCTTTTATTTCTCATTGATTCTCCTTGTTTCTCAGGACCTTTGCACACAGTGTTTCTCTCCTGCCTGGCCTCTCCGTCACCTCCCATCCTTGCCTGGCTGATCGCCCTCCTCTCCCCGTCTCAGCCCAAATCTCTGTCTTCCGAAAAGTGGCCTTCTCTGACTTGCTCCCCACCACAGTCCCCAGGATGGGCTGTCTCCCAGTGGCTTGTTCGCTGCTGTCCCCAGCACCCAGCACCGCACCTGGCACACAATAAGCACCGCATCAGTATTTGGGGGAATGGATGAAGTGGCAGGAAGAGGAGGATACCCTGGGAACTCCATGCCATGGGGCTTGGGACGTGCCCACCTGGCCTTTGAAGGATGAGAAGCATTTTGCCAGACTCACAGCGGGACAGTATTCCAAGTAGAGCATGGACAAGGTACAGAGACCAGGTGGCTGGCTTTCTCTAGCAACCTGTCTGCTACCCCAGTTCTTCCATGACCAAACTGGGTGTATTGAACAAGTTACCTCCCCTCTCTGAGCCTCAGTTTGCTCATCAGCAAAATGGGGGTGTTGGCAGAGACCTTTCAGACCTTTCGGAGTTACCAGGGGTGGGGTCCGCAGATCCCCATAGGGAGGACTTGCGCACAGTTGGCGCTGGGTAAATGCTGGGAGAACTGCTGCGGGCGAGGGGAAAGGGTTAAAGCTAGGCGCTTTTTAATTGTCAAATGACTGCGGGCGATTAGCACTGGCAGCTTCCTCAATAATCGCTCTTCTCTGTACCTGCTGGGAGCTTAATTAAAAAACAAAGAGGCTCAATTTAAAGGCCATTACTATGCTAATGCGGCCGGGCGGGCGGTGATTAAGCGGCTCAGGCAGGCAGCGGGCGGCTGGGGCGGGGCATGGGGCGATCAGTTACCCACTAAATGGGCGGGCTGCGTGCCCTGCCTGTCCCGAAGGCCGAGCCCTGACCTGCCTCGCCTGCCCTTTGCCCGTCCCCAGCCAGAGCGCAGGAGACCCAGGGATGTGGTCCCCCAGATTCTCTTCTCCATCCCTGGGAGAGGGTCCCCATCTCTGGCAGGAAATGAGTGGCACCCACACTTTCATATACCTCCTTTTAATTCCTGCTCCTGCCCCCTCCTCTCCGAGCTCCCCTGGGCTCAGCATGGAGTCCTGCTCCTCTCTGGCACCCCCTTCTCAAGATATTCTCTCAGGCCTCTGTAGATGACTCAGCCAGGGGACTCATCTTGCCCACCCACTACTGCTATGTCTCCACAAAAAGCCCGGCACAACAGGTCACTGGCTAGAAGCAGGTATCAGGCTCCCAAATCTCTGGGTCATTTGCTTCCCAGTCCCCAACTACCTTTCCAACCTCCAGGAAGGCAGGAGAGTGTGGTGGTTACCAGCCCAGCTGACCTGGGGCCCCAGCTCTGCATTTCACCAGCCGGGTGACCTGTGTAAGGAAGAGACTCCTACCTCCGGTAGTGGTCATGAGGCATCAGTGAGGCCCCTGAGTGTGAAGCTCTGAGCACAGGGCTGAACTGGTTCCCGTGAGTGTAACGTCTAGTAGGAGCGTCTGCCAGCTTCATTCACAGCCTGCGTTCAAACATTCGAGCAGGAGCACAGGGCATGTACTCAGGGCATTGCGGGGAGGAGGAAGCTTAGTCCAGATCTCAGGAAAGAGACTGGGTAGTAAGGCCCTCCATGACTGGGCTAACAAAGTTGGTGCTATCTCTGGCTGCATTAAGAGGAGCATAGGATGGGAAATAAGGGAGGAGATGGTTGGTCCTCCCTCTGGAGGAGAGAGCTACCATGCCTCAAGGTCTTATATGGACAGACTCAGGCTCATTCAGAGGGTGATTAGAATGTGGAGAAACTGCTGGGCATGGTGGCTCACGCCTGTAATCCCAGCACTTTGGGATGCCAAGGCAGGTAGATCACTTGAGGTTGGGAGTTTGAGACCAGCCTGGCCAACATGGTGAAACCCCATCTCTACTTAAAATACAAAAAATTAGCTGGGTGGTGGCCCGCGCCTGTAATCCCAGCTACTCGGGAGGCTAAGACAGGAGAATCGCTTGAATCCGGGAGGTGGAGCTTGCAGTGAGCCAAGATCATGCCATTGCACCCCAGCCTGGGCGACAGAGCGAGACTTCGTCTCAAAAAAAAAAAACAAAAAACAAAAAAAAAAAACAAAAAGACTGCGGAGAAGCTGCCACAGGAGCCTAACCAAGAAAGGGAGGTGTCACTGTCTTTGAGTGCCTGAAGGGCAAGAAGGAGCTCACTTAGTCTGTGGGGCCCCAGCTGAAGCTGGGCATTTGAACACAACATATGACACCCCCAAATCTGTCTCAACCCCATGCTTTTTACCCTGAGCATGTTTTTATCACCTGCCTGGTAAAATTTGTAGTAATAAACTTTGGTAATTTTGTTAACATTGAAAACCACCCATCCTGATCCTGGGGAAAATTTAGCTTGGTAAAATAATCCATACAAAATATAACTGACAACGGTGACACGACCACAGTAAGATGTGTCACTGGCCACAAATTAACCAAAGAGTCCATCAGCAGGATCCAATACAGGCAAAAACCTGATGCTAGAGGAAAGCTTTATAGAAAATTTTTCATGAAAAATAATTATCTCAATGAGAATAATTTTAGGGAAATAATGGGGAAAGTAGAAAATTATTTGACTCTACTAGAAAGAAAATTGATTTAAAAAAATGCTTTAATGGAGTTTGTTCCAGAAAACACTTGCTCAAAGAAAGTTTATTAGTGTTGTTACAGCCCTAATTAAAATGCTATGGTCTATGTGCAGCAGTCCAAAATCCTTAAAGTCATAATGGTGGGGTCAAAATATCAGCTGGGTCAGCCACTTGGACACCCTAGTGGTACCCTGGAGATCTGACACTCCGCTCGCATGGAATACCTGCTCTCCCATTCTACCAGGAGCCCCCTGAAGACTGTGACCCTGCTGATTCCCCATCACCTAGCACAGAGCTTAGTCATGGTGGCTTGCTAGTGCCTACAGAATAGACAAATCATATAGTGAAAGTTTCAGCCCTTTCAGGAGGAACTGAGTCACTACATGGCGTTTGGCACAGAACAAGTAGCTAAGTATTTGTTGGACGGATGGAGGCATGGATGTTTGTATGGATAGCTGGTGGAGAGGGTGGATGTAGCTAAGTATTTGTGAGCTGGATGGAGGCATGGATGTTTGTATGGGTAGCTGGTTGAGAGGGTGGATGGAGGGGGGATGGGTAATATATGGGTGGTGGATGGATGGGTAAGTGGAAGGATAGATGCATGCATGCGTGGATGTTTGTATGGGTGGATAGATGGTTGAAGGGGTGGGTGGATGGGGGACAGGTGGATAGATGGGTAGGCAGATGGGCAGATGAGTGGATGTATGGGTGGATGGATGCATGGATGGATGGGTGGATAAATGGATGATTTTATGAGAAAAAGAGAGGTACGACCTATCCTCCTTAGCACAACACACAAGGTGTCCAGCCTGACCTTTCTTTCTCGCCCACACTCCAACCTGACCACTGTCTCCAACCTGACCCACTATCTTCCTAACCCTGAAAATGGCCTCCATTCCCTTCATGCCATTGTGGTTTTTCAACTTCTCCCTCCCAGAATGGGCTCTCTGCTTTTCCACCTCTACACAGAGCCTGACTCTGGCCTCAGACACACACATTCCCATCCCAGCCCCAACACTTCCCCCATTGGAATCCTCTGAACTCTTTGAAGTCTCCAGAAAGTCCTTCCTGCCCCACCACTCTGCCCTCCACCCGGCTAAGTTTGAATGTCTTCAGACTGCCGTGGAGCCCCCACCCCTTACTGGGCACCTGGCTCTGGGCCTGGCCTATTCTGGCCATGCAGGGCCCCGGAGAGAAATCCAAAGGCCTCTGCCTCCCGTGGCCCGGGGTTTCTCACCTTCCACGTGCGTTGTCAGCCCTCTGGACTGTGGGCGCCATCATCCCCCCATAACCCTGGTGCCCCCAGCCCAGGCCAGAGGCCCAGCAGCTCCGTGCTGATGAAGCAAGTGCAGAGTTGTTTTGGGAGGTGGCCAGGGCAGATGAGGTTAAAGCAGGAAAGGGCTTCAAGAACAGGGAGGTCCAGGAAACCAAGCACAGAGACTGGGAGGATGAGCAGGAGCTGGGAGGCCCAGTGTGCCAGGCTCAAACCCCAGCTCAGACACTAAGCAGCTGTGTACCCTCTGCAAGCAGCACTTTCCTCTCTAGCAAAGAGAGTGATGTTGCCTACCTCGCAGGGGTCTTACAGAGGAGGAGTCCATGGGCAAATAAAGCCCAGAGCTTGCTATGTGGGCAACAGTCAATACATCTTAGTAAGCAATAATAATGATAATAATGAATGTTGGATTTGGCAACCAGGAGCTGCTGACCTCAGTGAGAATGGGGGAAGGTACCTGGGACTAGCTCAAAAAGGTACCTGGGACTAGCTCAGTTTGATGAGCAGGTGGGAGGAGGAGGTTCCTACTGCAGACCAGGAGAGGGCCTGGCTCATGGTAGGTGCCGGGTAAACGTTAGATGAATGGGTGAATCACCAAATCATCAAATGTATTGAATTCACTAGTGAAGGGGCAGAAAGAAGGGGGAAGAGGGTGAACTCAAAGGTCATGAAATAGTACAGGTAAAGCCCTTCGCACAGTGCCTGGCACATCATAGCTCGCAGCCTCCCTGATGCCCGGTTGGTCCAGGATTTCCTGTGGCTCTTCTAGCCTGGACTAGAGTCCCAAGTTCAGCCAGAAACGATGCAGGGAAGGATGGTCAGAGGGATGTGATGCTCCACCTCCTACCTGCACCTGACCTGTCTCGACAATGGCAGGAGGGCTCCTGCCTGTCACCAGGGAAGGTCTGGTCCCCACAGAAGCCTCAATATCCCCACCACCCATCGGAAGTCAGAGCCCCAAAGGTGGGAAACCAGTTGTCAGATGCCAAGCCACATGGACACGGCTGCTCACCCTGTAGCAGTGTGTCTGTGTAAGTGTATCTGTGTGATTGTATCTCTGGGTGTGTCTCCATCCTGGCAGCATCTCCACACAGCATCTCCAGTCTGTGCCTCTCCCTGAACTCCAACCTCACACAAGCAGCTGACCCTGGACCTATCTGTCCACATGGCTGCCTAGAAGGCAGCTCAGACCTAACACATCCAGGGCTGCACTCCCTGTTCTTCCCCTGCCTCCCCACAGACGCCATGTCCTCTAGTGGCAACTCCATCATTCCGGATGCTCAGCCAGGAGATCTGGGACTCATCCCTGATGCCGTCCTTTCTCCCACGTCCTCTCAGGCCCTGTCTGCCTTCACAAGGCTTCCCCTGCCCTCCTGGCTCTGAGCCAACACCTTCACTGTGCTAACTTCCCAAAGCCACTCCCTGCTCCTCCCTCTAACCCGGTGCCCCCCCTACAGGTGCCTAAGGAACCTGGTTAAAATGCCAATCAGAGGCGGACACAGTGGCTCACACCTGTAATTCCAACACTTTGGGAGGCTGAGGTGGGTGGATAATTTGAGGTTAGGAGTTCGTGACCAGCCTGGCCAACATAGTGAAACCCCATCTGTACTGAAAATACAAAAATTAGCCGAGTGTGGTGGCGGATGCCTGTAATCCCAGCTACTTGGGAGGCTGAGGCAGGAGAATTGCTTGAACCCGGGAGGCAGAGGTTGCAGTGAGCCAAGATCACGCCACTGCACTCCAGCCTGGGCGACAGAGTGAGACTCCATCTCAAAAAAAAAAAATAATAATAATAAAATAAAATGCCAATCAGATCACACCCCCCCACCCTTCCCAGGGTCCCTATCTCATGTGATCTGTCCCCTTTGCCCCCCAGCTCTACCTGCACCTTGTCCCCATCACTCATCTGCTCCAGCCACACCCCAGATACTTGCAGATACTTGGTCCCCAGGGTCTTTTTTTTTTTTTTTTTTTTTTTTTATAGAGATGGGCTTTGGCCATTTTGCCCAGGCTGATCTCAAACTCCTGGGCTCAAGCAATCTACAAGCCTCGGCCTTCCAAAATGCTGGGATTACAGGGGTCAGCCACAGAGCCCAGCCTCCCCAGGGCCTTTGCACTGGCTCCTCCCTCTGCAAGGAGCCACTTCCCCCGATATTGTAGATACCATCCCCCAGGTGTCGGCTGGAATGTGTGTCTCATTCATGCCTCTGACTGTCCCTTCTAAAGCTGCAGCCCCATCTCTCTTCCCTGTCTTCACTCTTCTTTGCCTTGTAGTCACCATTCGTCATACTCTGTATGAAATGGATTTATCTACGTGTTAAAATAGATCAGTGTTACTGTCCTTCCGCCTATGAGAATGTCCTCCACGGGTAAGAAGGAACTGGGGGTGGGGGCATTGGGAGGGGCTGTCTCTCTTCTCACTGCTCTAGCCCCGCCTCCAGACAGCGCCGGCCCGCACATAGTAGACGCTAAAGAAATATTTGTGGGGCCGTGTGCGGTGGCTCACGCCTGTAATCCCAACGCTTTGAGAGCCCTAGGTGGGGGGATCACGAGGTCAGGAGATCGAGACCAGCCTGGCTAACATGGTGAAACCCCATCTCTACTAAAAATACAAATATTAGCCGGGCGCGGTGGCGCCTGCCTGTAGTCCCAGCTACTCGGGAGGGTAAGGTAGGAGAATCGCTTGAACCCAGGAGGCGGAGGTTGCAATGAGCTGAGATCACGCCACTGCACTCCAGCCTGGGTGACAGAGAGGCACTCTGTCTGAAAAAAAAAAAAAAAAAAAAAGAAAGAAAGAAATATTTGTGGAATCGCCAAATGTGCATGTGGGCCTCCCTGGCCAGGCTGGCCTGGGATGGCTCCCCGGGCTCCCGGCTGTGCCCGTCCCTCCCTGTCCCTGGCCCGTGACCTCCAGCCCCGGCTGGGGGCTCCCGACAGCGCCCCTGGCGCGGATCAAAGGGCCGAGGGGCCGGCGGCCCCGCACAGCTGCGGGCCGCAGGAAGCGCAGGGGCAGCCCTCGCTGCAGGCCCGGCCCCGACGCGGCGAGGAGGCCGGGGGAGGCCGGGAGGCTGGGAGAGGCCCCGCGAGGCCCGCAGAGCGCGCCCGTCTCGCCGCGCATTCCAGCCGCGTGATTGACGCGCGTACCGGGGCCCCCGCCCGCGGCTCCCGCCGCCGCCCGCCCGGCCCGCGGCCGCCGCATCAAAGCAGATGTTTGCAGCTGGTTTGAGTTGGATCCCCATCAACAGGCCCTTTTTTGTCTCAAAATAAAAAACAGCTACGCCCGGAATGATAAGGACGCGGCAGGCACGTGGGGGAGATGTCAGCGAGTCCGGCAGGGAGGAGGCCGGGCGGCTCCCTCTCTAAGTGACAGGCTGACTCTAGCAGCAGCAGCCGTGACCCCCAGAGTGTCTAGGGTCCTGTCGCCTAGCTCCTGTGAACTGCAGCTCATCCTTCAGCCGGCATCATCAGAGCCCCGTCCCGCCCACAACCATAACCTCAGCCACCACACTGAGCGCTTACTGTCCGACATGCTCTACAGCCTGCCATCCTGGGCACCTCGCCACCAGCCTAGGGAGGAGGTGTGACACAGGAAGGTCAATACATTATGATGATTACCCATAAGGTGGGAATTGGGGTCACCAGTTTTCAAATGGGAAAACCAGTTCAGAGAGCGGAGAGGGCTTGTCCCAAGTCAGGCAGCTAGGAAGTGGCAGAGCCGGGATTTAAATCCATTCCTTCTGCTCCAGAACCGGGTTCTTAGGTATGTGTTATGTCACCTTTTCCAAGAAGTCCCCAGATAGACTCTTGGTGCTTTCTGTGCCTCTCTGCTTGCCCAGCATGCCCCAGTACCCCATCCAAGCACGTGTCCTACGGGATGAGATTCTAACTCCATGCCCCAAGTCCATGAGCCCAGCCCAGAGTCAGCCTCCATGGGTGTTTGCTGGGTGAATGTGAGAGGGTGTAGCCGGTGGGAACAGAAGGGCTGCAGTGCAAGGGCCAAATCTCATGGTCCCCATGGAGGGAGGAAGGTGTTTCCAGCAGTGGTTGCTGCTGGGACCGTGGGCTTGGGCATGGAGAGGCCCTAAAGGAAACCAGCCTAGAATCTGCCTGGTCCCCAGTGCGGGGCATACCTATAAAGGGACAGACAGACAGACAGGGAGAGCACAGACCCAACAGTGCAATTACGGGGCTTCAGACAAAAAAGGGAGGTGGGGAAGAGAAAGTTCCAGAGACAGACTGGGGAGGAGAAGAGAGCACACACCTATTAAGATCCCTCCTGTGCCAGACGCTGGGCCATGCCTTCCCACACTGGTTAAAATCACCAGATTCTCAATTACCAGGGAGGGACAGGTCAAACCCCCATTTGACAGAACAGGAATCTGAGGCTTGGAGAAGGGATGTGAATCACCCGAGGCTGTGCATCACCCGAGGCTGTGCAGCTGGTGATGGAGGTGTGGCAGCCACACCTGAAGATGGAGTAGGGGCTGACAGAGCTCTTGAGTGTGCAGGGGAAGGAAGGGACACAGGACAGAGGGTCTGGTTGGCTCCCCTTGAGTCAGATGTCCAGGCCTGGTCCAATCACTTCCAGTCACAAGAGTCACTTAGTACAAACATGGTACCCCCCGTGGTCTTTCCCTTGGTACAGGGGATGAGGGTGCTTTTGGGGTGGGGGACTCCCAGCCCTGCAGGAGGCATGCGTGGAACTCCACTGATACAAATTCAACAAACCGGACCCAAGTTGTGTTGTTGTGAAGGGGCTGGGGGCAGGAGGGCAAGTTCACTTACCTTGTTACCTGGTGGCAGTTTCAGACCCCTAGGAGCAGAATACCTGGTGTTTTTTTGTGCTAGCTGGCTGCCCATTTAGTTTCACACATGGTTGTTCATTCATTTGACAAACACTAACCACCTCCTCCATGCCAGTAAATTAGACCCAGTATCTGATTTCTGGGTTGGTAGGGACTTCAGACGCACAAATAACTGGAGAGTGGCTGGGATTCTGGCTATCAGGGAAGGCTTCACAGAGGAGGTGACACTTGAATTGGGTCTTCAAGGATGAAGAGGAGTTTAGCAAGATGCAAAGGAAGGGGGCAGAGAAGCCAGGCCTTGGAAGCAGATGGAATTTTAAGCACTAAGGAGGCAAGAAGGGACTTGCTATGTTCAGGGAGTAGTGAGAAGCCTGGCCGAGAGAGCTGGGTGTCACGGGGTGGGTGGGGCCTTGAGTGCCACAGCGAGGTCTTTGGGCTTATCCTGACATTTTGGGGTACTCTTGGACGTTCAGAAATGAAGAGGTTTGTAATCTAACTTCATGAGGAGGCAAGACCAAACTTTGGGTGTCTCTCTCCCAACCTTCTGCTTTCTCTCTGAAGTGGTAGGTAGCAGTGTCCTGGACAAAGGCTGGGAGTTGCCCTAAGCTGTGGCGGAGGGGCTGGACAGGGTTGCCTTGAGGAGTGGAAGAGGTCTACTGAGAGTAGAGAGACCTGAGTGGAGTGTGAAGTGTGAATTGTTCTGAGAACTCAAGGAAGAGCCACATAAACTGTAAAGGGCAGTGACGGGGTGTGGGAATGGCACCCTCAGAGGAGGGTAGGAGATCTTGACTCAGCAAGGGTAGTAAGCGGAGAGTTAGGGTGGTAAGTCCTGGAGAGTTGATAACAGTGATCATGATCACCGTTTATTGAGCCCAGCCCTGTAAGGCAGCCTCTGTCATCATCCCCATTGGACAGATGTGGACAGAGGCTCAAGAGAAGGGACTTGTGCAAGATTCCAGTGCTAGGAAGTGATAGGGCTGGGATTCCAAGCCCGGTGCATGCAGTCTGGACCTTAAGATCTGGGCATGAAGACCTGCTTGGAGAAGCTGGAGTGCTCCCAGGACATTAGGAAGCCAATGTTACTGGAGGTGAAAGAATCAGCCATACCCTGTGTGTCTCTGCAGCTGCCAGTGATTTAAGTCGAGACCATCCTGGCTAACACGGTGAAACCCCGTCTCTACTAAAAAATACAAAAAATTAGCCGGGCGTGGTGGCGGGTGCCTATAGTCCCAGCTACTCGGGAGGCTGAGGCAGGAGAACAGCGTGAACCCAGGAGGCGGAGCTTGCAGTGAGCCGAGATCATACCACTGCACTCCAGCCTGGGCAACAGAGTGAGACTCCATCTCAAAAAAAAAAAAAAAAAGAAATTAATCAGATTAGTAATCCATGTTCAAATGCTCCTGAAAAAATTGGCTTTCAGAGTTTTGTTTATTAGCCTTATGAGTTTAATAAATTGAGCATTAAACAAATAAACCCGTAAAAACTCAGAGGATATGGAGATATCTTCTCACAGCCTGGGACTCTTCAAAGGAGGGACATCCCTGAAAATGGAATTTCTTACTCCATAATATCAGATGATCCCCTGGAGGGGAAAAATGTGTTTGGAGGTAGGGGAGATGTGTATGGCCACCCCCACCTTCTGGAGGCCGGGCTGATGCTGAGTAATAAGAACTTGAGGTGAATCGGGCCCCAAGTCTCAGGAAGAGACAGACATGGGCATGGTGCCCAGGGCCCAGGGTAAGGGCAGCTTATGAGCAAAGGCACATGGAGATGCACAGAGCAGGGAGGGAGTATCTGGAGTATCTGGTGATGCTGCCGTGTGACCTTAAAAGAGTGACCTGGCCTCTGCACCTTTCTGTGCTCATCTGTAAAATGGGAATGGAAACAGCATCTTCCTTTGAGGGTTCTGTGAGGATTGAATGAGGTGATGCAGGCAGCTGATAACTGAGCATTATTAGTCCTCAGTAATGTTCTGAGACTGATAACGGAGCCAGGAGTGCTCTGTCCAGATCAGGCCAAACAAGCTAGAAGGGCTGGCCGGAACCCGGGGTGGTGGTGAGAAGGAGGCACAGTGGGGCCCTGTAAACCCAGTCAGCGTCAGGGAGGCTGCCCCCAGGAATCATGGAGACTCTAGCAAGGGTGAGCAACAAAGGCGTTTTGGGCACACACCGAACAAAAGAAATGTGGGGTACCTGGAGTACCTTCTTCATGCCAGCATGGTGCCGAGGGCTTTAAATGCATCCAGCCCCTGCCAACAACCCCATGGTCGGGGATGATCATTCCCTTTTTTTTTTTATTTTTTATATATTTTTTGAGACGGAGTCTCTCTCTGTCGCCCAGGCTGGAGTGCAGTGGTGCGGTCTTGGCTCACCACAATCTCCACCTCCCAGGTTCAAGTGATTCTCTTGCCTCAACCTCCGGAGTAGCTAGGATTACAGGTGTGTGCCACCATACCCGGCTAATTTTTTGTATTTTTAGTAGAGACGGGGTTTCACCATGTTGGCCAGGCTGGTTTTGAACTCCTAACCTTAAGTGATCCGCCCGCCTCAGCCTCCCAAAGTGCTGGGATCACAGGCGTGAGCCACCGCGCTGGCCTGATCATTCCCATTTTATAGATGAAGAATTTGAGGTTCAGAGAGGTCAAATGCCTTGCCTAAAGCTGCACAGCAAGGAAGTTATGGAGGTTGTGCCCGCCACACCTGCTGCTTTACACTGACAACTCGCTACATCTTCATGCTGAGATGCAGGCAGTGTTGTCCAGCCCATTGTATAGATAAGTGAGCTGAGGCTCGAGAAGAAAAATTACTTGCCCGGTCACCAGCTAGCAAGTGGTGGGACAAGGCATGGAACTCAAGTCCATGTGATTCCAATGCCACCTGTCTGTGGCTGGGCCTTCTTCTCAGTGGCTGGCTCCATAGTCCTCCGTGGTGGGAGGCACGAAGAGAGGGGGAATGGGGGCTCACAGAGAAGAGGGAACCCCGCTGGTATCCCCAACCCCTCCCATACACGCCATTAGTCGCTCTCACCCCAGCACAGTAGACAAAGGCAGCCCCATAATTGGGAGTGAGTATTTCATGCATCCCCCCCGATGTTTTATTGGGTGGAGAGATGCTTGGAGACCAAACGGATGGCGCATTCTGTTTATAAAGTGCGCGCAGTTTGTTTTATTTCCTGAGTTTTTGCAATCTAGATAACAGATGATACCCTGAGTGGCTGGCGCTGCCTCTGTAATGGCGGCACTGAGCCTTTGGAGAAGTATTAATAATAGATTGTGTTGATGAGTTTGGAGAAAGTAGCAATCGACCCCCTGCTGCCAAGGCATTAGCGCGGCTGTTCTGAGCACAGCCAGCACTGTGGCTTTGACTGCAAATGCAGGTCACCCGCCCTGCTGCCCCTTCCCCAGCCTAAGAAGGTTTCCTCTCCGGGAGTCACCCAAGGTGTGCTGACCCTGGCCTGGGACCCTGGGACCGTGGCGCTCCCACGCTAGCAGCGACACGGCCAGTGTCTGTCCACTCAGAGGCCGCAGAGGTCAGGCTGCAGACCTTAGTGTGGCCACTAGGTCAGGTGGAGTGTGGGGAGGGGACAGAGGGGCAGTAGGGGTTGGGGGAGGACCACCCTCCATGTCAGAGCACCGGGTTCTACAAACCCAGGCTCCTTCCTCAGCCCCTCGGGAGAGCTGGACAGCCAGCCAGATTCCTAGGGCCTCTGCCTAAAGCTGTCACTGACAGTTGGGTAGGTTGTGCCCTGAACAAGGGGATTCAGCCAGAGGGCCAAATTAGAGCCAAAATCCAGCCCACATTCCCCTTGCAGAGCCATGCCCTGCAGGCTGGTGGGGTCCAGCATGCCCAGAGCAGAGCCTGGCCTCAGCCTCAGCTCACCCCAGGCCTTTACTCACCTACTCTGTAAACACTCACGGAGGCCCCCTTGAGGATCAGATGGGGCCAGGTCCTGTCTCATGGAACCCTGGTAGAGGTGGTAGAGTTGGGCACCAACAGGGACATGCATTGTCATTCTGCTGTGATACCCGTGTACTGAGTTACATGCTCAGCATCCTCGAATCCTGACAACAGCCTTCAGGAAGGGCTTGACATCTCCATTTTACAGGAGTAAACTGAGGTGGGGGACGCTGAGGGGAGCATAGAGGAGGCTACCTCCCCCAGACTGGGGCATCAGAGAAGGCTTCCCAGAGGAGGTGGCATTGGAGTTGGGCATTGCAGGATGAGTAGGAGCCTGCTGGGTAGAATAGAGGTGGGTGGCAGGGGTTGCTGGGGGTGCCCCCTGCTGAGTGCTCTGGCCAGTGCCCAGGCAGCATGCAGAGCTCCAAGTGGCCCTGCCCACTTCGCCCCACCAGCTCGCCGTGGGCGGTTCTGACGGCAGCTCCAGGAAGGGAGGCAGGCGAGTGCCTCCCATTTATGGCCATTTCTGTTCCAGAACCGATTAGTAGAGAATTGCAGCTGTAATCTGTGCCCGTGATGGTGGGCCATAAAGAGGGATGGGATGTGCACAGCGCTCCCAAGGTGGCGCCCGCAGACATGGCCCGGGGACGCCGGGAATGAAAAATGGTTTTAATTCCCTCCCAGCAGCAATAATTTGATTCTTCATAAATTTTTCCATCAAAGTGTTGTTGAGCTGAGTTCCCACAGAGCAGGACACGTGACAGGGTGGGGGAGTGTCGGGAGGAGCGGTCAGCAGACACAGCAGAGGAGGGGCCGTGCTGCCCAGCCCTCCTGCTAGTGCTGACCAGGGCCCGGAGACCACCTCTCCCGGCCCTCGTTTGTCTGCAGAGATGATGGGAGATGGGAGATGGAATCACGTTGTCATGTGGAAGCTGGATTAGGCCCAGCCTGGGAGTTGCCTCCAGCATTTACTACCCATGCGACCCTGAGCAAGCAACTCTGCCTCTTAGCACCTCAATTTCCTCATCTCTAAAATGGGGTTAATGTTCATTCTTTTCTTGCAGGGTTGTTGCAAGGATTAAATGCGTCTCTGCATATAAGATGCTTAGAGCAGGGCTGGCACTCTATACGTGCTCAGTGAATATCTGTTCGTGATGGAGATGCGTAAGCTGAGACGGAGGGATGGGAAGGTGTTAGCCAAGCCAAAGGACAGAGAAAGATGGGTCGAAAGATGGCTGCCATGATAGTGCTCTGGAGAAACTGCAGGCTGTTCTTTGGGGCTGCAGCCTGGGGAAGCAGAGGGTAGAAAGGGAAGAGGCGGGATCATGAAGGGCCTTGAGTGCCAGCCTCAGGAGCTCGGATGGTCTCCTAAGGGCACTAGGGAGCCATGGAAGAGTCTGGAGCAGGGAAGCAGCTTGATCCGATTTGTATTTTAGAAAGATCCCCCTGGCTCCTGTGTGTGTGACGGTTCCTGTGTGGGCTGGGGTTTGAAGGATTGAAGGGGCCAGGAGCCCAGAGAGGGGACCAGGCAGTTGCTCGGGCAGGAGAGGAGGGGCCCAGGCTGGGCAGTGGGTTGGGCAGGGCTGGGAATTGCTTGGATGTGTTGGTGAGGGAGGATCAGAGGAGAGGCAGACCAGGGAGCTGAGGTAGAAAGGATCCTTTCCAGCCAGGGGCTGACCTGGCCCCCAAGGAAAGTTTGAGTGGACCCTCCACACTGCCCTCTTGTGGCCACCGTGTCTCTGAGCTGGAAGGGCCCTGAGCTGCCACGCCCGGGACAGGTGACTCTAGGCAGGATGCCAGCACCCACCCCAGGGCCACTGGGGGCCTGTAGGCAGAAGAATAGGGCTGCAGGGCCCTTCTGCTGTCTGACCTGGTGCCCAAGGAGGGCCTCTCCCTCCCACCTGGGCCTGAGGGTCAGGGTGGCAAGAGGGAGAGGCCCTCGGCAGGAGTGGCCTCTGGGAGGGACTTCTGAGCACCGCCAACACGCCCGCTTTGTGCATCCGCAGGCTCTTCGCGGCCAAGTGCAGCGGCTGCATGGAGAAGATCGCCCCCACCGAGTTCGTGATGCGGGCGCTGGAGTGCGTGTACCACCTGGGCTGCTTCTGCTGCTGCGTGTGTGAACGGCAGCTACGCAAGGGCGACGAATTCGTGCTCAAGGAGGGCCAGCTGCTGTGCAAGGGTGACTACGAGAAGGAGAAGGACCTGCTCAGCTCCGTGAGCCCCGACGAGTCCGACTCCGGTGAGGCCTGGCCTGAGCTGGGGGCAGGCCTCAGGGACGGGGGTTGCTGGGGTGTCCTGGAGGGGAGTCCCGGCTGGAGAAGCCACCTCCTGCTTCCAGGACCTGAGCTGCACACAGATGGTACATGCATATCCAGATGCACACGCGCACTGACGTGTCCACCTGTGTGCACATGATACGAACATGCATCCCCCCAGGCACACTACCCCTGAGACCTACGCATCCATACATATAAACATATGTGTGATCACATGTGTGCACACAAGCACATAAAATGCATGCAGGAATACCCCTACCCTGAGTATGGATACATGTACATGTATGTGGAGATATGTGTTCACATACCCGGGAATTCAAAAGCCACACCCAGGTCCACACACACAAGTGTACACACTTAAGCATACATACACATACACACATGACACAGCACACTTGTGCACTAAACACCGGTCCACATGGCTGCACATATATGTTTGTCCACATGCTCACATGTACTGTGGATTGTGCTTGTGTGCACACACACACCTCTTGTTCTCTGGCCCACCCCCCTTACCCTCTCTGCCTTGATGGCCCCCCACCAACCCGCAGCCCAGCTCCACAGGGGTCTTCACCAGCACCCAGTCCACAGGCTGGGGATGCCTGAGAGGCAGGGAGATGATGTGCCTTCCCCTTCTCAGCCCCCTGGAGCCTTCAGCAGTGAGAAGCAAACAGCCTCGAGCCAGCCTCTGTTTCCCAGCCGAAGGGAGGGGGCTGGGCCCTCTGTGCTGGAGGGAAAGACCCCATTTCCCAGGGTGAAGGACCCTCCCTCCTCTGCTCTAGCCCCCAAAAGGACGAGGCCAATTTGAAGGCCTCCTGGCAGACAGGGCAAGCCCAGCCAGGAGTGAGCCTTAAGGAGGGAAAGCCCAGGAGGTGGCTTTGGTCCTTGTTCTTCCTGGGAACAGTGGGGAAGGACTGGAGCAGGAGGCATGGAGAGGAGGTGTCCCGGTCTGCCAGGCCCCATGGGTAACCTGGAGCCCTCCGGCAACAGGATCTGCCACATGGGAAGGGTTTTCCATGGCCAGGGCCTGCGTGGAGGCAGTGAGCCCACCACCATCTGTCCCTACCCATCCCTGGGCAGGGCACTGCTGCAGCCAGCTCCATGGCTTCCAGCTGCCTGGACTCCTGAGGAAGAGCAGAGGCTGGCCAGCCCCAGCAGAGGGGGTCTCAGTGGGAGGAGATCACCCGCCTCATACTCCAAGAACAGGATTGAAGAAAGGAGACCAGCCTGGGGGGCAGCGGGAGGCCCAGTGGTGGCTGGGGAGGCTTGGCCATCCATCTGGGGCTGCTGGCATTTCTGAGACCCAAACCTGGGGCGGGGAAGTGCCATGTGTGCATGGTGGGTGTGGCTGTAGCACTGGGAGAATGCACATGCTTCCGCACGCTGTGTGTGTCTGTCCAGATGCATGCATGCCTGTACGTTCCTGCCCGTGAGCATGGGCCCATGTGTGTGAATACGCCTGTGAGTTGCACGCGTGAGGGCCTTTGTGAGCCCACGTGTATGTGGCAGCAGGTGAGTGTGCATCTTACGAGTGTGTGCGTGCATACGCTGTGGTCAGAAGCACTCTTGTGTGAATATCTGTGGTGTGTGTCTTTGCTTGCACACTTTCGTGTATGTCCACACAGCCATGTGCACAACCGTGCGTGCACCTGTCTGCCTGTTCCCCGAGTGGGCCTGCCTTCCTGAAAGTGTGTGCAGCCACATGTACGTGTGTGCATGCCTGTGCTGTGGTTGTCCGAGGCGCACCTGTGTGAGTTCCTGTGCAGGTGTGCCCTGCGGCCCAGGATGAGGGAGTGAGGCGTGTGTGCCGGGGAAGGGACTCGCAGGGTACAGCAGGCAGGAGACCAGGGCCCAGATGAGGTAGGGCCTGTGGGCCACGGGAGGGAAGGAGATCTTATCCTGGGCCACTGGGGAGCCACGGCAGGTGTCAACAGAGGGGACAGGCTCCCATCGGGCAGCAGGTTGCCGAAGGGGACAAGGCTGAGGCCTGGGCTGCCCCCGCCCCTTCATCACAGGCCGGGTTGTGTCCCCCACAGTGAAGAGCGAGGATGAAGATGGGGACATGAAGCCGGCCAAGGGGCAGGGCAGTCAGAGCAAGGGCAGCGGGGATGACGGGAAGGACCCGCGGAGGCCCAAGCGACCCCGGACCATCCTCACCACGCAGCAGCGAAGAGCCTTCAAGGCCTCCTTCGAGGTCTCGTCGAAGCCTTGCCGAAAGGTGAGGGGCGGCCGGGGGGCGGGGCTCAGGCTGATGCCCGCACACCCACTGCCTTTCTGGAGACCACCCCCTGCTCCTGCTGGGGGTAGGGACATCCCTCCATCCTCCATCTCTCCGCACATCCCATCATACCCCTAAACCCACCATCTCCCCGTTGCTGCCCCTGGAGGGCCTGACCTGTTCCCCTCTCTCTGAGCCAGGTCCGAGAGACACTGGCAGCTGAGACGGGCCTCAGTGTGCGCGTGGTCCAGGTCTGGTTTCAGAACCAAAGAGCAAAGGTAAGAGGCCACCCCCCATCCCCACTGGCCCCGGGTAGGGTGGGACTAGAGGGGGCAGCCAGAAGACTACGGTCCAGGGGGCGTGGGGCTGGCTGTGCCTGGGGGCGAGGGGCAGCACCGGCCTGAACTGCGCTCTCCCTGCAGATGAAGAAGCTGGCGCGGCGGCACCAGCAGCAGCAGGAGCAGCAGAACTCCCAGCGGCTGGGCCAGGGTGAGCCGGGGCCGGGGCAGGGCCTGGGCCAGGGTGAGCTGGGGCCGGGGCCAGGGGTGGGCCTAGGCCAGGGTGAGCTGGGGCAGAGGCTGGGGCTGGGTGAGCCTGGGCCAGGGCTGGGACCGGGGCTGCACCTGTCCCAGGGCTAGGGACAAAGGGGCCCGGGATGTTTCTTTTAACAAAACTTCTCAAAAGCCTTCCACCAAGGCCATCAGATCCCAGGGAACTTCTGCTTTAAAACCACTGAGACAGAGAAATAGAGAAGCCATGGGGACTAGGGGACCCAGGGAGGAGAGATGGCAGAGTGGCTGCCTGGAGGGTTGGCAGAATTTCTGCAATCAGAACAGCAACAGTCTACTCACACTCACTGCGTGCAGACACGGGTCTCAGCCTTCAGCACACCCCATCTCACCCTGTCCTCATAAATCACTGCAAGGGGGGGTATTGCCATGTCCCATTTCACAGATGAGGAAACTGAGGGACTGCCTGGGATCCCTCAGCCAGTAAGGCAAAGCTGGACCTCAGCCCCAAGCCTGGAGCTCAAGCCTGTACCTTTAACAGGATGACACTACCCCACTGCCGGAATTCTGCAGACAAAGCTTGTCAGGGCGTGAAGGGCCTGGGGAGTCGGGAGGGACTAGCTGCAGGGGCATGAGTCAGGCCCCCTCATCACTGGGCTTTACCAAAAATCGTGTTTCCACATCAGAATCTTGAGCCAGGGCTGGTCTCCTGGGCCTTCAAAGCCATGAGGGAGGAGCAGGGAGCTCCCTGGGACTGCTGAAGCAGGCGGGGGACAGAGCTGCCTGCGCCCTGGTGAGAGGGAGGCTTCTGGGCAGGTGCCAGGGCACCAATGGGCAGATACCAGGGCACTGGGGGCCAGGCCAGTGTCCCAGGCTGGACTTGGCTTCTAATGACACAGCCTTAGTGCCTGCTGCTTCCTCGCTTCCCCCTCTGCCCCTCCTGGGGCTGCAGTCACTGCCTCTGGTCTCCCAGCCATGTCCTGGGCTATGTCTCACCCCTCAGTGTTCCTAGCTGCTTCCTGGACACAGCCTCCCTGAGAAGGTCCCACAGTCCCCCCAGCTCATCCCAACCCATGCCGTATGCTCCATCCTGCCCACACGCACATGGCATGCCCTGCTCCTCCCCACCCTTCTCTGCAAATGGCACCACCATCCGCCCTGTCCGAGCCAGGAACCAGGAGTCACCTCTGACCTTCCCCATCCCACACTGCTGATCCACTGAGGTGCCAAGTTGGGGAGTGAAGTCTTCTCATGTCTCTCGCACCCTCCTAGGAGCTGTCTCTCCCACAGCCACCTTGACAGAGACCCCACCCTTCCTCTGGCTTCCTCACCCACTGGCCCCAGCCTCGGTCTCCTCCTCCAGCCTTTCTCACCCTCGTCTACCAAACCCTCCAGCGGCTCCCAGCGGCCTCGGGGACCCCCACCCAGCTCGGCACCCCAGGGCTCCCCATGACCTGTGGTCCCTCTCAGCTGGTCTCCCCCACACCGACCTCTCTCCCTGCCTCTTGGCCCCACGTGCTGCACCCTCACTTACCCGGCGGTCTGTCTCCTCCATGCCTTTGCCGCCCCTCAGCCTGGCTTGCCTCCCCTGCTCTGGCCTGTTGAGCCCCTGCTAGTTCTTTAAGTCACATCAGGGCGGGGGCCCTTTCCTCCAGGAAGTCTTCCCGGGGCCTTTTTGGCCTGGGTCTGGGACCTTGGTGCTCCCAGATGCAGCGCAGAATCACTATTGCCTGTGTGGGGTCTGCCGCCTCCCTGGATCCCCTGGAGGGGCGGGGTGGTGGGAGGAAAGAAGATGAGGAGGGGAGGACTCTGGCTTTTGGTAAGCTGAGCCTGGAGGAGGAGCTGGAGTGTGCACCTGGGGAAGGGGCTGGGGAGTCAGTGTCTGGACAGCTTCAGCCAGAGTGGGGTGCCTGGGGAGTCCCAAGGAGATCAGAAGGGGAGGCTGCTGGGGTGTAGCTGGGAGGGCGTGGACCAGGCCAGGGGGTGAAGGCTCACTGTGCCCCCAGAGGTCCTGTCCAGCCGCATGGAGGGCATGATGGCTTCCTACACGCCGCTGGCCCCACCACAGCAGCAGATCGTGGCCATGGAACAGAGCCCCTACGGCAGCAGCGACCCCTTCCAGCAGGGCCTCACGCCGCCCCAAATGCCAGGTGACCACATGAACCCCTATGGTAAGCCGCCCTACCCCCACCCGCCCGCCCCAGCACAGCCCCTGCCCCCTGCCAGGCCAGGCAGGCCTGGGGCCAGGACAGCCACCTGCTGCCCTAGGGCTCAGGCAGCATGGCCAGCACAGCCCTCCTGCCCCTGCTGACAGGAAGGGCCCCAGTCCTTCTTGGCCGGCACTAGTCAGCAGGCCATCCTGTCTCTCCCTGGCCTCCAGTCACACAGCCTACAGGGCAAACAGGGGGCCCCCAGGAGCCCCAGCCTGTACCCCGGTCCTGACACCCCTTCTGCCCCCCAGGGAACGACTCCATCTTCCATGACATCGACAGCGATACCTCCTTAACCAGCCTCAGCGACTGCTTCCTCGGCTCCTCAGACGTGGGCTCCCTGCAGGCCCGCGTGGGGAACCCCATCGACCGGCTCTACTCCATGCAGAGTTCCTACTTCGCCTCCTGAGAGCCAGCCAGGCGCACGGACGCTTGGGCAGGGGCCTGGGGGGGACTGCCAGCCTCTGCGGCCAGCCTGGCCACCCCCGCCCTGCTCTCCGCACAGACTACAGACAGCCATACGGTGCCCTCCCCTCGGCCAGCTGGGCCTGACCACTGTGCCCGTTGGGTACAGCCAGACCGGTAGATGGGCACAGCCTGGGCAGGGGCTGTGTCCTGCCCACAGAGACCTTGTCATCCCCAGGGACCCAGAGCTCTCGGACGGCCACTCGCCTCCCAGCCCCACCTCGGCCTCCATCGCCTCCTCCCCATCTCTTTTTTGGGAAGCTTAAATTCTCTCTATTTTTTTAAATGTCCTCTCTGTGTCCATGGCCCTCCATGCAAGCCCCAGGACAATGGTGTCATGAGGCGGTGACCTGAGAAGCGTGTGTACCTGTGCCCCAGCAAGGGCAGGGGTGGCCTCTGGGGGCAGGCCCACTGCCTGGAACCGCACACCCCTCAGCCTGAGTCTGGAGCAGCAGTGGAGAGGGGCCTGAGGGGAGGCACTGTCAGGAGGCGGGCTCGGAGCCTGAGCCTGGGCAGGCGCAAAGGGACAGAGAGGCACGTGCAGACACATGCACACTTGCAGACAAACCCACGCAAACACACACACAGCTGTATGGGGACACCAGAAGGGACAGGGATGCTCAGCGGGTCTGTCCTGCCTTGTCAGAAAGAGAAAAGGAGGCCAGGCAGGGGACCCCCCAGTTCTTAAGAGCGATTGGAAAGGGAGGAAGGGGAGAGGAAGAGGCGAACTTGAAGCATCGGACCCAGTTGTATCCCAGCCTGGGCCCAAATGGGGGCAGCCTGGGCAGGGAGGGCAGCCCCAGGCCCCACCAACTCTAGAGGCAGATGGAGCCCCCAGAACCAGGTAGCATCAGACCAGACAACAGAGCCTCCAGGGGTCAGGGACTTCAGAAGCACCTGCTGGGCACCCCATCTGCAATGTGGTCCTCTCCCCAGCCACCTCTGCCTCCCCTCACATACCTCCAGTGACAAGGAGCTCACTAGGTCAGCGAGCCCACAGCAGCTGTGCTGTCCTGCATCCCAGAGCCAGGCTTCCCCAGCTCTCCCTCTTAACACTGTCCCCCAGCAGGCCTCCGGCTGTCCCTCTAAAGGTGTGGGGCAGGTATCACTTCACCTTCCCACTGATGTCAGCCGGCCAGAAGTGAGCAGGCACATCACCTCTCCTGCTGTGGCACCCTTCCTCTGTTAATTTGGCCCAAAAGACAATGATTTGGCCACATGACCTTAGAGATTCACCCTGCCCTGCTGTAGCTAAATCCCTGGGCCCCACACGCAAGTGACAGCTAAGCCACATCTGTTTTCTGTGTATATGCAGGATGGGGGCACCTACTGTTTTGTTTTGTTTTGTTTTGTTTTGTTTTGTTTTGTTTTGTTTTGTTTTGTTTGAGACGGAGTTTCGCTCTTGTTGCCCAGGCTGGAGTGCAATGGCGCGATCTCGGCTCACCACAACCTCCGCCTCCCAGGTTCAAGTGATTCTGATGCCTCAGCCTCCCTAGTAGCTGAGATTACAGGCATGCGCCACCACACCCAGCTAATTTTGTATTTTTAGTAGCAACGGGGTTTCTCCATGTTGGTCAGGCTGGTCTCCAACCCCCGACCTCAGGTGATCCGCCTGCCTCGGCCTCCCAAAGTGCTGGGATTACAGGCGTGAGCCACCGCACCCAGTCTGCACTTACTGTTTAGACTGAATGAGGGACCGTGACCTCTTTCCTTTTCCATTCCTTCTTACTCGATTCATTCCAGCCTGTGGAATTTCTCTGCACCCTGATTCAGTGACCACTGCTCTCCTCTCTCCCAGCACATCTGCCCAGTGAGGAGTTGGCCCTGGGTCTCACCTGAGGTGTGTGGACCGGGCTGGCCTCTCCCTGTTTGACATTGGCCCATTAATGCATCCTCTTTGGGGGACACATTCCAATTGCATTTCCTGCCCCCTTCTCCCAGGGCAATTGCAGAAGATTGTGTCAGGCGCCCTGCTGGAAGTCAGGTGCACTAGATCCATCCCCAGCCCCAGTCTGCTCAACTCTATCCCTGTCAGAGCAAGGAGGCTGGGCTGCTGGGGCCTGACTGGTGAGCCCACCCTGTCCCCTGGTGATCACTGTGTCCCCTTGTTCAGGTGCTCACAACCCTACCTTTAACTCTGAGGTCAAGCCCTAGGCCACCACCCTAAAGTCTGCCTGGTCCAACCTTTGAGCAAGTAAGGATAATGAATGTCCCTTTTCCACCTTTGGGGCCCTCTGCCTGGATCTCTGGAATCCTCTAAGTTCAACCTGTTCTGTGGTTTTGCTCCCGTTTGCTGGGAAATTCAGTCCCCCCAGAATGTCCTGGGCCAACCTCCTTGCCTGACATGTGGCCTCGTGTCACCCATTGGGCCCCAGCAGCCAGCTAGCCCTTCTGCAGCTCTTCTTACAAACAGAGCCTCTCCAAGGACCTCAGTTGATGTTCTGGTCCTTCTGCCGCCTCAGCCCACCAGGGTCCGTGCCACCATGGGTCTCTTGAGCAGCAGCTGCACTGGCTTCTGGAGAGACACCCCTCTTTCTCCTTTTGCACATGCACCATCTGAATCGTGCCAGGGACATCCTGGGCAGATTCAGGGGCAGATGCCCTATCCCCCAGGAGACCTGGCCCTTCTCTCTCAGACCCAATAAGTTGGAAGGGACGTCAGAAGCGGTCATCTCATCTGCCCCTTATTTTATAGTTGGAAACCCTGAGGCAAGAGAGGGAAAGAGGCCTGTCCAAGGTCCGGGTTAGTGACAGAGCTGAGCTGAGAACAGGGACGTTGTGCCCCACTGTCCCCTGTGGTTTGTGAATGACCTCCAGGTCAGGGGGTCACAACTTGTTCTTAGTAAACTTGCCAGCTGTTGGGGTCACATATTCCCATTCTGGGGCCTCACAAACCCCCGAATCCAGCCGGGACCCCATGCCAGGAGCTGGTCTAGGGACAGCATGCTTGTGACCCACAGACTGTTAAAGCCAGAAGGGACCTCAGAGAGTCCCTTATGCTGGAGGCGCCCTGTCAGCCGTGGCTAGGGGCCCCTTGCTCTATGCTGTGCCTTGCTGCCCACAGGCTCCCAGACACCAGTGCCCACTCTGCCCAGCCCCGGACTGGGTGTGGCTCGCAGATGAACAAGATGCAGGGCCTGCCTTGAGGGGTGTCTCCTAGAAGGAAAGCCAGACTCTCCGGCCCAGCCAGAGAGTCCAGACATGGCAGGGACCCGTTTCTCAGATGAGGAGCCTGAGGCTCAGAGAAGGGAGGCGATGTGTTCAGGGCCACCCAGCAGAAGCCTGTGGGGCTGGGCAACCTTCTCCCACTTTATGGGAGGAGCTGCAGCCTTGGCTGGGAGCTGGGCGGGGAGTAGCCAGGACCACCCCTTGCCCGTGCCGTGACATGGAACCTTCATCACTAAGGGGGCTGGAGTGGGAAGAGGGAGATAACTGTGTGGTCTCCAGAGCAAAAGAGAATGAGAGGTGGGCAGGGGGAGTCTTGGCAAAAGACCAAGTTCCACTTCCCTGCTGGGGAAGTCAAGGCTCAGAAAGAGGAAATAATTGCCCCAGGTAACACAGGGCAGAGGAGGGACAAAAAGCTGGGCATGGCCCCAGCCAGAGCCTCATCTGCCTACTCCGTGAAGCCTCCCAGGTACTCTGCTATCCTGGGAAACGCACAGGGAGGCCACACAGAGACACTGCTCACAAGAGTCAGACCAAGGTGCCAGCACAGCCTGGAAAGAGCTCAGAAAGGGGGTTGGTGCACGTGGCTGGGCATCTTAGGAGGCTTCCTGAGGGTGGGTAAAGGTGGGAAGGCCCTGGCGCTGCATCAGATGAGCAGGGCCTGGCAGGGACAAGCCTCTTCTCCTTTGGGAAGCCCTGCAGCCTCCTAGCAAGAGGCTGATTCCCCACTCTGCCCCCATCTGAATGTCCTTTTCATGTTGCACGCAGGGAACCTCAGGAAGGAGGATTGCCTGATGCCTGCCTGGCTCCATCCTTGAGCTCTGGGCACCACCTAGGGTGAGGGAGAGCCTGCAGCTCTGGGGCTAAGTCTGCCCTGGGGGGAAAGGGCTCCACGCTCACACGCACGCGCTCGCACACACACACTCACACCTGGACGCACACGGAGGCTTGCGGACCCATACTCACAGGCACATGTGGCCTGGGGACTGGGGGAGCAGGAAAGACCCCTCCAACATTTGGCCCTTGGAAGGCACCATTGCCAATGAGCCTCTTTGCTGGTTCCCCCGACCCCACCTGGGGGTCCCATGGGAGCCCAGCCCAGCCAGGTGTGGGGATGGGCCACCGGCCATTCCTGTTTTCCTTGTACAGACAGATTCTCACTACCCACCCGCCATCCCCAGACACATTTTATTTAATAACTTGTCATTGTTAAATTATTTATTAGCGTTTACCACACCACCACCCCCACCCTGCCCTCCACTCTCACCTTCCACCTCTTCCCACAACAGCAGAAAATGGAAACAACAACAAAAAAAGATGAGACATCAGTATATTTGTAAATAAACCGACCTGTACACTCCTGTGGTCTTCTCCTTGGTGGGCAGGGCCCGGGTGGAGGAAGGGGCTGTCCTGGGCCTGGGCCGGTCTTTGCACGTGACATTAGCAGATTTGTTGATGGCCACCAGGGACAGCAGGTCCGGAGGCGGGAGGGCTTGAGGTCCCTATTCTTGCCCAACCCTCCTGTGATTCTCTTCTCTTCCACCTTTGTCTCATCCCAACCCTGAGCCATCTCCAACCTTAAAAGAAATGCATTCACCCCATCTCCATTTCACTCTATCCCATTCTCCAACACTTTCATTCATTCAATCAACCAGTATTTGCGAAGGCCCCTTAAGTGCCAGCCACCAGGCTGAGAACTGGGGATTGGCTATCCCTGCTTCAAGGAGATCGCAGTGTGATACAAGCTCAGTTGAGGTACAAAGAAACCCTGTTGCCCGGGTACCCAACCTCGTCTGGAGGGTGGAGCATCATGGAAGGCTTCCTGGAAGAAGCTACATATTAAGCTGTGATCTGAAGTTACCTGGCATCAGGAGGACTGAGAGTGAGAAGGGGTGTCTGAGAGCATTCCAGACTTGTCCAAAACCTCAGGGGCAGGCAAAATCTTGTGAATCTCCTAAACTGCAAGAACAGCAAAGTTTGAGGGCAGGGCCAGACCGTTCAGGGCCTTGCTGCCAAGTAGAGAATAGATCCGATTAGATCAAGGTGACTGGATGGAAGCAGGGAAGTCAGTTGGGTCACCAGGTGAGAGGTGACGATGGCTTTGACTAGGGTGGCAGTCTCCAGGGCAGATCCCGGAGATATTGGTGAGGGGGGAGTCCAGGCAGCATCTAGGTCCCTGGATCACCGAGACGGGGGCACAGGAGGCACAGGGAGTGGGGACATGTGTGGTCTGGGCGTGTGAGCTTAGGGTCTCCCAGGCATCCAAGTGGAGACGTCCTGGGCCAGGGCTGGGCCTCAGAGTGACCAGACGGGATGCTGAGCACCCGGGTCTTCAACCAGGTGGCTGGCCACTGAGGCACGGGATGGATGAGTTCCCCAGAGGAGGACGGCATGGGAGGAGGAAGAAGCTGAAGCCAAACCCTGAGGAATCGTGAGGACTTGGGATGGGATGTGGCTGTGGGGTCTCTAGAGATGGTGGCAGGGATGGGGAGTATGGTGGTGATGGCAGAGACTCGAGGGAATTTGGTTTCCAAGGTGCATTCCTTGAAACTCTCAGGGTGTGTGTGCATGTGTGGACGTGTGTGTGTCTATGGAATAGCTCTGTGGGCCGGTTTGCCTGGATATGTCCTGCATGAAGCTGGGGGTCTGCAGGTGTCAGACCATCGTGCATGGCTGTGTCTCCTGGCGAGGCCGCATGTCTCTGCACCTGGAGACACGTGTCCCTGATGTGGCGACGTGCTGGTGGAGATGTTTGCATACCCCACACGGCGTCATTGCCTATCTTTGCATGTCTGCATCTGGGAGGCCTCTGGGCCTCCTGTCCGCAGACCTGACGTCCCAGTGTTCTCTCCCTTCTGCCAGCCCTCTGGTTGCTCCCCGACCTCCTCTCCCCACACCTGTGGCAGGGACCACCCGAAGGCCACCTCTCATCCCTGGATGCCCGCGGGCACCAGCGCCCCCTAGGGGCAGGCCCCGCCCTGCACCCTCTTCTGGGCTCTCCATTCACAGCCCTCCCCGGGCAGTTCCAGCTGCCTTCAGAGTCTAACGACTTGGAGGACCTCCGGTTCATGTCCTCCTCTACACTCCAACAACCCCAAGAGGCAGGTCCCCATGTTTCTGAAGGGAAAACCCAGGCTTGGAAGGCGAAAGCGACCAGCCCAATGCAGCAAAGCTAGCAAGGGACAGCCGAACCAGGGCTCGAACCCAGGTGCAGTTGCAAACCCATGGCCTGGCCACCACGCCAGCTGCCTCCCCAAGACCAGACTCTCTGGCCCTGCGATCCGGTCCTCCAGGTCAGGCCCAGGGTCCCGGGAACAAGGAAACTCCTACCTTCAGAGTGCCTCACTGAGGCTCAGAGAAATCAAGTTGCTCAACCCAGACTGCACAGCACAGAGGGAGGATTAATGGGGCTTTCTGTCCAAGCCACAGGCTGGGCTCATGTGAGGAGCTCTCTAAGCTCCACCCTCGCCCATAATGGGCTGACAGCTCTCTTGCCTACAGCAACCGTTTAAAATCCTGTCACTAAAAAATGTGGGGTGAGGGGTGAAGGGGAGGAGCTGTGCTAATCCGTCTCTCCCTTGTCACCTGCCTGTCTTCTTTCCCTAGCCCAGAAGGTAAAGGCATGGGTTGGCAGAGAAAATGTAGGCTGAGTCCCGGGGAATAAGCGGTCACCCTCTGAACCCCCTTTCTGGGAGCAGATTTTTAATTTTGACTGTCACCCAGGCTGGAGTGCGGCGGTGCAATCATAGCTCACTCTAAACCTCAGACTCCTGGGCTCAAGCAAGCCTCCAACCCAAGCCTCCTGAGTAGCTGGAGCTACAGGCACACGTCACCATACCCAGCTAATTTTTTAAGTTTTTCTGTAGACACGGAGTCTCTGTTGCCTACGCTGGTCCTGAACTCCTGGTCTCAAGCAACCTTCCCACCTTGGCTTCCCAAAGCACTGGGATGATAGGTGCGAGCTGCTGTGCCCAGCCCAGGGGCCAGTGTTAAACAGGACGGGCACTAGTGGAATGCCTGCCCCTGCCAGTCTCAGACTTTGGGCCATTGGCCCTCACGACAACTCAGAACAGCTCCTAGCCCATTGCACAGATAAGAAAACTGAGGCTTGGAGAGTAACTTGGTTCCGGAATGATTCCTCCCAGGAATTTGAGGTTTAGGCCATGGATCCTGTGGAGTTGAGAAAGGAGAGATCACAGGCAAGGAGTATAACTCTGAGGTCACCCTACAAAACTTATCTTCAATGACTCTGAGAGCCCCCAGTCCTGCCTCTGGAACCCCTCACTGCTGCCAGCCCCTGTCGCGCACCCCAGATTGGAGAAGGTGAGGTATGTGCAGCAGCTGTACAGATTGACAATCAGCCTGGACAGATGGGCATATGGGGGACGGTCAGGAGGAGGGCCACCACATAGAGCCATGCAATCCCTAGCATCATGTGAGTGGCACCCTGGATGCAGGCAGTGCAGTGGCAGGTCAATGCCTGGCCTGCAGGGTGGTCAGCTGGCGGAGACGCAGAACGTTGGGAGAAGGCTGCTGGGTTCCCCTCAGCTCCTCATCAGCAGGGAAGGGAGCACTCGGGGAGCACTCCCACGCACCTGACACTGGCTGAGCCTCCTGTGTCCTGCCTCACTGACACCTCGCAGCCCCGGGGGCAAATGATGTCCATTTGGAAGATGAGGACATGGCCCTCCAACCCCCATTCCTCCCAGGACCACCTGTCCTCCAGCTGTCACTGGTCTGCCCCAGAAGCCCCCTTTGGCATGAGTTTCCCCTGACTCTATGCCAGGCAGACCTTGACCCCAGGCATTGATGGACACGGGGACTCTGTTCATGGCTTTGACTTCAGAGCAACCCCTGCAGCCTGACAGAAGGGAGACCTGCCCTGGGCTGCTTCTTGCTTTGCCCTTCAGCCCTAGCTTGGCAGAACCTTCCCAGACCCAGCCCACCTGGGCAGAGCCTAAGAAGGAGTTAGGAGAAAGACTTACAGGACTCAACGAGTGGCAGGCTGATGATGGCTGTGCCTGGGAAAGCAGAGAAAGCCTCCTAAAGGAGGGACGTTCGGGCTGAGCCTGCAAAGATGAGTCAGCGTGCGTGGGGTGAGAGGAGGCGGGTAGGTGGAGCACAGGCTCAGAGGTGGGAGCTGCAGAAGTCTGGGGCAGCAGGGCACAGCCAGCTTGGATTCACAGTCTGAAGGCTGGAGGTGGCAGAAGGTGAGAGCCCCAGCACTACCACGCTGGGCATGCCAGGGTCATTCATGTCCTTGGCAGCAAGAGACACTTAACATGTCACATCCTGTTCTTTGATTTAGCAGGGAATAAAATGAGCACACTACGAGATACTGGAAATGCAAAGGAGTGTATGTATTCTCAAACATACCTATTCATGGCCCAAAGAGGAATGACAAAAACCTCTTTACCCACTTACTAGACAAAGAAAATGTACATTTTTAATTCCTTAGAGTCCTGGGTGTTCCCCTACCATAGTTTCAAGAGCCTTCATTTCTTCACTGGGAAAACTGATCCCAATAGCTCAGCCACAGCACAGAAAGCCCAGAATCTCGTGGGAACGGGCCCAAGGGAAAGCGGCCCTTGGTGCATCTTCCCTCTGCATCGAACATGCAGGTGGCTTGCTGTGAGGAGCACTCCACTTTCACTCGTGGCCCCCAATCCCCCTCCCCGTATCAAATCTTGGGGCGCTTTGCTGTTAAATCCCCAGAACAGACCTGAATTTCGCTACAAACCTGCAATCACCCGTCAGGCCACGAGGTGGCGATCCGGAGTCAGTCAGGTGTAGCCCACGTGGCCGGCGGAGCGCTGAGGGGCGGCGGGGACTGAGGAGGCTCCTGATCGTGGCCAAAGAAGGCAGGAGCGAGGACGCCGCCTCCGCAGAGGCTTCTGTGAGCCCCGCACTGCGTGGGCGCTGCTCACCGAGGACACCGCGGATTCCCCCACGCAACCCTGAGTGGATGGAAGCGCGCATTCCCATTTCACAGGACAGGAGAGCGGGCTCAGAGATGTTAAGGAGCCTGCCTGAGGCCACACAGCTGGGAAGCGGCAGGCTGGGGTCTGAACCAGGGCTGGGGCAGTGCAGAGACACACGAGGAGGAAAATAGAGGGAGATGGGCAGGGAAAAACCAAAAACGATAGCAACCGCTTTGGAGCCTTGTTATGCCTGACCCACGGACTCCTCACGCCGACCCGTGCGGCGGGGACTGTTGCCACCCCGTTTTATTGCTGGAGATGGTGAGGATCAGGAAGGCTAAAAGCCTGGGGGGCGCTGCTTACCCGCAGCTCCGTGGCCCCGCTTACCCGCAGCACCGTGGCCCCGCTTACCCGCAGCACCCTGGCCCCTGCCTACGGCGCTTACCCGCAGCTCCTCGAGCCCGGAGGGAGGGCCATGAGGTGGAAGTAGGGGACAGCTGAGCAGCCACCCCCCACCTCCCACCCCCATCCCCTGAGCTGCCACCTCCCACCCTCACCCGCAGCCCCAGCCCAGCCGGCCCCTTTTCCCTCGAGCAAGGTCAGCAGGCTTAGGTCCTCCCCAGGCCCCAGGCCAGCTTCCCCTTCCCCAGGACCGCCTCCAGGCACACGAGGGGGTCTCCCCGACCAGAGTGAGGCTCATCCCTCCAGGGGATGAGCCGTCCCCTGTGGATACCTCCAGAGCAGGTGGATACCTCCTTTAGGCCAGGGAAGCTTCTGCCAGCTGTGTTTCCTGTGACACCAGCCTTCCCTGCCCCATCTCTGAGGCTGATGGGCAGCTGTCAGGGGAACAGACACTTAGGCCTCCCGGAACCACATGGGCTGCGCCAGAGGCGGCATCGAGGCCTGGGCAGTGGGAGCTTGTGCCTGCCAGTCCGCCAGCTCTGAGCCTGGTGGCCAGAGCACCCCATTCCCTGTGACCCGTCCAAAGCTGAAGTCGGGGCCCCTTCTCGAATCACAGTGCAGGGATGCTCTCAGCCATGTTCCTCACCACGCGGGGGAGCCCTAGAGCTCACGGTCAATTCACAGGCAGAAGGAAGAGTCAGAGAGAGGGGCGGCCCCAAGGCTTCACTTTATGTAGGCATTGAAGGGCTAACAAATACATGGCCAATAAAGCACTTATTGCTTAAGCTAGTTTGAGTCTCTGTCACTTCTTACCAAAGAGTCCGGATTAAACCCCACACCATCTCACAGAGTTTTGGGGTGAATAAATGAGATATTTTTATCAGTGCTCAAAAAAAATAGTAGCTAAAATGATTCTCAACAGAGCACAATGACTGTCTTTGCACTTTCTCCTTCACATTTCACAACATCACTCCGTCTCACTTACACACACATGGTCTGCGAAAACTCTACACCTCACCTGTGCACGGATTTTGAGCCTGTATTTAAGAGGAGGCATTGCTTTGGAGACATTTTTTCTGCAAATTGCATCCAACAGGATATTGTCAAGAGATTTCCTGGGAACAAATGAAAATGATGATTTTTGATGTAAGATACGCAGTGGACAACATATATCATCGCTGCAACAGAGGTTCCTGCTATCACAGCTCTCGTGGTCACCAGCACCTGCCTGGTGTGGGGTCTCCTCTGGTCCCCCTCACACACAGAGAGCAGGGACAGCTGTGATTTACCCACAGCTGGAACTTGAGTCTGTGCCTCAGGGACAGGCAGCAGGGTACTTCATATGCAACAGAGTTCAATTGAAAAAGTGAATTATTGGTGCTGAGTTACTAATAAGCAAATAATCAGTTTATACCCATCACAAAAATGTCGACAAACAGAGTGATTGTGACAAGGGCAGAAAACTGCAATCATGCTCTGCAAAAATGAAGTGAAGCTGCAATTCTGCATGAAGGCAACTTATTGCATTTGATCTTTTTGCTTATAAAATGCCCTGCCAACCCCTAGTAATAGTGCTAATAACGAAGATGACCACAACGATGATAGCTGCTGGACTTTGAGTACTTATCATGATGGGTCAGTGCTTCAGACATTATCTCTTTTTTTTGTTTTTTGTTTTTTTAGACAGAGTCTCGCTCTGTCACCCAGGCTGGAGTACAGTGGTGCGATCTCAGCTCACTGCAGCCTCTGCCTCCCATGTTCAAATGATTCTCCTGCCTCAGCCTCCCAAGTAGATGCGATTACAGGCGCACGCCATCACACTGGCTAATTTGGTATTTTTTGGTAGAGATGGGGCTTTTGCCATGTTGGCCAGGCTGGTCTCAAATTCCTGACCTCAAGTGATCCGCCCGCCTCGGCCTCCCAAACTGCTGGGATTACAGGTGTGAGCCACCGCGCCTGGTCCAGGCATTATCTCATTCAATTCTCACTCAGAGTGTTATTATTATCCCTATTCCATAGATGAAGACACCAAAGCTCTGAGGGGTGAAAGGGTTTGTTCAAGGTCACAGAGCTGGTGGACAGCACTTCCTGAGAGCAGGTTACCAGCGTAAACAAGCAACTCTGCCTAGAAGAAAAGCCGGGACAGACCCAGACAGGAAGAGCCCCAAATTTTCTGCAACTATGCCATTCTGAGGGGTGGGGCAGCCTTCACCAACCCAGGCTCTAAGCCAAGGAGTGCCTTGGAGTGGCTTGAGGGTCGCGGTAAAGGCCTCTTTACAGTGAGGACTCAGCGGCAGGGCTGGGAGGTGTGGCCCCTCCTAAGCTGCTCCCTGGGCACCAGCCAGCAGGTTGGTTTAGACATGACAAGAAGGACAGGGAGAGAGGGAGACTGACGGCCAGAGAGCCACACTCCTTCTCTTGGCCCATCCCAGCCCCAAACAGGAACAATCTGGGCTCCTTACATCCTTGCCTTGTGCTGTTCAGAGAGGAAGGGCAGAGCTCAGACTGGTCAGCAGCTTGCTAAGGTCACATAACCAAGGACAGATAGGAAATGCTTTACAGAGTTGGAAGGGAAGGGAAGAGAATTGGTTCACTTTTTACAGAATAAAGGCCCTTCAGGAAAAGGCACTGGGTAGCGTAGGAGCCTAGAAAGTTGGTGAACAGCTGGGCCTGGTGGCTCATGCCTTTAATCCCAGCACTTTTGGGAGGCTGAGACAGGTAGATCGCCTGAGCTCAGGAGTTTGAGACCAACCTGGGCAACATGGAAAAACCCCACCTCTACCAAAAATACAAAAAACTAGCAAGGTGTGGTGGCATGCACCTGTGGTCCCAGCTACTCAGGAGGCTGAGGCAGGAAGATCACTTGAGCCGGGGAGGCGGAGGTTGCAATGAACAGAGATCATGCCACTGCACTTCAACCTAGGTGACAGAGAAAGACCCCATCTCAAAAAAAAAAAAATTGGCCAATAGTAGGCAGGTGATATGGTTTGGCTGTGTCCCCACCCAAATCTCATCTTGAATTGTACCTCCCTTAATCTCCATGTGTCATGGGAGGGACCCAGTGGGAGGTGATTGAATCATGGTGGGGTGGGGGTGGTTTCCGGTGCTGTTCTTGTGATGTGAGTACGTCTCATCAGATCTGATGGTTTTATAAAAGGCAGTTTCCCTGCACATGTTCTCTTGCCTGCTGCCATGTAAGACGTACCCTTGCTCCTTCACCTTCTGCCATGATTGTGAGGCCTCCCCAGCCATATGGAACTATGACTCCATTAAAACCCTTTTTCTTTATAAATGACCCAGTCTCTGGTATGTCTTTACTAGCAGCATGAGAACCAACTAATACAGCAGGTCAGGAGAAGCAGGAAGGAGCAGGGATCATCCCATGGGGAGGCCAGATATAGGAACAGATGTAGGAGCTGGGATTGGGAGGCTGGACAAGACCAGACTGGGACCACTAGGGAGCCTGGCCATACTCCTTGGCCCCTTTCCAAATCACTGGAGAAGGTAGAAACCTGTCCCAGTGTTCACGTAACCAGTCAGCACAGATAGGAAGATGCTCAAAGCCAGGACTTCTCAGGCCAGGACGCTGCTCAGGAGGGATGTCCTACCACTGAGCCGGAAACTATGAAGACAAACTATTGTGATTTTTTTCCTGGAGTTTTTGCAAACAACACAGCAGCTACATATATATATATATATATATATATATATATATATATATATATATATATATACACACACATACATATATATATATGTAGCTGCTGATATATATGTAGCTGCTGTGTTGTTTGATACAACAAAATTTATGATTGTTTTATGTTCCTTGGGGAAGGATGTACATTTCTTCATTAAATATTGTCCCTCTTTGTTCTGTTAAATGCTTTTGGCCTTGAATTCCACTTTGATAATATTGTTGATACTCCTATATTATTTTTTTGTTTACCTTAATCTACTATAGCTTTGTCTTTGTCCAGTCCTTTATTTAACAATCTTTCTTTGCCTTTTTTTTGTTTCTTATCTTTCTTTTTTTTTAAAAAAAAAAGCAGCACAATACTGGAGTTTATTTTCACTGTGTTATATTTGATACATACACAAAGAAAATATACAATTGATGTAAGTTATTAAGCATAATAAAATGAATACCTATGCCATCGCCAACCATAGGAACTAGAATATTGCCAAAACCATTGAGCCTTCCTGTGTATTCCACTCCATCCCGTCTTCCTATCTCACCCCTGAAGATAATCACTACCTTATGTTGTATATTTATCAATGGGTTGTTTTTATTTATTTATTTCTAATTATTATTATTATTATTATTTTGAGACAGAGTCTCACTCCGTCCCTTAGGCTGGAGTACAGTAAGGCAATTACAGCTCACTGCAGCCTTGAACTCCTGGGCTCACATTATTCTCTCACCTGAGCTTCCCAAGTAGCTGGGACTACAGGTGCACACCCCTGCACTCAGCTAATTTTTTATTTTTACTTTACAATATAGGGAGATGGGGTCTCCCTATATTGCCCAGGCTGGTCTTTAACTATATTTATGTTTACTTTACAATATAGGGAGATGGGGTCCCCCTATATTGCCCAAGCTGGTCTTTAACTTCTGGGCTCCAGTGATCCTCCCACCTCAGCCTCCCAAAGTGCTGGGATTACAGGTGTGAGTCGCTGTGCCCGGCCAGTTGCCCTGCTTTTTAAAAAATAACTTCTAATCCCCTAATTATATATTGTTCAGTTTTGCTTGTTTTTGAGCTTCATATGAGTGATATCAGATATGTGCAGTCTTCTGCTAATTTCTTTTTTCCCTCAAGATTGTTTCTAGCATGCACCCACATTGCTGCATTCACATTGCCACCATTCACTAAGCTATATATTAATGACATTCCATTTGTTTTTGTTGTCATTGTATTTTGTTTTTGTTTTTGAGATGGAGTCTCTCTCTGTCACCCAGACTGGAGTGCAGGGGCGCAATCTCAGCTCATGAGAATTTATTTTTTGGAGAGAGATGAAGGAAGGATCCAATGTCCTATTTTTCCATGTGGATAACAAATGATCCCAGCACCCTAGGTTGAATAGTCTAGCCTTTCCTGGCAATCTGAAATACCAATCCCGTGATATGTCAGGTTTCCATCAGTGTGTTTATTACTGTCACATTGTTCTGTTGATCTATTCCTGTGCCAGTCTCACATAGTCTTAACTACTAATATTTTATAATGTCTCTATTGCACTTAGAACCAGTTCTTCCACCATTTCTTCTTCAGGAGTGTACAGCTACTCTTGAGCTTTTTCTCTTCCGTATAGGTTTTAGAAAGTTTGTAAAGTACCTTGAAAAATTCGATTGGGATTTTGATTGAAATTGTAATCACTCTTTTGATCAATATGGGGATAATTGATAAAATTATGGACAATTTTAGTATTTCCCCCCTTGAAAAGAATAAATCCCAGGTTTATTTAGGTCTTCTTTAGCTTTTTTTTTTTTTTTTTTGAGATGGAGTTTCGCTCTTGTTGCCCAGGCTGGAGTGCAGTGGCGCAACCTAAGCTCACCGCAACCTCCACCTCGTGGCTTCAAGCGATTCTCCTGCCTCAGTCTCTGGAGTAACTGGGATTACAGGCATGCACCACCACACCTGGCTACTTTTGTATTTTTAGTAGAGATGAGGTTTCACCATGTTGGTCAGGCTGTTCTCAAACTCCTGACCTCAAGTGATCCGCATGCCTCGGCCTCCCAAAGTGCTGGGATTACAGGTGTGAGCCACCATACCACGCTGTTTAATTTTTTAACAAAGTTGTATCATTTTCTGTATCAGGTCTTGCACATCTTTTATTAGACTTATTTTTAGATTCCTTTCTGTCTATTGCTATTTTAAATATTGTCTTTTCCTGGATTGTTTACTTTCATAAAGAAGTGTGGAGAAAAGCAATTTAGTTTTGAATATTGGTCTTATATCCTGCCACCTTGATTAACTCTTTCATTAATTCTAATAACTCTCAGTAGATTAGTTTGGATTTTTCTATGTAGATAATCATATAATCTGGAAGTGATGATAGTTTTGTTTCTTTCTAATCATTATACCTTTTCTTTCTTTCTTTTGTTTTAAACACCTTGGCTAGAACTTCCAATAAAATGTCGATTAGGTAGCTATCAATTGGGATCCTTGCCTTGTTCTATTAAGGAGAATGTTTTTTACTTTTTTTTTTTTTCTTTTTTGAGACGGAGTCTTGTTCTGTCACCTAGGCTGGAGTACAGTGGCGCATCTCCGCTCACTGCAATCTCCACCTCCCGGGTTCCTGCCATTCTCCTGCCTCAGCCTCCCGAGTAGCTGGGATTACAGGAGCCCGCCACCACGCCCGGCTAATTTTTTGTATTTTTTTAGTAAAGACGGGATTTCACCGTGTTAGCCAGGATGGTCTCAATCTCCTGACCTCATGATCTGCCCACCTCGGCCTCCCAAAGTGCTGGGATTACAGGCGTGAGCCACCACGCCCGGCCTTTTTTTTACTTTTTACTACTAGGTGTGATTTTGCTAAATTTTGCAACTTAAAAAAAATTCCCTTGTATTCCTAGTGAGATAAAAATTTTAATCATGAAAGGATATTGATTTTTATTAAATGCATTTTTGCACAGATTTTCTCCTTCAACCCACTGTCACTGAATATATTTACACATTTCATGTACATAAAAATAGTATTATATGACATATAACATGATATTCTAATGTGTAATATAATGTTATATATATAAGTAATATATAAGCCATATTTCTGATATTAATATGATGTTAATATATAATATGTATTAATGTTTAACCACCCTCGCATCCACGGTATAAACCCAGTTTGGCCATACATTTTAAAGTGTTTTGTTGTATTCAGTTTTCTACTATTCTTTCATGATCTTTGCACCTAGGTACATGCATAAGGTTGTTCTGGTTTGGGTGATAAGGTTATATTGGTTTCACAAAGCGAGCTGATGAGTGTTCCCTCATTTTTTTCCTCTAGAAGAGTCTATATAAAATTATAATATCTGGCCAGGCGCAGTGGCTCACACTTGTAATCCCAGCATTTTGGGAGGCCGAGGCAGGTGGCTCATGAGGTCAGGAGATCGAGACTACGGTGAAACCCCGTCTCTACTAAAAATACAAAAAATTAGCTGGGCGTGGTGGCGGGCACCTGTAGTCCCAGCTACTCAGGAGGCTGAGGCAGGAGAATGGCGTGAACCCGGGAAGCGGAGCTTACAGTGAGCTGAGATCGTGCCACTGCACTCCAGCCTGGGTGACAGAGCGAGACTCCGTCTCAAAAAAAAAAAAAATTATAATATTATAATATCTAATCCTTGAATGTTTAAAATCATTCGGGCTTCGTGTTTTGTTTTGTTTTGTTTTTTAACCTTTTTGTGTGTGTGTGTGAAACAGAGTTTCATTCTGTCACCCAGGCTGGAGTGCAGAGGGGCGATCTCAGCTCACTGCAACCTCCACCTCCTGAGTTCAAGCGATTTTCCTGCCTCAGCCCCCCGAGTAGCTGGGACCACAGGTCTGCATCACCATGCCTGGCTAAATTTTGTATTTTTAGCAGAGATGGGGTTTCACCATGTTGGCCAGGCTGGTCTGGAGCCCCTGGCCTCAAGTGACCCATCTGCCTCGGCTTCCCAAAATGCTGGGATTACAGGTGTGAGCCACCATGACTGGCCAGTGCTTGGTGTTTTCTATGTAAAAATATTTAAACTACCACCTCAATTATGTTTAATGGTTATGAGACTATCCAGGATTTTTATTTCTTCTTGAGTCTGTTTCAGTAAGTTATGTGTTTCGAATAATTTATCCATTTTGCCTGTTTTTAAAGGTATTAATACATCTTTTTCATAGTTTTTGTTACTCCTTTTACTTTTTAAAAAATTGATGGTGGCCAGGGGCATGTGGTGGTTTACACCTGTAATCCCTGCTCTTCAGGAGCCTAAGCTGAGGGGATCACTTGAGGCCAGGAGTTCGAGACCAGCCTGGGCAAGAGAGGGACAAAAAATTAGTCGGGCATTGTGGTGGGTGCCTGTAATCCCAGCTACCTGGGAGGCTGAGGCAGGAGAATCACTTGAGCCCAGGAGGCAGAGGTTTCAGTGAGCCAAGATCGTGCCACTGCACTCCAGTCTGGGCAACAAAAGCGAAACTCAGTCTCAAAAAAAAAAAAATTTCCATGTGATGTTTTTCATACTTATAAACATATGGGAATTTTTTATTTGTTGTTTTGTCTTTAACTTTTAACTTAGTTGCATTGTGAGTCACAGAAACATGACCTGTATACTAGTTATTATAATTTGTTCAGAATTACATTATGTTATTTTTGTTGTTGTTATTGTTGTTTTAGTAGAGACGGGGTTTTATCATGTTGGCCAGGCTGGTCTCGAACTCCTGACCTCGTGATCTGCTCGCCTCTGCCTCCCAAAATGCTGGGATTACAGATGTGAGCCACAGTGCCTGGCTGAGAATTACATTATGTCCTATGACCACAATATGTAGTCACTTTTTATAAATTCCCTATGTGTTCATGAATACATTTGTATTCTCTAATTGTTGGATTTAGGATTTTATTTGTATCCATTTGTTCAAGTTTGTTAATTATGTAGTTTTAACCTTATATATCTTTCTTAATTTTTACTTTGAAATATCAATAATTAGAGGAAATATGTTGAACTCTTCCATAGTAATTATAGATTTATCAGTTTTGCTCTGTGGTTCTATCCCTTCTAGCTTTGTATATTTTGAGGCTACTTTATTAGTTGAATTGTTATATCTTCCAGGTGCACTAAAACTTCTATCATTATTAGGAACTTTCTTTATCTCTTATAATAATATTGACCTTAATGACTATTTTTTGATGCTAATAAAGCCACTCTTATTTTGATTGGTATTTTTCTGAATACCACTTTGAATATCTTTATTTTCAGCTTTTCAGCGTCCTTGCATTTTAGGAGTGGCTCTTGTAGGCAATCTATACTGAATTTTTAAAATCTTACATCTGATAATCCTCTTTTTTTTTTTTAACTAAGGAGTTCAGTAGCACATCTACATTTCCTAAAAACTAGTGATAAATGTGGACTTGCATTTGCCATCCAACTTTGTGCTTTCTTTTTGATTCACCTATCTTTTTCATAGTTTTTGTTACACCTTTTACTTTTTAAAAAATTGATGGTGGCCAGGGGCGTGTGGTGGTTTACACCTGTAATGCCTGCTCTTTAGGAGCCTAAGCTGGGGGGATTGCTTGAGGCCAGGAGTTCGAGACCAGCCTGGGCAACACAGGGACACCCTGCCTCTACAAAAAAATTTTAAAAATTAGCTGGGTGTGCACCTGTAGTCCTAGCTACTCAGGAGGCTAAGGCAGGAAGATTCCTTAAACACATGAGTTCAAGTTAATAAAGAGCTATGATTGTGTTACTGTACTCCAGCCTGGGTGACAGAAGAAAAAGAGAAAAGAAAAGAAAAGAGAAAAGGAAGGAAGGAAGGAGGAAGGAAGGAAGGAAGGAAGGAAGGAAGGAAGGAAGGAAGGAAAGAAGGAAGGAAGGAAGGAAAGAAGGAAGGAGAGAAAGAGAGAGGCAGAGAGAGGAAGGAAGGAAGGAGGGAGGGAGGGAGGGAAGGAGGGAAGGAAGGAAGGGAGAGAGAGAGAAAAGGAAGGTAAGGGAAGGGAGGAAGGAAGGAGTTAAAATTAATATAAAAAAGGAAAAAAGAATGATGGTTTTCTCTCTTTTATTCCACTTATTTTCCTGTACATACTTGGTAGTTTCATACTCCTTTCCTATTCTTTTAGTAATTACCTGGAAATTTTGCCTTGCACATTTAAAAAAGTCTAAAGTTAATAATTATCTTATCCTCCTGAATAATGCAAGGCGCTTAAAGTGTATTAACTCCAGTCATACCTTCCAACTTGCATACAACTGATAACCAGTATTTGAGTCCTGCCCTTGTTTGTCCACAAAGTAGACATTATTATTACTATTGAAACGATTTTATACAGACAATTTTTACTTAGATTTACCTACATGTTTGCCAACTCTTTTGTCATCATTTCTTCTTGTATGTTAGAATTACTTTTGGGGATCATTTTCCTTTCATTTCCTTTAGTAAAAGTCTAACAGTGGTAAATTCCCTCAGTTTTGGTTCATATGACGATAACATTATTTTGTTCTCATTCTTTAAAGATAGTTACATTGGTTGGGCGTGGTTGTTCACACCTAGCACTTTGGGAGGCCAAGGCAGGAGGATCACTTGAACCCAGGGGGTGGAGACCAGCCTGGGCAACATGGCAAAACCCCATCTCTACAGAAAATTTAAAAATTAGCCAGCCATGGTGGCGTGCACCTGTAGTCCCAGCTACTAGGGAGGCTGAAGAGGGAGGATCACCTGAGCCTGGGAGGCAGAGGTTGCAGTGAGCCAAGATCACTCCACTGCACTCCAGCCTGGGTGACAAAGTGGGATTCTGTTTCAAAAAAAAAAAAATGATAGTTATATTGAGTGTACAAGTTTAGTATAGGAAAAAGAAAGAGAGATCAGACTGTTACTGTGTCTATGTAGAAAGGAAAGACATAAGAGACTCCATTTTGCAAAAGACCTGTACTTTAAACAATTGCTTTGCTGATATGTTGCTAATTTGAAGCTTTGCCCCAGCCACTTTGACCCAACCTAGAGCTCACAGAAACATGTGTTGTATGAAATCAAGGTTTAAGGGATCTAGAGCTGTGCAGGATGTGCCTTGTTAACAAAATGTTTACAAGCAGTATACTTGGTAAAAGTCATTGCCATTCTCTAGTCTCAGTAAACCGGGGGCACAATGCACTGCAGAAAGCCGCAGGGACCTCTGCCCTTGAAAGCGGGGTATTGTCCAAGGTTTCTCCCCATGTGATAGTCTGAAATATGGCCTCGTGGGATGAGAAAGACCTGACCGTCCCCCAGCCCGACTCCCATAAAGGGTCTGTGCTGAGGTGGATTAGTAAATGAGGAAAGCCTCTTGCAGTTGAGCTAGAGGAAGGCCACTGTCTCCTGCCTGCCCCTGGGAACTGAATGTCTCGGTATAACACCCGATCGTACATTTGTTCAATTCTGAGAGGAGAGAAAAACCGCCCTATGGTGGGAGGCGAGACATGTTGGCAGCAATGCTGCCTTGTTATTCTTTACTCCACTGAGATGTTTGGGTGGAGAGAAACATAAATCTGGCTTACGTGCACGTCCAGTCATAGTACCTTCCCTTGAACTTCATTATGACGTAGATTCTTTTGCTCACATGTTTGTTGCTGACCTTCTCCTTATTATCACCCTGTCCTCCTACTACATTCCTTTTTGCTGAAATAATGAAGATAATAATCAATAAAAACTGAGGGAACTCAGAGACCGGTGCCGGTGCTGGTCCTTGGTATGCTGAGCGCCGGTCCCCCGGGCCCACTGTTGTTTCTCTATACTTTGTCTCTGCGTCTTATTTCTTTTCTCAGTCTCTCGTCCCACCTGACTAGAAATACCCACAGGTGTGGAGGGGCAGGCCACCCCTTCAGTTTAGGATGATAATTACTTTGTCTTAGGACTCCAAAGATATTTTTCCATTTCTTAGGGATTTCCATGGTGGCTGTTGATAAGCCACTAGTATTTTATTTATTTATTTATTTATTTATTTATTTATTTATTTATTTTTGAGTCAGAGTCTCATTCTGTCACCCAGGCGGGAGTGCAGTGGCACAATCTCTGCTTACTGCAACCTCTGCCTCCGGGGTTCAAGCAATTCTCCTGCCTCAGCCTCCTGAGTAACTGGGATCACAGGCACGCACCACCACACCCAGCTAATTTGTTTGTATTTTTAGTACAGATGGGGTTTCACCATGTTGGCTAGGCTGGTCTTGAACTCTTGACCTCACATGGTCCACCTGCCTTGGCCTCAGTTACTAGTATTTTAAATGTCATTCTTTTGCAGCCAACTTGTTTCTTTTCTCTGATAGATTCTGAGGTCTTCTCTTACCTTTTGGTCTTCTGCAAGTTTATTACAATATGCCTAGGTGTGAATTCATGTTTCTTATAAGTTCTGAAAAGTTCTCAGCCATTATCTCTTTGAATGTTACCTCACCTTTGCTGTCTCTATTCTTTCCTGTGGGTCTTAGTTAAATAGTAGACCTTCTCATCTTTCCCTCCCCTCTCTCCTAAACATCTTTCATATTTTACCTCTCCTTTTTCTGTGTTGAAAATTATGCAGAAATAGGTACTTTTGTGGATCCATTTTCTATTCGGTTGGTGCAAAATTAATTGTGGTATTGGCCATTACTTTTAATGGCTAAAATCACAATTACTTTTGCACCAACCTAATAATTCATAATTATCTCTTCAGCTGCATCTGATCTGCTATTTAATCATCTGATGAGATTTTTGTATCATCAGTTATAACTTTCATTTATGCAAGTTCTATTTTGGTTTATTTTCCAATCTTCCTGGACATTTTTGATAGGTTTGTATTCTGCATTCAGTGTGTGTGTGTGTGTGTGTGTGTGTGTGTGTGTGAATTCATCTTGCATTTCTTTAAATATTTTCTACATAATTATGTTATTTTCTGTATTTGGTCATTCCAACAGCTGAAGTATTAAAGGGGTATGTCTACGCCTATTGTTTTATTTGCTGACTCTCACTCATAGCGGCTTGTTTCCGTGTAGTTTGGTGACCACTGATTGTGAGTTCATATTTTGTTGAACTTAATCTGTGGGAATCCTGAGGGCCTACACTGGACCTACATTCCTACTGAGGCATTTGCATTTGCTTCTGCCAGGAGCCAAGGGGCTGCTATTAACCTGGGAGGACTTCAGCCACCTTTAAATGACTCTGGCACAAGGCAGGAGTCTCAGGTGCTCTCACCTTGCCTCTGCCCTAGACTTAATTTGCCTATCGCAGTGCTTATTTCATCATTTAGCTCGATTTTCTTGTTTCCCTGTTAGTCAACGCTCCATGCTTTAGCTTCAGTTCCCCACTGTCTTGCCACGCTTTTCTTGGCAGAGGACACTTAGTCCTTACAGATTTCCATTACTCTCTAGGAAGTCCAGCAATGCATTAAAATGATGGTTTTTTATTTGTTTTGTTTTTGTAATTCTTGTTTTTGTTGTTTTTGTTTTGAGCGGAGTTTCGCTATTGTTGCCCAGGCTAGAGTGCAGTGGCGCAATCTCAGCTCACTGCAACCTCCACTTCTGGGGTTCAAATGATTCTCCTGTCTCAGCCTCCCGACTAGCTGGGATTACAGGCATCTGCCACCACACCCAGATAATTTTTGTGTTTTTTTGTTTTGTTTTGTTTTTGTTTTTTTTTTTTTTAGTAGAGACAGAGTTTCACCATGTTGGCCAGGCTGGTCTTGAACTCCTGACCTCAGATGATTCGCCCGCCTCAGCCTCCCAAAGTGCTGCGGTTATAGACGTGAGCTACCGCACCCGGCCTTGTTTTCGTAACTCATGCAGAATCCAGTTATATTTTCATGGGGTGACCTTTGAGAGCCCTAGTCCACCATCTTGCCAAAAGCAGAAATTCCATGGTGCTACTGGGATCCCCATTTTACAGATCGAAAACCGAGACTCATAAAATCAAATATGTTGCTGGAGACCACACAACACTCAGGCTGAGTGTTTAACCAGAGGCTGATGCTCCCCAAATAAGAGGAAATGTATTTTCAGGGTTGCAGCCTTGGCCAACGCTCTGGGATAAAACCACAAACTTCTGCTAAGGAAGGAATGAGGAGACCCAACCCAGCCCAGAGTGGGCAGGCCCCAGGCACCCAGCACCAGCTCAGCCAGTCTGCACGGGGCACTCCGCCTGCACCTCCTCCCACCCTGGGAAAGAGCCAGCAGCGCTTCCGGCACTTGGGTTTCCATGGCAACCAGTCACCCTGTGTGATGAGACGCAAAAGCCACAGGCAGTGAGTGGAACATTCCTGAATCTGAAGCCCTCATTACAGGTGGGTCTCCTGCAGCCTTGGGGACAGTGTGAGGGAGGCTCAGAGGAGAAAGAATTTGTGTGAAGGGGTCATGTTCAAACTAGCCACAATACCACTTGATAGCCCCTTTCTTTTTGCCTATACCCCGGTTATGATGGCCCCAGAGTCCCAGGTCCAGGAAAGTCCAGAAACAGGCTGGAGTCGGCCTGCTGCTAGGTCCCACACAATACCAGCTCTGCCTTTTTCATTCAACAACAGTCCCTTCATGCCTCCTCTGGCCAGGTCCTCAGGATCCTCTGACAGATGAGGGTCCCTGCCTGCGGTGAGCTATCTGGCTAGTGCAAGACTCAGACAGGCCCTAAAAGCCAATTACAACCAGGGGACAAGGGAGCACAGAGGCCATGAGAGCACAGAAGAGCGAGTGCTCCCTGCAAGGAGGCTTCCCAAAGCAAAGATATTTGAGCCAAGCCGCAAAAAAATTAGTATGGTAGAAAAGGGAGGGAAGAGCCAGGCATGGTGGCTCATGCCTGTAATCCCAGTACTTTGGGAGTCCAAGGCGGGTGAATCACAAGGTCAGGGGTTCAAGATCAGCCTGGCCAACATATAATGACATCTCATTTCTACTAAAAATGCAAAAATTAGCTGGGCGTAGTGGCGGGCACCTGTAATCCCAGCTACTCGGGAGGCTGAGGCAGGAGAATTGCTTGAACCTGGGAGGTGGAGGTTGCAGTGAGCTGGAGGTTGCAGTGAGCTGAGATTGCGCCACTGCTCTCCGTCCTGGGTGACAGAGTGAGACTCTGTCATAAAAAAAAAAAAAAGAAAAGAAAAGAAAGAAAGAAAAGAAAAGGGAGGGGAGGGCATTACAGGCAGAAGGAAGCACAATGCGGTGGGCTCAGAGGAACGAAACAGCAGTGACTTTAGTAAAACAAGGGAACGGAAGCAGAAAAGGTGACCACAGAGAGGAGCCACAACAGAGCTTGCAGGACACTGCTGTGAACTTGGGCCTTATCCCGGAAGGAGTGGGCAGCCTTAAATGGTTTTAGGAGAGTGTTGTCTTCATGGCATTGAGGATGGATAGGAGCCAGGGAACCCGGCAAAAGGCCCCTTACAATAATGCAGAAGAGAGATCACAGTAACCAACATAAAGGGTGTAGCTACGGGGATATGCAAGGAAGGGGCAGATTTGGCTGGGTGCCATGGCTCACACCTGTAATTGCAGCACTTTGGGAGGCCGAAGCGAGTAGATTGCTTGAGGCCAGGAGTTTGAGACCAGCCTGGCCAACATGGTGAAATCCCATCTCTACTAAAAATACAAAACAAATTAGCCGGGCGTGGTGGCACACGCCTGTGATCCCAGCTACTCAGGAGGCTGAGACATGAGAATCATAGGAACCCAGGAGGCGGAGCCAAGATCGGGCGATTGAACTCCAGCCAGGGCAACACAGCCAGACCCCGTCTCAAAAAAAAAAGGGGGGCGACAGACTGGAGAAATGTTTAGGACAGAGCAGCTGGACTTGGTGAGATATTGGGGCAAAAAGGATGGTAGCGTCAACCTGAGAGGGGGCACAGGAGCAGGGAGGGACTAGGGTAGGGGTGGCCATTCAGGCCCCTGCTGGGTCATGTGAAAGTGACCAGTTTTCCTCATACAGATGCTGGGGCTGACCTCCCTGGAGTGTGATATCCAGGACCTTTTCTCTCCAGGTCAATAGAGAAAAAGAATGTTCCAGAGCCTTCTTCAGCCTGGAAGCTTCTGGCAGGTTCCAGTCACTCTGTGGGCAGTACCAGCTGCAATCTTGCCACCAGGCCCCACCCACTCTGCACTGCACCACCCCTGGCATCCCACAGCCTCTGCAGGGGGCACCCCAGGCACCTCCAGGCCACTGGCCCCTGCATCTTCCGGACCAGTAGAACCAAATTTCTGTTCCGTGTACTTCTGTTCCGTGTCCCGTTTCCTTGTTCTGGTTACATGCATGTCACAAAGTTATATCTGTGGCAGCTAGCTGTGTAGCCTGGGGCTGAATTAATAAGGAGTACATTGTAGAATCAAGTTAATGACTGCAACTCTAAGACAGGTGGCTTGGGAGTCAGACAGAACCAAGTTCAAATCCTGACTTATTCGCTCTGTGTCTTTAGGCAGTGACTCCTCAGACCCTCCGTGCCCTCTGCTCACCCTTCCTCCTGTCTCACCCCTCTGCGGTTCACAGCCCCTCTTCCCTCAGGCCCCTCTTGTTCACACTTATCTCCTGTTCATGTGCCCCTCTCCTCCTTCGACCCCACTCCCAGGCCACACGCCTCTCACGCCCACACCTAGGGCAGGTTCCCCACTGTCTCCAGATTGATACTGGTCAGTTACCTCAGGGTTCTGAAGGAAGAGCGCTGAGACCCAGAGGCCACCCCATGCCCCTCCCTTTACCTCCAGCCCCCAACCTGGTCTCCAGGCAGGTGCCAGCCCGGGCCGGCCTCGGGGACCTGGCTGGCCTGCCTGGCTCGACTGGAGTATTCCGCCCTGACTCAGGTCTTGGGAACACCGCTCTGCCCCCAGGGGAAGTTGGGGGTGGCGGTGGCAACTGGGCTTCCAGGCTGGCCCGGATTTCTGCTCCTCTGACTCCCTCCCCCAGCAGTCCCCTCCCACCGCCCACCCCGCTGCGCTCCCCGGGAGCAGGGGAGAGGCGTGGCCCGAGACGAGGCCCAGAAAGGGGGCGGGGCCGGACGGAGACGTTCCGAGGCCAGCCCCGCCCCCTGGGCCCCGACAGCCCAGACCCCCTCCGGGAAGGCCCCGGGAACCAGAGTAGGGCACAGGCCGGGCGCCCCTCGGAGTTCGGACGCCCCGGGCCTGACCCGCACCCGGCCTGGTGGGGCCACCCCTCGGCCGGGGAGGCTCCCAGAGCCAGCACCCGCTTCCTCCCCAGGGCGGGGCCCGGCGGCCATGGGCCAAGCGCCGTAAAATTTAAAGAGGTGAGAGAGACACTTCGCAGAAACCTCAGCGGCGCGGGGAAATGAAATAAGGCCTCCCCCCGGGGCGCCCGCCCCCGCCCGCGCTGCCCAGGCCCCAGGTCACCCTGGAGGGTCCAGGTGCGGGCCCCGCGCACAGCAGCCTCTCCCCGGGCGGGCGAGGGCTCTCTCCCTTTCCAGCGCTGCCCCAGGCACTCGGGGATCGGGACCCAGCCAACGGCCCCAGTCCCAGGCGGGGGCCGAGCTGGCCCGAGAAGCTCTCCCCCTCCAGGGCAGAGAGCGTCCCCTCCCCCACGTGGAAAAGCAAACCCAGACCCCCCTGCCCCACTAAAAACTTGTCCCTCTCCTTTCTCGGTGTCCATGGTGGGTCTGGTTCCCACCGCTCCCTCCCTCCCCGCACAGTCTGAGACCCCCTTCCCCGGGCCGCCCCGTCGATCCCAGGTGATGGATGGAGCCTTCAGGGAGCCCGCGCGGGCGGGCTAGGCTCGGGCGGAAATGAAGAGGATAAGATCTGCGAGCAGAGCCGCCTGACACCGTGATATCCGCCTGGCTCGCTGCGCTCCGGGTGATGGATGGGGCGGAGCTCCCCACCCCCCAGCCCCGGAACCTGGCGCCCCTCCCAGAAACACCGCTCCGCTGCCACACACGCGGCCGCCGGACTCCCAGCCACCGGCGCACTCACGCGGCGCCCCCCACGCATCAGCCCGGCGCGCACGAAGGGAACCGTTCCTCTTCCCAGTCCCCTGGCGCTAGCACCAGCAGGACTGCCCTTAGCGCACACCACACCTTACCCACTTGCCCATCACACAGCCTCTTCCGCGCACGCACATACACATGCATGCAAGCTGCACGCCACCCCTCCCGCCCCCCAAACATGTGTTCTTTCCTGAGTCTTGGAGCCACTCAGGAAGAGGGTTTGACTACCGTGAAACTCAGCCCTGGGCGGGGGTCTTGGGACAGGGAACAGAACAGCAATTGCTAATTGTGCTTAGCATCTTGTTCGGCCACTGAGCAGGTCGGGCTTGGCATGGACCACGGCAGCTGAGGCGCCAGGACTGTCCGAGCAGGCCTCACCATCAGTGTTACCATGGTTACCATCTTCCTAGCATTATCACTCAGCGACATCATCGTTACCATGGTTACAGGCACCGCATCTCCCTCTTCCGCGTTGCTGCCATTTGATTCCCATCACCATTACCATTCATTCATTCACTCATTCGTGTATCACTCATCCCCTCTATTCATCAGCTGGGGATAGAGAGATAAGTCAGTCGGTCCCCACCTTTGAGAGCGCACAGCTGAAATAGGGGAGGCAGAGGTAAGCAGCCAAGAGCCTGGTGCATTCTGTAGAGCCCTGAGGAACAATGAGGCCTTGCCACATAGATGGCACCAGGCAGGAAGGACCACAGTAAGAAGAAAGGCATGCAGCTGTCAACAGCATCATCGCCACCACGGGGTGCTCCATGTGCTTGGAGGAGAGTACACTCTCCGGGGCAGGCAAGCAGGGCAGTCATGGGCAGGCAGTAAGGAGAGGAAACCGGTTTGGGCCACACCATGAAGGTTTAATGACCCAAGGTTCCTGTGGCACAGTGATTAAGAGCCAGTCTTAGGGAGTCTGAATGAAGGACCTGGACTTGAATCCTGACTTTGCCACCCCCTGGCTTAGGGACGTTGGGCCCGTCATTTCTGCAGTGTCTGGCACTTTGGAAGTGCTCTGGAAGTCATTGTTTTCATTACTATTCTTTTTCCTAGAGGCCACGCTTTTGGCCTCTAGGAAAGCTCAGGTTCCTCTCTTCCCTAACCTACAGCTAAGCCACACCTCTGAGGAGCCAACGTAGGTGGTTAAGGCCAAGGTTATTACTGGAGGGTGAAGTCTGGGAGCGGAGCTTTCCTAGAACCAGTCCACCTGTGTGTGCCCTCTCCTTTGTTTCCGTGTGGCTGCAGGCTGGAGGACCAGGGATTGTCTGTCATAAGGAAGGAGTTCCTACCCCTGCACATGCTAGGCAGGTAAAGGCTTGTTCCCGCTTACCTGAGCCAGGGATTCAACACCATGATTGGAACCCAGGGCCTTAGGTGATTGTTCTTTATCCAGGGTTTCCATCAGAACCACTGCTGGATTTTTTTTTTTTTAAATATGGGTGCCTGGCGGCCTGGAAAACATAGTGAGACATTGTCTCTACTGAAAATAAAATAAAATAAATTAGCAGGACGTGGTGGTACACACCTGTAGTCCCAGCTACTTGGAAGGCTGAGGCAGGAGGATCTCTTGAGCCATAAGGTCGAGGCTGCAGTGAGCTGTGATTGTGCCACTGCACTACAGCCTGGGTGATAGAGCAAGACCCCTTCTCAAGAAAAAAAAAAAAAGAAAAAAGATTTGTGCCTTATTATATCTATCTGATTGTGCCTTCCTTGTCTCTTTTTACTACCTTCTTCACACCTACTGACTCAGAAGTGACTACGGTTTTTTGTTTTTGTTTTCTTTTTGTTTTTTTGAGATGGAGTTTTGCTCTTGTTGCCCAGGCTGGAGTGCAATGGCTCGATCTCAGCTCACTGCAACCTCTGCCTCCTGGGTTCAAGCGTCTCCTGCCTCAGCCTTTCCTGAGTAGCTGGGATTACAGGCATACACCACGACACCCAGCTAATTTTGTATTTTTAGTAGAGATGGGGTTTCTCCATGTTGGTCAAGCTGGTCTCAAACTCCCGACCTCAGGTGATCCTCCCGCCTCAGCCTCCCAAAGTGCTGGAATTACAGGCATGAGCCACCAAGCTCGGCCAACTACTGTTTTTAGCTGGTGTTTATTCTGCCTGTTCTCATGTTTACACTTTTACTATAAAGGTACCTGTAAAAATGTAGCATTATTTTGTGTATTTACATAAGTTGTTATAAACTATCATGTACATATTTACCTGAACAGAATCATTCCCAACTTTTCACTAAACATTATTTTCTAGGATTTGTCCACATTGATATATGTAGCTTTTGTTCATTCCTTTTATCTGATGATAAGTAGCCCGTTGTACAAAACGACTGAAATTTCTTTATTTACCCCACTGTTTGTAGACATACAGATTGTTTTCTGGTTTTGTTGCAATTACAAATGATCATCCTCATGCATGTCTGTTTGTGTATTACAGCAAAATGGCTCTGGCGCATACACTAAGGAGTGGAATTGCTTGGTGCCAGGGTGTGTATATTGTCAAATTGTATTTCCAAATTGCTCTCCAAAGTTGTTGCCCTAATTTACCCTGCCACCAGCAGTGCGCAAATCTTCATTTCTCCACATCCTTACTAATACTTGCTACTGCCAGACTTTTAAATTTTTGCCCATTTGAAGGATGTGATATGATATCTTGTTAATCTTTTAACTGTGGGGGTCTTCACCCAATTATGAATGAAGTAGTTGAGCATCTTTTCATTTGTTATGGGAAATTCCCATTTTCTCCTTTGCGTATTTGCTGTTCGCACCCTTTGTCTATTTTTCTGCTGGTTGTTTGTCTTTACCTTATTGGACTGAAGAAGTTGTTTACATAAACTGAATATAAATCCTTTACATTTTTTATTGTGAAAATATTTTCTCCGACTTTGTGGTTTTAAAATACTTTTGAAGAGTGTTATTTCAAATTTTATTTCATTTTTAGATGATAAAAAATAGCCGTATATATTATATATTTATGGGGTACAATGTGATGTTTTGATATATGTTTAAATTGTGGAATGATCAAAGCAAGCTAATTAACAAATCCATCACTGCACATTCTTAGTTTTTCATGGTCAAAACATATAAAATCAACTCAGTAATTTTGATAAATTTTTTTCTGTACTTCAATGGATGTAAAAACTTTTTTAAATTTAGGATGCCTTTATATATAATGGTTTTGGCACAAGGATAGGCAAATAAAACAATAGAACAGAATGAAGAGTCAGATTTATCAGTCTTCAGAGTTAGTGCTTTTCTTCCTCCCTCCCTCCCTCCCTCCCTCTTTCCTTCCTTTCTTCCCTTCTCTCCTTCCTTTCTCCTTTTATTCCTTCCTTCCTTCTTTCCTTCTGTCCTTTCCTCTTTCCTTCCTTCCTTCTTTCTTTCCAATACTTAAGAAATTTTTCCCTAAACAAGACCATGAGATATTCTTTAATAATTTCTTCTATTTTATTTTTTATTTGTATTTATTTATTTTTTGAGATGGAGTCTCGCTCTGTCACCCAGGCTGGAGTGCAGTGGTACAATCTCAGCCCACTGCAAACTCTGCCTCCCAGTTTCCAGTGATTCTCCTGCCCCAGCCTCCCGAGTAGCTGGGACTACAGGTGCACGCTACCACACCCAGCTAATTTTTGTATTTTTAGTCAAGATGGAGTTTCATCATGTTGGTCAGGCTGGTCCCAAACTCCTGACCTCAGGTGATCCACCCTCCTCGGCCTCCCAAATTGCTGGGATTACAGGTGTGAGCCACCTCACCCAGCTGATTTCTTCTATTTTAAATGCTTTGATTTTTTTTTTTTTTTGCATTTAGGCCTTCAATCACCTAGAATTTATTTCTATATATGATCTTCCAAATATTACATATTATTTTATATTGGCTTTCATATTGATAGCCAGTTCTTCCAGCACTATATATTACATGGCTCCCCACTTCTGCACTGATTAGTGAAGCTGTCACGGGTATATACAGAGTTTTCTCTGACATATGGAAGTCAGTTTCTGGGCTCTGTTTTTTGTTCTACTGATCTACTTGTTTATCCTTTGCCCCACCCACACAGTTTTAATGACTGTATCCGTATAAGAAATCTTGATCGTGGGCAGATGCAACAGAGACTGGCTAGCTCTTCACTACACCTATTTCCTCTTGTTCTTGGTACCACAACTGGGCTCCATCTCACAACCTCTCTTGTAAGTAGATGTGGCCACTTAAGTGAGTTCTGACCACTGATGTGAATGGAAACAACGTACACCATTTCTAGGCATTGCCTATAAAATGTCCCATGCATGACCCTTCATCCTCTTTCTCCTCCCACCACCTTGATGCAAACAAGCATAATGACCTTGAAAGATGGGATCCCAGAATGGAAGAAGCCTGAGTCTCCAAATTGCTACATAAAGAAAGCTGCCCACTGAAAAGAAATGTCCATTTTGGATTTTACACCAGCTGGAAATAAATTATTATTATTATTTTCTTTTTTATTATTATTTTTTTTTTGATGGAGTCTTGCTCTGTTGCCAGGCTGGAGTGCAGTGGTGCAATCTCAGCTCACTGCAACCTCCATCTCCTGGGTTCAAGCGATTCTCCTGCCTCAGGCTCCCGAGTAGCTGGGACTACAGGTGTGCACCACCATGTCCAGCTAAGTTTTGTGTTTTTAGTAGAGACGGGGTTTTGCCATGTTGGCCAGGATGGTCTCGATATCTTGACCTCGTGATCCACCCACCTTGGCCTCCCAAAGTGCTAGGATTACAGGCGTAAGCCACCGTGCCTGGCCTAGAAATAAACTTTTATTACGCTTGGGCCTTAAATATGTTGAGGTTTGTTTGTTTCAGCAGCTAGTGTTACCCTAATACAGCATGGCTAAGTGTGTACCTACCCTCCCCCTTGTTCCTCCTCTTTAAAATTGTCTCGACTGTTCTTGGCTCTTATCCTCACAGGAATTTTAAGATCAATTGACGGACTTCCTTAAAAAAAAAAAAAAACTTGCTATGTCTTTGGTTGGAATTCCATTTAATTTCTATATTAATTTGTGGGGACTTACTATTCTTATAATACTGAGTCTTTTCATTCATAAACACAGTTCACTTACTTAGATATTAATTATTAAATGTTATTAGATTTGGTTTGATTCAATATTATTAGATTAATATTTATAATTTATTTTATATATAGGTCTGTGTATCTTCTATTACATTTAATTATAGTTATGTGGATTTTGTTGCCATCATAAATTAAATATTTTTCTTTTTTACATTTTATGTCTTAATTGGTTTCTGCTGTTGTATAGAAACCCAACTGATTTTTGAACATTTATCTTGTATCTAGCAACCTTGCTAAATTCTCTTCTTAATTCTAATATATTTTGTAAATTTTCAATGTAGAGAATCATATCAAAGATGCTTCCACTTGCTATTCCTTTTGCCTGGAACTCACTTATCCTAGATATCTGTATAGTTCATTTCTTCACAACCTTCAGGTCTCTATTCAAATATCATTTAATCAGTCAGGCCTTCCGTGACCTCCTATATAAAGTAATACACATGCATACAGTGCTCTTTATTCCATTATTCTACGTTATTTTTCTTCTTAGGACTGATATAAATTGTTCGCTTATTTTTGCTTGCTTCCTGCACTAGAATGTAATTTAGTGCAGAAAGTTTTTCTGTTTTACTTACTTCTGTATCTCCCAGTGCTTATTTCAATAGATCATTTTTAAATGAATAATATCAAATGTATTATTTCCTTTCCTATCCCTAATCCTGATTCCTCTTCGGTACAAAATCAAAGGGGTTGCTTCTAAGATTTCACCACTTATATTCTTTGTAATAGGCTTGTGATAGGCTCACTTTATCTGGTTAAAACATTTCCTTTAATATCAGCTTTTCTATGAATATAGTTTTTCTATAAATATGTCGTTTTCTAAGAATTTAAAATATTTTATTATCATTGCAAATGGTTTTTCTCCATCTATTGATGTTAAAAATTATTTTTATTTTCAATCTATTAATGTAGTGAATTGAACCAATAGATTTACTAGTAGTTAGCTATTCTTGTGTTCCTGGGATAAATTCAATTTCGTCTTGGTGTATTTTTAGTGTAAGATTTAAGGTTCATTTTGCCAACATTTTTAAAGGATTTTTACATCTATGTTCATAAGTAAGATTGGCCTGTCATTTTTATTTCTCTTACTGTTTTTTCTAAATCAGATATCGAGGTTATCTTAGCCACAGTATAGATGGAGGTAAGGGTTCATTCTCTAAGCAGTTTAAATAAGACAGGATTTACCTGTTTCTTGAAATTTTGGTAAAGCTCACCTAAAAATAAATCCAAGTTCTGAAGCTTTTTCGTTTTTGTCTTTTTTTTTTTTTGAAACACAGTCTCACTCTGTCACCCAGGCTGGAGTACAGTGGTGTAATCACAGCTCACTGCAACCTCAACCTCCTGAGTTCAAGCAATCCTCCCACCTCAGCCTCCTGAGTAGCTGGGACTACAGGTGTGTACCACCACGCTTAGCTAATTTTTGTATTTTTAGTACAGACGGGGTTTCACCATGTTGGCCAGGCTGGTCTGGAACTCCTGACTTCAAGCAATCCATCCACCTTGGCCTCCCAAAGTGCTGTCTTTACAGGCCTGAGCCACAGGGCCTGGCCGGCCATGAGGTTTTAATTGTAGGTCAAATTCTTAAGTGGTTATATAAGTGATTATAGATCGACTTGAATTTTCTATTTTTTCCCAAAGCTGATATTGATCATTTTTTAGATTTCTAAAAAAGGTTTTATTTCATACAATTTTTTTTTCTTTTTTTTTTTTTTTTTTGACAGAGTCTCGCTCTGTCACCCAGGCTGGAGTGCAGTGGTGCAATCTCGGCTCACAGCAACATCTACCTCCCGGGTTCAAGTGATTATTCTGTCTCAGCCTCCCAAGTAGCTGGGATTACAGGCATGCACCACTACGCCCAGCTAATTTTTGTTTTTTTAGTAGAGATGGGGTTTCACCATGTTGGCCAGGCTAGTCTCGAAGTCCTGATCTCAGGTGATCCACCCGCCTAGGCCTCCCAAAGTGCTGGGATTACGGGCGCGAGCCACCACGTCTGGCCTTCATACACGTTTTTAAATGACTTGGCAAAGAGTCAAAGTAGTCCCTTATGGGCCCAGCGTGGTGGCTCAGACCTGTAATCCCAGCTACTAGGGAGGCTGAGGCAGGAGAATCACTTGAACCCGGGAAGTGGAGGTTGCAGTGAGCCAAGATTGTGCCATTACACTCCAGCCTGGGCAACAGAGCAAGACCCCATCTCAAAAACACACACACACACACACACACACACACACACCCCACAAAAACAACAACAAAGTAGTCCCTTATGATCCTTTTCATCTTTACTGTATACATCCCTTTGAAAAAAATTCTTTTTTTCTTCATTAAATTTGCTAGAGGTTGTCCATTTTACTAGTCTTCTCAGAGAACTAATTTTTTACTTTGGTGGTAATTTCTATTGCTTCTTTGTTTTCTAGTTCATTTCTCTGTCTTCTTGAGTTGAAAATTTGGTTCAATTGTTGTTGGTCATCTTGTTTTTTCTAATACAGGTATTTAAGGCTATAATGTTCTAAGTTCCACTTTGGCAGAAACCCACACATTTTCTTATGTAGAGCTTTTATTGTTCTTCAGTGGTAAAGATTTGTAAATTTTTGTAAGGGATGTTACAGTTCCTTTTTTAACCCACTAACTATTTACAGATAGTCCTGCACTCTAGTTAGCCTTTTACAATTAAATGCTAATTTCATGAGGGCTGCACGATAGTGCTTCTTGGTTACTTTTGTTTCTTCGTTTATGTGTTAGAATGGGTTGATTTTTACAAACATTCCACACATTCAGGAGGAGAATGTATATGCTCCATTTGCTACATTCAGAATTCTACATGGATTCTTTACATTAGCTTAATTCTGTTATTTAGTGTTCTATATCTTCTTTATCTTTACTAGTTTTTTTTTCATATTCCCTCTGCTAAAAAGTGTTAAAATCTCCTAGTATAATTGAGGATCTGTCCATTTCTGCTTAATGCCTTTCAGGCTACAACAAGTTCAGTTTTATATGTTCCTGGGAAGTTCTTTTTATAATTAATTACCACCCACTTTTCTTAATAGTTCCCTTTTCCCTGAAGTTTGTTTACAATTAACATTGCTATACCTGCTCTCTTTTTGTTACTATCTACTTACTGTTTGTCTCTTTCCATACATTTATTACAACCCATGTCATTCTTGTAGATGTGTCTCTTGTAAAGAGCACTTATAGCTGATTTTTTTTTTTTTTTGAGATGGAGTTTCACTCTTGTTGCCCAGGCTGGAGTGCAATGGCATGATCTCGTCTCACCGCAACCTCCACCTCCCGGGTTCAAGGGATTCTACTGCCTCAGCCTCCCAAGTAGCTAGGATTATAGGCATGTGCCACCACGCCCGGCTAATTTTCGTATTCTCAGTAGAGACAGGGTTTATCCATATTGGTCAGGCTAGTCTCGAACTCCCTACCTCAGGTGATCCACCCGCCTCAGCCTCCCAAAGTGCTGGGATTACAGGCGTGAACCACCTTGCCTGGCCTTATAGCTGAATTTTTAAACCAATCCGAAAATCTCTGTCTTTCAGTGGGTGGATTTAATTTGTTCATATTTACTGTGACATTTTATTTAGAACTATTTATAACATCTTATTTATGTCTGCATGGGTCTCTTCACTATACTTTTCTTTGTCCCTTATTTCTTTTTTTCTGTCGTCCATTGAATTAATCATTTCCCCTTTTCCCCTATTGGTTCATAAATTATATATTCTATTTATATTATTTGAATAGTTATCCTTAAATTTTAACATAATTGATAGAACGAAGCCAAGAGATAATAATCAGTATCTCCTTAATAATATGAGAACTGATATTTAATTCATGTGTCAGCCCCATCATCCATATCTTTATTGCCTAGCTTTTAGTTTCACCTTACGTTTTTTTGTTTTTTTTTTAAGACGGTCTCCTGCTCTGCCGCCCAGGCTGGAGTGCAGTGGCGCGATCTCGGCTCACTGCAAGCTCCGCCTCCCAGGTTCACGCCATTCTCCGGCCTCAGCCTCCCGAGTAGCTGGGACTACAGGCGCCCGCCACCTGTATTTGTATTTTTTGTATTTTTAGTAGAGACGGGGTAGTTTCACCTTATTCTTTACTCTCCCATTAGTTAGTTATGTTTTAGAGCTAAGGCTTACCGTATTTTATCAAACCTGAGATTTCAGCAATTGTAAGAAACGCTATTATTTTATGGTCCCCTAAGAAAAAAAGGGGGTGACATCAGCAAAAATGGCAGAGTAAGGTCTTCTGAAAGTTCCTTCCTTCATAAAAGCAATGAAAACACTGGCAACAATTGTCAGAAACAACTCTTACAGAACTCCGGAAATTAATCAAAGGCTTGCAGCAATCTGGGAGTACTAAAAAAAAAAAAAAAAAAAAAAAAAAAAAAAGCCAACAGCTATATCTCAGTAAAAACAGCAAGCTCTGTGGCATTTTAACTTTTCCTATTTCCACATCCCCCGTCCCCAGCTCTCCAGTAGCCTTTTCACTGCAATTACAGTAAAAATCAACAGTCTGGTAACCAGTGGAAGGGACCGAAGGGGTTGGAGCAGTTCAAAGTCCCATTCCCAGAGAATTGTCAGTATTTGACTTGTCTGGTGGTTCCACGGAAGATCCCACTTAGAAAGCTGTCTTTATTCCACCTGATTCAGAGCTCACCCAGTGAAAACAACTTTTCTTCAGGCCCATATGCCCAAAACATTAGAGGCAATTGTTGAACATTGGGTGCCAGAGGCTGCCGTAGCTGTTGGGGCAAGCAAGAAGCTGAGCAAAAAGCTTAAAAGGAAAATCTGGGGCGTGAGATGACAATAGGGGGCCTTTTAAAAGCTCCGACGTATCCCAGGGAATCAAGAAAGCCAGACACATCTGTAGGGCTGTGCACATGCTCTGGAAAGATGTGGGAAGGCCTTAAACTCTCACCTCTGGCTAACCTTGAAGCTCTGCGTCAGCAGGAAGTGAAGGCAAAAGCGGAGTTGTACGCTGCCTGACTGGATGTTGAAGGCATGCCCCAAAACACACATATACACAAATATAGCCCCTCAAAGAGACTTAGGGACTTATTGGTTCTAGGCATTTAAGAAAATGTCGACTGGGCACGGTGCTTACGTCTGTAATCCCAGCAATTTGGGAGGCCGAGGCAGGTGGATCACGCAATCAGGAGATCGAGACCATCCTGGCCAACATGGCGAAACCCCATCTCTACTAAAAATACAAAAGTTACCTGGGCATGCTGGCGCGTGCCTGTAGTCCCAGGTACTTGGGAGGCTGAGGCAGGAGGTTCACTTGAACCCGGGAGGCAGAGGTTACAGTGAACCAAGATCGTGCACTGCACTCCAGTCTGGCGACAGAGCGAGATTCCATCTCAAAAAGAAAAGAAAAGAAAAGAAAAGAAAAGAAAATGTCTGTCCAGCTGTTACCTGGCCCACTAAGGTAACAAATCAGAGATTTCAGTAGCCAACACATGACAAGGAATATGTCACAGTAGCCACACATGACAAAGAATATAGACCTTGCAGAATTTGTTCAGAAAAGTCACTAAACAAGCAACAAAAAGCTACCACAAATACAAACCTTGGGGGGCAGAAAGGAGAGGAGGAATTGGATTTCCAGAGTTGCCACATTCAATTATTTGAAATGGCCAATTTTCAACACAAAATTGAGACATGCCAAAAAAAAAAAAAAGCAAGAAAATATGGCCCACAAACAGCAAAAAAGCAATAAATTGAAACTGTACCTGTGGAAACCCAGACATTGAATTTATGAGGAAAGCAACTTAAATCAGCTATCTTAAGTGTGTTCAAAGAACTAAAAGAAACCAAGTCTAAAAACTAAAGTGAAGTATGAAAATAATGTCTTATTAAGTAGAGAATATCAATATCAATAAAGAGATAGAAATTATAAGAAAGGGCTGTGCAGTATGACTCATGCCTGTAATCCCAGCACTTTGGGAGGCCAAGGCAGGAGTATCACTTGAGGTCAGGAGGTTGAGACCAGCCTTGCCAACATGGTGAAATCCTGTCTCTGCTAAAAATACAAAGATTAGCTGGGCATGGTGGCACACACCTGCAATCCCAGCTACTCGGTATGCTGACACAGGAGAATCACTTGAACCCAGGAGGCAGAGGTTGCAGTGAGCCAAGATCGTGCCACTGCACTCCAGCCTGGGTGACAGAACAAGACTCCTTCTCAAAAAAAGAAAGAAATTATAGGAAAGAACCAAATAGAATAGTCAAAAAGTAAAATAGCAGAAGTAAAAAATTTACTAGAGGGACTTAATGCAGATTTGAACAAGTGGAAGAAAGAATCAATACACTTGAAGATAGGTCAACTGAGATTCTCTAGTATGAGAAACAGAATAAAGTGAAGAAAATAAATGAAGAAAAATGGACAAAGCCGCAGAGACCTCCAGGACATTATCAAGCAAACCAACATATGTAAAATGGGAGTTCTAGGAGAGGAGTAAGAAAGGGGCAGAAATAATATCTGAAGAAATAATGGCTCCAAAATTTCTGAGTTTGATTAAAAATGTTAATCTACAAATCCAGAAAGCTCAATGAACTCCAAGTCAGATAAAAATCAAAGAGATCCACGCCTAGACACATGATAAACTATTAAAAGACTATGACAAAGAAAGAATCTTAAAAACATCAGAAGTAGACTCAGCATGGTAGCTTATGTCTGTAATCCTAGCACTTTGAGAGGCCAAGGTGGGAGAATCACTTGAGGCCAGGATTTTGAGACCAGCCTGAGACACATGGCAAGACCCTGTCTCTACAAAAAAATTTAAAATTAGCTGGGCATGGTGTCCCATGCCTGTAGTTCTAGCTGCTTGGGAGGCCAAAGCAGGAGGATTGCTTGAGCTCAGGAGGTCAAGATTATAGTGAGCTATGATCATGCCACTGCACTCCAGCCTGGAAGACAGAGCAAGACTCTGTCTCAAAACAAAACAAAACAAAAAGTAAAGTGACTCACTACAGACAAGGATCCATAATAAGATTAACAGCTGATTTCTCATCAGAAACCATGGAGGCCAGAAGACAGTGAGATGACATATCAAAGTACTGAAAGAAAAAATCCAAGTCAACCAAGAATTTTATATCTAGCAAAGTTATCCTTCAAAAATGAAGAAGAAATTAAAACATTCCCTCATAAAGAAAAAAATCCTAGACAATTTATTACTAGTAGGTCTGCTATAACCGTACAAGAAATAACTAAAGGAAGTCCCTCCAATGAAAGGACAGAAATGCAAGGACACTAAGCAACAATTTCAATCTGCATGAAGAAATAAAAATCACTGGTAAAGGTAACAACATAGGTAAATATTAAAAAATAGTATAAATGTATTTTTTTGTTTGTAACGTTTTTCTCCTATATGATTTAAAAGACAACTGAATAAAGCAATAATTTTAAATCTGTGCTGATGGACACTCAATGTATAGAGATGTAATTTGTATGAAAATAATAGCACAAAGAAGGGGAAGGGGATGGAGATATGCAGGAATAAAGTTCTTGTATGCCATTGTAGTCGTACTAATATAAACTAGATTGTTATAAGTTAAAATGTTAATTACAATCCCTAGAGCAATCACTAAGAAAATAAATCAAGTAAGTTTAAAAAATGACAAGACAATGAAACGATACACTGGAAAAAATATATTTAACACAAAATAAGGAAGTAATAGAGGAATAGAAGAACAAAAAAGTCATAGGACATATATAAAACAAATAGCAAAATGATAGATTTAAATACCACCTTATCGGTAATTACATTAAATGTAAGTGGATTGAGCACTCCAATTAAAAGACAGAGATTGGGAGAACCATTTATTTAAAAAAAAGATCCAACTATATACCGTCTATAAGAGACAAACTTTAGATTTAAACATACAAATAGATTGATAATATAATAAAGGATGGAAAAATACATACCATACCAACATTAACCAGAAGAGAACTAGAGTAGCTATCCTAATATTAGACAAAATAGACTATAAGACAAAAAAAGTGTGTGTGTGTATATATATATATATATATATATATATGTATATATATATATATATATATATATGAATCATACAAGGTATCTCTTCTCCAACCACAATGAAATGAAATTATGAATCAATAACAGGAGGAAATTAGGAAAATTCGCTATGAAATTTCAACAACACAGTCCTAAATAACCAATGGGTCAAAGAAGAACTCAAAAGAAAAATTAGAAAATACTTTGAGATGAAGTAAAATAAAAACACAGCATACCAAACTTAGCTAAAACAGTGCTAAGAGGGAAATTTATAGCTGTCAATGCATGTTTTTAAAAAGAATGACCTCAAATCAAGAACCTAAACTTCCACCTTAGGAAACTAGAAAAAAAATTAAACTAAACCTCCAAAAAAGCAGAAAGAAAAAAATAATAAAAATTAAGTTGGAAATAAATGTGATAAAGAATAGAAAAACAACAAAGAAAAATCAACAAAACCAAAAGTTGTTTCTTTAAAGGATCAACAAAATTGACAATTCTTTAGCAGACTGACCAAGAAAAGAAAGGATTCAATTATTAAAATCAGAAATAAAAAAGAAGAAAATGTTACTGATCTTATAGAAACAAAAAGGAATATAAGGGAATACTATGAACAAATTAAATAACCTACATGAAAAGGATAAATTTTTAGAAAGACACAAACTACTGAAACTAAATTTAAAAATGGAATGTCTGAATAGACCTATAACAAACAAAGGGATCAAATTAGAAATAAAAAACTTTCCACAAAGAAAAGCCTAGGACCAGATGGCTTCACTGGTGAACTCTACCAAATGTTTGAAGAAGAATTTATACAAATCCTTTACAAACTCTTCCAAAAAACAGAAGATGAAATGTTACCATGCATTCTATGAAGCCAGTATTATCTTGATACTGAGACACCGACAAAGAAATCACACAAAAAGAAAAATACAGAACAATATCCCTTATGAATATACATGTAAAAGTTCTTAACAAAATATTAGCAAACCAAATCCACTAACATTTAAAAAGGAGTATACACTATGACCAAATGGAATTTATCTTAGGAATACAAGGTTGGTTCAACATAAGAAAGTCAAACAATGTAACGCACTATATTAATAGAATAAAGGACAAAAGCCACATGGTCAATAAATACAGAAAAGCATTTTACAAGAAAGAATGAGATTAACAAAACTCTGATGCAGTGCTTCAATTTTACACTTACTGAAAGCTTTTTAAAAACATCTATTAGATTTATTTTGTCATAGATGTTTATCATATATTACTCTCATGAATATATAAGAGGAAAATATAAGTGAAATCAATGAATTCCTAAAACTTTTCACATTCAGAGTACAATTCTTCTGAAGAATTGGTCAATATATATGTATATTCATATATTCATATCAAAGTATGGAAGGAGTACTAAAAAATACTGCAGTCCTTATTTCTGCAATGGGTGACATAGTTATCGTCAGTGTTTTAAATTTCCTTCTTTCAACCACCTAGTTCATAGTCCCTTTGCACTCATCAAGCACTCAACTCGTTGTGGTTCCTTGCCTTCTGGATTGACCCTAGCTTTCATTCTGAAGGTCTGTGCCACTAGCAGCCTTGTCTCTATTGGGATGTGGTGGTTCTTCATTAACCTTTATTCCAGGACATGAGACTACTAAAAGTTACCCACAAAAGACTTCTTGTATTCCACACAAACTCCTCCCTGCCCTTATTATAGAAATCCAAATTCTGGACTGATTTCTGGATCAATCAACCTAAACAGTACAATAAATCCTTCATTGCCTATTAGTTCATTGGTGTGAAGAGCCCAGTGTGGCCAGCTGGCAAACTCAGCTTCCAATTTAATGAAACCACATCTATACCCACGAATGAGAGCATTCCTCCCTTTGGAACCAACACCTCTAAACCAGCAGAGCCCCAAGTGTCAGGGACATGAAACAAAAATTTTGCTAGTGAACCATTGGAGTAAAAGTGAAAAGGGCCACTCTCATTTCCACCCTTTGATTCCAGGACCTTGAATCCTGTTTATGGAACAAATGAGACCACATATTGGTCACAATGATTCAGAGCATATACCATATCTTAGAAGGTTCTGCCTTAGCCCTACAAGATGTTGCCACACACCTGGTGTCATAATTGAGTCTTCCAAAAGCCATGTCATTATTTTATCAGGCCAGCTGCCACAGAGTAATGGGGAACCTGATAAGCCCAGTGAATTCCATGAGCCAGGAGCCTTCTGCCACACTTACTCATTTTCTGTAAAGTGAGTTTTCTCTGGTTAGAAGTGATGTTGTGCAGAATGCGATGACTGTGGATAAGGCTGTTGCCATAGTTTGAATATGCTTTGTTTGTCCCCACAAAATCTCATGTTGATATTTGATCCCCAAAGTTGGAGATTGGGCCTAAATAGGAGATGTTCAGGTCATGGGGGTAGATCCCCCATGAATAGATTAATGCCCTCCTCAGGGGTTAGGAGCGAGTGAGTTCTCACTCTATTTGGTCCCATGAGAGCTGATCATTAAAAAGAGCCTGGAACTTCTCCTGCCCTCTTGCTTCCTCTCTCGCCATGCTCTCTGCACATATGGCTCCCTTTCACCTTCTGCCATGAGTAGAAGCAACCTGAAGCCCTCACCACAACAAGATGCTGGCACCATGCTTCCTGTACAGGCTGCAAAACCATGAGCCAAATAAACCTCTTTTCTTTGTAAATTACCCAGTCTCCGGGAGTATCCCTTTATAACAACACAAAACGGACTAAGACAGGTGTGGATGGTGATTTTGAAAGAAGCATTGTGAGCAGAGAAAGCAAATCCACATCCAGAGTATCTATTCCAGTGGCAACAAAGTGCTGCCCCCTTTATGCTGTAAGTAGCCTGTATAACCAAACTGCCACCACATGGGGGGAATGGGCCCCCCACTGGAGCCTCTGAGGAATGGGGCCATCTTGGGGGCTCAGTGTTGGTCTCTGCTGCTGGCAGGTCAGGCACACAGCAGTGACTGTGGCCAGATCAGCTTTGTTAAGTGTAAGTCCATGTTGCTAAGCCTATGAATAACCTCCATCCCTGCCTACATAGCCACTTAGTTCATCATCCCATACAGGAGTAACTGGGGAGAGAGGTTGACTGGAATCCAGAGAATGGGGCATCCTGTCCACCTGAGTATTATGATTCTTCTCTGCTAAAGTTGCTCTTTGACGAGCATTTGCATGGACACAAATATCTTCACACCATGTGACAATTTAGGTTCATTCACATATCTCTTCCCCAGATCTCTTTGTCACCAACTATGCAATCTTGTTCTTTCCAAGTCCCTGACCATCCAACCAAACCATTAGCCATCTCCTGCAATTAATTTTTATTAATCACCTCAGATCTATACCTCTTGCCAGCTCTCCTTCCAGGAGAAATGAACAATAAGGTGCACTGCTCAACTCTCCACTGGGAGGACTTCCCATTCCCACTGCTCTTCGGAACCACCCCAGAGTGTGGTTTAGTACTACAGTGGTCCACCTATAGATTGTTCCAGCCTGTCTTGCAGAACCATTTATTTTCCAGTCCAAATGTTTTCTTTCTCAGTTAACTGGTCACTGGGAAACTTCTCATGACTGCACAGGTACAGACTGAAAAGGAGGAGGCAAAGTAGGAGAACCAGGAGTCACTTGTGCCTTTCAGATCCACTCAAGCCCAACCTAGTACAAAACACCTCTGCTTGCTGAGGGATTGATGGGATATGATGGTGTGGATACGGCAGAGTTGTCTGTGGGCCCACCAGGCACACAGTGAAGTTGACACAAGCCAAAACTCCATTAGTCACCCAATTGCCATAATCCCCTTCTTTCATTGGTGAACCACGATGTCATTTTGGGTCCCCAAGCATGCAGTGATCTCCAAAATTCTGGTTCTTTCCCCCTCCCCAGTGTATAGTCATCCTGGGAAATGGCTGCTGGTAGCTTAGGAAGGTCTAGGAGGAAGAGTCATGATGTATTGAAAAAGTTGCAGTGCACACTTTTGGCAGTAGCATTCCTTGTGTTGATTCAAGTCAGACTTCCATTCACTGGACCTAGAGCTTTTTTGCTTATCCGAATCAAGCAAGACTTTAATAATCAACTACCAATGCTAAAGCATTCTTCAGATCAGACCATTCTGGATACTGCTTTGGCTTCGCTGTCCATTATGGGAATCATGCCCACCTTGTCTCTGTTAAGTGCTACCACTTGGTCCCTGCTACCCCAGGATCCCATCATCCCTATTGAATCCAGAGAGCTCAGTTTCATGGCTCATGGCATCATTTCCCACTGTAATTCCTCTCTTGAAGAGAACTGATACTATGGGACTCTTCGGAGTTGCTGAGACTCCCTTCATCAATACCAATGCATTGCTTTTTCTTTTCTTTTCTTTTCTTCTTTTTCTGAGACAAGATCTCATTTTGTCACTTGATCATCAAGCTCATTGCAGCCTTGAATTCCTGGGCTCAAGTGATCTTCCTGCCTCAGCCTCCTGAGTAGCTGGGACTACAGGCATGTGCCACCATGGCCAGTTCAGTTTTTTTGTAGAGATGGGGTTTCACTATGTTACCCAGGCTGGTCTCAAACTCCTGGCTTTAAGCAGTTCTCCTGCCTCAGCCTCCCAAAGTGCTGGGATTACAGGAGTGAGCCACTGCACCCGGCCTTATTTCTAAAACCCTTGGTGAGCATATTATTTCCTAAAACTAATTATTGGTGAGCTAATTATCTCCTAAAGCCTTGATAAGCATAAACTTAGGGCCCTCCTGGGAGACATGGAGAGGGGGTGGGTGAGTAGGACATAAACAATGAATCTCTTCCAGCTTTCTGTCCCTAAGTTTTGGATATCTCCGTCTATAGTATATCAAGAAAGTCATGAAATTTCATCCTTATTCAGTATGGTCCATATATGGATCCAGGTTTCAATCAACCAACGGAGCAACTGTTAGAGTCCCTCTCAGCCACTCAAACTACTGCAATAAATCTAGAGTCTTCACTTACCTATTAATATCAATAAATTCAGCCAGATTCTACATTATATTGCTCCCACCAAAATCTGACAGTTAGGGTCCATTCCCATGTTGATACAAGTTGGAGACACCTTATAATTCTTTTCTGTATGTACAATGCCTCCTCATGAGTCACACTTTGTGCTTGATCCCATGAAGCTTACTGGGTTTGAGTCTGGTTATAGTTCTAGAAGCAATGGGTGTGTATGCGGGGTGGGGGTGGTGTAGGTCCTGAGGAAGATGGCCATTCCCCTGTAGGAATATCACCTCAGGAGAGGCCATTAGAGATTTTCCAGGCAAGTGGTGAGTAAACTCCCCAGAGGGAGAGGAAGGGATGCTTCCACTGACAAAAAGCTTGGTGGGATTGGGAGTTCAAGGTTCTTATCTTCATCGGAATCTTCCCAGATACCCCCACTCCAAATTTTAGGGTCCCACTCCTTCTCAATCAATGACCTCTAACTTTAACATGAGACCTTCCAAGGTTGTAAATTCAATCAGCATCATAATTTAGCTACCCAAGGGATTAGATTTAGAGTTTGGTTTTTAGAAATCAACCTGCAGCTCCAGGAGGTGAAGTTTTTTCTTTTCAGAGCATATGGAAGTGCTTCTTGATTGTTTACCCATTTCTTCATCTGAGAATTTAAAGTCCTGCACTCATCATCATCCTCTCCAAATTTTCCAGTGCACTTAGAAGCAACCAACCTGTTGGGCGCAGTGGCTCACACCTGTAATCCTAGCACTTTGGGAGGCTGAGGCAGGCAGATCATGAGGTCAGGAGACTGAGACCATCCTGGCTAACACGGTGAAACCCTGTCTCTACTAAAAAATACAAAAAATTGTCCGGGCGTGGTGGCTCACACCTGTAATCCCAACACTTGGGGAGGCTGAGGCGGGCGGATCATGAGGTCAGGAGATTGAGACCATCCTGGCTAACACGATGAAACCCCGTCTGTACTAAAAATACAAAAAATTAGCCAGGCATGGTGACATGCGCCTGTAGTCCCAGCTACTCAGGAGGCTGAGGCAGAAGAACCACTTGAACCCAGGAGGCAGAGGTTGCAGTGAGCCAAGATTCCGCCACTGCACTCCAGTCTGGTGACAGAGTGAGACTCCATCTTTAAAAAAAAAAAAAAGTAAAGAAGCAACCAACCAACCCCTGAATCCTTGTACCATTTATTTCCACCAAAATGTTCTATGGCAGTAGTTACTTGGTCAAGAAAAGTCATGCCTTCTGTAGGCCTTGATGCCAAGAGTCTAAAGATGATAATTTAATAGCTCTTCTCCAGCACGTGCCATCAACCACCGGCATCCCCTTTACTCCTAAAAGCAGTATCCTTAATGCCTCTATATCTACTCGGATGGGAGAACCAAACCACATTCCCATCCTTAACATTCTCTTCCCTGGAAAGCATCATTAGTATCAATAACTGCATCAGTCAGGGTTTGGTTAGGGAAGCAAAGCCACTGTGAGTGTTACAGGATACAGATTTATTACAGAGATTAGGCCTGAACAATGTGGGTAGAGCTAGGGAAGTGAAGGTCATGGGGGGAATTGGAGGATCACAGGCAAAGTCACTAAGTCATCCTCCTCCTGATGCATCGGAGGCTCGGTTGGAATCGAAACCAAACAAATCGAGCCACTAAAAATGGGATTGCAAAGGGGTCATTGTAGGGAGGTCCATGGGATGCTGTTGCCTCTTGGTAGCTCTTCCTCTGTGACTCCACAGTTAAGCATCTTGTAGGGGACATGGAGCTGCTCCTGGTGAACAAGAAGAGCCGGTTGTGGAACTGAGAACAAGGAAGACAGGTTGGGACCCACCCTGCACCTCAGCATCTGTCTGTTACCATACTCGACCACAGTGACAATCAGGGAACCATGGCAACTCCTGCACTTCTTCCAGCCACCTCCTGTCTTGGTCAAGTGTCCCCTGGAAGGAGATTCTGGGAGCGGTAGTTCATAGCTTAACCAAGCTGGCACTAGAACATTGCAGTACAGGGAATATAATGGCTTTAGAGCTCATAAACTTGCAAGTTATTATTTCAGATGCCGATTGAGACTAGATTGCTCTGTCAAAGCATTCTCCAAATGGCATGGAGAGAGAATCTGATGGTCTCAGCTTGGGTCCTGTGTCCACTACTTGTTTAATCAGCTATGCCCAAGGGACATATGTCACATTATGGCCTGTGGCCCTCCCCTGAGAATCAAGGAAAGGGAGTTGGTTTACAGCCCTCAACTGGTATTGTGTAAAATCGAGGACTTTGCTAGAATTTTTGTTTGTTGGTTGGTTGGTTTTAGAGACAGAGTTTCACTCTGTTGCCCAGGCTAGAGTACAGTGGCATGCTCATAGCTCACTGCAGCCTCGAACTCCTAGGCTTAAGAGATCCTGCTGCCTCAGCTTTCCACATGGCTAGGATTACAGGTGTGTGCTACCACACATGCCCAGGTTTTTAAAATTATTTTTTGTAGAGATGGAGTCTCATTATGTTGCCCAGATTAGTCTCGAACTCCTGGCCACAAGCGATCCTCCTGCCTCAGCATCCCAAAGCATTGGGATTACAGGCATGAGCCACACACCCAGCCGGAATTGAGAACTCTGCAGAGCTGCTTACTAATGTGAGGTACCCTGATCACAAGAGAAAGTAGAGGCTGTGTGCATAGAAGGAGCTCACGCTCCACTCTGGGTGCCAGGATGGCAGGAACCAAAGGGAAAATGGAAATCTTCAAAAGATTTTCCCCATGGGCCAGGCACTGCATTAGGCTTCAGAACCAACACAATATCAGCTTTTGTGGAACTTACAAATTAGAAGGTTTTAAGTAGCTGGAGCCTGGCGCACAAAAGAAGGGATCAGAAAAGACATTGAGCTTGTTGGTGCTAGGAGACGAGTAGCTTTTCCCGTCAACAGGCCCAACAGTCCCCTGTGGCATGTTCATCATTGGGACCACCACTGCCCCTTGCACTGTCACCTGAGAAGCTTACGTGTACAAGCAAAAAAGATTTCCTAAACATCTGTTGCCATGCTAGGAGACTATTCTGTCTTCTTTTAGGTGATGGTCAGTTAGGTGGGGCCACAGCGGGAGACATAAGAGAGGCTCAAGGAAAGAAAGTTTCTTATTCTCACAGCTCCTGGAGAGACAGAATCACTGCAGGAGGACTCGTGGTTGAGTGCCCTTATCAAGGGTCAGGGTGAAGTGCACAAGAAAAGGTGCAAGGGAATTTCATTGGTGGATTTGAATGTTACCAGGTCACAGTCAGGGGAGGACAGGAGCCTACCCTATCACACAGGTCACCTGGCAGGGTGCTTTCTGCAGCCTGTTTGTGGAGGCGACAGGAAAAAATATAAAGTTTCTAAAATATGCAATACAGGCCAGGCACAGTGGGTCATGCCTGTAATCCCAACACTTAGGGAGGCCAAGGCGGGCGGATCACCTGAGATCGGGAGTTCGAGACCAGCCCGGCCAATATGGTGAAACCCCGTCTCCACTAAAAACACAAAAATTAGCCAGGCATGGTAGCCGGTGCCTGTAATCTCAGCTACTCAGGAGGCTGAGGCGGAGAATCGCTTGAACCCCAGAAGCGGAGGTGGCAGTGAGCCAAGATTGCGCCACTGCACTCCAGCCTGGGTGACAGAGTGAGATTCCATCTCCAAAAAAAAAATTAATACAGAGATGGAGCAAGGGCCTGGGAGAACGTGCAAGAGAGGAGGATGCTGGAAAGAACTGAATCAACACGGTGGTTTGAGATCAGTGAAATATGCTCAAGGTCTTCTTTTTTCCCTCTCTCCCTCCCTTCCTTCCACTTGCCTTTCTTTCCTTCCTTCCTTCCTTCCTCCCTCGCCGTTCCCCTCTCCAGGAGAGATAAGGAGGCTGGGGCAGTCTGTGGCTCAGTGGTTAGCCATTATATATTACTGGTCACATATTTTACACTCGGCAGCATGAAAAAAGGGCATAAAACTGCAATTAAATGTCTGAACTGTTGCTATTTTGGAAATTAAAACAGCCTACATTATCCTCGGTGCAACTCCGATTACTGACTCAGGGCTGAGGAGCAGTTATTCCCACCACTTTAACCGACTTCTTTCCCATAAAAACCCATTGTTAATGGGTCCCCGGGGACCTCTGAAAATAACAAGATCTGTAATAAAGAAATTAATAACATGCAGAGCAGGCCACAGCTAAAAAGCTTTTTAGAATACATTAATGGTTCTGTTCTGAATGAGGAATACTTGTACCCAAATTCCTCCCTCCTGTGTTTGATTTCTGGTTGATGCCAGGGGATGGGGGAAGGGGACTTTTTGGCTGCAGTGGCAGTGGGAGGGTGGTCCCCAGTGGTGGGGGGAGTCAGCCACTCCCCAGTGTCAGCCTCCCTGCAGACAAGGGAGCTGGCAGTCCGGAACGCTGCCCAGCCTCTGCCTCCTCTTCCCTCTGCCTCTCCTTAGTCCTCATGATTTCTCTCTCAGTCTCCTCTTCCTCTGTCTCTGTCACTTTCTGTTGCCATCTGTTTCCTCTTTCTCATTATGACTTTCTCCTTCTTCCTGTCCTTCTTTCTTCGCCACCCCCACCCACCAGCCACACTCACTCTGTCTCCTCTTTCTCTCCCTCTTTCTTCCTATCTCAGTCTTTCTTTATGTCTCAACTCTCTCTCCATTGATGTCTCTGCATTTATGTCTCTCCCTTCGTCCGTCTCTGTCTCACTGTATTCTGTTTTCTCTCTCTTCATTTTACATTCTTTTTTTTTTTTTTTTTTGAGATGGGGTCTCAAAAAAATGGTGACAGACAAGACTCTGTCACCCAGGCTGGAGTGTAGTGGCACGATCTCAGCTCACTGCAACTTCTGCCTCCCAGGTTCAGCGATCCTCCCACCTCAGCCTCCTAAGTAGCTGGGACAACAGGCGAACCACCATGCTTGGCTGATTTTATTTTATTTTATTTTTGTATTTTTGGTGGAGACAGAGATTCACTGTGTTGTCCAGGCTGGTCTCGAACTCCTGGGCTCAAGTGATCTGCCTGCCTCAGCCTCCCAAAGTGTTGGGATTAGAGGTATGAGCCACAGCACCTAGCCTTCATTTCACATTCTATCCTTCCCTCAGTTTCTCTGTCTCCACTTCAATGCTTCTCTTTCTGTATTTCTGTCTCTCTCTGCCACTATCTTCCTAATACATACATATATATGTACACACACGTGTGTGTGTATGTTTATATATCTGTACATATCACATATATTGTATGTGATCTTTCTCCTCACCCTTTCTCAATCACCCTCCTCCCACATCTTGGTTTCCCTCCTGCCCATCTGTCTGGCCTCATCTCCCCTAGCTTTTCTGCCTCTTCAAGTTTGAAAGTCATACATTCTATATCTGTTATTTTATTGGTTATCTTTCAACTTTTTTGCCCTTATATTTTTTATTTTTATTTATTTCTTTATTTTTGAGACAGACTCTTGCTCTGTCACCCAGGCTGGAGTGCAGTAGTGCGATCTCGGCTCACTGCAGCCTTTGCCTCCTGGGTTCAAGCAATTCTCCTGCCTCAGCCTCCTGAGTAGCTGGGACTATAGGCGCGCACCACCACGCCCGGCTAATTTTTGTATTTTTTTAGCAGAGACAGGGTTTCGCCATGTTGGTCAGGATGATCTTGATCTCCTGACCTCATGATCCGCCCACCTCGGCCTCCCAAAGTGCTGGGATTACAAGCATGAGCCACTATGCCCAGCCTGCCCTTATATTTTTGATGCCCATTATTAAACATGCGTTTTTCAAACAATGTCTAAAGTTAATCAGAGTCTATGTAATTCACCCCCAAAAAATCCAAGAAATTGGATATTTTTCTGATTCTCTCTTCTACACACATGCACACACACATGCGTACACACACACACACACACACATACACAGACTTTCAGGTTTGAATTGTGGTTTCAGCTTGTTACTTAAATAATTCTTGACTATCACTAGTCAATAAAAATTACTGGCATGTGTTATCATTCCATTGCCTTGCCATTGTTTCATATAGTCCACTATTTCCTTCTGGCTTTATTTTTCTTCTCTCTCACTCTCTCTCTTCTTTTTTTTTTTTTCTTGAGACAGAGTCTTGCTCTGTCACCCAGGCTGGAGTGCAGTGGTGCGATCTCAGCTCACTGCAACCTCAGCCTCCTGGGTTCACATGATTCTCATGCCTCAGCCTCCTGAGTAGCTAGGATTATAGTCATGCACCACCAAGCCCAGCTAATCTTTTTGTATTTTTGGTTGAGACAAAGCTTTGCCATTTTCACCAGGCTGATCTTGAATTCCTATCCTCAAGTGATCCATCTGCCTCAGCCTCATGATTTCTTTCTCAGTCTCCTCTTCCTCTGTCTCTGTCACTTTTGTTGCCATCTGTTTCCTCTTTCTCATTATGACTTTCTCCTTCTTCCTGTCCTTTTTTCTTCCCCCTCCCCCAACCAGCCTCTCTCGCACGCGCTTTCTCTCTCCCTCTGTCTTTCTTCCTATCCCAGTCTGTCTTTCTTTATGTCTCATCTCTCTCTTCATTGATGCCTCTGCATTGTGCCTCTCTGTCTCACTGTATTCTGGGATTTTGCCCTTCCCTCCCCTCCCTTCCCCTCCCCTCCCCTCCCCTTCCCTGCCTACGGGGTATTACAAGCGTGAGCCACCACAGCCGATTTTTCTTCTTTCTGGAATTCATTTTTTATTAGCCATAAGTGGATCACTCATGGCCATTTAGCGTTAATAAAAGATGGCCTTTCTTGGGTATCTGAGATACCCTGACATTTAAATGATGGTATAGAATTCTAGGTTCAAAGTTATTTCCAATCAGCACATTCAAAACGTTACTACTCTTCTGTCTTGCGTCTATTGTAGCTGATGAGAAGTCTGATGCCCATTTGATTCTCAGTTCTTCATAGGCAATTGATCTCTTTTGGGATGGATGGTCACTGTTAGGATTTCTATAGCTCTAGTAGATAGATGTTTGCAGTTTTGAATCTAGTCTCCATGTCTCTTTTCTTTTATACTTTTCTTCTTTTTGTTTTCTTTGTGCTATGTTCTAGAAAATTATTTTAGCTTGATCTTCCAGCTCATTAGTTTACATTTCAGCAAACTTTAAAAAAAAATGTCAACAATTACCTATTTCTTATTTACAAGCTCTCTAATCCTTCCTTCCTTTTCTTTTTCTTTCTTTATTTTTGAGACAGGGTCTCACTTTGTCTCCCGGGCTAGAGTGCAGCTGCAAGATCATGGCTCACTGTAGCCTCCATCTTCCCGGCCCAAGCGATCCTCCCACCTCAGCCTGCAGAGTAGCTGGGATCACAGGTGGGCACCACACACCCAGTTAATTTTTTTTGTTTTTTATAGAGACAGAGTCTCACTTTATTGCCTAAGCTGGTCTTGAACTCTTGAGCTCAAGCGATCCTCCCACCTTGGCCTCCCAAAGTGCTGAGATTACAGGCATGAGACACCATGCCCAGCCAGATCCTTTTTTTAAATGCCTATTTGTATTGTTCCATAAAAGGGGTTCCCTCCTTTATCTCTATGATCATGGCTATCCTTAGTTCAAAGTCCTTTTTTTTTTTTGAGGTGGAGTCTCGCCCTGTTGCCCAGGCTGGAGTGCAGTGGCGCGATCTTGGCTCACTGCAACCTCTGCCTCTCAGGTTCAAGCAAATATCCTGTCTCAGCTTACTAAGTAGCTGAGATTATAGGTGCATGCCACCATGCCCAGCTAATTTTTATTTTTATTTATTTTTTTTTTTTTGAGACGGAGTCTCGCTCTGTCACCCAGGCTGGAGTGCAGTGGCGTGATCTCGGCTCACTGCAAGCTCTGCCTCCCAGGTTCACACCATTCTCCTGCCTCAGCCTCCCAAGTAGCTGGGACTACAGGCGCCCTCTACCACCCCCAGCTATTTTTTTTTGTGTTTTTTAGTAGAGATGGGGTTTCACCGTGTTAGCCAGGATGGTCTCAATCTCCTGACCTCGTGATCCGCCTGCCTTGGCCTCCTAAAGTGCTGGGATTACAGGCATGAGCCACCGCGCCTGGCCAATTTTTTGTATTTTTAGAAGACACGTGGTTTCACCATGTTGGCCAAGCTGGTCTCGAACTCCTGACCTCAAGTGATCCACCTGCCTCAGCCTCCCCAAGTGCTGGGACAAAGTCTTTTTCTGATTGCTCACTCATCTGTTTCCTTGGATGTGTCCCCCACCTGTTGAGCTCACTGTTGCTCTTCACTCTCGGTAGCGCTGGCACCCTGGGTGGGTGCTGGCCGATTCTCAGCTGACACTCACTTTGGAGAAGAGCCCCCAATATATGCTGTGGTGGCACAGCCTCCTTCTTCCTGCTGTGACTTTAGCTGCTTCCTTCTTTTAGGGATTCTTTTTCTATTATTTTTATTATTTCTATTATTTTTCTATTTCTATTGCTCAGAACATTCTCTTTTTTGTTTTTGAGTACACTTTTTTTTTCATCAACTTACTTTATAAATCTTGTCCTACCATTTCTAGGGTTTAATGAAATATGGCAGGATTTTTGTGCTCACTTAGTCTCTGCCAGGAAAGCAGATTGCCTGGCCCCTGGGAATTGAGTGTTTAGCCAAAGTGTCACCCCAAGGCTCGTGCAGACCAGGAGTCTTTGGTGCAGTTCCATCCTCACCTTTACTAATCAGTACCCAGAGCCCAGGAAGGAGCAGCCACAGCTTGGGTAAGGTCATCATGAACCCCAAGAGACACCCCAGGACAGCAGAGCATCCCCAGGGCAGCGAAGCTTCTTCCATCTCCTCTTCTTAATCTTCTTGTTTCTGTTGTTCTTTTTCCTTTCCCTCCAGCCCCAGCACCTCTTCCCTGTATTAGTTAAAACTCTGAGGGCTGAGCACGGTGGCTCATGCCTGTAATCCCAGCACTTTGGGAGGCTGAGGCGGGTGGATCACGAGGTCAGAAGATCGAGACCATCCTGGCTAACACGGTGAAACCCCGTCTCTGCTAAAAAATACAAAAAATTAGCCGGGCATGGTGGCAGGCACCTGTAGTCCCAGCTACTCAGGAGGCTGAGACACGAGAATGGCATTAACCTGGGAGGTGAAGCTTGCAGTGAGCCGAGATCGTGCCACTGCACTCCAGCCTGGGTGACAGAGCGAGACTCCGTCTAAAAAAAAAGAAAAAAACCTGTGAGTTATTGTGATTTAAAAAAAAACACACACACACAACCTACTAGCTTAAGCAAAAAAGGGGGTTTATTGGAAGAATCCTAGAGAAGAAAATAGTGAACAACCAAATTGAGGAAGGACAGGGGTGTGGCTGAATCTCAATCCCTGGATCCTGGGAGTGGAGTGCTGTGTGTGGGCTTCTCTCCATCTCTGCTCATCCCACTTCTCTGCATACCTGCTTAACCCTCCACTCCCACTATACACCAACTTCCCCTACCCCTCAGCCCATATGTCCACAGGACAGGACACCTGTCCACCAAGGGCTCCAGAGTTGGCCATGTTACAGCCCGGGCCATCAAGAGAGCCTGATTCAACCCTCACTAGATCCAAGATCCTAAATCCAGGGAAAGAAATCACTGGCTCAGCTGGCCATGGAAGACAGACATGGAGATCTACCACTTATATCCCCCTTCAAGGAAGAACTTGTTGCCCTACTGCAAGGAGGGGAGTTAGCTGCCAAGCCCTAACTATTCATTCTTTCGGGTCTACCTCAGCTTCGCAGCCAAGGTCATTCTCCTCTTAGGGTGGTCTCAACCAATGACTGTGCAAGACTGTGGTGGATGGACCCAATACAGGACTCCTCCAACTGGTGATCACTGTTTTCTGGAGCTCTGCACTGGGCGGGCACAGCCTACGTCAGTTTGCATCACCATCTCATGGCTCACACGCCCATTCCCACTTCCTCCTCCTTTCTCCTTTCACAGGTGTACTTCTCAACAAACTGTTTGCATTCCTAACTCTTTCTCAGTTCCTGCTTCCCTGAGAACCCAATCTACACACAGCCCACCCCTTGGCCATCCTCTGAGCTTATGGGATCAGGTTGACATTGCACAAAATAGCTGCTCTCATGGAGATACATGCTTGGAAAGGGGGCATTACCCTGAAAAAGAAGTGCCCAGAACACGCCTTCTCCTGCCCCTCCAGGTCTAGATTTTTATTTATTTTTATTTTTATTTTGAGACAGAGTCTCGCTCTGTCGCCCAGGCTGGAGTGCAGTGGTGCGATCTCAGTTCACTGCAACCTCCACCTCCCAAGTTCAAGCAATTCTCTGCCTCAGCCTCCCGAGTAGCTGGGATTACAAGCACTCGCCACCACGCCCAGCTAATTTTTTTTTTGTATTTTTGGTAGAGACAGGCTTTCACCATCTTGGCCAGGCTGGTCTTGAACTCCTGACCTCCTGATCCACCTGCCTCGGCCTCCCGAAGTGCTGGGATTACAGGCGTGAGCCACCATGCCCAGCCTGTTTTGGGTATTTTACCACAATTTCTCCATGTACTCACCAACACCTGCTATTTTCTGGGGTTGTTAGATAACAGCCATCCTAATGAGTGTGAGGTGGTAGGTATGAATTTTTTAATTGATACAGAATAGTTGTACATATTTGTGGAGTATATGTGATGTGTCGATACATGCATACAATGTGTATTGTATGCATGATATCCATCACCTTGAACATTTATCTTTTTTTGTGTTAGAAATATGGAACAAACCTAAGTGTCCATCAACAGGTCAATGGATTTTTATTGGGATGGGCGCCCAGCCATCCCCACTGACAGGGCAAGCCTTGGTGTTATGCCGGCTGTGATGAGCTGCCAAGATTACCCTCAGGACCAAGGCACTCACTCAGCTTCCAGAAGTGTCACCTGCTGACAACTTACAACTAAACTCCTCCCTCCCTGGGAGTTGCCCTTGGCTGGAAGGACCTGCCTCCTCCAAGTTTACATTCCTTTCCTCAGGATGGCACATGCTCAGTGACTGGTCGGTGCAGAGGAGGCCCAGCTTCAACTCAGAGTATCTCTGAAGAGCGTCCCACCTTCAAAGCTCCTGGCACAATCAGCTGAGGTCTCTGCTGTTCCTACATGGCAGTTCACCTTCACCCTCTGCCCAATCCTGCTTCCCTTGCTCTGGCTCTTGGGAGCAGGAAGGACAAGATAAAGTCATGTGACAGTCTCCCCAAGGGATTCTAGGACAAATCTAAGTTTGAGGACCACCGTACTTAACACTGGAGCAGTTCTAGCTAGACTCATTGGAGCCCCTGACAACAGGGAGGTTAGCCGCAGCAGCATTTGAGGCCCCAACCTGACACCTCTGGGCTTTGAACTTCGTCTGGGGAACATATACTCCTCCCATTCCCTGGGAGGCACCGACTGACTCTTGTCTATGCTTTGGTTCCCTGAGGACCTCCACCTGCACCTTGATCCCAGGAGCTTCAAGGGACAAACATTCCTCACCCAGACGCTGACCTGCAATCTCGGACCCCACGGGTTGGTCCTTTGCACACTCCATGCTGTGATTCATGCTGGGATCCCATGAGGAATGCTCTGCCCACTGCTGGGTCCAGCTCAACTGACCTCCTTCATGAAGTCTTTTCTGATGCCTCTCACCACCAGCCCACACAGCTAGACTAGACTGGGCACTCTTTGAGGGCAGAGCTTAGGTTGGATTCTCCTCAATACTGTCAGTGCCCAGTGAGCACCGGGCCCAAAGCAGGCATGTGAATATCACCTGCAAGGGACAGGCCTGGCTTGGCCCCAACAGGATTTGTCTGATCTTGTCCCAGTATTGACTAGACTTCAAGGAGGTGTTAGTTCTATCGAAGGTGAAACTGCTCCTGCTGCCTGAATCCCAGGGGCCTGCTTCTGTCCAGACACGTCTGCCTACCAGCCAAGGTGGAAGAGTCCTAGGTAGCTGGGCCAGGCCCAAGGTAAACCTCGGAGTGCAAGGAGGTGTTCACCCTGCACCTGCATACTTCTGGGAGTGAGCACCTTCTTATATTTTGCTCCCTGGGAAGCTGCTTTATAACAATAACAATAACAGCCACACGGGGCTGGGCACAGTGGCTCACACCTGTAATCTCAGCACTTTGGGTGGATCATCTGAAGTCAGGAGTTCTAGACCAGCCTGGCCAACATGGTGAAACCCTGTCTCTACTAAAAAAATACAAAAATTAGCCAGGAGTGGTGGTGGGCACCTGTAATCCCAGCTATTCTGGAGGGTGAGGCAGGAAAATCGTTTGAACCTGGAAGGCAGAAGTTGCAGTGAGCCGTGATCGCGCCATTGCACTCCAGCCTGGGAGACAGAGCGAAACTCTGTATCAAAAAAAAAAAAAAAAAAAAAAGAAACACAAGGCGGGGGATCACCTGAGGTCGGGAGTTCGAGACCAGCCTGACCAACATGGAGAAACCCCGTCTCTACTAAAAATACAAAAATTAGCCGGGCGTGGTGGCACATCCCTGTAATCCCAGCTACTAGGGAGGCTGAGGCAGGAGAATTGCTTGAACTCGGGAGGCGGAGGTTGCAGTGAACCCAGGAGGTGGAGGTTGTGGTGAGCTGAGATCGCACCATTGCACTCCAGCCTGGGCAACAGGAGCGAAACCCTGTCTCAAAAACAAACAAACAAATAAACAAAAAAACAAAAACAGCCACACGTGATCATGATATCTGGGAAGCAGGTACTATGTGTGGGGCTCTGAGCCACTTGCATTGCAGTAAGTCTAATCCACTCTACACCCCAATGAGATGGGAACTTAGACATCTCCGTTTTATAAATGAGGACACAAGGCCCAGAGAGGTAAGTGACTGCCAAGCTGACACACAGATTTGCTCCCAGCCCAACCTGGCACAGTCATCCTGACCCTGGGGAGGAAGCCATTTCCCTCCACGGAGCTCCATCGTGTTCCCCCAACACCCCTAGACTGTTCCCTCCTCTGAGTCTTTGCACAGGCTATGCCAGGCACCAAGTGAAGTCATCTGGTGCCACGCTGCCCTGAGTCCTTGCAACAGCTCTGTGCAGTGGGTGCTATGGTGCTCCTCATTTTACAGGTGAAGAAACTGTGTCTCAGGGAGGGATGGCGGCTCACCATTGGCCACCCAGGGTGTCGGGGGCAGAGCTGGGAAGAGTTCTCTTCTCCTGCCTCCCCATGGGACTCCTCTGTGAGACCTTCCACCAACCCTCACCTCATCAGGTATTTATGGTTTTGCCCATAAAAGGACAAGCCATCCTGATAAGATAGAAACGTTTTATGGGGCAACAAAAATATAGATAAAATTTTATAGTGCAAATCAGGAGGAGGAAAGTATTAAGTTCCACAAACACCTTTAAATTTTAAACAGCCCCCATTGCAGGGTCCCTGGAGGCAAACTTAAGTAATGGATCAGAAAAAGGATAAATCTCCCTGGTCCCCTGTGCGACCGGGGGAGAGGCCTGATCGACAAGCGGACAGCAAAGGTGGGGCGTGGGTGGCGGCCAATGCAGTGCCGGGCCCTGGCGGGCCGCAGTGCGGGCACAGAGCCTCGTCTTTATTGTACTTATAAAATATACATGGCCCTTTATTGAATTGCCTGCTGTCGAAATCTGCAAGAACGTTATTGCCTTTTACTGTCCTGGAGAGAAGCAGAGCAGCAACATCTGTGTAATTTCATAAGATGCAGGAGCCATAAATCTGATTGTGCCGGATATAAGATCGATCGTAAAAAATCACGCATTGAACATGGGGGATGTCGGGAAGCAGCAGGGGCAGGAGCAGCTTGGGGGGCCCGTTCCGAACCTCGCACCGCAATTCCGGTGGGTGCTGGCCGGCAGGTGCTTTGGAGGAGCAGGGCCTGCTCTGTGGGGCCCTGGGCCTCTGAGGGAAGGGCCGCTGTGTCGAGTCAAAACCTTCCCCAAGCTCTGGGGAGACCCACCCACCCAGAGAGAAGCAAGAACCAGAAGGGGACCCAGGAGCCCCTGTCTTTGGTATAGAAGAAAGACGGGCAGCTGTAGACACAGACACATGCACCCACTCGCTCACAGGCACCCCTGTGTCAGGGACAGCCCAGGGACACAAAGGCACAAAGGAGACACACCCCCCTTTCACCTCCACCCACCGTGCCCCAGCGGCCTGATTCTTCCTTTCTGTCAAAACTTGCTTCATATCTTCAATTAAAAACTCAGTGATATGGGGCCGGGGGCGGTGGCTCATGCCTGTAATCCTAGCACTTTGGGAGGCTGAGGCCGGCAGATCACTTGAGGTCAGAAGTTCAAGACCAGCCTGACCAACATGGTGAAACTCCATCTCTACTAAAAATACAAAAATTAGCCGGGCGTGGTAGTGCACGCTTATAATTCCAGTTACTCAGGAGGCTGAGGCAGGAGAATCACTTGAACTCTGGAGGTGGAGGTTGCAGTGAGCCGAAATGGTGCCACTGCACTCTAGCCTGGGTGACAGAGCAAGACCATCTCAAAAAAAATTTTTTTAATAAAAATAAAAAATTAAAAAACTCAGTGATATTGAATACACCTGTTGATATTTGGGGGTAGAGACAACCAATAAAACCCCTCTCTTTCCCTCTGAACTTGGAAGCAATGGGAAAGAAGTCACAGAGACAGGTGAAATACGGGCTGGGTGACTGATGAAGCAGATTGGAGAACACGGCTTCCTGAGCCACCCAGTGGGCTTCCTCATGCTCCTCCTGGACTGAATTTGCCCTTCCACTCACATGCTACCCCTGCATGGGCAGAGGCCTCTGGGGCTGCCTACAGTACCCCTGTCATGAACAGGCAGCAGGCACCCTCCCCGCAGGCAGGCCAATGGGTCAAGAGAGCCCCACAGGGACTGGGAGGGGCAGGCTCAGTTCCTACTCCCAAATACACGGTCAAGTCTCACCTCCCTTGGGGCGGAATCAGTGAGGGATGCAGAGAAAAGTCAGGAGTATTCCTCATGGAAGTATGAGTCTTCCTAGCAACAAGGGGAGCTCCATCCCTGGCCTCTCTCCTGAGATGAAGTCCCAAGAAACTCATCAGAAAATGTGAGAAAATGGGAAAGGTTTGCACAACAACTCTCTGTCCTCTGAATGCCTGTAAATTACTTTTTCCTCTTAATCACAACTGCCCTTGCCCTAAAGTTGTGTGAGAAGAGTGAATTTTTAAAGGGCAGGAAAATGATACCGAGAAAGCAATTGGTTGCTCCCAAGGAGATGGTTTTCCAGCAGCACTGGATTAGTTCTCTGTTGCTGCGTGACAAATTACCGCAAAACACAGGGGCCTGAAACAAAAGCATTTGTTATATCATGGCTTCTTGTAGGTCTGGACTCCTACAAGGTGCAGCTTAGCTGGGTCCTCTGCTCCGAGGTCTCTAAGAGGCTGCAATTAAGGTGTTGGCTTGGGCTGCGGTCATCCTAAGGCTAACTGGAGAAGGATCTGCTTCCAAACTCACTTATGTGGTTGTTGGCAGCATTCAGTTCCTCGTGGGATGTTGGCCAGAGGCACCCTCAGTCCCACCTTATATAAGCCTTTCCCACATGACAGCTGGCATCACAAAGCACCCAAGCTGAGAAGGCAATAGAGAGGGGATGGCAGCAAGCCAAGTCTTTTGTGACATAGTTCCAGGCATGACGTCTCATCACTTTTGCCATCTTCTATTCATTAGAAGCAGATCACTCCCAAGGGGAGGTGAACACCCAAGGGCATGAATATCAGAATGTGAGGTCATTAGGAACCAAGTCAGAAGCTGCCTATTGCAAGCACTCTTTCTCTCTTTTCTTTTCTTTTTTTTTTGAGATGGAGTCTTGCTCTATCGCCCGGGCTGAAGTGCAGTGGCGAGATCTCGGCTCACTGCAACCTCTGCCTCCCGGGTTCAAGCGATTCTCCTGCCTCAGCCTCCTGAGTAGCTGGGACTACAGGTGCGTGCCACCACGCCCAGCCAATTTTTGTATTTTTTTTCTTTTTCTTTTTTTTTTAGATGGAGTTTCACTCTTGTTGCCCAGGCTGGTGTGCAATGGTGTGATCTTGGCTCACCACAACCTTTGCCTCCCGGGTTCAAGCTATTCTTCTGCCTTAGCTTCCTGAGTATCTGGGATTACAAGCATGCACCAACATGCCCAGCTAATTTTTTGTATTTTTAATAGAGACAGGGTTTCTCCATGTTGGTCAGGGTGGTCTTGAACTCCCAACCTCAGGTGATCCTCCTGCCTTGGCCTTCCGAAGTGCTGGGATTACAAGTGTAAGCCACCGCACCTGGACTAATTTTTGTATTTTAGTAGAGATGGGTTTCACCATGTTGGCCAAGATGGTCTCCATCTCTTGACCTCGTCATCTGTCCACCTCAGCCTCCCAAAGTGCTGGGATTACAGGCGTGAGCCACCGCACCAGGCCCTTTTTTTCTTCTTTGAGACAGAATCTCGCTCTGTTGCCCAGGCCGGAGTGCAGTGGCACAATCTTGGCTCAATGCAGCCTTGTCCTCCAGTGCTCAATTGATCCTCCCACCTCAGCCTCCTGAGTAGCTGGGACTACAGGTGTGTGCCACCACACCCAGCTAACTTTTCTTCTTCTTTTTTTTTTTTGGAAAGACAGGGTCTCGTTTTGTTGCCCTTAGGCTGGTCTCAAACTCCTGAGCTCAAGCAATCCACCTGCCTCAGCCTCGCAAAATGCTGGGATTACAGGTGTCAGCCACCGCACTTTGCCTAAGCACTCTTCCTAGGAGCTCCTCTTCTCCAGCCACAACCAGGACCCAGAAGGATCCCTGAAATTTGTGTTTTGAAGCAGACTACAATGAGAAGGCAGGCATGGTGGTGTCAGACTGATGAGCGCAGCCAGGGGCTATGACCAGGACAAGGACTGTGGCCCTAAATTCAACCATGGGATTCTTTACATGAAGTCCTCAGACCTACAATTGGGGTAGATGGTATAGCACACTGTTCTTGTCCAATCAATCAGCCATTGCCAATCTCACTTACCCTTGCCACCATCCACTATAGGCCAGAAAGCTGTTATTTTTCTCCCAGGCTCTTTTGCAACTGGGATAGCCATGAGATCCAGTTTTGACAATGAAATGTAAGTATTCCAGGTGGCTTCTGGGTAAGAAGCAGCTAGTGTCATCTGCCTTTCCTCCATCCTGCCAGGGACAGAGACATGCTGTCTGGAGTGGTGACAGCTACCTTGTAACCATAAAAAAAGTGAGAACAAGTTGACAGTCATGAGGAGAGAGAGGCCCACCTGCTAAGAATATTGAGTTAGAAAGAGAGAGAGGGTTTTTTTGGTTTTTTGTTTTGTTTTTGACCTTGGCTCACTGCAACCTCTGCCTCCTGGGTTCAAGCCATTCTCCTGCCTCAGCCTCCTGAGTAGCTAGGATTACAGGCGCCTGCCACCACGTCAGGCTAATTTTTGTATTTCTAGTAGAGACAGGGTTTCCCCATGTTGGCCAGGCTGGTCTCAAAGATCTCAGGTGATCCGCCCACCTCGGCCTCCCAAAGTGCTGGGATCACAGGCATGAGCCACCACATCCAGCTGAAAGAGAAAAAGAGCTTTGAAGGCATGAGGAGAGGGTCAACCACCATAAGCAACCACCTTTCTCCATTTTTTTACATGAGAAAATAAGTCATTTGTTTGAGCCAACGTGCGTTGGGTTTTCTGTTATCTACACAGCCCAACACAATCTCTATCTGACCAATAATGGTAACCAACTGGGGAAAATGCAGCTTTGAAAATGGGTCTCCCCCTCTGTGACGCAACACATTGCACCAGTGTACAGATAACAAAGTGTTTAAAAGAAATGCTCTCCAATTTGGCAGGAGTGTGGGGAAACAATCATTCTTATGTACTGCTGGTGGAAGCATAAATTGGTTTAGCCTTATTAGAGAGTAATTTGGCTGTATCTATTACACTATAAAATGTAGAAACTCTGACCTAGAAGCTTTAGCTCTATAAATCTATCTTAAAGAAATAATCACATGAATGTATAACGTGATAAGCATAAGAATGTTTACTGTAGCATTGCTTATAATGGCAAAAATTGGAAGCAACCTATATTTCCATCAGCAGGCCCACAGTTAAATAAGTTATGGTTGATGCCTATGTCACCTAGTATAGTGGGCACTGGCCACATATGGCTACTGAGCACTTAAAGTGTGGTTAGTCCAGGGCCAAGCATGGTGGCTCATGCCTGTAATCTCAGCACTTTGGGAGGCCAAGGTGGGAAGATTGGTTGAAGCCAGGAGTTGGAGACCAGCCTGGGTAACAAAGTGAGACACCATCTCTACAAAAAAATTTAAAAAAAAAAATTAGTCAGGTACCCTGTAATCCCAGTTACTTGGGAAATTGAAGCATGAGGATCGCTTGAGCCCAGGAGTTTGAGGCTGCAGTGAGCTATAATTGTGTCAATGCATGCTAGCCTAGGCAACAGAGCAAGATCTCATCCCTTAAGAAAAAAAAAAAAGTAGCTATTCCAAATTGAGATGAGCTGTAAGTGTAAAATATATGCTAGATTTCAAAGACTTAATGTTCTGAAAGAATGTAGATGTCATTAATAATTGTATATTGTTTACATGTTGTAATATATTGGACACATTGAGTTAAGTAAAATATATTATTAAAATTAATTCCACTTGTTTCATTGAATTTTTTTCAACGTGGCTGTAAGAAAATTAAAATTACATGTGATACTCATATTATATTTCTGTTAGACAGTGGCGTTTTAAACACAAATGGAAGAGTACTCAGGCTTTAAAAGGGTGAGGTAGGCCAGGCGCAGTGTCTCACGCCTGTAATCCCAGCGCTTGGGGAGGCTGAGGTGGGCGGATCATGAGGTCAGGAGTTTGAGACCAGCCTGGCCAACATGGTGAAACCCCGCCTCTACTAAATATACAAAAATTAGCCAGGCGTGGTGGCGTGTGCTGGTAATCCCAACTACTTGGGAGGCTGAGGCAGGAGAATTGCTTGAACCCAGGAGGTGGAGGTTGCAGTGAGCCGAGATCGTGCCACTGCACTCCAGCCTGGGCAGCACAGTGAGACTCTGTCTCAAAAAAAAAAAAGGTGGGGACACTGAGGTAGATATGAATGTGCACTTAGCAAAATGCCCACAATATGACTCAGTTAACAACACATTTATAGAACTTAAGAATTAGTATGATTCCAATTTTGGAAAAGAAAAAAAGTGAGTGTTGCGTGCATCAACAAAGTTGTTTTTTGTTTTTTTTTTCAGACAGAGTCTTGCTCTGTCACCCACGCTGAAGTGCAGTGGTCTGATCTCAGCTCACTGCAACCTCCACTTCCTGGGTTCAAGCAATCCTCCTACCTCAGCCTCCTGAGTAGCAGGGGCTACAGACATGCACCACCACACCCAGCTCACTTTTGTATTTTTGTAGAGATGGGGTTTTGCCATGTTGCCTAGGCTGGTCTCAAATTCCTGAGCTCAAGCGATCCACCTGCCTTGGCCTCCCAAAGCGCTGGGATTAGAGTTGTGTGCTACTGCGCCCCGTCCAAAGTTCTTAAAGGACATACTAAACTACTAACAGTGGTTACCTTGGAGTGAGCTCAAGGAATCACTTTTCATTTTTTGCACATCTGTTAATGTATTTCTTGTGTAACTGAAATGATTTTTAATAGGAAAGAGAGAGGAGTAACGGCAGCAAAACAGTGGCTGCTGCATTTTAATCATAGAAACTTGCACATTAGAAACCGGGTTTCTGTAAATACAGAGGGGCCAGTCAGGGAAGAGAAGAACTACAGAGAAGGCAGCCAGACAAGGGGACCGTGCCAGGGGACAGCAGCTCAAAGGAGGCTGTCAGTCAGGGTTGAGACGCCACACTTGCGCAGCATCCTGGCGGCACTGCACTGCCCTGCTGTTCAGCTTCAGTGCCGCTGCCCTACTGCTTGTTAAATATTTTGAATCTCCTCCCTGACCTCTAGGGACCCATGGCTGGACGTCACCACCAAGCCCTCTTGAGAGGGGCACAAGATATGAGTTTTCTAAGGGCTGCTGTTTAGTAATGTTGCGTGTAATTCACCCACTTCAGTGGGTGACAGACAAAACAGACAAAACATGCTATTGACAAGGAAAGGAATAAAAAATTGGCAGCGGATATCAAATTTACTATACTAAGTGTGAGAGAGAAGATATCTTTTACAGAGTTCTGGAATTAAAAGGATTGTGATGCTAGAATTATTTTTATTTTTTATTTGATGCTAGAATTCTTTTTTTTTTTTTTTTTGAAAAGGAGTCTCGCTCTGTCGCCCAGGCTGGAGCGCAGTGGCGCGATCTCTGCTCACTGCAAGCTCCGCCTCCCAGGTTCACGCCATTCTCCTGCCTCAGCCTCCGGGGTAGCTGGGAATACAGGCGCCCGCCACCACGCCCAGCTAATTTTTTGGTATTTTTAGTAGAGACGGGGTTTCACCATGTTAGCCAGGATGGTCTCGATCTCCTGACCTCGTGATCCGCCCGCCTCAGCCTCCCAAAGTGCTGGGATTACAGGCGTGAGCCACCGCGCCCGGCCGATGCTCGACTTCTATACCCAGTCAGAATACTATTCATAAAAGACAAAAGCAGTTCAGACCTGTACCACCAATATATCCTTTCTGAAAAAGTTACTTCAAGAAGTATCTAGTTAAAATAAGGTAGTTTTAAAATGTGGTCTACAAGAAACATGAGTAAGAAATCAAAACTGTTAAGCTGATAGTTTATTCTAATGGCTGACAATGTGGTTGTGGAATTTTATGCAATCTTTCAAAAAAGATTCTTGAAATATAAGAGGCATAGAGTAAACAACTAATAATAATGTGTAATTTACCTTATTGTTAATTTAATAATGCTTTTTAAGTGTAGATGATAACGAAAGAGGTATTAAGACATTGTAAAGGACAACTTTTTTTTTTTTTTTTTTTTGAGCCGGAGTCTCTCTCTATCACCCAGGCTGGAGTGCAGTGGCGAAATCTTGGCTCACTGCAAACTCTGCCACCCAAATTCAAGCAATTCTTCGGCCTCAGCCTTCTGAGTAGCTGGGATTACAGGTACGTGCCACCACACCCGGCTAACTTTTGTATTTTCGGTAGAGATGGGGTATGGCCATGTTGGCTAGGCTGGTCTCGAACTCCTGACCTCAGGTGATCCACCCGCCTCAGCCTCCCAAAGAGCTGGGATTACAGGCGTGAGCCACCACGCCCGGCCTGTAAAGGACAACTCTTAGCTGAAGAGCAAGAGAGAGGTTATAGGCACCACTTAACTTTTGACATTGATAGAACCATAATTTTAAATATGTTAAAATTTTATATCAATAAAACTAGTAGAAAAGCATATATAGTTACCCAAAAAGGGGGAAAGAAAAAGAAGAAAGATCAACGCCCTACAGTACAAGCCAATAAGGAAAAAAAAAAAAAAAGCAAACCACACAACAGTGTAAGAAACAGAAACGTAACCCAGGGGGTGAAAAACAAGATCATACTGTTGCATCCAGAGGGAAAACTCAATTATTAACTGAAAAAAAAATTTTAATGTTAAATTCTATTAAAAAACAAAGATTCTCAGATTAAATAAAACAGAAAAACTACTTCCAGTTATTTCCTGATGAGTAACAAACCACTCCAAAACTTAAAACAACAATGAACTGTTATTTCTCATGATTTTGTAGCTCTGGGATGCCAGCATGGCTTGGCGGGCGTCTTTTGTTCCACAGGGCATGGGCTGGGCTCACTCATTTAAGCTCCATCCTGCGGGCGGCTGGGCTGAGCAGTCCAAGATTTTACTCACATGGTGCCTCCGTGCTCCTGCACTGTGGCCTCTCTTTCTCCAAGCCTGCCTCACAGTTTAATATTCCAGCCTGAGCTTCCTTAAAGTATGCCTGCTGGTTTCCCCAACACAACCTGAAGTCACCTGACTGCTTAAAGGCTAGGTCCAGAACTGACATCATATCACTTCCTCTGCTTGCTATTGGTCAAGGCAAGACACAAGGCCACCCGTATTGGAGGAGAGGAGAAACAGACCCCACCTCCTAGTGGGCAGAGCCATCAGGCACGAGATAGGCACAGGAAGGATTTATGGTGGCCATCTTTTGGAGACTGCCTACCTTAATTATGCTTTACAAGGGATTCCCTCCAAAGTTAAATAATTCTGAAAAATCTAAAATAAATATATTCCAGGGAAATCCAAATAGAAGAAAGAGAGTGTGGCAGTGTTCATATTTTCAAAAGTGTAATTCAAGGGAGGGAAAGCGTTAAATGGAACTGAGGGATTTTTTTTTTTCTTTTTTTTTGAGACAGACTCTTGCTCTGTCGCACAGGCTGGAGTGCAGTGGCACGAACTTGGCTCACTGCAGCCTCTGCCTCCTGGGTTCAAGCAATTCTCCTGCCTCAGCCTACTGAGTAGCTGGGATTACGGGCGCACACCACCACGCCTGGCTAATTTTTATATTTTAGTAGAGATGGGGACCTCACCATATTGGCCAGGCTGGTCTCGAACTCCTGACCTCAGGTGAGCCACCCCCCCTCAGCCTCCCAAAGTGCTGGGATTACAGCCGTGAACCACCATGCCTGGCTGGGATTTTTTAAATAATTGTATTGATAAAATACCCAATCATCAAGAAAAAATAATAGACATTTGTCGAACACTTACATGAATAATTTCATTTAATCTCATAACAATTATGTGAGGTAAATGTTATCTTTTTTGCCCCATTTAACAGATGAGGAAACTAAAGCTTAGAAAGATTAAGTAATTACTCCACCCCTACGTATTTTGTAAGGGGAAGAACCAAGATTTGAACCCATGTACCCTAACACCAGAGTTCGTGCTTTTGTTTATTGTTTTTGAGACAGGGTCTAACTCTGATTCCCAGGCTGAAGTGCAGTGGCATGAACATGTCTCACTGCAGCCTCGACCTCCTGGGCTCAAGTATCCTCCTACCTCAGCTTCCTGAGTAGCTGGGACTACAAATGCAAGCCACCGCTCCTGACTAATTTTTTTTTTTTTTTTTGTAGAGACAGGGTCTCAAACTCCTGGGCTTAAGCGATCCTCCTGCCTCCTCCTCCCAAAGCATTGGGATTACAGGCATGAGCCACCTCGCAGGGCCCAGAGTTTGTGCTCAATCACTGAGTGGCTGAGTAATCATGAATCTGAATCAGACAGATACATGGGCAGAAATACTGAAAAGAATATATAAAGCAAAAAGCAAAAATTGAGGCTGGGCGTGGTGGCTCACGCCTGTAATCCCAGCACTTTGGGAGGCCGAGGTGGCCAGATCACCCGAGATCGGGAGTTTGAGACCAGCCTGACCAACATGGAGAAATCTCGTCCCTACTAAAAATACAAAATTAGACAGGCGTGGTGGTGCATGCCTGTAATCCCAGCTACTGGGGAGGCTGAGGCAGGAGAATCGCTTGAACCCAGGAAGCGGAGGTTGCGGTGGGCCGAGATTGTGCCATTGCACTCCAGCCTGGGCAACAAGAGCAAAACTCCATCTCAAAAAAAAGCAAAAATTGAAAAACTAGGAGAATTTTACAAAAGCATGCAGAGTGGGAGATTTTAAAACACCTGACTCAAAATTTAACAGGTCAGATATTTTTAAAATCATGAAGACAATCTAAATAACAAAATTAACAAGACTGTTTTAATATATCTAGGTAGAATTTGAACAGGGAATTCCTTTTTTACCAATGCTTACAGAACATAAAAACAAATTGATTAAGTAATGAGTTTCAAAGTAAACCTTGATAAATTCCAAACAGTAGAAACTACACAGGCAATTTCAACAAATCAATAATAAAAAGACAAATGACCAAATAGAAAAATGGGCAAAGGATTGAAAGGGACTTTTTTACAAATGAGGATATATATAAATGGCCGAAAATATATAAAAAGATGCTCCAACTTCACTAGTAAACATAGAACATGAAATCAAATCAACAAATACTATTTCTCTTCACCCAAAAGATTGGGGAAAAAATAGAAAGTTGGATATCAGTTGTTGGTAAGAAAATAAAGAGAAGATTTTTTAGAGTTCTAGTGTAATGTAAATTGACATGCCGTTTTAAAGAACAATTTAGGGCCAGGCGTAGTGGTCACGCCTGCAATGCCAGCACTTTGGAAGGCCTAGGTGGGCAGATTATCTGAGGTCAGGAGTTCGAGACCAGCCTGACCAACATGGTGAAACCCCATCTCTACTAAAAATACAAAAAATTAGCTGGGCCTGGTGGCAGGTGCCTGTAGTCCCAGCTACTGGGAGGCTGAGGCACGAGAATCGCTTGAACCTGGGAGGCAGAGGTTTCAGTGAGCCAAGATCGCACCACAGCACTCCAGCCTGGGCGACAGAGTGAGACTCCATCTCAAACAAACAAACAAAAATAGGCCAGGCACGGTGGCTCACACCTGCAATCCCAGTACTTTGGGAGGCCAAGGCAGGGGGGTCACCTGAAGTCAGGAGTTCGAGACCAGCTTGACCAACATGGTGAAACCCCGTCTCTACTAAAAATACAAAAATTAGCCTGGCGTGGTGTCGTGCTCCTGTAATCCCAGCTACTCGGGAGGCTGAGGCAGGAGAATCGCTTGAACCCAGGAGGCAGAGGTTGCAGTGAGCTGAGATCGTGCCACTGCACTCCAGCCTGTGTGACGGAGCGAGACTCCGTCTCAAAAATACATAAATAATACATAAATACATAAATAAAATAAAGAACAATTTAGAAGTACGCATTAATAGCTTAAGCATATGTAACTATGTCACACACCGATTCAATTTGTAAATTCTACACCAGAGTTCTGATGCTGGCCAAGGCAATGTGTGCCACCACAACCTCTCTGTCCCACTGACTGCCAACTAAAAGATCTGGACAAAATACAAAAAGCACTGCCTGAGGATTCAGGAAATAACAAGTAGATTGGCAAGAGGGGCAAAAACTTGAAGAAAGACCCTAATGGGGTGAGTTTCCAGGGTTGTGTTCCTCTTTTATCACCCAGCTTTGACCCGAGGGTGGCCCAGATCTGGAACTGTGTAGCAGGTGCAGGCAACAAAATCTCCAAGAGAAACCCATCTTCCTGAACGGATAATTGGAAAAGGGGCCTCTTGTGAGTTACAGAGTGTAGGGTATCTTTTCTTCTCTTTTCTCTCTTTCGACCTGTCCTAAGGGTGAGCCAGTCAGAAAGCTACACTATGGTGGCAGGGGTGGTGGCACAGACACCCAAAACCCCCAAAGAAAACCCATCTTTCTTGCCGGATGAACCAGGAATAGGGGGTGTGAGGGGGGAATCCCCCTTGCTTTTTCTCTTTCTTTTCTCTCTTTGCATTACCCTGAGGGCGGCCAAAGCCATGTGGAGCTATACAGTAGATTATCTAGAGTTTTAGCCACCTGTGCTATTGCAGAAGCCAGAAGACTGGTCTAAACACACCAATTAAAAGACAACACTGGCTGAGTGCGGTGGCTCATGCCTGCAATCCCAGCACTTTGAGAGGCTGAAGTGGGTGGATCTCTCTTTTTTTGTTTGTTTTTTTTGTTTTGTTTTGTTTTGAGGCGCAGTCTCGCTCTGTCGCCCAGGCTGGAGTGCAGTGGTGTAATTGGCTCACTGCAAGCTCCGCCTCCTGGGTTGACACCATTCTCCCGCCTCAGCCTCCCGAGTAGCTGGGACTACAGGCTCCCGCCACCATGCCCGACTAATTTTATTTTTTGTATCTTTAGTAGAGACGGGGTTTCACCGTGGTCTCAATCTCCTGACCTGGTGATCCGCCTGCCTCGGCCTCCCAAAGTGCTGGGATTACAGGTGTGAGCCACCGCACCCGGCCTGTGGGTGGATCTCTTGAGGCCAGGAGTTCAAGTCCAGCCTGGCCAACATGGCGAAACCACATCTCCACTAAAAATACAAAAATTAGTCAAGCATGGTCATGCATGCCTGTAGTCCCATCTACTTGGGAGGCTGAGGCACGAGAACCACTTGAACCCGGGAGGCGGAGGTTGCAGTGAGCCGAGATTGTGCCACTGCACTCCAGCCTGGGTGATAGAACAAGACTTTGTCTAAAAAAAAAAAGACAACATTGTCAGATTGGATTGAACACACATATATACACATTTACACAAGACCCAATACATGCTCTCTACATAAAACCCACCTTAATGTAATTACATAGATAGATTAAAAGTAAAATGATAGAAAAGGTTAAACCATATAAATACTGATCAAAAGACAGCTGGAGTGGCTATATTAATATCAGACAAAGTAGCCTTCAAAACAAGCAATATTACCAGGGATAAAGAGAGATATTACATATTAATAAAAAGGTTAAGGCTAGGTCCAGTGGCTCATGCCTGTAATTCCAACACTTTGGGAGGTTGAAGTGGTTGGATCTCTTGAGCCCAGGAGTTCAAGACCGACCTGGCCAACATGGTGAAATCCTGTCTCTACTAAAAATACAAAAATTAGCCAGGTGTAGTGGCGTGTGCCTGTAATTCCAGCTACTCGAGAGGCTGAGGCAGGAGAATCTCTTGAACCCAGGAGGCGGGAGGTTGCAGTGAGGCGAGATGGTGCCACTGCACTCCAGCCTGGGTGACAGAGCAAGACTCTGTCTCAAAAACAAAAAAAAAAAGTTAATTCCCCAAGAAGATATAAAAATCCTAAAGGTTTATGCATATAACAACAGAGCTTCAAGAAGCACGAAGCAAAAACGGATAGAACTCAAATGAGAAATAGAGAAGTCCACTATTATAATTGGTGAGTTAAACACTCCAATAGAAAAAATAAACAAAAATTAGCAGGGATATGGAGGATCTGAACATCACTCTCAACCAGTGTGGCCTAACTGACATTCATAGAACCCTCCATTCAACAACAGCAGCATATACATTCTTTCAAGTGTGCGTAAAACATCAAGATAAACTGTATTCTGGGCTATAAAACAAACCTTAACACTTGTAAAAGAATAGAGAGAATATAATTCCTCTGACCATAATGTAATTAAACCAAAAACCAATAACAGGAAGCTATCTTTTAAAATCCTCAAATATTTTGGAATTAAATAACATACTTCTAAGTAACCCGTGGCTCAAAAAGAAAGTCTCAAGGGAAATTTAGAAAATGTTTTGGGCCAGGCATGGTGGCTCACGCCTGTAATCCCAGCACTTTGGGAGGCCATGGCAGGAAGATCACTTGAGGTCAGGAATTTGAGACCAGCCTGGCCAACATGGCGAAACCCTGTCTCTACTAAAAATTCAATATTAGCGGGTGTGGTTGCACACCCCTGTAATCCCGGCTATTTGGGAGGCTGAGACAGGAGAATTGCTTGAACCCGGGAGGTAGAGGTTGCACTGAGCTGAGATCGATATTGCGCCACTGCACTCCAGCCTGGGGGACAGAGCAAGACTCCATCTCAAAAAAAGAAAATATTTTGAATTTAGTGAAAATAAAAATACTACATGTAAAATTTTGTGGGAAAATTGTGGTTGCCAGGGACTGCAGGAAAGGTGAAATAGGGAGTTGCTGTGCAATGGGTATAGAGTTTCAGTCATGCAAGATGAAAAAGTTCTAGAGATATGTTATCCCACAATGGTTAGCAATACTGTACTATTTTATGTATATATAAAAATTTGTTAATACTGTAGATCTTAAGCTATGTGTGTGTCTTTAAAAATTTCTTCCCTTCTCGGCCAGGTGCGGTGGCTCATGCCTGTAATCCCAGCACTTTGGGAGGCCGAGGTGGGCGGATCACAAGGTCAGGAGATCGAGACCATCCTGGCTAACATGGTGAAACCCCGTCTCTACTAAAAATACAAAAAATTAGCCAGGCGTGGTGGCGGGCACCTGTAATCCCAGCTACTCAGGAGGCTGAGGCAGAATGGCGTGAACATGGGAGGTGGAGCTTGCAGTGAGCCTAGATCACGCCACTGCACTCCAGCCTGGGCGACAGAGCAAGACTCCGTCTTAAAAAAAAAAAACAGTTCTTCCCTTCTCTTCTGAAACATATGTGTTTTATTACAATAAAAAAGTTGTGAGATACAGCTAAAACATTGCCTAGAGGGAAATTCATAGCATTAAGTGCTCATATTAGAAAACTAAAGAAAGGTAGCAGACTGAGTAGCATGGCTCATGCCTGTAATCTTAGCACTTTGAAAGGCAAAGGTGGACAAATTGCTTGAGACCAAGAGTTCGAGACCAGCCTGGGCAACATGGCAAAAGTCCATCTGTACAAAAAAATACAAAAATTAGCTGGGCCTCGTAGCACACATCTGTGATCCCAGCTACTCGGGAGGCTGGGGCAGGAGCCTGTGCCCAGGGAGGTCGAGGCTGCAGCGAGCTGTGTTCGGGCCACTGCACTCCAACCTAGGTGACAGAGAGATACCCTGTCTCAAAAAAAGAGAGAAAGGTATCAAATGGAATATATAAGCTTCCATCTTGAGATATTAGATAAAAACCAAATTAAACTCAAAACAAAAAGGAAGAAAAGTATTATAAGCATAAATCAATGAAATCAAGAACAGAAAAGCAATAGAGATAATCAATAAAATAAAAAGCTGGGCTGGGCACAGTGGCTCACGCCTGTAATCGCAACACTTTGGGAGGCCAAGGCGGGTGGATCATGAGGTCAGGAGTTCAAGACCAGCCTGGCCAAGATGGTGAAACCCCGTCTCTACTAAAAATACAGAAAAAAATCAGCCGGGCATGGTGGTAGATGCCTGTAATCCCAGCTGCTTGGGAGGCTGAGGCAGAGAATTGCTTGAACCCAGGAGGCGGAGGTTGCAGTGAGCCAAGATCACACCACTGCACTCCAGCCCGGGCGACAGAGTGAGACTCCATCTCAAATTAATTAATTAATTAATTAATTAAAATAAAAAGCTGGTTCTTTTTTTTTTTTTTTTACATGGAGTCTCGCTCTGTCGCCCAGGCTGGAGTGCAGTGATGATCTCAGCTCACTGCAAGCTCCGCCTCCTGGGCTCACGCCATTCTCCTGACTCAGCCTCCCGAGTAGCTGGGACTACAGGCACCTGCCACCAGGCCTGGCTAATTTTTTGTATTTTTAGTAGAGACAGGGTTTCACCGTGTTAGCCAGAATGGTCTTGATCTCCTGACCTCATGATCTGCCCGCCTCAGCCTCCCAAAGTGCTGGGATTACAGGTATGAGCCACCCTGCCCGGCCAAAGCTGGTTCTTTCAAAAGATCAATAATATCAGAGCCCATGGGTTATTTTTACTCATACTTACTCTATGACCTTAAATGATTTTATTAACAAAGAAGAAAGATTACAAATAAAGAAACCAAGCATTCTTCTCAAAAAGTTAGAAGAAGAAAAATTAAAAAGTAGAAAGAACAAATTAATATAAAAGTAGAAACATAAAAGTAGAAATTGCCTAGGTTTAAATCCCAGCTCCACATTTATTAGCTGTGCCCTTAGACAAGTCACTTACTAATTTTGTGATTCAATTCCCTCATTTGTAAAATTAGATAATAGTAGTCCCTAACTCATAAAGTTGTTATGAAGATTGAGTTAATATAGCTTAGAACAGGGCTTGGAACAGAGGAAACACTTCGTAAATATTTGCTATTATATTTCTCTACTTCTGCTACTATTACATTTTTTATAATTCTGATGAAGAAATGAAAAGAAATAAAACACAAAAACACATCATGAGTAAGATGAGATCTTTTTTCCCTTTTCTTTTTTTCTTTTCTTTTTTCTTTCCTTTTGTAGAGACGGGGTCTCACTCTGCTGCCCAAGTTGGTGTCAAACTTTTGGCCTTAAGCGATCCTCCTGCCTCAGCCTCCCAAAGCACTGGGATTACAGACATGAGCCATAGCACCCAGCCCTAAGATTAGATCTTTAAAAGAGAGGGAAAGATACAGAGATTTTTTTTAAAATCATAAGTAAAACTATTTTTTTATTCTAATAAATCTGAACTTCTCTAGGTAGACAGAATAATTACTTCAGCAAAATATAAATGACCCAAATTGACTCAATCATGAGAAGCCAGAAATGATTAATAATGTAACAAGTTTAAGGTAATTGTTAAAGGCCCCAGGCCAGATGGTTTTACAGATGAAGTAACAAACATTTGACAAACAGATATTGCCTAAATTCCTTAAAAAGTTTTTGAAGTACTAAAAAGCACTAAAATATATGGAAAATTTTCTATTTGTTTAATGAATATTGGATAATCCTGACACCAAAACAAAACAAAGCACAAAAAAAGAAAACTTTGTTGAAAAATTTCACCTACATGCAAAAATTCTAAAAACTATGTGAGCAAACAGAATCGAGTAAAAAGGGTAGCAAACTATTATCAGATTTATTCCTGGAAGCAAAGGGTAAAGTTGGTTTCACTCCAGAGCATGGGTTTTGGAGGTAAACTGCCAGGTTTTGAATCTGGCTTCACTACTCACTAAGAACTAGCTGGGTAACCTGGGTAAGTGATGTAACCTCTCTATGGTTGTTTTCCTGTTTGTAAAATGGAAATAATAATACCTAATTCAGAGGGATGGGAGGAGTAAATTTAAATTATTCATTTGAAGAACTTAGTTAAGTATTTGGTATATAGCACTCAACAAGTGTTAGCTGTAAGTATTCATTTAAAAAATAATTTCAAGGCCAGGCGTGGTGGCTCATGCCTGTAATCCCAGCATTTTGGGAGGCCGAGGCAGGCAGATCACTTGAGGTCAAGAGTTTGAGACCAGGCTAGACAACATGGCAAACCTCTATCTCTACAAAAATAAATAAATAAATAAATAAAAATAAAAATGAGCAAGATGTGGTAGTTCACACCTGTAATCCCAGCTACTCGGGAGACTGAGGCAGGAGAATTGCTTGAACTTAGGAGGCGGAGGTTGCAGTGAGCCAAGATCACGCCACTACACTCCAGCCTGGGTGACAGAGTGAGACTCCGTCTCAAATAAATAAATAAATAGGCTGGGCACGGTGGTTCACACCTGTAATCCCAGCACTTTGGGAGGCCGAGGTGAATGGATCACCCAAGGTCAGGAGTTTGAGACCAGCCTAGCCAACATGGTGAAACCCTGTCTCTACTAAATATACAAAAATTAGCCGGGCATGGTGGTGCGTGCCTGTAATCCCAGCTACTAGGGGGGCTGAGGCAGGAGGATCGCTTGAACCTGGGAGGCGGAGGTTGCAGTGAGCCGAGATTGCGCCACTGCACTCCAGCCTGGGCGACAGAACAGAGTGAGACTCCGTCTCAGAAAAAAAATGAAAAATAAAAAATAAAAACAAATAATAATAAATAAATATATATATAATTCCAAACCTCCTTGATAATGCAATTGGAAATTGGCTTGAGTTCTTCACCCAGCCCAAGTTCTCAAACCGGAATCAACTAAATTTCTCCGTTTCTGAGTGGGAGAGTGGAGGGATATGGAGAGGAAGGCAAGACAGGGCAGGAAACTCAGATTCAGGGAGCAGGGACCACACGGTGAGTCCCTGTGTTCCTGGGATTCTTCCAGGCCAATCTTCGTATATTGGTTTGACAAAATTAGTACCAAATTACCTAGGGGATTGTGGAATTGCCGCTCCTATCCTAGAAGTCTTAGCCAGCCGAGCTCAGAATCTTCCCCATGGATATTTAAGTCATAGCAGCAAACAACCACCAGGAGACAGCAATCTGCCGCTGAAGCAGAGGCACATTAGATGCCACAAACAGACAGACCCTGGGAGCGCGGGACCTGCTGGCTGCTGGGGCTTCCTCCGCCACATGCGATTCTCTGATCTTGTGGGATATTTTGAACCACATAGGATGCATTGTGGTGGGGTTTCACTATACTAATTTAAAAGAGGAAAATTGGCCGGTTGTGGTGGCTTACGCCTATGATCCCAATACTTTGGGAGGCCGAAGCAGGTGGATGGCTTGAGGTCAGGAGTTCAAGACCAGCCTGGCAACATGGTGAAACCCCGTCTCTACTAAAATACAAAAAAGTTAGCCAGGTGTGGTGGCAGGCACCTGTAATCCCAGCCACTCAGGAGGCTGAAGCAGGAGAATCACTTGAACCCGGGAGGCAGAGGTTGCAGTGAGCAGAGAACGTACCACTGCACTCCAGCCTGGGCAACAGAGCAAGACTCTGTCTCCAAAAAAAATCAATCAATCAATAGAAGAGGAAAATTGTTGACCATTTCCATAGACATTTAACAACCATTTGATCAAATTGACTTCTATTTCTAACTTAAAAAAAAAACCCTCAATAAACCAGGAATTGAAGAAAATAGTCTTACCACTATAGAAAGTACTTGTCTATTCACCCAACAATTCTTTTTCCAGAAATCACAGCAAACATCATACTTCGAGGTGAATTCTTAGAACAGCAGTTCCAGTACTGCCCTGTAGAACACTACTTAACAGGAGATGTTGAACAAGAAGGGCGCATCATGTAAATGTCAGTGGTTAAATTAGCTCAAGACATGTTACTTAGTATATCTCCTTCTTCCACATCTGCAAGCAAGTCAATGTCAAATGTTCTGATTACTTTTAAAGTAAAGAAACAAATTTGTCTTTGTTTAACACAGTATATCCTAAAGTTATTTGGACCCAGAACACTTTTTGTCCGCAATACTACTATTAGCGTCCTCTGATCTGTGTCCTTCAAATGACAGTTTTGGAAATATCACATTAGGATCTTTCTATTCAAGGTAGCAACATTTCAAGGGTGTCTGCTATCACAACTGTCACTTGTCTTTATTCTAGAGGTGCCAGCCACGTGAATAAGATAACCCATGGCATGGCAGAGACAAAATTCTCATTATTTATAGATGATGTGTTTGCTCACCCTGAAAAGTCGAAAGAATAAACTGAAAACCTATAAGAACTAATCATGGCATTGACTATAGAGGCTGACACAAGGTGATAAATATATCAAGATCAATGCCTGTTCTCTACGCCAGCAATAACAGGTTCGAATGCATCAGGGGAACAAAAAAAGAATGCGCTTAGCAAAATAATGTGCAAAGATATACTCGGGAGGTGGATGAAAGGCATTAAAACAAGATTTGAATCAATAGAGAAATTGATCTTGTTCTTGAACTGTATTGTAAAAGTGTCAATCCTCCCTCAAATAATCTATAAATTTGATGTGATTTCAGTGAAAATCTCCACAGGAATTTTTTTATCATGAGAGATTGATTCTTTTTTTTTTTTTTTTTTTTTTTTTTTTGAGACGGAGTCTCGCTCTGTTGCCCAGGCTGGAGTGCAGTGGCGCGATCTCAGCTCACTGCAAGCTCCGCCTCCTGGGTTCACGCCATTCTCCTGCCTCAGCCTCCTGAGTATCTAGGACTACAGGCGCCCGCCACCACGCCCGGCTAATTTTTTTGTATTTTTAGTAGAGACGGGGGTCCACCTTGTTAGCCAGGATGGTCTCGATCTCCTGACCTCGTGATTCGCCCGTCTCGGCCTCCCAAAGTGCTGGGGTTACGGGTGTGAGCCACCGCACCTGTCCGAGAGACTGATTCTATAGTTCACCCGGTGCAACGATTGCACAGAATAGTCAAGAAATTCGGGAAGTGAAAGGAGAGTCATGGGGGGCTTGCCTTACAAAGTTCAATACTATAAAACTAAACTAATTAAAATGCTGGTGGACAATCTGGCAAATAGACCAAGAGAGCTTTCAAAAAGGGCACAGAAATCAAACAGCCATGTTTCTGTGGTGGTCTTAGGAGGTGCAAAGAGTAGAAACCCATTCAGGTTAGTTTAATCAAAAACAGGGACTTTGGGAGAATGTTAGATTATCTCACAGAATCCAAGGAAAAACTGGACAGCCAGACTCCAGAGTGGGCAGGAACTGGGGCCATGCTGAGGTGTCAGCAACACGAGCATGTGTCCTTCAGGGGACGAGTCTCTGTCCTGTGGTCCCTGTGTCCATCTCCTCTCTTTCCATCTGTGTTTCATTTCAAACCTCAGGCTGCTGATCTGGCTCTCCCCAGCCCAGCTGGTTCATCCCTGATCCCATTAGATATGGTCTGGGGTTCAGGAACTTTCCTCTGGATGGAGAGAAGCATGAAGGTGCCTCCTTAACCACACTTGTTCTCTTCCTCGACACTTTCAAACTCCATTTGGAGAAAATGAACACAGGGTCTCCCCCGACTAACCTGACACTTCACCAGGGATTCTGTATTTCAGAAGATGCCACCATACAACTGGTTGGCCAAGCCAGAAGCCAGAGGCCCCCAGCCCCCTGGTTCTCCCCATCCCATGTGTCCAACTGGCCACCAAGTTCAATTGATTTTAGTTCCCAAATATTTCTAGAATCTGTCCACATTTGTCCATCTCCACTACTGTTACCCTAGTTTAAGGAATTGTCCTATTTCACCTGGACCATTTCAACAGCCTTTTGGTAGGCACTTTTGCCCTCTGCCAACATTCGCTACGTGACAATAGCCATCTCTGCTCACCCCTCAGAGCTCAGCTCCTGGAACCACAGTTCTGATTTCTGTAATTATAATTTTGCCTTTTACAGGATACCATATAAGTGAACTCTATAGTATATGACCTTTTGAGTCTGGCTACTTTCACTTAGTCATCATATAATAATGTAATGTTTGCCTTCCCTGCCACCATGTGGGTTCTGTGGAGTGAGAGACCATGTCTGACTCGGTAGCCTCTGTGTCACCCTAGTTTAGCATGGCGTCTCTCACCCTTTTTTTCACTATTCTTCCTCTAAGGAGAAAATTTAATTTTAATTTAAATTATCGCAGATGAGAGAAATTAATTAAATAATTAGAATGCATCAAGCTCCGCCCTTCTATGCCAAATCTTATTCCATTAGAACTAAGGGGTAAGATTTGGTATAGAAGGGCGGGGCTTTGGAAGTGTTTCAGCTCAGGCTGCTATAACAAATTACCATAGACTGGATGGCTTAAACAATATTTATTTCTTACAGTTATGGAGCAGGGAAGTCCAAGATGAAGGTATCTGGTGAGGGTCCAATTCCTCTTGCAGACAGCTGTCTTCTCACTGTGCCCTCATGTGGCAGAGAGGAGAGAGAGATCCAGTATCTCCTACTGTTTTGTTTGTTTGTTGTTTGTTTTTTGAGATGGAGTCTCACTCTGTCAACCAGGCTGGAGTGCCGTGGCGCCATCTCAGCTCACTGCAACCTCTGCCTCCTGGATTCAAGCCATTCTCCTGCCTCAGCCTCTCAAATAGCTGGGATTACAGGCGTGCACCACCACTCCCAGCTAATTTTTGTATTTTTAGTAGAGACGGGATTTTACCATGTTGGCCAGGCTGGTCTCCAACTCCTGACCTCAGGTGATCCACCCACCTCAGCCTCCCAAAGTGCTGGGATTACAGGCGTGAGCCACCGCACCCAGCCTCCTCCTGTTTTTATAAGGCATTAATCCTGTAATGAGGGCCCCACCCTCAGGACCTCAAGCCTGGCCAACATGGTGAAACCCTGTCTCTACTAAAAGTACAAAAAAAAATTAGCCGGCATTGTGGCACACGCCTGTAATCCCAGCTACTCGGGAGGCTAAGGTAGGAGAATCGCTTGAATCCAGGAAGCAGAGGTTGCAATGAGCCGAGATCAAGCCACTGCACTCCAGCCTAGGCGACAGAGCAAGACTCCATCTTAAGAAAAAAAAAAGAAAAGAAAAGAAAAGAAAAAGAAAGAAAGAAAGAAAAAGATAAAAGAAAAGAAGACAGGATTAGGGAGGGGGTTCCTTTCACATGCAGACCCAGGTTTATCTGCACACATTCCTGGAATCCTGACCCTGAGCCATCTTCACAGAGCCCAGGTTTTTGGTTTTTGTTTTTGTTTTTATTTGTTTTGTTTTGTTTTGAGACAGAGTCTCCCTCTGTCACCCAGGCTGGAGTGCAGTGGCGCAATCTTGGCTCACTGCAACCTCCACCTCCCGGGTTCAAGAGATTCTCCTGCCTCAGCCTCCCAAGTAGTTGGGACTACAGGTGCTCGCCACCATGCCCGGCTAATTTTTGTATTTTTAGTAGAGACGGGGGTTTCACCATATTGGCCAAGCTGGTCTTGAACTCCTGACCTTGTGATCCACCCACCTCAGCCTCCCAAAGTGCTGGGATTACAGGGGTGAGCCAACGCGACTGGCCAGAGCCCGGGTCTTTGGTCTCCTTCCTGGAGGATGTTCGGTCCCCCTCCTGGGAGCTGGGGGAGGGCGAAGAATGGACCGCAGGCTTCCAAATTCCAGGGAGAAGCTCTCCTGGCTGGGAGTCAATGCCTGGATCTTCTTCCCGCATCTCTGTTGACCCCAGAACTGGGGAGCAGGGCCCTGCTTAAGCCCAGGGGGACACTCCAACATTCCCTGAAGATTTGTCTCCACGCCCACCTCGCAGGCTCAGGCTGCTCACCTGTCCTGGACCGGCTGCAGCAGCACCACCTCCAGGCCATCCCAGAGAAATGTATTTTCAGAACCCCACAGTGTGCCTGGATGACCTGGTTGGGCTGGGAGGCAGGTGGCAGGGGCCCGGCTGACACTGCAAGCCAGTGGCCTGGGGAAGCTCACCTCACCTCTCTGAGCCCCTGTAAAATGGGGATGTAACACCTCAAGGCGGGGCTGTGAGGATACAGTGAGACAGCCACACTACACATCTGGAAAGCGCCTGGCCCAGCAGGAGCCCAGTAACCAATTCTGATACAGTTCGATGATGTATTTGTTGGCCTAGTTTGCAAAATCCCCAAACATCCAACCATTTCTGAGCTTTATAAAAAACTCATCAAAGTCCTCGCCCCTCCCCCTCTTCTTTTCTTTGTCGCTTTGGACCTCAGATGCTCGGAACTAGGTCAATCACGACCGTCAGCTCAGCTCACAATCACTAGAGACCACACGTGGGTCCTCTGGTGTGTTTCTTTTGTTTTTGATTCTTTCACCCACTTTCTCCCACCCACTCCTGTCTCTCTCCCCTCTCCCACAGGCAAACATTCTTCTGTCATCAGTGTGTGTGTGTCCATGAAATCATAGATTGCAGCATTCATAAGTAGTATTTGCAGGACTTTTCGTTTGGCATTACATTTTTACCATCTTCCAGAGCTAAAGCACATCATTCTCACTTATTCCATGGAGCTGCGGCATGGGGTTTCATTACTCGGCTATGTTACCGGTAACCTACCCATTCCTTTACAAGTGGACACTTCGGTTGTTTCCATCCCTTGGCCAGTACAAATAAATGCTTTCAGGAGGGATATCCTCAGGCAAGTGTCTTTGTCTACTTGTGTGCAAGTTGCTCTGGGGCTTGTGCCTGGAAGTGGAATTGCCTGGGCATGGGTTGCGTACTCTCAACAGTGGCCACACCAGTTCACTGTCCTGCCAGGACCAGAGTTTCTGCATCCCCCTGTCTTCACCAGCATGAGCCTATCTGATGAGGATCAAATGAGCTTCTCAACACCTCTCTCTCTTTTTATTTATTTATTTATTTTTGAGACAGAGTCTTGCTCTGTCGCCCAGACTGGAGTGCAGTGGCTCGATCTCAGCTCACTGCAACCTCTACCTCCTGGGTTCAAGCAATTCTCCTGCCTCAACCTCCCGAGTAGCGGGGATTACAGGCATGTACCACCATGCCTGGCTAATTTTTATACTTTTTTAGTAGAGATGGGGGAGGTTTCACCCTGTTGGCCAGGCTGGTCTGGATCTCCTGACCTTGTGATCTGCCCGCCTCGGCCTCCCAAAGTGCTGGGATTACAGGTGTGGTTCACTGTGCCCAGCCTCGGTTGTCTTTTTTTTTTTTTTTTTTTTTTGAGATGGAGTCTCACTCTGTTGCCCAGGCTGAAGTGCACTGGCGCAATCTCAGCTCACTGCAACCTCCACCTCCCAGGTTCAAGAGATTCTCCGTCTCAGCCTCCCAAGTAGCTGGGACTACAGGCGCGTGCCACCACGCTCGGCTAATTTTTTGTATTTTTAGTAGAGATGGAGTTTCACCGTGTTAGCCAGGATGGTCTCGGTCTCCTGACCTCGTGATCCACCTGCCTCAGCCTCCCAAAGTGCTTGGGATTACAGGCGTGAGCCACCGCCCCAGCCTTGGTTATCTTTTAACACAAGTGGCTCCAACTGCTGATGCACCTCCTCATGGCCCATCATAACATCCATGTGCTGTGCTCTGCTAGGGAGGTGACACGGGCACTAACTTGGCTATAGCCAGCTGGACAAGGGATGGTGCATAGGTCTAAGACAAACCAAGGTGCATGGCTAGTCCCAAGATGGCCCCTCAAACTCCACTCACACTGAAGGTGCCAATCAACTCATCAAAAAGCAAATGCATCAGCCTGGACAACATCGCAAAACCTGTCTCTACAAAAAATACAACATTTAGCTGAGCCTAGTGGCACGCACCTGTATCCCAGCTGATTGGCTTGAAGGGCTGACACAGGAGGATTGCTTGAGCCCTGTGAGGTCGAGGCTGCAGTGAGCCAAGAGCATGCCACTGCACTCCAGCCTGGGTGACAAAGTGAGACCCTGTCTCCAAACAACAACAACAACAAACACACACACAAAAAAAACAAAAATCAAATGCAGTTTGCTTGCTCACCACCTCTCTTCAGGAAGTCGAAACGTGCAACAAAAAACAGGAATGTGGTTGATTTGGTTTGGGCTCCTGTCCTGAGCCCCCGTTTGCAATCTTCTTGGTTGTCTATGAGACAGGAGGAGGGGCCACAGTATATGACAAACTAGGGCCTAAGACTGGGTGGCCCTGTCCCCTTCAAGCTCCAAATCCCTGGTGCTTTTGCATATAGGCTTTCAGAGTCATAAGCTCTGGAGTCAGAATATCTTGGGTTCAAATCTCATCTTAGCCACCTGGCAGAGCTGTTGTAAATGACAAGCACTCAGTAAATGCGAAGAGCTTAGCAGGGCTCCAGGCACATACTAAGCCTCGAAAGTGGCAATCTATTACCATTAACAACCCATAACATAGGAGATACATTCTCCACCTTATGGATAATAAAAGTCATTCCCAGAGAGGCTGATAGCTTGCAGGAAAACAGAATTCAAACCCAGGTTTGGGCCAGGCACGGTGGCTCATGCCTGTAATCCTAGCACTTCGGGAGGCCGAGGTGGGCGGATCACTTGAGGTCAGGAGTTCAAGACCAGCCTGGCCAACATGGTGAAACCCCATCTCTACTAAAAATACAAAGATTAGCCAGGCGTGGTGGTGCTCACCTGTAATCCCAGCTATTCGGGAGGCTGAGGCAGGAGAAGTGCTTGAACCCGGGAGGCAGGGCTGCAGTGAGCCAAGAGGGCACCACTGCACTCCAGCCTGGGTGACAGAGCAAGACTCCATCTCAAAACAAAACAAAACAAAACAAAAACAAAAAACAAAAGCCCGGGCGCGGTGGCTCACACCTGTAATCCCAGCACTTTGGGAGGCCGAGGCGGGCGAATCACGAGGTCAGGAGTTCAAGACCAGCCTGACCATTTTTAGTCTCTACTAAAAATACAAAAATTAGCCAGGTGTGGTGGCGGATGCCTGTAATCCCACCTACTCAGGAGGCTGAGGCAGGAGAATCATTTGAACCTGGGAGGCAGAGGTTGCAGTGAGCCGAAATTGCACCATTGCACTCCAGCCTAGGTGACAGGGTGAGACTCCGTCTCAAAAAAAAAAAAAAACAAAAAAAGCAAACAAACAAACAGAAAAACAGGTCTATGGGTCTGGCCCCTCTATTTGTTCTCGCTGCCTGACTTCATTGACTTCCACTCCTGCCAGGAGCTGGACTGAGTCGAGAACTAGATGCCTTCATAGAGCTCCAGGTCCTGGTCTTAGGGTGGGAGACCGGCCCCCTTAGCAGGGGTCCCTCAGGGAGTGGGAGGACCAGGGCGAGCCTGGGTCCAGGCAGGGCTACAAGAGGCTCCCAGGTGATGGGGAAGGGGGCTGCCTGGCCCTTCTCCAAGCACATTTAGAGCCAACCCAAGGGAAACCCCGATTCTGTCAGTGCTGGCACGCCTGGGGCACAAGCATCGGAGACATTAAATATTAAACACGTCGGCTGCCTTCCAAGCTTGGTAATTAAAACTCTTATTTCATATTTTACACAGGATGGACGGGGAGGTCACAGACTGCTCTTAGATGTTTCATAGTTCCTTGTTCACAGATGAAGTGGCTCTTCCGAGGAAAACCTCCTCTCACTTGGGATCCTCGCGCCCTATTTATTAAGTGATTTCCTGGGAGGGAGGCCAGGGAGCGGAGGTCGGGGAGGTCTCCGGGGTGTAAGGCCCCAACCAGGAATCCCAGCAGGGTTTTGGGCTTTCTTTCTGCTTCTCCAAAATGGGCCTGGGTTCCCAGGAGACGGCCGAGGGCGCCTCGCCCCTGCTGGAAGGGCAGCCTGGGAGCTGGAGTTGGCAAACGGGAGGGGACGGGAGGGGACGGGAGGAGCCCCAGGGGAGGGGGCGTCTTCCCTTAGCTTTCAGCGCCATCTGCTGGCCGTATGCTAAACTGCCGCTCCCCCGGAGGCCAGCTAGAGACCAATTTCGAGTTCTGAGCAGGGAGAGAGAGGAGGGGTTCCAGGACAATCAGGCCTGGAGCTTCCAGAAACATTCCAAAAACACAGTTTAGATTTTTAATTGTTCACTCAGTCATTCTCCCGGGGTCTAGGGAGAAATAGGACTCAGACTCGGATCTCTGGGGACCTACCCCAGCATGATAACCTGGGTGTGCCTGGGGTTCATGGGGGCCTGGGAATCACGGAGGCCCCCTCACCTGCATTCACTGTGTGCCAAGCACTGGCCTACATCACTGACATTTGTTGTATCACTGCAGGTGCTGTGATCTTGCTGCCGTGCTCATTTGACAGATGAAAACACTCAGGCTGTGAGAGAACCCCAAAGCCAGAGGATTCCCTTGATCACTCCCCACCATGGCCAACATGATGAAATCCTGTTTCTACTAAAAATACAAAAATTAGCCGGCCGTGGTGGCAGGCACCTGTAATCCCACCTACTCGGGAGGCTGAGGCGGGAGAATTGCTTGAACCTGGGAGGCGGAGGTTGCAGTGAGCCAAGATCACACCACTGCACTCCAGCCTGGGCGACAGAGCAAGACTCCATCTCAAAAAAAACAAAACAAAAAGAAAGAAAGAACAAGGGAGAGAGGAGAAAGCAAGCAAGCCAGTGTGAGGGAAAAGGAGTGAGAATGGGGAGGGCCTGAGATAAGACTGCAGCAGAAGGTCCGGGGCTACTGGATTTGAACCTATAGCTTTAGAGCATGGGGCACCATGGAGAGAAGAGAGGTAGGGAGGAACACGAGCAGATTTGTGGTTTTTTGGGGGTTTGTTTCGTTTTGTTTTTTGAGACAGAGTCTCACTGTGTCGCATAGGCTGGAGTGCAGTGGTGCAATCTTGGCTCACTGCAAGCTCCGCCTTCCGGGTTCACGCCATTCTCCTGCCTCAGCCTCCCGAGTAGCTGGGACTACAGGCGCCCGCCACCACGCCCAGCTAATTTTGTGTATTTTTAGTAGAGACGGGGTTTCACCGTGTTAACCAGGATGGTCTCCATCTCCTGACCTCGTGATCCGTCCGCCTTGGCCTCCCAAAGTGCTGGGATTTGTGTTTTTAAAATAACCCTCGGGCTGCACAGTGAAGCATCGCAGTGTAGGGAGCAGGGTGGGGGAAGGCTGGAGTCAGGGAGCCCAATTTGGAAGCCGCTGTAGTCAGGTGAGAGAGGATGGGGTTGGGGGAGGGAGCCTGAACTAGGGCAGAGGAGACAGGAGTGGAGATAGTGGATGGATGTGGAGATTGAAGCTGGAAATAGAGCCCAAGAAGTATCCATGGCTCACATTTCTGCAAAACTGGACACCTGGAGGTGACGTTCACTAAAATGAGGCCCATACTTCTCCCACCACATCTCACTGGCCAAGAGCAGTCAAGGGTGGGAGCATTCTCCACCTTTGGTGGGAAAGACCATGAAGTTACATGGCAAAGGGTGCACATGCAGGGGGACTAAAGAATCAGGGCCAGTGACGCACAGTTTTTTGTTTGTTTGTTTTTTGTTTTGAGACAGAGTCTTGCTCTTGTTGCCCAGGCTGGAGTACAGTGGCACGATCTCGGCTCACTGCAACCTCCGCCTCCCAGGTTCAAGCAATTCTCCTGCCCTCAGCCTCCTGAGTAGCTACAGGTGTGCACCACCACAGCCTGCTAATTTTTTTTTTTTTAATTTTTAGTAGAAATGGGGTTTCACCATGTTGGCCAGGCTGGTCTGGAACTCCTGACCTCAAGTGATCTGCCCTCCTCGGCCTCCCAAAGTGCTGGGATTATAGGTGTGAGCCACTGTGCCCAGCCAGGTGTCCAGAGAGAAAATGATCGATGTTTGAGAAGCCACCTTCCCCTTCCACACCCTTGTCCTGGTAAAGGAGAAGGAGTCTTGCTTGCTGATTCAGCTCCTGGCCGCCCTTCTCTTGTGGGGATTCTGGGTGAATGGTGAATCTCACATAAACAAGCTAGAGGTTAATCTATGTAAAAAAGACTTGAGAGTGAGGGCAGGTTAGGGAGAAAAAAACTGCTTAGGCAAGGAGAAAGAATACTGCCTGGCTCCCAGTAGCAACATGGGCCTTATTCCAGCCCTTCCTAAGGCCTTGCCAAATTCCCAGCATTAGTTCCTTTTAATAAGCCATCAGAGGAGACTAGGCTGGGAGTGATGAGACTTGGCATGCATTTTTTTTAGAACACTGGCTAAGAATAGCTGAGAGGTTCTCAAGGGCAACAGGTAGGAGGGGTCAGGCCATCCTTATCACAACGCTCTAGTCATTAAAACAGTGTGGTTTCAGCACAAGGACAGACACAAAGACTAATAGAGGGGAAGGTAGAACCCAGAAGCAGACCCTCAAACACACAGGCACATAATCCATGACAGAGGTGGTCCACAGAGCAGTAGGGGACAGAGAGAGTCTTCAGTAAGTAATTTTGGGACGAAATTGAGTACCCATGTGGAAAACATGAAATGGACCTCCACCTCCGCCATATGCAGCAACACCCATTCCCTGCAGGCCTCCCGGAAGGTCTGGAACCAGGAACTGGAGAGCTATTGGAACCGTGGCAGCTCCGCCGTCCCCGGCCCACTTTTCCCCCTCCCCTCCTGATGCTTACAGAACGCATTTTAGACACTGGGCACTGTGCTAACGGCTTCTTTGCATTCTCATTGAGTCTCCACAACATTCTTCTGAGGCCAGTATGATGACCCCATTTTACAGCTGACGAAACTGAGGCTCAGCGATTGAGTCATTTTCCCAAGGGTATATAAATTATAGGATGTGGGGTTGGGATTTGAACCCAAATAGGCCAGTTCCAGGGCCTACTGTTTTACAGCATCTGATATGGTTCAGCTGTGTCCCCACCCAAATCTCAACTTGAGTTGTACCTCCCAGAATTCCCACGTGTTGTGGGAGGGACCCAGGGGGAGGTAATTGAATCATGCGGGCCAGTCTTTCCCATGCTAGTCTAGTGATGGTCTCATGAGATCTGATGGGTTTATCAGGGCTTGCCACTTTTACTTCTTCCTCATTTTCTCTTGCCGCTGCCATGTAAGAAGTGCCTTTCACCTCCCACAGTGATCCTGAGGCCTCCCCAGCCATGTGGAACTGTAAGTCCAATTAAACCTCGTTTTCTTCCCAGTCTCGGGTATGTCTTTGTCAGCAGCGTGAAAATGGATGAATACAGCACCCCTTCTGGAAACAGAAGTTCAGTGTGATAGGGGTCTGTGGTATTGGGATGGGGGGCTTGTGGTGTGGAGGCTGGAAGTGAAGGAGTGGGGTGGGAGGAGTGCCCGGAGAGGGGGGTAGAAGCAGACCATCGAGGGCATAGAATGCCAACCAGGAAGCTTCCCCTCTTTCTTCAGATAGGAGAGAGTGGGAGGATTGGAAAGTGAGAGAGTCATGCTGGCTCCTGCACTGCAAGTCCCCTCCTCACCACTTAGACCATCCCAGGACCCCAAGCCAGCAGTTCTGCAAGAAGGCTGTTCAGACACAGGCCGCTTCCTGCCAGCCTTCTTCCTTGTCTCTTAGGCCTTAGAAGTGGCTCAGTTACATCTTCCCCTGTCATGCCAGAATCTGGCCTCACTGGATGCCACATCAGGGTGAAGTGGAGAACCAGGAGGTAGGCTAGCCAAAGCAGTTAGAATGTTTCAGTTGTGAAAAAAAAAAAAAAAAAAAAAAAAAGGCCGGACACAGTGGCTCACGCCTGTAATCCCAGCACTTTGGGAGTCTGAGGAGGGCAGATCACGAGGTCAGGAGATTGAGACCATCCTGGCTAACACGGTGAAACCCCGTCTCTACTAAAAATACAAAAAATTAGCCGGGCGTGGTAGCGGGCACCTGTAGTCCCAGCTACTCGGGAGGCCGAGGCAGGAGAATGGCGTGAACCCGGGAGGCAGAGCTTGCAGTGAGCTGAGATCGTGCCTCTGCACTCCAGCCTGGGCAACAGAGCGAGATTCCGTCGAAAGAAAGGAAGGAAGGAAGGAAGGAAGGAAGGAAGGAAGGAAGGAAGGAAGGAAGGAAGGGAAACGAAACGAAACAAAACCTACTTGGATTGGCTAATGCCCTAAAGTGAGAATTTGATGTTTCGACCACTGAAAATTTGAAATGCCACCAGGGCCTAGAAGCACCTGAAATCATGAATTAGAGATCCAATGGGAAATAAGAGACTCCTCTTCTTCATCCTAAGCCCCCCTTCTTTCTTTCTTTTTATTTTATTTTATTTTTGAGACAGGGTCTCGCTCTGTTGCCCAGGCTGGAGTGCAGTGGTGCAATCTCAGCTCATGGCAACCTCCGCCTCCCGGGTTCAAGTGATTCTCCTGCCTCAGCCTCGCAAGTAGCTGGGATTACAGGTGCCCGCCACCATGCCCAGCTAATTTTTGTATTTTTAGTAGAGATGGGGTTTCGTCATGTGGGTCAGGCTGGTCTCGAACTCCTGACCTCATGTGATCTGCCCACCTTGGCCTCCCAAAGTTCTGGGATTATAGGAGTGAGCCACCGCACCTGGCCCTTTTTTCTTTCTTAATCAGGGTTCCTGTGGTCCCTCCTCTCTGACATTCCTGCAGTCCTCTGCCTCTCCAGCCACCTATGTGCAGATGAGCCCCACATCTCTGGTTCTAGCCTGGTCTGCTCTGGAATCTCACACCAAAACACCTCCTGAGCATGGCCATTAGGATATTCCACTAGCTCCTCAAACTCAGCATGTCCCAAACTCAACTCAGCCCCCTCCCCTGAACCTGGTCTTCTTATCCTATGTTCCTCTGCAGTGAGTGTGTGATAGCGCCACTATGATAGTTGACCCAGTTACCAATGCCAAAAATCAGAAAGTTGCCCTGGACAACTGCCCCCTCACTCCCACATTCACTATTCAGCAAGACCGGTTAGTTCTTTCTCTTAAATGGCCTTCAAATCTGCCCTTTCCTCTAAGTCTCCACAGCCACTGCCTTAAACATCTTTCACATGGACAACTGCTGTAGCTTTCTTACAGATCTCTCCCACTTCAGTCTTAAAATACAAAGTAGGTGTGCCACTCCTCTGTTTAAAACCCTTCCGTTACTAGGATAAAGATAGATAATGGTTCAATGGGATAGAATTGAGAGCCCAGAAATAAACCCACACATTTACGGTAAATGGATTTTCAACAGGGGTACCACAACGATTCAGTGGAAGGAAGTTTAGACTTTTCAACAAATGGTGCCAGGACAACTGTATATCCACATGCAAAAGAATGAAGTTGGACCCCTACCTCACACTGTAAACAAAAATTAACTCAAAATTGATCGAAGATCTAAATGTAAGGACTAAAACTATACAACTTTTAGGAAAAAAGGTAGATGTAAATCTTTGTGACTCTGGATTAGGTAACAGTTTCTCATACATAACATCAAAGCACAACCAGCCAAAGGAAAAATGGATAAATTGGACTTCATCAAAACTTCTAAATTTGTGCTTCAAAGGACAGTATTGAGAAAGTGAAAATGTCTGCACATCATGTATATGATAAGGGTCTAGTATCCAGAATATATAAAGAAATTTTATGATTCAACAATAAAAACACAAATGCAACTAAATTTTAAATGCTCAAAAGATCTGAATAGATATTTCTACAAAGAAAATATACACATGGCCAAAAAACTCATAAAACGATGCAAAATGTAATTAGTTACTAGAGAACTGCAAATCAAAACCACCAATTGGTGGGGCATGATGGATGGCTCATGCCTATAAACCCAGCACTTTGGGAGGCTGAGATGGGAGGATTGCTTAAGGCAAGGAGTTTGAGACCAGCCTGGGAAACATAGCAAGACCCCAATTCTAAAAAAAAACCAATTGTTTAATTAAACAAAATAAAACAAAACCACAATGAGATACGTTACACCCACTAGGGTGGCTATAACAAAAAAGACAGGCAGTAACAAGTGTTGGAGAGGATGTGGAGAAATTAGAAATCTTGTATTAATATATTGCTGGTGAGAATGAAAACTGGAATAGCCACTATGGAAAGCAGTTCGGCAGTGCCTCAAAAAGTTAAACATACTATTATCATATGACCCAGGAATTTCACATCTAGGTATATGCCCAAGAGCTCTGAAAACATATGATGTCCACACAAAAATTCGTACATGAATTTTCATAGCAGCATTATTTATAGTAGCCAAAATGTGGAAATGATCCAAATGCCTGGGATATTCTTCAGTTCTGAAAAGGAAGTACTGATACATGTGACAACAGGGATAAATCTTAGAAATATGCTAAGTGAAAGAAGCCAGACACAAAAGGCCACATACTGAATGCTTCTATTTATATGAAATATCCAGAACAGGCAAATCTGAAGAGAAAATAAATTCATGGTTTCCAGCAGCTCGAGGGAGGGAAGAATGGGAAGTGATTGGGTGCAGGATTTCTTTTGGAATGATGACAATGTTCTGGATTAGAGAGTGGTGATGATTGTACAACTTTATGAACATGCTAAAAATCACTGAATTGTATACTTTAAAAGGGTGAAGCTTGTGGTATATGAAATAATGTATCAATCTTAAAAAAATAAAACCTTCAGTGGCTCCACTGACCCCGAGGACCTTTCATGGTCTAGCCCCTGCCTACCCCTCCAGCCTCATCCCGTGCTAGTCCTTCTATTGATCACTTTGCTCAGAGGAGCAGATCATTAGGATTTTTCTTGAGATTGTGGTCGATGGGTAAGCAGTTTTTCTGTCTGTTGCCCTGCATCTAAATGTGTCAGCTGCAATAGCACCTGACTAAGCAAAACCAAGGCTGCTGCTTGATCTCCACCTTCCTGACTCATACACATTTCTCTTGAAACAAAACCTGACCCACAACCACACAGGGAAAGGCATCTTGGGACATGAAGTTCCAGCTTAGCTAAACAGACATAGTACCAAGCCACCCGGGTTCTTCTCACATGCTATTTCCCTGCCCAGAGCCCGGTCCCCACTTCTGTTTTCACCCACACATTCCTACTCCTTCTTCAAATCTCAGCTACCCTCAGGAAAGCTCTCTGGCCCTTGCTCTATTCCTGGACCGGCCCCTCCTCCGATCTTCCCTGGCCCACTTTATGAGGTCCAGGATATGCAGTTGAGGAGGTTGTACACGACTCCAAGAGCACAGTTCACACTCCTAGTCATCAGAGTCATCACACACATCCTTAACGTGAATTTCTCCACCAATGGTAGTAAAGTGACTAACGCTTAGGGCAATTCTTTCTTTCTTTCTTTCCTTCCTTCCTCCCTCCCTCCCTCCCTCCCTCCCTTCTTCCTTTCTTTCCTTCTTTCTTTCTTTCTTTCTTTCTTTCTTGACAGAGTCTCGCTCTGTCACCCAGGCTGGAGTGCAGTGGCACAATCTCGGCTCACTGCAAGCTCCGCCTTCCAGGTTCACGCCATTCTCCTGACTCAGTCTCCTGAGTAGCTGGGAGTACAGCCGCCCGCCACCACGCCCGGCTAATTTTTTGTATTTTTAGTAGAGACGGGGTTTCACCGTGTTAGCCAGGATGGTCTCGATCTCCTGACCTTGTGATCCGCCCACCTCAGCCTCCCAAAGTGCTGGGATTACAGGCGTGAGCCACCGCGCCCGGCCCACTTGCGGCATATTTTTCTAACACAGGTGCTCATAGGAGGTCCTGGGGCTGACCGTAGTCCTTTTGTTTCAGGGGATGGAGGTACCTGGGCACCAGGCTGTTTCCCTTCCTAGACTGTGGGCTCCATCTGTCAAGAACCATGTCAGAACAGCTCAATATGGGGTTCCCAGCATTTAGCCTAGGGGCTGGTACACAGCAGACACTTGACATCTATAAAACAAAGGAATGAGTGAATGTCTGGAGGATGAGAGAGGAGTGGCAGGAGAGAGGGCAGGAAGATGGGTGGGCTGGGGGCTTCAGGAACCGGGCTAGAGGCAGAAAGATGAGACAGTACAGTGAGGTAGCTCGGAGTGTGGATTCAAGAGCCAGACCCTCATCCCCATCACTTACCAGCTGTGTGACCTTCAGTGAGTTACTTCACCTCTCTGTGCCTTAATTTGTTGATCTGTAAAAATAGAGCTAAGAATAGCACCTCCCTTGATGGATTGTAAGAGAATTCACTGGGCTAATATTTGCAAAAGACATAGATAGCAGTACACAAGTGTTCATTAAACAAAGAAATACATATATGCATGCATACATACATACATACACAAACACACAAATGAATAAATACAATAAAAAGATGAATAAATTTGTTTCTCTTTCAAAGCCAGGAGAAAATGCAGCAGAAGGTGGTACTGGGGTTCCCTATTCAAGTGGTGGGAAGGCAGTGTAGTGCTTTGACTCTGAAAGTACATAGGTTTAAGAGCATCAAGATAAATGCCCCAGCTGGCAAGAACCTCTAGACTAGAGGGTATTGCATTAGCATACTGTTAGTTAAGGAGTTATAGCTCTTAGGATACCAGCTTCTGCACAATAAAATGATTTTTAAAACATTTTTAAAACCCGATTAAAACATAATGCTCTGTTGAGTTACTGCCACAAAATGTTTTGTTTGCAAATTACAGCCTAGTGGATTTAATTTACTTTCTGCTGACACCCGTATTAGACATGATGGACCAGGCAAGCACAGCAAGGCTGCAGGCTGCGGAACAGCATTGCAGGAATTGGAGCTTGCGGCTCCACCGTGGAGCATCTGTGGAGGAGGTGGCATGGCCAGGCCTCTCCACTCCCACCACTAGGTCCTGAGGGTCTTACTAATGGCCTGTCACTATGGTCCTTCCCATAGGCTCTCTGCACCATGGAGGGTTTGGGGCTTGGCAGGACACTGTACACTGAGGACAGAGACTGAAAAGGTGATCCAGGGCCAAGTTCAGCCACCTGATTGTTTGCCTGGCTCACACCAAGATTTCAAAAAATTTGAGCCAAGCTTTTTTTTTTTTTTTTTTTTAGTGCAGTGGTGCAATCTCAGCTCACTGCAATCTCTGCCTCCCGGGTTCAAGCGATTCTCCTGCCTCAGCCTTCCAAGTAGCTGGGATTACAAGCATGTGCCACCATGCCTGGCTACTTTTTGTATTTTTAGTAGAAATGGGGTTTCACCATGTTGGCCAGGCTGGACTCAAACTCCTGACCTCAGGTGATCCGCCCACCTCGGCCTCCAAAAGTGCTGGAATTATAGGCATGAGCCACTGTGCCTGGCCTGAGCCAACATTTAAAAATCAGGAGGTACAGGCTGGGTGTGGTGGCACGCGCCTGTAATCCCAGCTACTCGGGAGGCTGAGGCAGGCAAATTGCTTGATCCTAGGAGGCGGAGGTTGCGGTGAGCCAAGATTGTGCCACTGTTCTCCTGTCTGGACAACAGAGTGAGACCCTGTCTCAAAAAGAAAAGAAAAACAAAATCAGGAGGTACTACTTTAAAAATCTTGATGTTTTACTACTCTTGAAAAATGAGAACAACGGGCAACACTGGGCTGTCATTGTCATGGCAACAAAAGGCTGGAGTATGTATGAGTGGTCATGTGCTTTCGGTTTGTCACACTCTCTACCCTTCCCTACCGCCTCAGGAATCTGAGACGCACTGAAGTCCTATTTGCTGGTGCATGTGAGCTGTTGTTTTTTCTCTGGGTGGAGAAGTATTTCCAGACTCCATAGGTATCATTCCAGTACCAGCAGGAAACAGATGACACACTCAAGTTGAGTAATTGAGGAGAGTTTAGCAATGAGATTATTTACAAAGGTATAAACAGGGATTAAGAAAAGCAACAGGGAAGGAATGATTTAGTACCCTGGGGCTAGGAACACTGGGGACTGTTGCCACCCTAAATTTGAAGCGGTGCAGACAGGGGACCTGGAGAGATTTACTGACGGAGCTGAGGCTGGGTCAAGGGCTGTGGCCAGCCCACGGGGACTCCACAGGAAGGGAGCCCGGAAAATGATTTTTTAAATGTACTCCTCCTTCCCTCCAGTCTCCCCTGGGGATCCCAGGGGCCACACCAGCTGGAAGCTAGCAGACAGAAGAGTCCATATGAATCAGCCCCCCAAACACAGACTTGGGGTGGGGAGGCAGAGAGGATCTGTGGGAAGAGCCAAATGGAAGACAGCCAGCCTGTCACATGTCCTTCAGAAGTGGCAGGATGGCCAGGCGTGGTGGCTCAGACCTGTAATCCCAGCACTTTGGGAGGCCAAGGTGGGTGGATCACTTGAGGTCAAGAGATTGAGACCAGCCTGGCCAACATGGTGAAACCCTGTCTCTATTAAAAATTAGCCAGGCATGGTGAAGCAGCCTAATTGGGAGACTTGAAGCAGGAGAATCAGTTGAACCTGGGAGGAGGAGGTTGCAGTGAGCTGAGATTGCACCACTACACTCCAGCCTGGACAACAGAGCAAGATGCTGTCTCAAAAAAAAAAAAAATGGCAGGACAAAAAAATACACATAGAGGAGCCAATATCTAAGGACAAATGAGAGTGCATAGCTTTGTGTAGATGTTAAGAATATGCATTCTGGCCGGGCATGGTGACTCACACGTATAATCCCAGCACTTTGGGAGGCCAAGGCAGGCAGATCACGAGGTCAGGAGATTGAGAAATTCCTGGCTAACATAGTGAAACCCCATCTCTACTAAAAATACAAAAAATTAGCTGGGCATGGTGGCACACACCTGTAGTCCCAGCTACTCGGGAGGCTGAGGCAGAAGAATCGCCTGAACCTGGGAGGTGGAGGTTGCAGTGAGCTGAGATCACGCCACTGTACTCCAGCCTGGGCAACAAAGCAAGACTCCGTCTTGAAAAAAAAAAAGAATATGCATCCTTATACAGTTAATGTGCAAATGTCTACTGTTCTCATTTGCATCACCGACTTTACCTCTTGGGAAAGCTTGCCTCCCCTTGACCCCTTCATGCCCCCTCTCACCCCACCACACCATGTTTTTGTGCTGTTTCCTCTTTGGGAAATGGATGGAACTTTCCATCTTCAAACGGAAATAGCATTAGAGGATCCTACCCCTCCGCCCCTCTGTGTGGGGAGGCAGAGGACAGGTGACAGCTCAGACACTGGCCTCCCCTGGACCTGCCCTCATCAACAGCTTGTCCCTTGTTTCTGTTCCCGATGTCAAGCAGTATCTCAGCAAGGCAGAGCATCCCTGCTCCAGGAAGAGGGCTCTCCTACAGCCAGGAGAGAAATTCTGTTCTGGAGGCTGGGCATGGTGGCTCACGCCTGTGAGCACTCCCAATCTCAGCACTTTGGGAGGCCAGGGTGGATGGATCACTTGAGTGCAGGAGTTTGAGACCAGTCTGGGCCACACAGGGAAACCCCGTGTTTGTATTTTTGTTTCTACAAAAGATTAGCTGGGCAGGTGATGGCACACCTAGCTACTAAAGGGGCTGAGGTGGGAGGATCACCTGAGCCCGGGAGGTCAAGGCTACAGTGAGCCATGACTGTGCCATTGCACTCCAGCCTGGGTGAGAGAGTAAGACTCTGTCTCAAAAAACGAAAAAAGAAAAGAAAAGAGAAAAGAAGTTCAGTTCTGGGAGCGGGGAGGGAAGATTTTGGCCCCAGGTTCCAGTTGCATTCTCCAATTTAGATCTACCAGGAATAAAGCTGAAGCCATTGTCTCTATTTGATCTCAATCCCTTATGCCCTGTATTGAGACTCCCTAGCATGACACCCCATCCTGTGTTTGAGGAATTCCCCATTCTCCAAAACTTGGAGAGAGGCGGAAACTACGCCCCACTGTAGAAGCCCAAAGGGCCAGTTTGTTGCTTCCTCAGCCTCCCTTGCAGCCAGGGAGCAGACGCTGGCCAGCCTCAGCCAACCAGAGGACTCTGACTCGGCAGCTAGTGGCACATGAGGGCAGTGGTGGCAGCAAGATCTGCTTCCAAAGTAGCAGGGGCAGCGCAGTGCAGACTGGAGGGGACGGGGGATCCAGTTGGCAGCAGCAACCGCACTGGCAAAAGTGGTGGCCATGGTGGTGGCAGCAGTGTTCTGGCCACCCCAGTTCTGTGGCCTGATTGTGGGTGCGGCTTGGCTGCATAGTCACAGAGCTCGATTTTCCAGCCCTCTTGGGGATCAGATCCTTTTAGTGAATTCTTTTTCTACTGTAATCAGCCAGACTCCATTTCTGTTCTGTGCAGCTTAGAATGTCTACCCAGACATGTGCACACATGTCCCAAAAGCCAGAACCCTGGAAGAAAGAGTGGGTGACTCCTCCAACCACTCCCCCGAGCAACCACCTCACAGCCTGTGTGTCAGTTAAGAGTGTCTTGATTGTAAAGAAACAAAAACAAAAACAAAATTGCAAACTGATGAGCAATGAAGGGAATGTGTTGGTTCACCTGGGTCTGGTGAGGTGAAGCTGGATCCAGATTCTCACCAAGACACTGACTTTTCCCTACCTGTGTTTTATATCTTTCTTGCTGTCAACTTCATTTCCAGCCCCCTCACACAGGCTCTTGCAATTCCAGGCTCTCTCCTTACAGAAATAAAATGGCTGCAATGGTTCCTGACCTCGCATCCTCCCACACCATCCAACAAAAGGGTGTCTCTTCCAGTAGCTCCCCACAACTCCTGGGGTGTCCAGCTGGTCCCACAGCCTGAAGCAGAGCTGCCCAGTTGAGCCCAGCTTAAACCAGCCAGCCCTTAACTGATCTGCAGACACACAAATGAGAATAGGTAATTACTGTTGTAAGCCACTGAGCCTTGCGGTGGATTGTTTTGTAATAACAGCAGGCGGACACAGTCATCGGCGCTGAAACTGGGAGCCTGCCATAATAAAAACTTCAAATATGAGGCATTGGGTTTGGGACCAGGCAATAAGCAACAAGGAAATATTTACGGGGGGCTGGAAAGTGGTGAGAAAACTTATAGGAAACAGGAAAAGGCAGCCTGTGTTAAGTAGTGGGAAACATTTAGTAAAACTCCTGTGTATGAAGATTTGAATGAGAAAAATGTATCTAATGAAGTTTTAGAGTTGGGAGAAGACATTTAGAGGCAAAACGTCAAAAGTAGGACTTTCTTGGCGGGCCATGGTGGCTCAAGCCTGTAATCCCAGCACTTTGGGAGGACGAGGCAGGTGGATCACCTGAGGTCGGGAGTTCGAGACCAGCCTGGCCAACATGGTGAAACCCCATCTCTACTAAAAATATAAAAATTGGCCAGGTGTGGTGGCACGGCCTGTGGTCCCAGCTACTCAGGAGGCTGACGCAGGAGAATTGCTTGAACCCGGGAGACAGACGTTGCAGTGAGCCAAGATCATGCCACTGCACTCCAGCCTGGGCAACAGAGAGAGACTCTGTCTCAAAAAAAAAAAAAAAAAAAAAAAAGTAGGACTTTCTTGGTGTTAGATAAATTTGAAAAGACACTACTATAAGAAAGAGATGTGCTCAGAAAAGAAATGGCCAATTTCACAAGCAATAATTAGGGAGAATATGGAGTCCAGAAATTGCTAGGTTGGAAAAATAAAAATAATGTCCAACCTCTCCAGACAGTAGAAGATTCTTATATCAAGGCCGGGTGCGGTGGCTCACGCCTGTAATCCCAGCACTTTGGGAGGCTGAGGCAGGTGGATCACGAGGTCAGGAGATCGAGACCATCCTGGCTAACACAGTGAAACCCCATCTCTACTAAAAAAAAAAAAAAACAAAAACAAACAAACAAAAAAAACCAAGATTCTTATATCAAAATACGATTTAGGGACAAAAATTAAATCAAGGGCGTGGATCCTTTCAGCTGACAAAAAAGGCTTCTAGAAAGATTAAAAGGTATTAAGGGTATGGTCCCACAAAATTTTAATACCCCTAAAGTGCCAGTAAGTACATTGAGTCTATAGAAAGAGGCACATGTTGAGAAAAACTATAAGTATACCTTTGTCATATGAAGTTGACTGGAATCAAATACATAGAAAATCTACAATGTCTTTGAGGGCTATGTACTGGCAAAAGTGCCACCAGTCTGGATGGAAAGAGGGCAGAGATCTCCCCAACTTTCTTCTTTTTTTATTTTTTTTTTTTGAGAGGGAGTCTCACTCTGTCACCCAGGCTGGAGTGCAGTGGTGCAATCTCAGCTCACCACAACCTCCACCTCCCAGATTTAAGCGATTTTTTTGCCTCAGCCTCCTGAGTAACTGGGACTACAGGTGCACACCATCATGCCCGGCTAATTTTTGTATTTTTAGTAGAAACGGGTGTCACCATATTAGCCAGGCTGGTCTCGAACTCCTGACCTCGTGATCCACCCGCCTTGACCTCCCAAAGTGCTGGGATTACAGGCATGAGCCACCGCGCCCAGCCGAGATCTCCCCAACCCTCTCTGGGAATGTAGCAACCTGAGAAAGCTGATCAGCCACCAAAAAAAAAGCGCATATTTTTCAATGCTATCTTCAAGACATGCTTCAGAATTAAGCAAGGGAGTTGTTGCAAAAGGAAGGATTTCCAAAAGGGTAGAACCAACAGCTGTAGAGAACTGACTGAGGAGCTACTCTCAAGGAGAAATCAAGGGCCTTCATCTCAGCATAGTGATACCTGGCAATATTTGTCCACTGGGATTTTGGAATTGCTATTGACCAGTGACTGACTACTATGTGCCTCCCATTCTTAACTATTTTCAAATGAGAGTGTTTATTGCAGTTATCTCATTCCTATTCTATCACTGTGTGAGGCTGAGAAGGCAGACAACTTATCTTTCTAGTTCGTAGATGTTTTAGAATGAAGAGGAGCCACATCCAGATCCGACGTAGATCACAAGACTCTGAACTTTGATCCTTATGAGGATTTTAAGTCCGGATAAGATTTCGGAAGGTCTTGGGATTGAGGTGAATGTGCTTTGCATGCAGGAGGAATTTGAACAATTGTAAGATGGCGACTCTGGTCAATTGGTTTATTGTTCCCAATCCTTCACCCCTCCCTGTGTACATGCATGCTTTCACATGACTTTTTAGTTTCTCCCTCTAAAGGTGAAGTGCACTTCCTGCCCTTGACTTTGGGCTATCATGTGACTTGCATTGGCCAATAGAATATTAGCAAATAAGACATCCACGAAGGCTTAAAATGTGCTTGCAGGGTAGGGCCTTCTCTTTAGCCCCTTTGACATCATCACGAGGTAAGCTTTTCCTGGGTAGCTGCTGTCCCTTTAGCCTGGACCTGCCTAAATGAATACATGTGGAGCAGACTTGGCCCCCAACCTGCAGAGAGAAAAGCCAAGCTCCGCCAGAGATGCAGTTTAAAGCAGAGGAAGGACAAATTATTATCGTTTTAATCCACTAAGTTTGCAGTTATTATTTAACAATAGCTAACTCTACACTTGCCTCTTGCCTCTGCAGTATGCTCTCAAACGGATTGGTTTATCAGTTGGAAACATATCTGGCTGCAAACAAAAGAAAATCCTCAAAACGTGGCTTAAATAGGAGGTCTGTTTATTCTCTCTTCTCTAGATAGATAATACATACGGAGAGATTTACAGAGATATCTTTGAGAGATACTCTCTATGATCTATGATATATATATCTCAAAGATATCTCTAAATCTTTCTCTATATTATATGTATCTTATCGATCTTGCCTGAGATCTGTCAGGTTTTTTTTGTTGTTGTTTGTTTGTTTCTTTGTTTTTGAGACGGAGTCTCCCTCTGTCGCCCAGGCTGGAGTGCAGTGGCATCATCCGGGCTCACTGCAAGCTCCGCCTCCTGGATTCACGCCATTCTCCTGCCTCAGCCTCCGTAATAGCTGGGACTACAGGCGCCCGCCACCATGCCCGGCTAATTTTTTTGTAGTTTTAGTAGAGACGGGGTTTCACCGTGTTAGCTAGGATGGTCTCGATCTCCTGACCTCGTGATCTGCCTGCCTCGGCCTCCCAAAGTGCTGGGATTACAGGCGTGAGCCACCGCGCCCGGCCCCTGATCTGTCAGTTTTATTAGTCAATTCAAAAACTTAACTTTGGGCTTTATTGGTCTTCCTTATTGTATCTGTTTTCTAATTAATATACAAACTTATCTTTTCCTTTCCTGTGTCTTTCCTTTCACTTTCCTTGAGTTTACTTTGTTTCATTTTTCTAACCTTTCAAGTGATTAACTCATTAACTTAGACCTTTCTTCTTTTATCATAATTGTTGGATATAAATTTCCCTCTTAAAACTTTTTTTGCTGACAACACAGATTTGGAAGGTAGTGTTTTTATAATCATTCAATTATAAATATTTCAAAATTTTCATTAGGATCTCTTTTTTAACCTGTTACTTATTTTTCTTTCTTTCTCTTTTTTCCCCCGAGACAGTCTTGCTCTGTGGCCCAGGCTGGAGGGCCATGGCGTGATTTTGGCTCACTGCAACCTCTGCCTCCTGGGTTCAAGTGATTCTCCTGCCTCAGCCTCCCAAGTAGCTGGGATTAAAGACAGGCATGCACCACCACGCCTGGCTAATTTTTGTATTTTTAGTAAAGATGGGGTTTCACCATATTGGCCAGGCTGGTCTCAAACTCCTGACCTTGTGATCCACCCACCTTGGCCTCCCAAAGTGCTGGGATTACAGGCATGAGCCACTACGCCCAACCACCTGTTACTTCTTTTCTTTTCTTTTTTCTTTTCCTTCCTTCCTTCCTTCCTTCCTTCCTTCCTTCCTTCCTTCCTTTCCTTCTTTCTTTCTTTCTCTCTTTCTTTCTTTCATTCTTTACCTGTTACTTATTTTCATGTGTGTTGTTAAGTGTCCAAATAGAGACTATTTTGACTGTATTATTTTGTCGTCAATTCCTTACTGAATTCCACTGAGGTAAGGGACATAACCCAGGTGATTTTATTTCTTTGAAAATTGTTTGGGTTTGCTTTACGGCCTAGCACACAATTTTTATAACTGTTCTAAACATGTCATATAATAAAATGATGTACATTATCCAGTTCTTCTGTGCAGAGTTCTACCTATATCCTCTCTCAGTCTGTTTGTGCTGCTGTAACAAAATACCTGAGACTGGGTAATTTATAAAACAGCATCCATTTATTGCCCACAGTTATGGAAGCTGGAAGGTCCATAACTGTGAGCAATTTATTGATCAAGGTACCAGCATGTTTTGTGTCTGGTGAGGGCCCAGCCTCTACTTCCAAGATGGCACCCTGAAAGCTGAGTCCTCCAGAGGGGAGGACAGTGGTGTCCTCACATGGTGGGAGGGATGGAAGGGGCAGAAAGGGCAAAACAGGGTGTACAGCTCCCATGCAGTTCTTTTATAAGGTCATTAATCCCATTCATGAGGGTGGGTCCCTCATGACTAATCACCTTCCCAAGGGCCCCACCTTCTAATATTATCACCTTGGAGATTAGGTTTCAACATGCAAATATTGGAGGGACACATACACTGAAACCATAGCAAATAATGAGTTGCATAATCTCCATACGAGAGTTAATTTGTCTATTTCTTCTTATAGTTCTATCAATATTTATACAATAGTTTGAAGCTGTATATAGATACATATATACACACACATATATATACACACACATATATACACACACATACACACACACACACACACACACACACACACACACACACATATATATATATATTTGAAATGGAGTTTCACTCTTGTTGCCCATGCTGGAGTGCAATGGCACAATCTCGGCTCACTGCAATCTCCATCTCCCGGGTTCGAGTGATTCTCCTACCTTAGCCTCCCAAGTAGCTGGGATTACAGGCGTGCACCACCATGGTTGACTAATTTTTGTATTTTTAGTGGAGACGGGGTTTTGCCATGTTGACCAGGCTGGTCTTGAACTCCTGACCTCATGTGATCCACCCACCTCGGCCTCCCAAAGCATTGGGATTACAGGAGTGAGCCACTGCACCCAGCCTGAAGCTATATTTTTATATGGATACAATTTAGAAGTATTATGTCCTCCTGGTGAGCTGAACCTTTTCTCATTATAAATCACCTATTTGTATTACCCATCTTTTGCTAAGTTAGGCCATAGTAACAGCATGATAGCATGAATCATGCACTCGCTCTTAAAGTGCCCACCTGGAAATGATGCATGTTTTATAATACATTAGTGAGGCCGGGAGCAGTGGCTCATGCCTGTAATTCCAGCAGTTTGGGAGGCCAAGGCGGGTGGATCACCTAAAGTCAGGAGTTCGAGACCAGCCTGACCAACATGGAGAAACCCCGTCTCTACTAAAAGTACAAAATTAGCTGGGTGTGGTGGCACAAGCCTGTATTTCCAGCTACTTGGGAGGCTGAGGCAGGAGAATCACTTGACCCTAGAAGGCGGAGGTTGTGGTGAGCCAAGATTGCTCCACTGCACTCCAGCCTGGCAACAAGAGCGGAACTCCATCTCAAAAAATAATAATAATACATTAGTGAAAGAAAGGTATCTGAACACATCTACTTTCAAAAATTTCTGCAGCTTACAATAATGGTTAATTTCTCACTTACGTTATATGACTTATGTGTGTCATTTGTGGCACTATCCATTCTTCATTCTATATTCTCTTCATCCAGGGACCCAGGCAGGAAGAATAGTCAATCCCATCCAGGACATGCTCTTCTTGTGGCAGAGGGAGAGAGCAATGGTTCTGAAAGCTGTGCTCAGGAGTGCACGCATAACCTCCAGTCACATTTCAGTGACCAAGCCTGACATCCATGGGATGGGAAGTAAACCCTCTCACAGGAACAGCCACAAAATTATTGAAAACAACAATATAAGCTACCACATATTTCTAGAAATGCTTTTTTTTTGAGACGGAGTCTCACTTTGTTGCCCAGGCTGGAGTGCAGTGACACAATCTCGGCTCACTGCAAGCTCCTCCTCCCGGGTTCACACCATTCTCCTGCCTCAGCCTCCCGAGTAGCTGGGACTACAGGCACCCACCGCCATGCCCAGCTAATGTTTTTATTTTTAGCAGAGACGGGGTTTCACCGTGGTAGCCAGGATGGTCTCGATCTCCTGACCTCATGATCCGCCCACCTCGGCCTCCTAAAGTGCTGGGATTACAGGCATGAGCCACCACGCCCGGCCGAAATGCTTTTTGTTTTAGAGTCTATTTATCCAATGTTTTTTGGTTTTTGAGACTGAATCTCGTTCTGTTGCCCAGGCCGGATGGAGGGGCAATGACGTGAACATAGCCCACTGCAGCCTCAAACTCCTGGGCTCAAGCGATTCTCCTGCCTCAGCCTTCTGAGTACCTAGGACTACAGGTGTCACCACACCGGCATTTTTTTTTTTTTTTTGAGATAGGGTCTTACTCTATTGCCCAAGCTGGAATGCAGTGGTGCAATCATGGCACACTGTGGCCTTGACCTCCTGGGCTCAAGTAATCCTCCCACCTCAGCCTCTCGAGTAGCTGGGGCCACAGATGTGTGCCACCACACCTGGCTAATTTTTTTTTATTTTTTGAAGAGAGCATCTCACTATGTTGCCCAGGCTGAATGTTTTTATTTTTTATAGAGACAAGGTTTCACTATATTGCCCAGGCTGGTTTCAAACTCCTGGCCTCAAGTGATCCTCTCACTTTGGCCTCCCAAAGAGCTGGGATTAGGGGTATGAGCTGCCATACCCATCCTTATTTATCCAATGTTAATATAATTTAACCAGCACAGAATCTCTTTTGCCATTCTTTTACTTCAATTTTTCTTTTTTTCCTTTTCTTTCTTTTTTTCTCTTTCTTTGAGACAGGTCTCACTCTGTTGCCCAGGCTCGAGTGCAGTGGCATGGTCATGGCCCACTGCAGCCTCAATCTCCTGGGCTCAGGTGATCCTCCCACCTCAGCCTCCCAAGTAGCTGGGATTACAGGTGTGCACCACCACACCATTTTTTGTAGAGATGGGGTTTCACCATGTTGCCTTGGCTAGTCTTAAACACCTGGGCTCAAGTGATCCACCTGCTTCCCAAAGTGCTAGGATTACAGGCGGGAGCCATCATACCTGGCCTGAAATTTTCTTTAGGTTTGTGTTTTAAACAGTATATAGCTTGATTTTTTTTTTAATCTCATGTTTCCATTTCATCCTTCCAAGTAGCTGGGATTACAGACGCCCACCACCACGGTTGGCTAATTTTTTTGTTTTTGTTTTGTTTTGAGACAGAGTCTTGCTCTGTCACAAGGCTGGAGTTCAGTGGCACAATCCTGGCTCGCTGCAGCCTCTGCCCCCACCCCAGGTTCCAGAGATTCTCCTGCCTCAGCCTCCTGGGTAGCTGGGATTACAGGAGCACACCACCACGCCTGGCTAATTTTTGTATTTTTAATAGAGACGGGGTTTCGTCATGTTGGCCAGGCTGATCTTGAACTCCTGACCTCAGGTGATCTGCCCACCTCAGCCTCCCAAAGTGCTGGGATTATAGGCGTGAGCTGCCACACCCGGCTGCCTGGCAATTTTTCAAGAGTTTCTTGATATTCACTTGTGCTTTTAGCCCCTTTGTTTTTCTAAGCATGCTTGTTTTATATTCTGGTTCTAAAATATCTAATATCTAAAGCCGGTGTGGATCCACCTCTACTGCTTGTCTTCTCTGCTTATTTCCTCAGGGGGTTTGTGGTTTCTGGTTGTGAGTTCATATTTATTTAGAACCCTATCTGTGGGAATTCTTTGAAACCTGGGTTGCCAGTGAGCTCTTCCAGAGAAGATCTGTGTTTGTTTTGGCCAAATACTGTAGGCACCACCTACCCAGGTTCATTTCAAATTAAAGCGATTGCGGGCTTTTGAACTATGCAAATTGTGTGTCCATTTGATAGCCAGACTTTTTGGCCATGAATCCTCCAGGGGAATGTTTTCCCCTTCTGCTCAGAACCAAGGCACAGAGAGACATCTTTAATTGCTGCACCTCTGTACGGCAGATTTTTTCCACCATAGTTTATCCTTCACCTGAGGACATATTTCTTCGTGAGTTCCAACCTGATGTTGCAATTTGACTCTTATCCTGCCTGGACCCAGGTGAACGCTCCTATAGCTGGTAGCAGTATCAGTGTTTACCTATCTCCAGAGATAATTTTGAAAATATTTGTCAGTACAGGACATGCACCAATGGATCGGAACAGATGCAGACGGTACCTCTGCATAATTTCTGAACATCAATTGTTTGACTTCCCAGGCTTGTGTTCTTGTTTTCCTCCTAGCTTCAGATAATTTTCCTGACTTTTTTTTTGCAAGTGTATCCATGCGTTTAAGAGGGTATTCTAAATATTTCTTCTAGCAATTTTATATATTTTGTTGTAGTAATATTTGTAAATATATAGTCCTCAATATTGCCAGAAATAAAGTCCAAGTAAGAAGTTTATTTGGCTCATGCAACAAAACACTTAAGGGTGTCCAAAGCTGGAACTGTGGCCTAATGTCATATGGGACCTAGGTTCTCTCAATCTTCCTGCTTTGCCAGCCTTAGCATTTACTTACCACTTCATAGGCACATGATGGCAGTTGAACTTCCAAACTTCAGGTCTGCTTAGAGGCAGGAATAAAAGTGGCAAAACACTTAAAGAGTATACTCAACTAGGCTGGGTGCAGTTGCTCACGCCTGTAATCCCAGCACTTTGGGAGGCCGAGGCGGTTGGATCATGAGGTCAGGAGTTTGAGACCAGCCTGGCCAAGATGGTGAAACCCCGTCTCTACTAAAAATACAAAAATTAGCCAGGCATGGTGGCATGCACCTGTAGTCTCAGCTACTCGGGAGGCTGAGGCAGGAGAATCGTTTGAACCTGGGAGGCGGAGGTTGCAGTGAGCCAAGATTGTGCCACTGCATTCCAGCCTGGGCAACAGAGCAAGAATTCGTCTCCAAAAAAAAACAAAACAAAACAAAACAAAACCACAAGGCGGGGGAGCTGGAGCATACATGTTTGAAGTAGAATCTTTGACAAGCTGTTCTGCATCCACTCCCATTTCTGTGCTTCCATATTTGTTTTCTTTCATTTTGTTTTCTAGAAAAAAAAATTTTTTTGGTAGAATTCTCTAGGAAAGCTACACTCCTGTGTCCTAGGGCCCAACAACAAGCAAGACAGGCATAACAGCTGGGAAACCAATCAGCTTAAACTGAGACAGACAATATCAAACAGGCATGTCAGGCCCCACGAGAACATCCACCCTAAATCCAGAAGGCATTATGACCACATCGCTTCAGCTGCCTGGATTTCAGGTATAAATTAGTTCTTCTACAAAGAGGGCACTTGGTCTGTAAACGGGTCCAAAGGTAAGAGTCCCACCGCTAAAGACCTATCTCTCTTCTACACTAACATGGGGGGGCAGTGGGGAAGAAAGGGGCGAGAAGAGGTATGGAGGTTTTGGGAGGGAGTGGGAGAATTGGAGGCTAGAGAGATCGTTTCTGTCCCACCATCTGTGTGACCCCAGTGCCCAGCACAATGCAGCCCACGGAAAGGCACTGGTCCTTTCATTGACCATTTACTGAGCATCTACTACATGCCAAAAAGCGAGATGGGTGCTGTGAAGGCAGAAACGGATTTGGAGATAATCTCCGCCAGGCATACTGAGGTCAAGGTTTTCGTTCGTTTGTTTAGAGAAGAGACGGAGAAGGTCAAGGTGTTTTTGTTTGTTTTGTTGTTGTTGTTGTTGTTGTTTAAGAGTCTTGCTCTGTGCTCAGGCTGGAGTGCAGCGGCGTGATCTCGGCTCACTGCAACCTCTGCCTCACGGGTTCAGGCAATTCTCCTGTCTCAGCTTCCCAAGTAGCTGGGATTACAGGCGCGCGCAACCACGCTCAGCTAATTTTTGTATGTTTTGTAGAGACAGGGTTTCACCATGTTGGCCAGGATGGTCTCGAACTCCTAGCCTCAAGCGATCATCCCCTCTCGGCCTCCCAAAGTGCAGGGATTACAGACGTGGGCTACCGCGCCTGGCCTATGCCAAGGTTTCAAGAAGGTTTAGAACTCAGTATCTGCTCCCCTATTTTCAACAGCGTAGTCAGTCCCTAAAATTGACCCGCTCCAGAGTGTACTGCGCAGGCGCCCGCTACCTCCGCGCTCTCTCCCGACGCCCAGCTCAGACGGTAAGTCCCGCATGCGCACTCCGCTTTCTCTCTGACGCACCCCCGGAAGCACTGTCAGTTTCGGGGGGCGGGACCGGGAAGCGTTTCCGGGGGCTGAAGGCACAGGCTGAATCTGTTGCGGCAGCTGAGGCTACAACAGGCCTGCGCCGGCGGCAGAGAGGATATCTTGGGCGGGGGATGTGAGCGCTGAGCCCTTGGCAGGTACTGCGTGGCCAGGACCACGGGCGGCAAGGGTAGGGGAGGAGAAGTCGGTGGGGGAGTTAAGGGCTCCTCAGCAGGCCCCGACGCTCGCGCCGCTGGCCCCGCCAGGCCCATTCCGTGGACCGGCATACCAAAGCCCCGCGCGGGAGGTTGGGGTCCCGGCGCTCCAGCTCCGAATCCCGCAGTCTTCTGCCCACACGGCGCGCAGACCGCGATACCGAGGCCTTTGGGGCAGCTTCTCGCCCAAGGTCACCCTCGCGGCGGCGGAGCTCCGCCGGCCACAGCGCTTAGAGATCCCGCCCCCGTCCGTCCGCTGGCCTTTCGGGGCGTAGGGTGGGCGCGGCTTGACGACCTCGGGTTCGAGCCACCAATGCCTGAGGCCTGACGAGCCGAGCTGGGAGAAAGACTGCGCCTGGACTTAGCTGATCTTCTGTTTAAGTAAAACATTCAGCATCCCCTGTTGCTGTCTCTGTCACCTGTTGTAACCTGCCCTTTTTGTCTTTCAGCTAGGTCGCTGTCAACCTGATATTTCTCTCCACTTTGTCTTTGTCGGGGTATCTGGATCCTGTTTTATATCTGTCTCCACCTTGCTTCTGTGTCTGTTCACCCTGTCTCTGCCACTCAGCCCTTACTCTAATTCAGGGCCTGTCAGTCTGGCTTTTTGGCCATCTGTCTGTTTCTCTCTTTCTGCCAACTTTGTTTTTGCCTCTTGTCTCTCTTTCCTGAGTTTGGGTGGGGCAGGGCTGCCCAGACCTCTGAGCCATGGAAGGTGACTCATGACCCCGTGAAGTTCCCTGCACTGGTGACACTCTCAGTGACTCGACCGCAGTTTGGCCTCAACTCTGACAGGTGTCGCCCAACATAAGTGTCAGAGTGCAGGAGAGCCTGTCAGGGAGACAGGAGGCCCATTTTAGGGCCAGAGCAGCTTGATGAGTCCTCTCCTTTTCTCGCCTGTGGTTTCTCAGGCCTGCACAGCTTCCCAAATGCCTTCGCTCTATCCACTCACCACAGGATGGTCTCCAGGGATCTCTGGAGCCTGCTCTTTGAGTTACAGCTGTTTAACAGGCCTGTCTACAGGCTAAGAAAGGATCAGACTGAGGTCTTTGGGGCTACTGGAACAGTAGCAGGGTTTCTGGGATAACTGCATGCTTAGTTCAGAGATTGTGTCAGCATTTTCAGTTAAATTATAAGAAACCTAATAATTGGGAATTTATTATTTGCTTTATAAAAGCACCACGGGAGAAATAAACCACACACAAAAGGACAAATGTTGTTTGAGAGCACTTAAATGAAGTACCTAGAATAAACCAATTAAGAGACGGAAAGTAGAATAGTTTACCAGGGGCTGGGGAGAGGAGTTATTGCTTAATGTTACAGAACAGAGTTTTGGGGGATGATGAATAAGGTCTGGAAATGGGTTGTGATGATTGCACAACATTGTGAATGTACTTCACTGAATTGGACTCTTAAAATTACTTAAAATTGTTAAGTCTTAAAGTTTTATGTATATTTTATACAATACAAAAAACAAAAACAGTATTCATTGGAGACTCCTGAAACCAATAAGCTCCTTTTACATGTAATTTTTCAAAATTCATTCTGTAGTTGTTAGGAACACAGTTGAACCTGTGTTTATTGATTCCTACTCTCTTTACAGCAGTGGGTACAGCTGAGGTTCTTAGAAAAGTTTAGTTAAATGAATTTGGTTAAAATCTTTCTCAGGCTTTCTACTTACTTTCTGCCCTGGCTCTCCTCCCTCTGCCTTTCTTGGAATCAGTGCAAGAATGTGCTCATAAGTAGGATACTTGATAATTATGCTTTTCACAGGAAGAAAACTCATAAGGTTGAAAAATAGCCCTTTTATTATAATGCAAAATTATGTGTTATTTCTTGAGTTTCGTTATGGGGGATGCCTTTGTGGTTTTTTTGTTTTTTAAAATCTCTTATTTAAGCTGTCTATTTGCCTTTAAGGTAGTTTATCAAGCTTTCTAATAAGATATCACAACTGAATTACTACTTTATTTAATTGAATCCTAGATGCTGTTATTTCATGTACCACCAAGGAAGGGAGAAACCCTGCTAATTGAACTATGGCTTAATACGCTCTTATCGTTTAGACTTTTTATTATTGAAAACACTTTTAGACTTAGACACTAAAACATGGTATCAATGCCTATTCTAATGCATATATACAAAGGAAAAATAAGAACACATTGGTTAAAGTGTTCGTTAAACTTAACATTCCAAGTTCTACTCTTCTGTGCACTTTTCAATTCAGAGTGTGTCCATATTTTTTCTAGAGTGTCATCCTTTGTGTCATCAAGAACATTGATGAGGACCTCAGCAGTTCTCTATCATTGTCTCAGGCAGTGACAGCTATTAAAACTGCCACCTGGTGATCACATTCTGATTTCAGGAATTTTAAAATGTGAAAAAATGCATGTCTGAAAATTAATTGAAGAGTATCATTTTCATGAACTTTTTTTTTCTTGTTTTTGTTTTTGTTTTGTTTTGTTTTTTTGAGATGGAGTCTCGCCCTGTCGCCCAGGCTAGAGTGCAGTGGTGCAATCCCGGCTCACTGCAACCTCCGCCTCCTGGGTTCAAGCGATTCTCCTGCTTCAACCTCCCGAGTAGCTGGGATTACAGGCGCCTGCCACCACACACAGCTAATTTTTGTATTTTTAGTAGAGACAGAGTTTCACCATGTTGGCCAGACTGGTCTCAAACTCCTGACTTCAAATGATCCACCTGCCTTGGCCTCCCAAAGTGCTGGGATTAACAAGTGTGAGCCACTGCGCTGGGCCTGAACTTTTCCTTTTCAACTCTATTTATATTTGCAGTTAGAATAGGGGCTTTTGTCTTATTTGTAACATATTGAGGAAAAAATATTTTTTAAAATTTGTCGATATGTTGTTAATTTCTTGAAATGAGTACTGTTTCTGCCTTCTGCTTTCTTGATTTCAGCTTCTTATCCTGAATTCTAATGCACGTGAGGGTACAGTTAAAAACATTTCCTTGGCTTTATTGAAATTCAATGGAAGGATGATCGATAAATGGGGGGTTAGTTTCTAGAACGTTACCTTCTCTTTTGAATCTCAGAGAGTTTGCTGTAATAGAATGTTTGTCCTAGAAGTTTTTAAGTAAAACATTCAGCCGTGGCTTAAAATTGAAGGGAATCATGAATCAAACTTCATAAAGCAGGTGGCTTGTTTTTTTAAAAAACATCTTAAAATAGTTTTTACTAAGTGATTTGGCCAAAGTGTTCTAATTAGGAAAAAAATGGAAGAATACTGATTGACAATGGTCAGGAGACCAATAGCACTGTTCCAAAGGATATATTAATTCTGCAAAATTACATAGTCATTGACCATGTTTTCTAGTTTTAATGAATATGCCACAGTAATGGATGAGAGGTATATGGGAGTTATGCACTATCTTTTCAGTTTTTTTGAAAATTTAAAATTATTACAAAATAAGTTTGTTTTTTTAAAAAATACAAAAGCAGGAGCTATGAAGTTGCAGAATGGAATTTAATATAACCAAAAATGCCAGTCTTGATTACTTTTCTTTCTGCCGCTAATGTACATCTCTAGTGTTTATTAGCAAATACACGTGTACATAGCATCTCTTTTACATTTTCACTGTTACTCTTCCTTCCAGAAGTCAATGTGATTTTAATTTGAAGCAAAACTGAAATGGGTTCTTCTTCCTCATTCTATTCATGTTGCTTTTTGATGGCCATGGCATAAGGAACTCTATCCCAGGAATACAGCTTTGCATTAGGTAAGCTATCAACTTGATCACGATACCATTTTTAAAGTTACTTACTGTAATCATTTCTCTTTTAGCAAAAATAATAATGTATTTTGTTAAGATTTTTAATTCCTCTAGACCAGAAGATTCTTTCTTCTCTTCTGAAGAGATGTTACACCTTCTAAGGCCCATCAATGCCATACTTTGCACTGATAGAACATTTAATGTCAGATAAATTTTTCTGCCAAGTGAATTTTTTTTCTTAACTTAGAAAAATGTTAGATTTGGAGTTATACTGCTGTTTGAATGCTGACATGCCATTTCTGAGACGTGTAACCACTGGCAGGTCTTTTAATTTGAGCTTCAGTTTACTCATATTTCAAAAGGATGCAATGATACGGGAGTGTTGCACAACGCAGGTTTACATAGTGTGCTTTGTGAACTCTAAAGCATTTCACTAATGTAAAGAGTAGGCATAGGGTATTGGTGTTTTTGTACATTTGTGCCAGGCTTTAAATTTACTGAAGCAACATTTACTATGTTTAAATATGCTTTCTATAGTAAGCATGCAAGTTACCATATGCTCTGATTAAAGAAACCTCTGAAGGACTTCACAATAAGTAGCTGGTGGGTCTGCTTCCCTATTATATTGCTGTCATCTGTGTTTTTAGGATGTTTAATAGGTGTTTAAATCACGTATAAAATTTGACTTGGAGTTCCTCAGCCGAATAATAAATAGTGGCTGTTATTAAACTCATCAAAGTTGGAAGGAATCTTGAAGGTCATCTAGTTCAGGATTTCTTCAGTATGTTGCCCTTCATCTGCGTTAAAAAAAGCCAAATAGCTTTTAAGAAGCATAGTGGAACAGGCTGGCATCGGTGTGTTTGTTTTAGAACTGTTGCTATTGGATTAAAAAAATAAAATACATGTGCAAAGTGGCATAAAACTGCTGGTATCTTTTTTTTTTTGAGACAGAGTCTCGCTTTGTCGCCCAGGCTAGAGTGCAGTGGCAGGATCTCAGCTCACTGCAAGCTCCACCTCCCAGGCTCAAGCAGTTCTCTGCCTCAGCCTTCAGAGTAGCTGGGATTACAGGTGCCGGCCACCACACCCGGCTAATTTTTTTGTATTTTTAGTAGAGATGGGGTTTCACCATCTTGGCCAGACTGGTCTTGAACTCCTGACCTTGTGATCCACGGGCCTCAGCCTCCCAAAGTGCTGGGATTACAGACGTGAGCCACCGCGCCCGGCCCACTAACTGCTGGTATCTTATTAAGGTTTTTGTTTGTTTGTTCATTTGTTTGTTTATTTGTTTGTTTGTTTGTTTTTGAGATGGAGTCTCGCTCTTGTTGCCCAGGCTGGAGTGCAGTGGCAGAATCTCCGCTCACTGCAACCTCTGCCTCCCAGGTTCAAGAGATTTTCCTTCCTCAGCCTCCTGAGTAGCTGGGATTACAGGCATCTGTCAGCATGCCCAGCTAATTTTGTATTTTTAGTAGAGACAGGGTTTCGCCTTCTTGGCCAGGCCAGTCTCAAACTCCTGACCACAGGTGATCCACCGTCTCGTGCTCCCAAAGTGCTGGGATTACAGGCATGAGCCACTGTGCCCAGCCGTCTTTTTTTTTTTTTTTTTTTTTTTTGAGATGGGGTCTCGCTCTGTCACACAGGCTGGAGCGCGTGGCGAGATCTTGGCTCACTGCGACCTCTGCCTCCCGGGTTCAAGTGATTCTCCTGCCTCAGCCTCCCAGGTAGCTGGGACTACAGGCATGGGCCACCATGCACAGCTAATTTTTTTTTGTACTTTTAGTAGAGAAGGGGTTTCACCATGTTGGCCAGGATGGTCTCCATCTTTTGACCTGGTGATCCGCCCGCCTCGGCCTCCCAAAGTACTGGGATTACAGGAGTGAGCCACCATGCCTGGCTTGGGCCATCTTAAGTCTAAGGATGGTCAGCGTGCGAAAGTTTGTGAATGCATTGTATATAATAAAATTATATAGATTATTTGTGAAAATGATATTCACGTTTACTTTCCATACTCTGAAACTATAGTGATATTCACAGCCAGGCACGATGGCTCATGCCTGTAATCCCAGCACTTTGGGAGGCCAAGGTGGGCAGATCACATGAGGGTCAGGAGTTCGAGACCAACCTGGCCAACATGGTGAAACCCCATCTCTACTAAAAACACAAAAATTAGCTGGGCGTGGTGTCACGCACCTGTGGTCTCAGCTACTCAGGAGGCTGAGGCAGGAGAATCGCTTGAACCTGGGAGGCGGAGGTTACAGTGAGCTGAAGTGGCACCACTGCCCTCCAGCCTGGGCGACAGAGACTCCATCTCAAAAAAAAAAAAAAAAAGAAGAAAAAATTATATTCACCTTTTCTTTCCACCTCTTAAGCTATAGTGGGCCTGAACAAGTACTTTGGATTTAAATCTCAATTTTACTGCTTACCAGTTATATGACCTTAAGTTGCTTAGCTTTTTTGTCTATCTCCAATTCTGTACAATGGAAGTAAAAAATACCTATTGAGTGGGTTGCTGTGAAGATTAAGTGAGACAGAGCATATAAAGTGCTTTGCATAGACTTTGTACAATGTCTGTATTAAGCAGTTTATATATTTGTATATGTATGTCATAAATAGTAGTTGCTGTTATTTCCTATTAATGATGACATTTTCCTAGTCACTCAGTCATGAAATTCAAAGTCGGCATTGGTACATCAGTTTGCCTTGCATTACTCTTTATTTTATTTATTTCTATTTTTTTGGGATGGAGTCTCACTCTGTCGCCCAGGCTGGAGTGCAGTGGGGTAATCTTGGCTCACTGCAGCCTCCGCCTCCTGGGTTCAAGTGATTCTTCTGCCTCAGCCTCCCGAGTAGCTGGGACTACAGGCACCCACCACCACACGCAGCTAATTTTTGTGTTTTTAGTAGAGACGGGGTTTCACCATATTAGTCAGGCTGGTCTCGAACTCCCGACCTTGTGATCCACCCACCTCGGCCTCCCGAAGTGCTGGGATTACAGGCGTGAGCCACCGCACCCGGCCACATTACTCTTTTTTAAACAGCTTTACAGAGACATAATTCATAAGTAATAAAGAGGTTTTTTTTTTGGTATATTCACAGATTTGTATACCCATCACCACAATCTAATTTTAGAACTTTTGTCTCCCCTCAAAGAAACCCAGTTAGCAGTTGCTCCCCATTTCTTCTACCTGTAGCCACGAATCTACTTTCTGTCTCTATGGATTTGTCTATTCTGGACATTTCATATAAGTGGAGTCATACAAGATACGGCCTTTTGTGTCCGACCTCTTTCATTTAGCATAACGTTTTCAAGTGCCAGCCGTGTTGTCACATCTATCAGTATTTCGTTCTTTTTTATTGCCAAACATCCTATTCTAAGGATATATCCTGTTTGTTTATCCAGTCATAAGTTGATGGAGCTTATGATGGTTTTCACTTTTTGGCTTTTAAGAATAATGCAGTTATGAACATTCATGTACGAGTTTTAGTGTGGACATCATATGTTTTCATTTTTCTTGGGTATGTACCTAGGAGAATTGTTGAATTAACGTGGTAACTCTATGTTTAACTCCCTGAGGTGCTGTCACACTGCTTTCCACAGTAGCTGTACCATTTTACATGCCCACCAGCAATGTATGGAGGTTATAATACCTACACATCCTCACCGACACCTGTTATTGTCTGTCTGTCTTTTGACAGCCATTTTAGTGAGTGAAAAGGGATGTTTAGTAGTTTTGATTTGCATTTTTCTAATTACTAATGATGTTGAGTGGTTTTCATATGCTTATAGGTTATTTGTATATCTTCTTTGGAGAAATGTCTCTTCAGATCCTTTATCTGTTTTTCAGTTGGGTTATTTATCTTTTTATTATTGAGTCATAAGAGTTCTTGAGGTATTCTGGATGCAAGTCACTCATTAGTTACATGATCTGCAAATAATTTCTCCTATTCTGTGGGTTGTGTGTTCACTTTCTTGATGGTATCATTTGTACCTTGTACTACTGCTGTATCTTCCTGCTGACCAGTTCTGTCAGTCTCATCAATGCCACCCCTTTTCCATACCCACTGTTACTTTTTTTTTTTTTCTTTTTTTTGAGATGTAGTTTTGCTCTTGTTGCCCAGGCTGGAGTGCTTTGGCATGATCTCGGCTCACTGCAACCTCCGCCTCCCAGGTTCAAGCAGTTCTGCTGTCTCAGCCTCCCGAATAGCTGGGATAACAGATGTGTGCCACCACGCCCGGCTAACTTTGTATTTTTAGTAGAGACAGGGTTTCACCATGTTGGCCAGGCCGGTCTGGAACTCCTGACTTCGAGTGATCCACGTGCCTCAGCCTCCCAAAATGCTGGGATAAAAGACGTGAGCCACCATGCCTGGCCCCACTGTTACTTTTATTACTACCTAGACTACACTTATTGAAATCCTATAATTAGCTTCTACTTCAGACTTTCTCCTGCTTTAGTCCGTCAGCAGATCAACCTTCCTTAACCATGCCTCACAGCACGTCACTTAGAAGTTTTCAGTGCTGCCCCAATGTAGACGTCTCATTCGGCTTTTTCTAGATTTATCTCCCATCACTCATTGTCACTCATAGAAGGAAGCACAAGTAATGATGTGTGTGTCACCAGGGTTAGTCTTGAGTGAAAGAGAGCCGAGGGAGATCTGAAATGGCTTTCTGATGGTAATTTCACCATAATCTAGGATCTTGCCGTTAGTGTGATTGGACCAATAACTCAGTGTCTTCAACATATCATACTTATGATGTACCAAACCCGCAAGAGATTAAAGTATACAAACCAGAATGCCATGTGATTTATAATTTTTCTTTCTATGTTAATAAGTGAGATTGGCTTGTAGGGTTTTTTTTGTTGTTGGCCAATTTTGATACCAGAGTTTTGTATAAAATTTATGAATTTTCTCCTACCCTATTGCCTTGTCCTCTTCTCCCCCTCTACTTTTTACATTTCTAGTTTTATCATATTGTGTAATCCATTGTATAGTCACATGTAATCAAATGTGCCCTGTGCATTTCCGCTTTGGAGAATTTATTGATGTTCTCTGTAGCCACGTATATTATCATTTTTGTAAATGTCCTACAGACAGTAGAAAAGGAGTATTATTTGTAGAGTATATAGGTATTGCATTAAATTAGCTTTATTGATAGCTGTCTAAACCTATAGATTCTTGTCCTTTGCCTACTTGATTTATTAAGAATTAAAGAGGGATACTTATATTTCCTGCTACAATTACAGTTCTGTTACTGTTGCCTTATTTTCTAACATTGTACTCTGACACATAAAAGTTCACAGAGTAAACTTCATTGTGAATTATAGGTTTCATCAGTTAACAATAAACTTTCATCCTGATTTTTACAGATGAAATTTACATCTGTAAAATTTTTACAGATGAAATTTACATCTGTAAAATGTAAATTTTACATCTGTAAAAATTTTACAGATGAAATTTACAAAGTAAATTTACATTGAAATTTACTTTGATATTAGTATTGTGTTGCTTGACTTTTGTTTTCATGTGACTTTTTTTTTTTTAAACTTTTGACCTTTTTGGTGATAAATTCTTTCAACTTTTCTATGTCTGAAAAAGTATTTTGGGCCGGGCGCGGTGGCTTACGCCTGTAATCCCAACACTTTGGGAGGCCGAGGTGGGCAGATCACGAGGTCAGGAGATCGAGACCATCCTGGCTAACACAGTGAAACACTGTCTCTACTAAAAATACAAAAAATTAGCCGGGCATGGTGGTGGATGCCCGTAGTCCCAGCTACTTGGGAGGCTGAGGCAGGAGAATGGTGTGAACCCAGGAGGCGGAGCTTGTAGTGAGCTGAGATTGCACCACTGTACTCCAGCCTGGGCAACAGAGCAAGACTCTGTCTAAAAAAGAAAGAAAGAAAGAAAGAAAAAGTATTTTGCCTTCACTTTGAAGATACTTTCATGGGTATAGAATTCTAAGTTGACAGGCCTTTCCGCCCCCTCCCCCACCTTCATTTCAGTATTTTAAAATGGTCTCCTGTCTCCTGGCTTGCATTGCTTCTGAGGTTCTCTGTACACAAGGGGCCTTTTTTTTGTCTGGCTGCTTTTAAGATTTTCTCCACTGATTTTAAGTGATTTGATTATGATGTGCCTTGCTGTAGTTTTTTTCATGTTTCTTGTGCTTGGAGTTTGTTGAGCTGCTTAGGTCTGTGAGTTCGTAGTTTTCATCAAATTTGAAAAAGTTTTGGCTGTTGTTTTCACATATGTATAAAATGTATGTGTGTATGTGTGTATTGTTTATATATATAGTTTTCAATATATAAAACTATATATATAGTTTTCAATATATAAAACTATATATATATAGTTTTCAATATATAAAACTATATATATATAGTTTTCAATATATAAAACTATATATATAGTTTTCAATATATAAAACTATATATATAGTTTTCAATATATAAAAATATATATATATATATAGTTTTCATGTGTCTGATAGCTTATCACATAAAACTTTTTGCCTTCCCCACAACAATCATGTCTACATTAGGTATCTGGAAGTTGTCTCACAGCTCACTGATACTCTATTCCCTTTTTATTTGCCTTTTTTTTTCCTCTGTATGTTTTATTTTGGGTAAGTTTTTGTTGCCATGTTTTCAAGCTCACTAATGTTCTGCAGTGTCAATTCTGTTGTTATTCTCATCCCAATGTATGTTTGTTTTTTAAATTTCTAGATGTTTTATTTGGGTCTCTCTCTCTCTCTCTTTTTTTTTTTTTCAATAGTTTCCCTGTCTGTACCTAACATGCTTAATCTTTCCTCTACTTTCTTGAAAATATAGAATATAGAATTGTTTACCAGTTGTATAAATCTTCTGTCATTTCTGGATCTGTTTCTGTTGATTGATTCCCACCCCCACCTCAGTATCCTGGGTTATATTTTCCTAGTTCTTGGCATGCCTGGTGATTTTTAAATTTGATGTCAGATATGAGTTTTACCTTGTTCGGTGCTGGATATTTTTGTATTATGTAAATGTTCTCAAGTTTCATTCTGGAACATAATTAAGTTAGAAACAGTTTGATCCTTCTGAGGCTTGTTTTTAAGCTTTGTTTGGCAGGACCAGAACTGCATTTTGTCTGGAATTAATTTGTCCCCACTACTGAGGTAAGGCTTTTCTGAATACTCAAGGTTTTCCATTCAGGGCAGTTTTCTTCAATTAAATTTATTTTTTATTATTTCACGTTCTCTGGTTCTTTCTCTCAAGGACATTAACGGGCTGTACATCGATCTCTCTTCTCTGTTCTCCTGCTTTATCATCTTCTCTCTCGCTGTTTTCACTTTCTTGTATTTTAGTAGAAGGTCCCCAAAGTGCCTTCCACATTATCGATTCCATTTTTTTACTGTTGTAATTCTGCTTCTTATTGCCTGTGTAAATTTCTGCTCTATATTAGTTTCCTGATACCCTATCATTAATTCAGTCTGCCCTTTTTTCATATCATTCTACTGTTTTGTCTCATCTTCCTTATACTTTATTCAGAGACTGTGTTTTCATGAAGTTTGTGAAAAACATTTTAAAAATTGTTTAAAATGTACTCTTTGTCTATTTCTTGCTATTTTTTCTTTTTGATATTCTGGAATATATCCACAGACCTGTGTTGGTTTTATTTTGTTTAATTCTTGAGAGGGAAACATTCTGTTCAGGTCTGAAATTTGCTTTTGGGTCCCTTGTTGTATACCCGAATATTGTTAGAATCAGCTCTTAGTTCTTAAGCTAGATGCAGGGCTGAACCACATTGACATCTGGGATTAGTTGAGTGGGGCTGGAGGGGTAGGCCTTAGGCCCTCTCAGGGGAGCTTGAGCTCTGTGTACTTTCTTTGCAGTTGGTGAAATTGGGATACTAGGACCCTCTGTTGTCTTTGGCCCAACTGGCAAATGATGGCTATGCCTTTACCTCCTTCCTGGGGCTACGGAGTCCCACCCCCTTATGTTAATATTTTTTCCTTCTGCCAAGGTAATGTGCAACCTTTGGTATCCTAATACCACCCACCTCTGAGTTTTGCCAGTCTGCAGGACCTGTCTGTCCTTGGCTTTTAGCTCTGGGACTCCCAAGTGAAAGAGTGTTACTGATCCCGTCAGAATTGCCTGGAATAGGACGTGGAGTTTCAGGCCAGTGTTTCCCTTCAACTTGGCCCCATTTCCACTGTATCTTTTTTTTTTTTTTTTTTTTTTTTTTTTGAGACAGAGTCTTTCTCTGTCACCCAGGCTGGAGTGCAGTGGTGGCAGTCACAGCTCACTGCAGCCTCGACCTCCCCTGTTCAAGAGATTTCCCCTCTTCAGCCTTCTGAGTAGCTAGGATGTCAGGTGCATGCCACCATGCCTGGCTAATTTTTGTATATTTGTAGAGATGGGGTCTTGCTATGTTGCCCAGGCTGGTCTTGAACTCCTGGGCTCAAGTGATCTGCCCACCTCAGCCTCCCAAAGTGCTGGGATTACAGGCATGAGCCACCATGCCCGGCTGGACTGTGACATTTCTTGATTGTCTTTGAAGTCCCCCATAATACATTGAATATAATGTTCCATGAAGTTTTTTTTTTTTTTTTGAGACGGAGTCTCGCTCTGTCACCCAGGCTGGAGTGCAGTGGCGTGATTGCGGCTCCCTGCAAGCTCCGCCTCCCAGGTTCACACCATTCTCCTGCCTCAGCCTCCCGAGCAGCTGGGACTACAGGTGCCTGCCACCACGCCCGGCTAATTATTTTATATTTTTAGTAGAGATGGGGTTTCACTGTGTTAGTCAGGATGGTCTCGATCTCCTGATCTCGTGATCCACCCACCTCGGCCTCCCAAAGTGCTGGGATTGCAGGCGTGAGCCACTGCGCCTGGCCCCATGAGGTTTTTTAGTGAGCTAATTAATTACTTCTATGACATCATCTAAATAACTGAAACAACAGCTATACTCTCAGTATAGGTCACAATTGCCTATGAGTTTGTAATAGAAAAACCTGTAGAAATTTAGCATGTTGCAGGTCAGAGAATATGGAGAAATGCCATATTCACCCAAAGTTAAGGGCAAGGATTTTTGATAGGGCTTGGTTTGAATCTGTGTATTGCTTTGGGTAGTATTGTTATCTTAACAATATTATGTCTTCCAATCCATAAACAACATGGTATTCTATTTATTTGTGCCTTTAATTTATTTCAGCAGTGTTTTGTAGTTTTTTTCTTTTTCTTTTTTTTTTTTTTTCCTTTTTGGACAGAATCTCCCTCTGTCACCCAGGCTGGACTACACTGGTGGGATCACAGCTCACTTTAGCCTAAAACTCTTGGGCTCAAATGATCCTCTTGCCTCAGTCTCCCAAGTAGCTGGGACTACAGCTGTGCACCACTATTCCTGGCTAATTAAAAAATATATATATATATATATTTAGAAACAAGGTCTTGCTGTGTCGTCCAGGCTGGACTCAAACTTCTGGCCTCAAGTGATCCTCCCAAGTAGCTGGGATTGCAGATGAGAGCCACCACACATGGCCGTTGTGTAGAGACAGGGTTTTACCATACTGCCCAGACTGGTCTCAAACTTCTGAGCCCAAGCAATTCGCCCACCTCGGCCTCCCAAAGTGCTAGGGTTACAGGCATGAGCCACCACGCCTAGCTTCTTGAGTGTTTTTGTCATGAAAGGGTGCTGAATTTTGTCAGATGCTTTTTCTGTGTCAGTTGAGATGATACGTGTTTTATGTGTTTTTTTCCCCTTCATTCTGTTAATGTGCTGTGTTACATTGATTGATTTCATATGTTGAACTATCCTTGCATTCCAGGAAGAGATCCCACTTGCTGGTGGTGTATAATTCTTTTAATATGCCGCTTAATTTGGTTTGGTAGTATTTTGTTGATATTTACTCCAGTGTTCATAAGGGGTATTGGTCTATAGTTTTTGTATAGTGTTTTTGTCTGGCTTTCATATCAGAGGGCACTCCTGACCTAATAGAATGAGTTAGGAAGTGGTCCCTCCCCTTCAGTGTTTTAGAAAAGTTTGAGAAGGATTGGTGTCAGTTCTTCTTTAAATGTTTGTTAGAATTTACCAGTGAAGCCATCAGGTTAGGATCTTTTCTTTATTGAGTCAATGTCCTTGATAGTTATAGGTCTTTAAGGGTATTGTTTAATTTCCACATATTTATTAGTTTTTCAGTTTTCTCTCTTATTGATTGCTACATTCATTTCATTGTGGTTAGAAAAATACTTTGTATTTTTAAAAAGACTCAGTCTTGTTAAGTGTATTAAGACTCGTTTATGGTCTAACACATGATCTATCCTGGAGAATGTACTGTGTGCACTTGGTGGCTGACATGTCCTATACAGGCATACCTCATTTTGTGCTTCACGGATATTGCATTTTTTTTTTTTTTTTTTTTTTTTTACAAATAGTCTGTGGCAACCCTGCATTAAGGAAGTCTATCAGCATCATTTTTCCTGTTGCACATGTTTACTTTCTGTTTCTGTGTCATATTTTGGCAGTTCTTGCAATATTTCAAAACTTTTCATTATTATTATATCTGTTATGGTGATCTTTGATCAGTAATTTTTTGATGTTACTATTGTAATTGTTTTGAGGCACCACAAACCACACCCATAAGGGACAGCAAACTTAGTCAATAAATGTGTGTTCTGACTACTCCACTGACCCACCATTCCCCCATCTTTCCCCCTCTGTTCAGGCCTCCCTATTACGTGATACACAACCACTTGAATTTAGGCCAATTAATAAACCTACAATGGCCTGGTGTTTAAGTGAAAGGAGGAGTCATATGCTTCTTACTTGAAATCAAAAGCTAGAAATGACTAAGCTTAGTGAGGAAGGCATATCAAAAGCAAACATAAGCCAAAAGTTAGACTTCTTGCTCTAAACAGCCAAATTGTGAATGCAAAGGAAAAGTTATTGAAGGAAATTGAAAGTGCTACTCTAATGAACACATGAATGATAAGAAAGTGGCAGCCTTAGTGCTGAGAGAAAGTTTTAGTGGTCTGAATGGAAGGTCATACCAACCACAACATTCCTTTAAGCCAAAGCCGTCAGAAGAAGACCCTAACTCTCTTCATTTCTCTGAACACTGTGAGAGAGGTGAGGAAACTGCAGAAGAAAAGTTTGAAGCTAGCAGAGGTTGGTTTGTGAGGTTGAAGGAAAGAAGTGTCTCCGTAATGTAAAAGTGCAAGCTGAAGCAGCAAGTGCTAATGTAGAAACTATAGCAAGCTATCTAGAAAATCTAGCTAAGATAATTGGTAAAGATGGCTGCACTAAACCACAGATTTTCAATATAGATGAAAAAGCCTTCTATTGGAAGGAGATGCTATCTATGACTTCCATAGCTAGAGAGGAGAAGACAATACCTGGCTTCAAAAGACAAGTTATAACTCTCTCATTAGGGGCTAATGCAGCTGGTAACTTTAAGTTGAGGCCACTGCTCAGGTACCATTCCCAAAATCCTAGGGCCCTTAAGAATTATGCTAAGTATACTCTGCCTGTGCTCCATAGATGGCACAGTGAAAGCTTGGAGACAGCATTTACAGAATGCTTTACTGAATATTTTAAGCCCACTGTTGAGACCTACTGCTCAGAAAAAGATTTTTTACAAAGCATTACTGCTCATTGAGAAGGCACTTGGTCACCCAAGAGCTCTGATGGAGATGTACAAGGACATTAGTATTGTTTTCATGCCTGTTAATACAACATCCATTCTGCAGCCCATGGACCAAGGAGTAATTTCAATTTTCAAGTGTTATTATTTAAGAAATACATTTTGAGCCAGGTGCAGCAGCTCACACCTGTAATCCTAGCACTTCGGGAGGCCAAGGCAGGCAGATTGCTTAAGCCTAGGGGTCCAAGACCAACCTGAGCAGCATACAAAACCCTATCTATACTGAAAATGCAAAAAATTAGTGAAGCGTGGTGTCATGCACTTGTAGTCCCACCTACCCAGGATGCAGAGGTGGGAGGATCACGTGAGCCAGAGAGTCGAGGCTGCAGTGAGCCACAATCGCACCACTGCACTCCAGCCTGGGTGACAAAGTGAGACCCCCATCTCAAAAAAAAAAAAAAAAAAAAGGATATTTTGTAAGGCTATAGCTACTGTAGCTGCTATTGATAGTGATTCCTCTGACACTCTGATGGATATCTGGGCAAAGTAAATTGAAAATGTTTTGGTGGCAGTGTGGTAGCTCACACCTGTAACTCCCAGCACTTTGGGAGGCCAAGGTGGGTGAATCGCTTGAGGTCAGGAGTTTGAAACCAGCCTAGCCAACATGGTAAAACCCTGTCTCTACTAAAAATATATATAAAAATTAGTGTGGTGGCATGGTGTCACATGCCTGTAATCCCAGCTACTTAGGAGGCTGAGGCAGGAGAATTGCTTGAAGGCAGGAGGCAGAGGTTGCAGTGAGCTGGGATCGCACCACTGCACTCCAGCCTGGGCAACAGAGCAAGACTCTGTCTTTAAAAAAAAAGAAAAAAAGAAACACAAAAAAAATGTTTTGGAAAGGATTCACTATTCTAGATGCCGTTAAGAACATTCGTGATTGGTGGGAGGAAATCAAAATATCAGCCTTAACAGAAGTTGATTCCAACCCTCATGGATGACTTTGAGGGGCTCAAGACTTAAGTGGAGGAATTAATTGGAGATGTAGTGGAAATAAATAGCAAGAGAAATAGAATTAGAAGTGGAGCCTGAAGATGGGACTGAATTATTGCAAAGGCATGGTAAAACTTGAGTGGATGAGAAGTTGCTTCTTAGGGATGAGCAAAGAAAATGGTTTCTTGAAATGGACTCTACTCCTGGTGAAGATGGTGTGAACATTATTGACAACAAAGGATTTAGAGTAAGCTTTTCTAACCTGTGGCCCCCAGGACGGCTTTTCTAACCTGTGGCCCAGGATGGCTCTGAATGTGACCCAACACAAATTCATAACCTTTCCTAAAACATGAGATTTTTTTTCTTTTTTTGAGACAGAGTTTCTCTTGTCTCCCAGGCTGGAGTGCAATGGCACGATCTTGGCTCACTGCAACCTCCGTCTCCTGGGTTCAAGCAGTTCTCCTGCCTCAGCCTCCCAAGCGATTACAGTCGCCCACCACCACACCCAGCTAATTTTTGTATTTTTAGTAGAGACAGGGTTTCACCATGTTGGCCAGGCTGGTCTCGAACTCCTGACCTCAGGTGCTCGCCCGCCTGGGCCTCCCAAAATGCTGGGATTACAGGCATGAGCCACCATGCTCGGCCGAGATTTTTTTTTTTTTTTTTTTTTTTAAAGCTCATCTGCTATGGTTAGTGTTAGTGTGTTTTATGTGCAGTCCAATTCTTCCACTGTGGCTCAGAGAAGCCAAAAAATTGGACACCCCTGATTTAGAATATAAACTTTATTGATAAAGCATCAGCAGGATTTAAAAAGATTGACTCAAATGTTGTGAAAGAAGTTCTGTGGGCAAAATGTTATCAAACAGCATTGCATGCTACAGAGAAATCTTTTGTGAAAGAATCAATTGATGTGGCAAACTTCACTGTTGTCCTATTTTAAGAAATTGGCAGGCCAGGCACGGTGGCTCATGCTTATAGTTCCAGCACTTTGGCAGGCTGAGGCAGGCGGATTGCTTGAGCCCAGGAGCTCAAGACCATCCTGGGCAACATGGTGAGACCCTGTCTACAAAAAATACAAAAATTAGCTGAACATGGTGATGCATGCCTGTAGTCCAGCTCCTTGGGAGGCTGAGGCAGGAGAATTGCTTGAGCCCAGGAGGTCAAGGCTGCAGTGAGCCGTGATCACATCACTGCATTTCATCCTGGGCAGCAGAGCGAGACCCTATCTTGGGAAACAAAAAAGAAAGAAAGAAATTGCTACAGCCACCCTACCGTTCAGCAGTCACCACCCTGATCAGTCAGCAGCCATCCACTCAAGGTAAGACCCTCTACCAGCAAAGGGATTACAACTGGCTGAAGGCTCAGATGATTGTTAGCATTTTTCAGCAATAAAGTATTTTTAAATTAAGGTGAGTACTTTTTTTTTTTTAGACATAATGCTATTGCACACTTAATAGACTACAGTATGGTGTAAGCATTACTTTTATATGCACTGGGATACCAAAATTTATGTGGCTCACTTTATTATGGTGTTTATTTTATTGCGGTGTTCTTGAACTGAACCAACAATATCTCTGAGGTATGCCTGTATATGTCTTTATAGCAGGCTTAACTGGTTTATAATGTTGTTCAAGTCTTCTATTTCCTTATAGATCTTCTGTCTGCTTTTTTCTATCAATTCTTGAAAGTGGGGTATTGGAGTCTCCACCTATTATTATAGAACTGTCTATTCCTTCCTTCAATTTTATCCACTTTTACTTCATATATTTTAGAGTTATCTTGTTAGGTGTGTATATGTTTATAATTGTTATATTTTCTTGATAGATTGAACCTTTTTACTCAACATATAATTCTTTGTCTCTTGTAACCTTTTTTGACTTAAAATCGATCATTTCTAATAATATAGCCATCTCAGGCCATTTTTTGTTGTGCTTACCTGGAATATCTTTTTTCATCCTTTTCCTTTCAGCCTCTTTGTGTCGTTATATCTAAAGTGAGTCTCATGCTCACCTCGGCAGCACATACACTAAAGTGAGTCTCTTGTAGACTGCATGTAGATGAGTCGTTTTTTAATCCAGTTACTGACAAGGAAAGATTCACTTTACAATTTAGCTATTTGTTTTCTGTATGTCTTACATGTTTTTTATTCCTCAATTCTTCCATTATTGCCCCCATCCTACTTTTTATTATTTAGGGGTTTTGGGTTTGTTTGGCAGTAAACCATTTTGATTCTCTTCTTTTTGTGTATGTTTTTAGTTATTTCCTTAGTAGTTACTTTGGGGTTTGCAATTAACATTTTAAACTTTTAACAACTTACCTTGAATAGTACCAACTTAGGTTTAGTACAGTCACAGCAAAGTTATCTCCTGTCCCTTCACCTTCATGTTGTCATTGTCACTGATTATATCTTTATATATTGTGTAATGTGTATTAACATAAATTTATAATTGTTTTATGCATTCATTAGCCTTTTAAATCATATAGAAACAAAAGAATTAAAAACCAAAAGTACAACAATGATGGCTTTTTTTTTTGAGACAGAGTCTCACTCTGTTGCCCAGGCTGGAGTGCAGTGGCGCAATCTCCGCTCACTGCAACCTCAACCTCCTGGGTTCGAGCGATTCTACTGCCTCAGCCTCCCAAGTAACTGGGATTACAGGTGCGCACCACCACGCCTGGCTAATTTTTGGTTTTTTGGTAGAAATGGGGTTTCACTTTGTTGACCAGGCTGATCACAACTTCTGACTCAAATGATCCACCTGCCTTGGCCTTCCAAAGTGCTGGGATTATAGGCATGAGCCACTGAGCCCAACCAGTGGTGACTTAATATTTACATAAGTAGTTAACCTTTACCAGCGGTCTTTGCTTTTTTATGTGGCTTTTCATTGTCTAGGGTTCTTTTATCTCAGCCTGAAGGACCCCTTTAGCATTTCTTGTAGAGCAAGTCTACAGGTAGTGAACATCCTTAGCTTTTGTTTCTCTGGGAATGTCTTAGTTTCTCCTTCATTCTTGAAAGGATACTTTTGCCAGATCTTAATTGACAGATTTCTTTTTTTAAGCGCTTTAAATAGATTGTCCTACTGCCTATGGCCTCCATATGGTTTCTGCTTATGGTTTCTGATGAAAAATTAGCTGTTAATTTTAGTGAGGATCTCTTTTACGTGACTAGGAGCTTCTCTCTTGCAGCTTTCAAGATTCTCTTTGGCTTTGGCTCTTTCTACAGTTTGACTATAATGTGTCTTTATCCTGCCTAGAGTTTGTTGAGCTTCTTGAATGTGTAGATTCAAATCTTTTATCAGTTTTTAGAAGTGTTTGACCATTATATATTTCTTCAAATTGTTTTTCAGCCCTTTTCTGTGCCTCTACTTCTGGAACTCCCATGATATGTATGATGGTGTCCCACAGGCACCTCAGGTTGTATTCATTTTTCTTTTGTGGTGGTGGTTGTTTTTGAGACAGGGTCTCACTCTGTCACCTAGGCTGGAGTATAGTGATGTGAATATGGCTCACTGCAGCCTCAACCTCCTGTACTCAAGTGATCCTCCCACCTCAGCCTCTTGTATAGCTGGGACTATAGATGCATGCCACCATGCCTGGCTATTGTATTTTTGGTAGAGACAGGTTCTCACTATGTTGCCCAGGCTGGTCTCGAACTCCTGGGCTCAAGTGATCCTCCCACCTCAGCCTCCCAGAGTGCTGGGATTACAGGCATGAGCAACTGTGCCCAGCCCATTTTTCTTCATTCTTCTTTCTTTCTGCTACTCAACTGGATTTTATTTACCTTATCTTTGAGTTTGTTGATTTTTTTTTTCCTTCTGCCTGCTCAAGCATGCCATTGAACCCCCTCTTATGAACAAGTAATTTCAGCTTGTATTAGTTTGGCAGAGCTACCGTAACAAAATACTACAGGCTGGGTGGCTTAAACAATGGAAATGTATTTTCTCACAGTTCTGGAAGTGGGCAGTCTGTGATCAAGATGTTAGCAGGTTTGGGTTCTTCTGTGGCCTTCTTCCTCAGCTTGCAGACAGCCTCCTTCTCACTGGGCCCATACAGAGTCTTTTCTTCGTGGTTGTGCATCCCTAGTGTCTCTGTGTGTGTCCAAATCTCACCTTATAGGGACACCCATCATACTGTGTTAGGGCACATCTAAATGGACTCATTTAGGTTAATTACCTCCTAAAGGCTCTACTTGTAAATATAGCCAGACTCTGAGGTACAGGGCATTACAGCTTCAATGTGTGAACTGAGGGGCAGCAGGGGAAATGCAGTTCAGCCCGTAATGCATCGTTGCACTTTTCAGCTCCAGCTTTTTCCATTTGGTTCCTTTTTATATTTTTTTTTTTTTTTTTTTTTGAGATGGCGCATCACTCTGTCGCCCAGGCTGAAGTGCAGTGGTGCCATCTCAGCTCACTGCAACCTCCTGCCTCCCGGGCTCAAGCGATTCTCATGCCTCAGCCTCCTGGGTAGCTGGGACTACAGGCTCATGACACCATGCCCAGCCAATTTTTTTTTTTTTTTTTGAGATGAAGTTTCGCTCTTGTTGCCCAGGCTGGAGTGCAGTGGACTGATCTTGGCTCACTGCAACCTCCACCTCCCGGGTTCAAGCAATTCTCTTGCCTCAGCCTCCCGAGTAGCTGGTATTACAGGCGCCCACCACCACGCCCAGCTTATTTTTGTATTTTTAGTAGAGATGGGGTTTCACCATGTTGAAGACTGGTTTGGAACTCCTGACCTCAGGTGATCCACCCATCTCGGCCTCCCAAAGTGCTGGGATTACAGGCATGAGCCACCATGCCCAGCCCATTTTTATATTTTTTGTAGAGATGGGGTTTCACTATGTTGGCCAGGCTGGTCTCGAACTCCTGACCTCAAGTGATCCACCCACCTTGACCTTCCAAAGTGCTGAGATTACAGGCGTGCGCCACCACTCCTGGCCCCCCCGCCTTTTTTTTTTTTTTTTTTTTTTTTTTTGAGACAGAATCTCGTATTGTTTCCCAGGCTGGAGTGCAGTGGCACATTCTCAGCTCACTGCAAGCTCCACCTCCCGGGTTCACGCCATTCTCCCACATCAGCCTCCCGAGTAGCTGGGACTACAGGCGCCCGCCACCACGCCTGGCTAATTTTTTGTATTTTTTAGTAGAAATGGGGTTTCACCGTGTTAGCCAGGAGGGTCTCGATCTCCTGACCTCGTGATCCTCACGCCTCAGCTTCCCAAAGTGCTGGGATTACAGGCGTGAGCCACCACGCCCGACCTCCTGGCCCCTTTTTATAGTTTCTGTCTCCTTATTGACATCGTTGTCCTGATTTTCTTTACTTTATTCATTATTTTCTTTTGTTCTTTGAGCATATTTAAAACAGTGGATTTAACCTCTGTGACTTGTGATTCTAGTGTTGGTGTTCTGCAGGGACAGTTTCTAATTCTTTTTCCTGTGAATGTACTGTATATTCCTTTTTCTTTGTGTGCTTTTACTTTCTTGTTGAGAACTGGACATTTGGAGTATGATACTGTGGTAACTCTGGAAATCAGATTCTACGCCTCCTCTGGGATTGCTTTTGTGACTTGTGAGGTTAGTTATCTGTTTGTACAATGACTTTTCCTATTTTGTAAAGTCTGTATTCCTTGTTCCATGTAGTTGCTTAAGTTTTTTTCTCTCTTATCCGTGCAAACCAGCCTGTGACCAGGTAGATTTCCTTAAATGTCTGGATCTGTGTGTGTGCGTGTACAGATGTAGGTGTAGGTGTTTTAAATCTTGTGGTAGGTGCCACCAGGGAAACCACTGCAGCCTGAGGGGGCCAAAACAAAGCTGAGCGGGTTTGCCAGACTGGCCAAAACGCACAAGCGCACATTTTTGGAGGACAAGGTCCTTCCTCCACCCCCTCCTCTTGTATGAGCCAGCTGCTGTGGGAACACAGGCCACCTTCCTGCAGGCTGTGTGTGGCAGGGCTGCGGAATGGGGATTTATGCACACTGATCTCTTCTGAGCTTCAGCAGCCTCCCTCCATCCAGCACTCTCTTGGTTGCTGTGAGTGTCTGATCCGCTTCCAGAGGCCTGAAATCGTGATTTTGATCATTTTTTCAGCTTCCTGATTGTATTGGTGGAGGAACCAACCCATGGAGCTTCTGACTCCACCATTTTCCATAACCTCCCTTGTGGCATTTATTTTTTTAGAACTGATTTTAAATGTATTCTCGTCATTTAGAATTCCACAACAGAGGCCGGGCGAGGTGGCTCACGCCTGTAATCCCAGTACTTTGGGAGACTGAGGCGGGCGGATCACCTGAGGTCAGGAGTTGGAGATCAGCCTGACCAACATGGTGAAACCCCATCTACACTAAACAAAAAAATACAAAATTAGCCGGGCATGGTGGCACATGCCTGTAATCTCAGCTACTTGGGAGGCTGAGGCAGGAGAATCAATCGCTTGAACCCAGGAGGCAGAGGTTGTGGTGAGCTGAGATTGCACCATTGCACTCCAGCCTGGGCAACAAGAGTGAAACTCCGTCTCAAAAAAAAAAGAATTCCACAAAGATACTTGCACTTTATGAAGCAAGCATAGGTTATTTGACAAATAGTGTTAGAAAAACAGGCTAGCCATTTTGGAGGAAAAAAGGCTGGGTCCCAACCTTACTCTTCATGCCAAAATAAACACCCATGTATTAAAGGTTTTATTATTTATTTATTTTTTTTTTGAGATGGAGTCTTGCTCTGTCGCCCAGGCTGGAGTGCAGTGGCGCGATCTCGGCTCACTGCAAGCTCCACCTTCCGGGTTCACTCCATTCTCCTGCCTCAGCCTCCCAAGTAACTGGGACTACAGGCACCCACCACCGCGCCTGGCTAATTTTTTGTAGTTTTAGTAGAGATGGGGTTTCACCGTGTTAGCCAGGATGGTCTCGATCTCCTGACCTCGCAATCCACCCGCCTCGGCCTCCCAAAGTGCTGTGACTACAGGTGTGAGCCACCACTCCCAGCCTTCATTTTTATTTTCAAAAATAATTTTGGGCCAGGTGCAATGGCTTATACCTGTAGCCCCAGCACTCTGGGAGGCCGAGGCGGGAGGATTGCTTGAGCCCAGGAGTTTCAGACCAGCCTGGGCAACACAGTGAGACCCCCATCTCTAAATAATAATAATAATAATAATAATAATTATTATTATTATTATTATTATTTTGGAGGTGTGAATGCCCTCCTATATCTGACACAAACCCTGGAGCAAAGAGTAAAAGCAAAGAGTACTTATTTTATGTAAATTTCATCTTGGCAAAAAAATCTATAAAATCAGCTAACTGAAAAAATTATCACAACGTAGGATAAAGTTAACTTCCTGAATTTACAAAAAGCCCCACAGATCAATAAGATTAATTGCCCAATTTATTTGAATCAAGGATGTGACTGATTTTATAAGAGAAAACCACAAATGACCAGTAAACTAAGTACAGAGTGCCAGCCTCATTCATAATTAAGGAAATGCAGATCAGAACAGGAATGAATCATGTCACTTAGGAGATAGGCAGACTTTATTTTTCTTGTTAAATGATATCCAGTCTTGTAAGAGTGTGCTAAGTAGACACTGTCATTGATTGTTGGTGAGGGTGTGACTTGGTGCAGGCTTTCTGGCAAGTAGTTTGGTAATATGTATCAGAAAATTTTTTAAAAACATTAGCCAGGCATGGTGGCATGCCTATAGACCCAGCTGCTTGAGAGGCTGAGGCAGAAGGATTGCTTGATGACCCAAGAGTTCAAGGCTATGTCAAATGCACAGCCCCTTAACCCAGCAGTTCCACTGGTAGAAATTAAGCTATAAATATTTCCAAAGGTATGCAAGATAGTTATGCAAAAATATCTATTGTAGCATTGCTTGTGATTTTACAACCCCTGCCAACTGAAATTCTGTAAGAGGAGAACTGCTTACATTACGATACATCCATATAATAGAAAGCTATGTGGCCATTAAACAGAATGAGTTAGCTCTTTTTGTGCTAATGTGGGAAGATCTCCAAGATATATTAAGTGACAAAAGCTAAGTGTAGAATAAAATGTAGGTAATGAACCCAGTTGAGTAGGGATTTTTAAAGGATGTATATGATTTATTCTGATATATGCACAGGGAAGTTTCTAGAGATATAAACAGGAGTTTAATGGTGATTTCCTTTGGGGGAGACTAGGAATAAATGATGGGAGAGATTTTTTTTTTTTACACCTTTCTATAATTTTTTTTTACATGTGCATGTGTTATATCCCACACCCCCTTTTTCAAATAGCTAAAAGCAAAATTCTACAGTGGTGAGATCTAGCAGAGAATCTGTTCACCCAGATGTAGTTTCCAGAATTTACATACTTTTAGTCTACTCATTTATATAGTCAACTTTTCTTTTTGAAATTACGAATACCTAAATCATTTATTTCATGATCTATTTTTGTTTTAAATTACTATGAAATGTTTTAAGATGTATAAAACGATAAATTAATACTTCACTCTAAAAACACAGTCTTTTAAAATTATTAGTGCCTAATCTGGCATTTTTGGCATCTTAGAGGAGGCAGAGTGATGTGATAAGAAAAATCACATAGACTTTAGAGTCATCCAGACCTGGATTCACATCTCAACTTAATAAAAACTAGCTTTTAACCTTGGGAAAGTTACTTAAAATAGCTGAACTTCAGACGATCAAGCCCTACATTTGCAGAGTAATTATAAAGATTAAGTGGGAAAAAAGGTATCAGTCCCTAACATATCATAATTACTCAAGAAACCTTCATTTCTTCTCTTGTCATCTCTCCCTATCCCTCGAAGATGACTTTCAGTCTTTGTCTGGGTTGTCTGGCTCTTTTATATCATACTTAGAAAACTTGGGGCTGGGCGCAGTGGCTCACGCCTGTCATTCCAGCACTTTGGGAGGCCAGGCGGGCAGATCGCTTGAGTTCAGGAATTCGAGACCAGCCTGGACAACGTGGCGAAACCCTGTCTCTGCAAAAAATACAAAAATTAGCCGGATGTGGTAGTAGTGCATGCCTGAAGTCCCAGCTACTCAGGAGGCTGAGATGGGAGGATCACCTGAGCCCAGGAGTTTGAGACTGCAGTGAGCTGTGATCACACCACTGTACTCCAGCCTGGGTGACAAGAGTGAGACCCTGTCTCAAAAAAACAAAAGAAGACTTGGTAATTTAGCAATGTTTGGATGTAGTATCAGAGCAAGGTGACATATGCAGTAATAAATCGTTTGGGTGGTTTTTTTTTTTTTGCTTTAATTACAGAATTTGGGGGAATTACAGAGTATGGGCAGGATCTCTAGCACAGCTCATCTTGTGTGCCATTGTTAGGAATTGTTTCTAATGCTTGACTTACCCCACAGAATATATTTACAGTAGCAACACAGGCAATGCCTTAGTCTTCGTTATAACTTTGTCTTCTGATCGACTCTGTTCAGTAGCAGGGACTTACTATCCTCTTTGGTCTATAGACAGTTTGGAGATCACCAGATAAGAAGCATACCTCACCTTGCAGTTTCATTCAGTTTCATATTCTCAGAAGCTCTTAAAGGGCTAAAATTCTGGCAGCAGCTGGAGAAATCTGCATTGCTCAGGGCCTGAGTGACTGTGCCCCTTTAGTGCTGAAAGACCAGAGGTGCAATTGTCCCGTCCTCACTGCTCAAGCCCCCAGGCCCCTCACTCCCTGACTGTACTCTAGTCTAATGGTCTCCTTTCAGTTCCTTGCAATTGCCAAATGCATTCCTGCCTCGGAGCCTTTGCGTATGCTTTTCCTTGTTCCCACCATTCTGTTCTCCCACCCTCACCACAACCTGTCAAATATCAGTTAAATCTGAGGCTTAAAAGTTCTGTCATTTTGAGCTGGGCATAGTGGTATATACCCATAGACCCAGCTACACAAGAGGCTGAGGTGAGAGGATCACCTGAGCCCAGGAGTTTGAGACTACAGTAGCTATGATGGTGCCACTACACTCCAGCCTGGGTAAAAGAGTGAGACCTCATCTCTTTAAAAAAAAATTCTGCCAGGAGCGGTGGTTCATGCCTATAATCCCAACACTTTAGGAGGCTGAGGCTGGTGGATCACTTGAAGCCAGGAATTCAAGACGAACCTGGGCAAAAAGTGAGACCCCTGTCTCTACAAAAAAAATTAATTTTTTAAAAAAACTAGCTGGGCAGCTGGCGTGGTGGCTCACACCTGTAATCCCAGCACTTTGGGAGGCTGAGGTGGGTGGATCATGCGGTCAGGAGTTCGAGACCAGCCTGGCCAACATAGTGAAACCCCATCTCTACTAAAAATACAAAAAAAAAAAATTAACCAGGTGTAGTGGCGGGCGCCTATAATCCCAGCTACTTGGGAGGCCAAGGCAGGAGAATCGCTCGAAACCAGAAGGTGGAGGTGGCAGTGAGCCGAGATCACACCATTGCACTCCAGCCTGGGCAACAAGAGCAAAACTCTATCTCAAAAAAAAAAAAAAAAACTAGCTGGACATGGTGGCATGTACATACAGTCCCAGCTACTCAGGAGGCTGAAGCAGGATGATAGCTTGATTACCCAAGAGTTCAAGGCTGCAGTGAACTATGATTGTGCCACTGCACTCCAGCCTGGGCAACAGAGCAAGACCCCATCTCGTTTAAAAAAAAATTATATTATTTGAATGGGTATCTTGTTTGTTTTAACTGTAAATATTTACAGTACTTGGTTTTACTTGGGAGATTTGTATAGCTTACAAATCTTGTCCCTATGGATTCAGTTCTCTTACCCACAGACACAGAACCAAAATCAGGAGTTCCACAAGGAGTGGTGGTGAGTCCTGCCTTTGGCAAACACGCACCTGCAAGCTTTGCTCTAGGGATTGAATCCCTTACCCAGTGGGGCCCATAGGCTAGAGGACTTTGTGGAACTTTGGAACTTGTCTTAACAATGGAGGAGGGGATAAAATAAGTTTATCTTTGGGCTGGAATTTGTACTAATTTTTCTTTCTCTTGTAGCACCGAACAAGATTTGTGATGAAATGGAGCCTGGAACAAACTCTTTTCGGGTAGAATTTCCTGATTTTTCCAGCACCATTCTACAGAAACTGAACCAGCAGCGCCAGCAAGGACAATTATGTGACGTCTCCATTGTTGTCCAAGGCCACATTTTCCGGGCACACAAAGCCGTTCTTGCTGCCAGTTCACCCTACTTTTGTGACCAGGTACTCCTGAAAAACAGCAGGAGAATTGTTTTGCCTGATGTGATGAACCCAAGAGTGTTTGAGAACATTCTCCTATCTAGTTATACAGGACGTCTAGTAATGCCCGCTCCAGAAATTGTTAGTTACTTGACAGCGGCAAGCTTCCTCCAGATGTGGCATGTGGTAGACAAATGCACTGAAGTTTTAGAGGGAAACCCTACAGTCCTTTGTCAGAAGCTAAATCATGGCAGTGACCACCAGTCACCAAGCAGCAGTAGTTATAATGGCCTGGTAGAGAGCTTTGAGCTGGGCTCTGGGGGTCATACTGATTTTCCCAAAGCCCAAGAACTGAGAGATGGTGAAAATGAAGAGGAGAGCACCAAAGACGAGCTGTCATCCCAGCTCACCGAGCACGAATACCTGCCCAGCAACTCGTCCACAGAGCATGACCGCCTGAGCACGGAAATGGCAAGCCAGGATGGGGAGGAGGGCGCCAGCGACAGCGCCGAGTTCCACTACACCCGGCCCATGTACAGCAAGCCCAGCATCATGGCTCACAAACGCTGGATCCACGTGAAGCCCGAGCGCTTAGAACAGGCTTGCGAGGGCATGGATGTGCACGCGACCTACGACGAGCACCAGGTCACAGAGTCCATCAACACCGTGCAGACAGAGCACACGGTGCAGCCTTCGGGAGTGGAGGAGGACTTCCACATCGGGGAGAAGAAAGTGGAAGCTGAGTTTGATGAACAGGCTGATGAAAGCAATTATGATGAGCAGGTGGATTTCTATGGCTCTTCCATGGAAGAGTTTTCCGGAGAGAGGTCAGATGGGAATCTAATTGGGCACAGACAGGAGGCTGCCCTCGCAGCAGGTTACAGTGAGAATATTGAAATGGTAACAGGGATTAAAGAAGAAGCTTCCCACTTAGGATTCTCAGCCACTGACAAGCTGTATCCTTGTCAGTGTGGGAAAAGTTTCACTCACAAGAGTCAGAGAGATCGGCACATGAGCATGCACCTCGGTCTTCGGCCTTACGGCTGTGGGGTCTGCGGTAAGAAATTCAAAATGAAGCACCATCTCGTGGGCCACATGAAAATTCACACAGGCATAAAGCCGTATGAGTGTAATATCTGTGCAAAGAGGTTTATGTGGAGGGACAGTTTCCACCGGCATGTGACTTCTTGTACTAAGTCCTACGAAGCTGCAAAGGCTGAGCAGAATACAACTGAGGCTAACTAAAAATAGGATCTGGCCCTTGAGTGGCATGCACAAAAATAAACTATGGTAATTAATGCAAATCTGGGCACAGATGATGCGTGCTACTTGCTATTATGAGAGAAGCTTAAAAAAAAAAAGGAAGATATTTCTGAAAGACCAGCTCTAAGTAGGCCAATTAAAAAAATCTAATTCCTCAAATTTGTGTGTTCCAGTCCTGGCCTGGAATGGGTAATGGGGTGAGTTAACCCACCGCCCAGCTGGCAAGGGAAACCTTCTGACTGGTTGTGATCGAAACAGGTGGACAGAGACACCTGCACTTGGAACTGGACTCCACCCACCAGTTCCATTTTGGGTGGCAGCAGCTTTGGATCACTCATTATTACAAGGTCATGCTGAAATTTTATTTTGCTCTTGCTATAGATACTTAGGTAATGTGGATTTGTTTTGGTAGCTATTTCACTGAAGGAAGTGCTACTTATATAAAAGCTAGAAATAATGTGATTCCTAGGATGAGAAATTGGTTAACAGAGCTCTGTTGTCTGGTTTTAGTCTTTCTAAAGGATATTTTAACTAAAACTATGGAGATGCTAAGAGAGTGACTTTCTAAATATGAAACAGATAATTTACGGTACAAGGCTGACATAGTGCCCTTGTCAGTTTCTGTAAGATGCCACTACTGTCACAAGGTGTTTCAGACTCTTGATAAGGCAGTGTTTTGTATTTTAGTTCTAACATTGAGTTTGGACAATTTTATCTAATTGTAATTCTCTAGGGTGCCAGAGATAGGTATTTCTCATTGGTTTGCTTTCCCAAATCCTGTTTGGTTAATTGTAGCCTCCATACAGTGGGGTCTTCTCTGTGGCTGGTAGACACCAAGCTGCTGTGACTGACCACGGTACCACGGGCTGCCACAGCCCCTGCTCTGTCTTAGATTATGGTGCTTTACAAAGAGAGTGGTCCATGACCACACTTAGTGAGAAGGAGCCACAAGTTGTGGCTGAGAGTTCCCTGTGAACTTGAGTAGTTCATAGAGTGCTAAGGTGACACTCCACCAACCAGAGTGAGAGGGCAGATAGGCAGGATTCTATGAGTGGTTATACTTAAGGGGGACAAAACTGCCCAAGAAGAATCTTGAGAATACACTCTTTCAAGGTGGGGGAGATACTCTTTAGAGGGTACACTGAGCTAATACTACCAGTTCTTTATGAGCACTGGAATGTGTTTGTAAAAGGAGTCCTAAGTTTAGCAAGGTAGTCTACAGAACCATGCTCCCACATTATAGATAAAGCTGCTTAAACTTAAAAGTCCACAAAGCTACGCCGACCAGAAAAAAAAAATTAAAAAAACAAACAAGAAAAGCAACTATTCTGAGACCTTTTCTGCCCATCAGTTAGATGATTTAGGTTAAAAAGAAAGGTAATATTGCACATGCTTTTAAGCTGTGTAACATACCTGAGGTTATCACCAGGGTAGGACAGGGTGCTACTACCATGTCATCTTTTCCACAATCGTACTGGGTTATTTACTTCTAAATAGAAACTTTTTTTTCTTAAAATAAAAATAATTTTTCTTGGATTTGGGGTGAAATTTTATTTGAAAAGTTTGGCTTTGCTGTAATGTAATAGACATTGCTGGCAATGGCCTCTGATTCTCAAGCTCCTAACACCAGGGTGTTTACTTGTTGAACATTGTCTGGAAAGAGGAAAGAAAATACTTATTTACCAGTTAACTCTTGTAAGCAAGATTACAAACAGGGATTTATTCACAACACTGTATCATTCTCGATATATAAAAAGCACTTTGTATTTAAAACTTTATTATAAATATATATATATATTGTTTTTTTTTAAACCTAGAAACTAGATATTACCTCTTGGTTGTTTGCCACATTAATAGCTTCTCTTAGTATTGAAACGTTACTGGTTAGCAGTCTTTTCTCTGTGTACCTGACACACGTATACTGAGGGGATTGTACAATCAAGCCTATTGTCTCCTTTTCTTTCACTCATGGTAGAGGCCAGTGGGTTTTAGGTATGATCCTAGCCATTATATTTGAGGAGAAATTGTTCTATTACTCCTACTAATTTCAGTACTAAGGTGGTGATGCCATTTTGTTCTGCCAAAAACTGATCACCCTCTCCCATGGTATTAGCAGAGCATTTTCTGCCTGTTTGGAAGGTTTGATGTCCTGTTTCTCATTGAAGACTATTTACATGATCATTAGGACATTGCAGGAGAAGTCTGAGAGGTAAAAATACAGATATTCTGGGAGAGTCGTGGTCCTTCAGTTCTGCTGAAATCAGCATAGTGCCCTTGTCATGAGGAAGAGTTTCTGTTCAGCCAAGAGTGGTGGCACGCTTGGGTGGTAGTTTTGGAAGCAGTCAGTTGTGCTAGGACTTATTTAATATGTTGTGAAGAGAAGAGTGTCTTCTTGAAAGCCTTATGTGTCCATCAGCTACTAAATGTAGAACTTAAATAAGTTGCTCACATCTGTTCTTTTAGTGTTTTGTGGTATTTGAGGTTTTGGCAAAAATTGGGATTTTTTTATCAGGCAGCCAGAGCCTGGGAGGTGGTAGGGTGTCTGAAATGCTGGCCATGTTCAGAGAGGCAGGAGAAGGGGGTTGCTTTCATTTGAATATTAAAAGTGAATTTTTGTAAACTCTGGTTTTTACCTTTTTTTCATCCCCACGTTGAGTTGGAGGAATAGTCTCTTCTCTTCACCTCAATATAGCTTTAGAAAATCTTTATCCTTCCTAATAAGTTTGGATGGTTGTGGGTAACATTGTTCAAACAATCTTTCAGGGATCACGTCAATGGCCTACAACCAAGCTATTTGTCCCCTACTTTGAGTCTTAACTGTGGTTTTTCTTCAATCCCCATGGGAAAGGGCTTCAAGGCACCACCAGTGGTATTTAATATTCATACTTGGGGCCAGGCATGGTGGCTCACGCCTGTAATCCCAGCACTTTGGGAGGCCGAGATGGGTGGATCACCTGAGGTCAGGAGTTTGTGACCAGCCTGACCAACATAGTGAAACCCCATCTCTACTAAAAATACAAAAATTAGCCAGGCGTGGTGGCGCACACCTGTAATCCCAGCTACTCGGGAGGCGGAGGCAGGAGAATCACTTGAACCTGGGAGGCGGAGGTTGCAGTGAGCCGCGATTGCACCACCACACTCCAGCCTGCGCGACAGATCGAGACTCTGTCTCAAAAAAAAAAAAAAAATTCATACTTATGCCATGCTTTTACCTTTAGATACACACGTTACAGTAATCCACGTGGTGAAGTGCATGTCACCGTTAACTAAGGAAGGACTGCGGTAACTTACCCTGCAGGGCTGTAGGTTGCCTGCAGGCGCTCCAGGCCCCCAGCCTGTTGATTCCGATTTCTAGGTCTCATCTTCCTCTGGTCCCTTTTGGCCACTACTTTAAAAGCTTGCCCAAAGGGATCCCCTCCATTCTAGTGGGCATTTGCTGAACTAACCTGCCCCTAAGGCTGGCTTCTAACCACCGGGGAAAGCTGCTTAGCCTCCAGGGCTCCCTCCTTGAGAGGCTCACACACCCCCAAGCTGCTGTGGAGTGAATTTGAGACGGAGCAGAAGCTGCAAAGCTGTGCTTTCCCTGGGGAAGGGGATGTGCTGCGGCCTCCTGGGTGGGCGTGGAGAGGGCGCCATCACAACGAGTCCAGGTTTTTGCTTTTGGAAGGTCTCTGATAATTTAGGGGTGCTGGAAACCAGCACTGTGTTATCCCCAATCCCTCCTGTGCCACCAGTTTTGTGATTTAGGTTGCTTTAGTGGGTGACTAACTTTTGTTCAGTGAAACCAGGGTTTGTTTGGGGTTTTTTTCTTTGCTACTTACATATTTAAAGGTACAAGTTTCTTATTTCAAATCTCTACTGATAGTGCCCTATGGGGAGATGCTGGAACACATTTTGCAAATGTGACTTTTTTTTTTTTTTTTAATTTTTGCTTGAAGCCTGTGTCATGTTAGTTGCTGCTGCCTTCTTTCCTTTTGTGAGGTTCCCAATGTTTCGTCCAGAAAAGTACTTTATTTATGCAAGTCAGGTGACTCTTAGGCCACAAAACCATTTGATGATAAACAGATTATCATTAGGTGCATATCTTATTGATATTTTGTGAAATGTTATGCCTATGTTGCAAAAGTTGAATAGTTTTGTCTTTATATATTGCTGTCTTCAGTGTACAGCATGGTTTTACTTAATTGAATGTTAATGTTTAATATTTTCTTCTTATAGAAGAGATCATGCCCTTTTGTATGACATGTTTTAATAAATGTTATCTGTCAACTTTGTAAAAGTTTTGTTTTTCACTATGAGTAGATGACCACATCTTGTTTGACTCTGGGTTTTGCCACCTGAGAATACAGTTATATGGTGGCGTTTTGGTAAGTAAATGCCAAATAATCTGATCCAATGGGCAGTGAGTGACTGCCAGGCAGGCATTTATAGTAATATTTTAGACCCCCACTGGCCCCTTCGGGTACTTGGGGTGTGCTAGAGGCTCTCTGTGCCCCCTGGGCCCCCTTCCTGCTATGCACTTCTCTCCAGGAAGCTGGCCACGGTGGACCTGTCCTGGCTTCCGGTCAGGATCCAGAGACACTCTGGGTGGAGCCTGGCAGAACAGAGAACAGAGAAGTCAGGGAATTCATTCCCCTGGCTCCTTCCCGCCAGCTGTGGGTTGGCGGTGGCTGGGCTCCTCTGCCAAGGCCCACAGGTCCTGTCAGGCAACTTCTGGGGTTTAGTAGCCACACCTTCCCCTTGTCCCCTCAAGCCAGTCTCAGTCCTGACTCCCTGCTTTTGCCAGGCCTCGGGTACATCACTGTCCTCATTGGAGTCTCTTAACCCTGCCCACACCCTTTGTAAATAGTCCCTTTATGAAACTCTTCTTGGTCACTCCATCTGAGTGTACCATCTGTCTCCTGCCAGGACCCTGGCTGATAGCTTAGGTGTCCTCATTTTACCAGTGAGCCAACTGTGATTCAGAAAAGGTAAGTAAGGTACCAAAGGTCGTCCAGCACCCAGAGCGGAGCTGGGCTTCTCTGCATGGTCCGCGGCTGGCACGCTTGGCGGTGGGTTTCTCCACTGCTCTCTCATGCCTCCATGCACTCGAGTGTTCATTGGGTCTTTGCTTCACGTCACTTTGCCCTCTCCTACCCCTACAACCCTGCCCTCGAGAAGCAGCAGCGGTGCTCTTTCAAAGGCTGCAAGCGCCGGGTATTTCCTAACAACAGCTCATTACCAGAGACACTGCTTGTTTTAGACCAAACTCAACCACCTTCCCACACAAACCTTCTGTTACCACTGTTTGTTGTGAGGTTCTTCCCCCTCCCCATTGCTGATTTTGAAGCCAACTACAGATTGCCTCAGCTAGCTTAACCATTCTCTGTATGGGGAAGAAGTCATCCAGAAAAAACACTTCTAGCCTTTATTTGAGGCAGGGCTTGTCCATCCTGACCAAGGACAAGTAGCTCAGCCCCTGCAGCATGGTGACCTCTCTGACCCCCACTTTCAGCCCTGCAGAGGACCCCACCGAGGCCCTGGTTAACCAGCCGTGCACACCTGGGAAGCAGGTGTCCCCACTGCACATGCTTCTCCCCGGGGTGGAGGCCGGTGGGGTTGAAGGAGAGCAGCGCTGCAGTTCTTGTGAGGAGAAAGAAGATGGAGTGGTTCCTTTGTGTTTGGGAACAGAACGGGGTGGGATGTGAGGGGTGTCACCCACATGGAGCATTTAACACCTGTGCGGTTATTTTGATTCCGTCACACTCAGCTCAGGGACTGCTACTTCCCACCAAACCACCGAAGCGTTCCTTGAGACAGTCCCCATCCCTGGGCATCTTGGAGGGTGCAGGGCTCTAAAATTTGCCCAGTCAGTGGCCCAGTTAGCAGGTCATTGGAAATGAGGTAAGCTTGAACTTGCTGTAACAGTCTGTTATTCCGTAAATGATGTAAAATATGTTCTTTCTCAGTGCAGATAAGTAAAGGATAAGAACGCTGTACCCTTGGTTCCAACTCTTAGGTTCTTTTTAAGAAAATGTTCTACGTTTAAAGTTTAGTGAGTGAAGATGGGTGCGAATAACATTTTTTTCCTTTAACAGGGAAACAGAAAGTGAAGTAGTGGTGGGGAGAGGAGTCTTGGGGACTTTTTCTGAACTGGTTTGACTTGTTTGAATCAAAACCAAACAATTTGCTGGGTGCACTGGCTCATGCTTGTAATCCCAGCACTTTGGGAGGCTGAGGTGGGCAGATCACCTGAGGTCAGGAGTTCGAGACCAGCCTGGCCAACATGGTGAAACCCCGTCTCTACTAAAAATACAAAATTAGCCGAGTGTGTTGGCACATGCCTGTAATCCCAGCTACTCGGGAGGCTGAGGCAGGAGAATTGCTTCACCCAGGAGGTAGGGGTTGCAGTGAGCTGAGATTGCACCACTGCACTCCAGCCTGGGCGACAGATACTCCGTCTCAAAAAAAAAATTTTTTTTTTATTTTAAAATATTGTACCACTTTTAATTTCTTCCAAATAAGCCAAAGTTTACATTGCAAGTAGCTTGATGCAGTTACAGGAAGGAGTTACCATTGTCCTTTGAGGGACTTTGTGGGCTCTATAAAAAAGGATAATTCATAAGCAATATTGTAGGTAAATACATATTATTTTTTAAAAGTGGCTTTTTACTTAGACTACAGTGATTATGAGATCTGTTTTTTTCCCTCATTCCAAAATAAGAAACCAATACAAAAGCCATTAAATGTATTTATAACTTAATAAGATACTATGTTGCTCCCCAGAGTATTCTGGTCTGCTTAGTGCAACAGCTAACCTTTGTTAATGGAAGCTAAAGGCTTGCCTCTAGAACTGCCACCGTTAATTAGATAGGGACGGCAATGTCACCTACCTGGCAGGGTTGGTGTCAGGGTGAAGGCTTAATCCATGGAAAGCGTTTAGAACGCCGCAGAACACAGTGGCCCCGGGGAAATGTAAATGCTAGCAAGGAGTGAGCCCTTTGGTCACTGTGGCACGTGAACTTAAAACTGCTGTGGTCGGGAGCGGATGGGGAGGGGTCAATGCTCCTTTTACCCGCCCATTCCTTGGAGTAGGCCTTGATGATAGCTTTTCTACTAGTTTGAAAATCACTGGACTTGTATTCCTGGGGTTAATTTCTACATGTATTTCCTAAACCTGAGGGTTCAAGTAGGGTTAGCTGCTGGTACCAGTCCTAGAGCACAGTCTGGGGGTGTGTTAATTTGGGGTTAGCAATGCTGTGATAAAATCTCACTTATTAGGATTCTCGGGAAAGATCCTCAACTGCACAGCGTTCCACTCAGGATAGAGGGATGACAACGCTGTAAATGCTGCTGGAATTCCTTCAGGATCTGGCTTAGCTAGAAATTCTAGGCTTAAACATGACAGCAAAGTGACCTTCAGCCAAACTAGAAAGGACTCATTTTTGCTTCACATAGAGCATGTCATATTGTGTGAATCTCTTTTGTCTATTCATAATATGAAGAATATAAGCGAATTTGTCTTGGAGAGAATTTTTTTTTTACTGCAGTTCTATATATTTATTGGCCTCTGAACACCCACTCAACTCACTAAACACTATGCCGACTTTAATAGATATAAGAAAAATTGGGATTATGGAGTAAAAATAACAGCTCTAAGTGAAGATCCACTACATGCTTAACATGTGTTAAGAACGCAACTTGGATTAACTCCTTTATAACAGAACCATGAAGGAGAATTTCCTTCCAGGCCTCATGTAGCGGAAAAGGATGACAGCTTCCTATTCTGTTGGTGAGATGTTTTTCTTCTTCAGGGAAACCCCTCTGTAAGGGCTTCCTCCTGGGCCAGCAGGGATGTCTATGTCTGGAGTGAGATGCAGACAGTTGTCCCTCTCAGGGCACCAAGGCCAGCTTCTGATGCTCGGGAGCAAGGACCTAAGTAGGCCAGGCTGTCCTACTGACGCCTTTAGGTGGTGGGTGACTCGCCGGATCCCCCTCAGGCTCTTGCACTGGGGTCTCTGAGGAGAAATAGAGACTCCACCCCCAGACTGTGCTCTAGGACTGGTACCAGCAGCTAACCCTACTTGAACCCTCAGGTTTAGGAGATACATGTAGAAATTAACCCCAGGAATACAAAGTCCAGTGATTTTCAAACTAGTAGAAAAGCTATCATCAAGGCCTACTCCAAGGAATGGGCGGGTAAAAGGAGCATTGACCCCTCCCCATCCTCTCCTGACCAGAGCAGTTTTAAGTTCACGTGCCACAGTGACCAAAGGGCTCACTCCTTGCTAGCATTTACATTTCCCCGGGGCCCACCGTGTTCTGCGGCATTCTAAACGCTTTCCATGGATTAAGCCTTCACCCTGACACCAACCCTGCCAGGTAGGTGACATTGCCGTCCCTATCTAACAGGAGAACACTAACTTTCACAGATGTAAGAAACCCAGGCAGCCGGTGTCCTGGGCCCCACTGAGCTAGCTACGCGTGCCCTGTTGCTATCTTGTGACTGCCGGCCCAAGGGCCCAGAATGTCAGAGGAAACCCCACTCTGCCTGCTGGCGCCCTAGAGAGGGGTTCTAAAGGCCAGGGGTTTATCTGGGCCCCTGACCATTGCCCTAGTGTTTATCTCCAAGAGACTGTGGGTCTCAACACCAGCAGAACCTGCTTATCTCCACGTTTTTGGGCCCCAAGCTGGCCTACCCTGTTCCCATTTGCTCTGGGACAGCCACTCCCTCACAGCAGCCTCAACTCCACACGTAGTCTTCTGCCCTTGACTGCTCCAAGGCCTCCTCCTAAGCAGATCTGATGCCATCATCTCCCACGTGAGGTCCGCCTGACAGGATCTCAGCTCCTCAGCTTGGCCTCCAAGGCCCTTCCAGATCTGACACCAGCCCTCTTGTTGGTTCTGTTCCTCTGCTCCCCACTTGGGACCTGGGTACTCTCCTAAGGCTTCTCTTGGCTCTTCCATGATGATTCTGCCTTGAATATTCCCTCCTCCTCTTTTCTATTCACTCCCCTGTGACTTTTCCCCTCCTGGGTGAGCTCCTTTCTATTGTTCTAGGCTCTGCAAAAATCATTGCCAAGACACCTTCCCTGAGCATCCCACCCAGCTGCTTAGCACTCAGTGATCCCATTTCAATTTTTTTTTTTTTTTTTTTTGAGATGGAGAGTCTCCCTCTGTCCCCCCAGGCTGGAGTGCAGTGGCATGATCTTGACTCACTGCTACCTCCACCACCTGCATTCCAGCGATTCTGCTACCGCAGCCTCCCGAGTAGCTGGGACTACAGATGCCTCCCACTACGCCTGGTTAATTTTTGTATTTTTAGTGGAGACAGGGTCTCACCATGTTGGCCAGGCTGGTCTTAGAAGTCCTGACCTCAAGTGATCCACCCACCTCGGCCTCCCAAAGTGCTGGGATTACAGGGGTGAACCAGCACGCCTGGCCCCATTTCATTTTGAACTTGGCTCTGCTGTGGCACTTGTCACTTGGTAATTTTGTATATACCATCCATCTTCACTCCCCTCCCCGCCACACACACCCACATGTCCCCTGCTAGACAGCAGGCTCCTCCGAAACAGGAACTATGACTTCATTGTCTGCCCGTTCCTGGCACAGTCCTGTTCCACACTCAATCAATACTGCTGATTTTTTTTTTTTTTTTTTAATGAATGCAGATTCACTGTTGAGTCTTTACCAGTTACAGCCATGAACTTTTTGCTTCCAAGATCTTAGGAAGTACAGGCACACAACAATGTTACGAAGTGCCCTCTTCCAACTGAATGTCACCTAAGTGTTGCCAAAATTGCCTGTTACCTGAGAATTCTGAGATAAGTATGGGTCTTCTTTTCTAACCCAAATGAAAGATTTTATATCTCAGCAGACAGCTGAAATACTGGACACTGGTTTATGTAAGTTAGGCAGAAGGTGGCAGTGGGATTGATCAGAAAAGGGTTTCTGGTAGAGTCAGTGTGTGTCAAGAGAATGACAGCTGGCAACTAGCTTTGGAGGTAGAATAAATGGAATTGACACATTCTCGATTAAATATACCAGAACTATAGTTATAAAAATTGACTAATTTTGTTGTTAATTTCTGCTGGGAAGCTTGTTCTAGAAGGGCATATTTTCAGTGAGGTTTTGGCACAATCTAAAGCAGATGGTTACATGTTATTTGGTGCTTCATCTAATACTGAAATTTGTGGCAATTGATTAAGGACCGAAAGTTGCTTTTGGACAACTTTCAAATTGTGATTTCACCAATCTGAGCTCCAAGTGACAGTAGCACGTTGTAGTCAGGAAACACAGAATGTGGGCTAGATAACTTAGGAGGTTATATGTAATAAAAAACTGTTTCGTGTGAGTCAGCTCTGAAGAGTATGGTGTGAGCCTGTTCAGACCACCCGAAGTTAGAAAGGGCAGGAGTGAAGTCTGTGACTCACACAGGGAGCTCTGCCAAGGAGGTGCCATGCAGTTCTGCTGGCAGGGGCTTCAGAAGCATCTTAGGACAACTGTTTCCAATCTTTTCAAGTACTGTGGAAGGATGGATATTTATTTATTTATTAATGAATGAATGAACGAGACAGAGTCTCACTCTGTCGCCCGGGCTGGAGTGCAGTGGCATGATCTCGGCTCACTGCAACCTCTGCCTCCTGGGTTCAAGCAATTCTCGTGTCTCAGCCTCCCGAGTAGCTGGGATTACAGGTGCGCACCACCATAACTGGTTTTTTGGGGTTTTTTTTTTTTGTATTTTCAGTAGGGATGGGGTTTCGCCATGTTGCCCAGGCTGGTTTCAAACTCCTCAGCTCAGGAAATCCACCCGCCTCAGCCTCCCAAAGTGCTGGGATTACGGGCTTGAGCCACTGTGCCCGGCCTGTTTTGGACATTAGAAAATTTTGCAGAGCATCCCCTCCACCACATAATAGTTGGTCAAGAAAAATTCAAAATCACAAAACTATTATGAATTCAGTAATGCTTAATGCATTTACATTTATTCTTCAAAAAAATATACAATTGATGCCTGTAATCCCAGCATTTTGGGAGGCCGAGGCGGGCGGATCACCTGAGGTCGGGAGTTCGAGACCAGCCTGACCAACTTGGAGAAACTCCGTCTCTACTAAAAATACAAAAAATTAGCTGGGCATGGTGGCACATGCCTGTAATCCCAGCTACTCGGGAGGCTGAGGCAGGAGAATTGCTTGAACCCAGGAGGCGGAGACTGCAGTGAGCCGAGATGGTGCCATTGCACTCCAGCCTGGGCAATGAGAGCAAAACTCCATCTCAAAAAAAAAAAAAAAAATTGATAGTAGTGCAAATATATGGGGGACCTCAAAAGTAGCTTTATATCCTTCCAGAGTCTGTTCTTTGGCTTAGTCATTCACTCCTTTATTTACCAAATATTTATTGACCATCAGCTTTGACTCTGGGCTGGGTCTACAATGGTGATTTCCCTGTCTTCAGGGGTTGTGAAAATCAGTACACAAAGTAGATAGGTCCCTTGCTGTCTGTGTCTCATAATTGGCTAAACCTTATGAATCCAGACCTATAAATAAAATTTAACCATCAACTTACAGAGAACAATTCTCAAAGCTAACTGTGCTTGGTAACTAGGACACTTTTTTTTTTTTTTTTTGAGACGGAGTCTCGCTCTGTTGCCCAGGCTGGAGTGCAGTGGCACAATCTCAGCTCAGTGCAACCTCTGCCTCCCGGGTTCGAGCAATTCTTCTGCCTCAGCCTCCCTAGTAGGTGGGATTACAGGCATGCGCCAACGTGCCTGGCTAATTTTTGTATTTTTAGTAGAGACGGGGTTTCACCATGTTGGCCAGGCTGTTCTCGAACCCCTGACCTCGTGATCCACCCACCTCGGCCTCCCAAAGTGCTGGGATTACAGGCATGAGCCACCGTGCCCGGCCTAACTGGGACACTCTTAACTGTGAATATGGTCCAAGCTACTGAAATTAATTGATCTGTAGGACAAGACCAAAGTTAAGGCCACTTCTTGTAATAGCTGTGTAGCTATCTTCAATCACATCTCCTTTGCTGGGTGCTTTCAGTTAACTCATAACTTATCACCTGACTTTGAAAAGGGGCAAAACTTCTCCATCAAAGGTTTCTATTTCTGCCTCCTAGGCTTTTCCCATTCCCCTATTTGAGCAGAACCTTTTTCTTATGTTTCACCTGCCATAGTTCAGCACGTTGACTTCACAAGGGCAGCATGGAAGCTGTAGAATAAATCAGACCCTCAAACAGCAGTATCCATCTAGTAGGCAGAGTCATGCTTTCAAAAAACCATAAGAGCCTAATGCTGTGTGATGTTCTAAGCACTGGAGATACAGCAGTAAATAAAATAGATTTTTTAAATCCCTCCTATCCTGGAGTTCACATTCTAAAGACAGGTAAGAGTGGTCCCTCTCCAATGCTAATGAGAAGTACCACGGACTCTCATGTAGGAACAGAATACCTAGGAAAGACGCAGGAAGAATGGCTGGAATTCTGACCTTGGGAAATGTGGATTGGAGTGAAGAAGAGGCCATCCACTGCCAACACCAAAGTATGAAGAAAGGTACGGAGGTGGGAAAGTGTGGAGGTAGCTGTGGAAATACAGTAGGAAAGGTAGGTTGAGGGCCATATTGTTACCATAGTAATGTATATCAACTTCCGAGCATTTACTTATGCCAGGCTGTGTGCTACCTTCCAGATGTGTAATCTCATTAGGTCCATACTACAACCCAGCTTGACAGGGGAAACTGAGGCTGAGACAGGTTAAGTGATGGAGCTGGAATTCTGAACTAGGTTGTCTGACGCTAGCACCCCAGCTCACAATGATGACACCGCATTGCTGCACAAGGTCACGAAGGGCTACAGATTTCAGGCTGAGGACTGGTGGACTTGATTTCATAGGAGCTCATCAGAGCTGCCAGGAAGATTAGCCTGAATGATAGGATCTAGGACGTGGTGTGTGTGCTGCATTCCCTACGTGGGCTGAGTGACTAATAATAGGCTTACCAATATGGTCTCCTGGGTGTGGAACAGGTGCCTGGAGGGAGGAGCCACCAGGAGCCCAGGTAGGTCAAGTTCAAAGTCAGTGATGAAATGAGGCAAACCCAACTCCTAGTAGCCTAATGGGGGGCTGTTGTTAGCCTAAGTAGGGCCATCTGAGAACAAGGATTGCAGAGGCTCCTAAACCTGGTTTTCTTCCATGGGACTTGCCTCTGGCAGTGGTCACGCAACCTTCCAGTCATGTATGCCAGCCAAACTCCAATGAGCAATTCCTTTCATATAATCAAGCATTGCTCCACCAGTGTCCTCAGGATGAGCCATGCTCGTGCCCTCCTTTCCATGAGGCTCACGCAGGGAACGGCAGCTGGCAGGGAATGTCAAGAACCCCATCCCACACACATGCTTCAGAGGTCCAGTCCTTCATACCGGGAAGGTGGCTGTCCCCGCCCATCCTCATTGTCTCTCACCTGGATGATTGCTCCAGCTTGGCCTCCCCATTGCACGTCATCCTACATATTCCTATCTGCCTCACTTTTCGAAAACCTCATGCTGCCAGGCTGCTCAGAAACCTCCATGGGTTTCCCAGTTCCTGCCAAAGCATACCTACTGTAGACCTATGCCTAGTCCAGACCATAGGCTTGGACTTTCTTTCTGGTTTGTTTCCTTCCCCACTTTTGCATCCTACTTACTCTACTCTCCAGCTAAATCTCGTATTCCTTGAACATTCCCCTGTATCCGGATGTAGGCGTTGCTAATGCTGTACCCTTTGGGACGCCCCCTTTGTCCTCTCTCCTCCTGCTAGAATCCTACCTATTAAGCAAAGCTTTTTTTTTTTTTTTTTTTTTTTGAGATGGAATCTTGCTCTGTCGCCCAGGCTGGAGTGCAGTGGCATGATCTCAGCTCACTGCAACCTCTGCCATCCAGATTCACAAGATTCTCCTGCCTCAGCCTCCCGAGTAGCTGGGACTACAGGCATGTGCCACAACACCTGGTTAATTTTTCGTATTTTTAGTAGAGACAGGATTTCACCATGTTGGCCAGGCTGTTCTTGAACTCCTGACCTCAGGTGATCCATCCACCTCGGCCTCCCAGAGTGTTGGGATTACAGGTGTGAGCCACCGCGCCCGGCCTAATTTTTATTTTTTGACAGGGTCTTGCTCTGTCTCCCAGGCTGGAGTGCAGTGGCACCATCTCTGCTCACTGCAACCTCCACCTCCTAGGTTCAAGTGATTCTTGTGTCTCCTCCTGAGTAACTGGAACTACAGGCATGTGCCACCACACCCGGCTAATTTTTTTGTAGTTTTAGTATGGATGGATTTTTGCCATGTTGGCCAGGCTGGTCTTGAACTCCTGGCCTCTAGCATGCCACCTGCCTTGGCCTCCCAAAGTGCTGGGATTACAGGCATGAGCCACTGTGCTCAGCCTAGGCAAGGCTATTTCTAATGCCAACTTCTCTAAGAAACTTCCGCTTTTCTAGCCCAGCATCATCTGTCTTTACTTAGAACCCCATAAAGTTTAGGTCGTGTACTGCACACAGGCATCATTTAGAGCACATTTCTAGTTCTGTGAGGACCAGAGGGCTGCGAGATCAGCTTGCTTCTGTGTTCCTTACAGCCTAGGGCCTGGCCCCCAACAGGTGATTGTTCATTTGAGGTCACAACGGTCTCCTACAGTCTTGAGACAGGCTTGGGAGTGGCACTAGCAGGGTGAGAGACTGGGGAGACCAAAATACTCCCTGAGATCCAGAGATACCCAATTCCTGTTCTGGTGAGGGCTACAAATGTACGAAACTGCACCCTTACTGGTTGTGTTGCCTCTTGTAAATTCAATCATCCAGTAAATACAGATGTTTCATTACCAGCCACTCCCAAGCCAGGCAGGACCTGCTTCAGAAATTACTGGGTGTTGGCCGGCCGCGGTGGCTCACACCTGTAATCTCAGCACTTTGGGAGGCCCAGGCGGGCGGATCATGAGGTCAAGAGATGGAGACCATCCTGGCTAACACGGTGAAACCCCGTCTCTACTAAAAATACAAAAAAATTAGCCGGGTGTGGTGGCGGGCGCCTGTAGTCCCAGCTTCTAGGGAGGCTGAGGCAGGAGAATGGCGTGAACCCGGGAGGCAGAGCTTGCAGTGAGCCGAGATCGCACCACTGCACTCCAGCCTGGGTGACAGAGCGAGACTCCGTCTCAAAAAAAAAAAAAAAAGAAAAGAAAAGAAATTACTGGGTGTCACAGGTCAGCTTGGTCACATTCAAGTTTCTCCCCTCTTCGGGACTGAAATGTGCTGAGCCACAAAGAAGCTCCTGCAGCTCCTCCACCAGCCTGGCCTGCGAGCATCTGTCACAGCTGGCGTGTGGTGCCTGGGATCAGGAACTGGTCACTGTTCACAAGCCAGAGTGGTCTGACCGGGCCGTATGTCAGCCACCCTCTACTCTACCCCTAGCTGAGCTGCTTCTGCACCTCCTGGTCTCTGCACCCTCTCTGCAAATGGAGGCCCATGGTCATTCAGGCTGGATTTTCTTTTGGAACTTAGAAAAATGACTAGCTTGGCTGACTTTAAAAACACAGTCTCTTGTTCTTTGAGTCATCTTATCAGGGTCACAAACCTCTCTTTCAGAAGTCTGGACCCCAAATTGCCTCCCTCTACCTTGGGCAGGATGAAAGTCAACTTGTTATTCTACCGAATGCCTGGGAGGCAGCTTGTCCTGTGATCAGAGTTGGGGGGTGGGGGGATTCTGCCGGGTGGAAGGGCAGCCTCCTTTGTGGTTGGCAGCCCCTCCCCAAATATGACCCTTATCTGCTCCAGGCAAAATTGTCACATGCTCTTACAGATTTTCACCTGTAACAGCTGCACTTTCCAGCAGCTACTGACCCCTGGCCTCCATCGGGGGTAATGATACGGAACTTGCACAGACAGTGATCCAAGGGAGAGACCCTGGATAAGCATTCCCACCGCCCCCCCGCCCCCCACCTTTATTCACTAGAAAAGGAAGGTTTTCTCTTGGTAGAGTTTAATGACCCCTATGGACACAGGAGAACTGGGCTGAATGCACCATTCTTTCCATCGCGCTATTAGTTTAAACTTAAAGAAATTTACACAAAAGCTTGCATTATCATTGTGTGATTCAGTCATGGACCTCAGGATTTCCTGCTGGCCACATGCACTTTTTTTTTTAGTAACTGAAGTATGATCAAGCATAAAAGCACAAATCATAAATGTACAACTCAATGAATTTTCACAAAATGAATGTGCCCGTGTCACCAAGTATCTAGATCAAAAAACATGGAGCTCAAAATTTCCCTCATTGTTCTTTCCAAGGGTAACCTATCCTGACTAGTAGCACTATAGAGTAGTTTCACCTGTCTTTGAACTCAGTATAAATGGGATCGTAGTGGCCGGGTGCGGTGGGTCACGTCTGTAATCCCAGCATTTGGGCAGGCTGAGGTGGGAGGATTGCTTGAGCCCAAGAGTTTGAGACCAACCTGAACAACATAGGGAGACCCAGTCTCTACAAAATAACAGAAAATTTTTTTGTCGCCAGACGTGGTGGCTTACGCCCGTAATCCCAGCACTTTGGGAGGCCAAGGAGGGCGGAGAGTAGCTGGGACTACAGGCACCTGCCACAACGCCCGGCTAATTTTTTTTTTTTTTTTTTTTTTTTTTTTGTATTTTTAGTAGAGACAGGGTTTCACCGTATTAGCCAGGATGGTCTCAATCTCCTGACCTCGTGATCTGCCCTCCTCGTCCTCCCAAACTGCTGGGATTACAGGCGTAAGCCACCGCGTCCGGCCTCTGCTGAAGAAGTTTAATGGGAAGAGGAATCCAAAAGCTAAGATATCAGCAAACATGAAGAAATGCTGCATCCGTTTCACTGAAAAGAATCGCTGTCCAGGCTGGGCGCGGTGGCTCACGCCTGTAATCCCAGCACTTTGGGAGGCCAAGGCGGGTGAATCACGAGGTCAGGAGATCAAGACCATCCTGGTGAAACCGGGTCTCAACTAAAACTACAAAAAATTAGCCGGGCGTGGTGGCGGGCACCTGTAGTCCCAGCTACTCAGGAGGCTGAGGCAGGAGAATGGTGTGAACCCCGGAGGCGGAGCTTGCAGTGAGCTGAGTTCGCGCCACTGCACTCCAGCCTGGGCGACAGAGCGAGACTCTGTCTCAAAAAATAAATAAATAAATAAATAAATAAATAATAAAAAGAATCGCTGTCCCACAAGTGGGTTTCTGGAACATATTGTTGGTACAAGAGGGATGATGGAGGAGAGGTTGTTGCAGGTGATTCTCCCACTGAGAGAGGGAACGAGGTCAGTTACACCCAGCTCTCCTGGGGCTTCGCTGTTGGTCATCTCTTACAAGTGGACTCTGCCTGTTTGTCAACTGTATGGAAAGGCAGGGTGAGCAGCAGTTTTGAGAGGATGTTGGCATAAGGACCCAGGAAGGCTGGCATGGTGGGAGATGGTCTGCCTACAGGCAGGGTGGCTGGAATGCTGCCTAATCCGGAGGGTGCTATGAATCTGTGTTCCCTGGTTCCGAGCCATCTCATTCTAGCAGGAGCCTGACCTCTTTTTGTCCTTCCTTTGTTCCTTATTTTAAAACATTTATTGAGCACTTGCCTGTGCCCAGCTTGGTGCTATGCTCAGGGACCACAGTGGGAAATAAGACAGTCCCTGTCCTCCAATCGCAGGATGCCCGTGACAATAGGAGATTCTGGTAACTTCTAAGAACCACGAGAGAGCAAGACAAGGTCCCTGTTGTTAAGCTGCTTATGTCTGACAGTCAGCAGATGTCCAGGCTCAGTGTGATAGTTCCCAGGTAAGTTGGGCGTGATAGAGAAGCTGCAGGAAAATAAGACCTCATCTCAACAAACCCCAGCCTGGATGTAAGAACTACTATCTATTGCATGTCTATCACATACTAGGCACTTTGTAAAGCACTATACAATCATTATCTCCTAGGACTGCTCCCAGCAACCCTGTGGGATTAAACAAGTATCTCCATTCTATAGATGAGGAAACAGAAGCTCAGAAAAGCATCTCCTTTGTTCAGTGAGTTTTGACAATGGAAACTGTGTCCTTAATTTATTGCTTGACCAGAAGTTGAGCCACCCCTAACTAGACTTCAGGTCTGAAAGTTCTGTTGAAGAGAATGGGTGCAGGTTACCCACTTATCTGAATGTCCTATGAGTACTGGAGGCAGGTTATAGGGAAAGTCTTTTAGTATATTTTTGTCAGCTAAGCCAGGCTTCTGGGCTTGGAAATTAAAAACCTGCTTTGGTTCCAGCCAGGAGGAGGGATTGAAGCAGAGATACTGAGATTCTCTCTGTGCAAAAAAAAGTCATCTGGATGAATTTAACCTACTGACTAGTTTGGCAGTGAACACCAAGGTTTCTGGAAGTTCTAAAAGCTACTTACTCTCAGGGAGAAAAACGGTATCTTGCAAGCCAGGGAATTAGAAATAAAGGAACAGCCAAGATACCTCAGTCTTCCGGAGTCTTGATTGACAAGGAAGACATCCTCCCCTTTGAACAGAGACAGCTCTTCAGGCTATGAGGTGGAAGGGAGGGAGGGAGCAGATCAGTTGAAGAGTTTTCTCTTTAAGTGGCCAGAGGCAAAGATTCCACAGAGCTAAGCTCCATGATGAAAGGGGAGCCCAGAATGACAGCAAGTCAGGGGTGGAGTGAGGGAGGGGGAGGCTTGAAGGAGGGCAGGGGGAAACAAAGCCAGGGTGCACCTCCACACCGTGCTGCTCCCTCACTGCCCCCTGCATTGCTACCATCTGCTCTGCCCCTCATATGCCCACAGCTCCTATTGACCCACCACCAACTAAGTGCAATGTTCTGCAGACCACTTTACCTCTGCTATCTCCTGGGATTCTTCTAACAACGAGCTAGGACAGGTACTGTGACGATGCCCATTTTACAGAGGAGAAACCTGAGGTTCAGAGAGTCTGATTAACTTGCCCAAAGGCTCATGGTTTTTACCATGTGTGCCCAATCTTGGAAATGCAGTGAAAGAAGTCAACTGCCCAGTAACAGCGGAAGCACTGAATGTGAAAACAAGGCCAGTGAAGCTCTGGGCCAGGGATGGGGAGCAGGACTACAGAGCTGGAACCAGGAGACAAAGGGGACCCAGGAGCTGAGGAGGAGCAGATCCCAGAGGAGCCAACAGAAGAGGACTGATCAGAGCAGGACAAGTAAACAGGGCTCAAGTAAACCCTGGGTCAACATCAGCAGAGAGGAAGATGGTCAGGAAGGCAGGTAATGGTACCAGGGGTCCCTGCTCCCCTGACATCCATGAGCCTCCTCTTGTTTCATAGAGTAAGGCAAGACTAGAAGAAAAGTAAGAATTCCAACTAGTATTAAAACACCCTCGTTGGTAATGTATTTCTTCTCCTGTTCCCCTTTCCCACACCCCTTCTCACCATCTAGCATATCACACATGGTTACTCTATGCCTCTCCTTCCCATGAAAGCATGAGATAGCATGTAAGCTTAAGAGTATGGACTTTTTCCCCTATCTAGTTCTTTTTTTTTTTTTCTTTTTTTTTTTGGTGAGATGGAGTCTTGCTCTGTTGCCCAGTCTGGCAATGTGCAATGGCACAATCTCTGCTCACTGCAACCTCCGCCTCTCATGTTCAAGCAATTCTCCTGCCTCAGCCTCCCGAGTTGCTGAGATTACAGGCGTGCACTACCATGCCTGGGTAATTTTTGCATTTTTAGTAGAGATGGGGTTTCACCATGTTGGCTAGGCTGGTCTCCAACTCCTGACCTCAGGTGATCCGCCTGCCTTGGCCTCCCAAAGTGCTAGGATTTACAGGTGTGAGCCACTGCACCGGCCTCCCGTGTCTACTTCTATATTCACATTCCTTCTAGAGCAATGCTTGGCACTTTGTAAGAGTTCAATACATATTTGTTGAATGAATAAGTATGCAACAGTAGTTTTCATGACAGGCTCTCCCTGGCACCGTGGGCCTCCCTTGTGCAGCTGGGTCTGCGTGCATCATGGTGATCTCACCTGATTGGGACTCCTTCAGTGACTATTTCACAGCCTGAACAAGCAAGGCAAGGATGCATGGGGACTCTAGGAAGCAGAGTTAAAACAGATGCTGAGCACTCTGTTCATGTTCAGCCAGGAAGAAAGGCAAAAGTCAAAAAAGCAAGGTCAGCCAGGTGTGGTGGCTCACACCTGTAATCCCAGCACTTTGGGAGGCCAAGGCGAGCAGATCACCTGAGGTCAGGAGTTCGAGACCATCCTGGCCAACATGATAAAATCCCGTCTCTACTAAAAATACAAAAATTTACCAGGCATGGTAGCGCATGCCTGTAATCCCAGCTATTCAGGAGGCTGAGGCATGAGAATCGCTTGAATCTGGGAGGCGGAGGTTGCAGTGAACCGAGATCACACCACTGCACTCCAGCCTGGGCAACAGAGTGAGACTCTGTCTCAAAAAAAAAAAAAAAAAAAAAAGCAAGGTCATGGTGACAATGAACAAATGTGTACATTGGCCAAGACTCATCATACCTCATTAAAGTTTATTAAAAGAAAAAAAGCAAAGACAGACTCTCCCTCCTCCACAGTGCTTGGGACAATGATCTCATAGCCCCCCGGGATTTTTATCCCCAAAGGGCTCCTCTCCATTCTGATTCTCTTGTAAGGAGGAAGGGAATAAAGGACTGGCAGAAGAAAAAAAAAAAAAAAAAAAGGAAAGAGATTAAAGAGAGACTCCCTCCCCTCCTACTCTCCAGATCCCCACATTTGAAATCTTTAGTGAGGTCTTCAAGCAATCAGATTCCATAACTTTTATTTTTAAATAGCTCTCAACTCTGAAGAAAGCCCTGAAGTCATGTCTAAGGTCAGTGGAACTATTTGCTCTAGGGAAATTTACTTAGAGGGAAAAGGTTCCATCTTCCCAGGTATCTATTTAAAAAGCCTTGGTCATCAAAGTCATCCTGCAAAGCCCTCTGACTTCTGAGCGAAGGCGAGCAATGTTTCTGGTCTCATGTTTGACGGACAGGATGTTGGCTTTAGATTAAACACATGTGGCGGCGTGAATGCTCTTCACGTGCGGCTGGCTCCCTTCACTGAAATCCAGGTTGTGCTCAGCAGGTTTCTGCCTGGTTTCTAACACTTACAGCACAAAGTCACCTCTTTAAACCAGGCTAGATCTTTGAAGATGTCTTCACTTTTCTGACTGCCTGTGAGAAAATGCAATGTGAGTTACATCAGTCCACCCTGAGACATAGCTTTCAAGAATGCCATTGATTCTGAGCTATACTCTGGATGTAATGACTGCCTCTGGGGCAAAAAACACACAACCATATTAAATATATGCATCGATTGTAAGTTGTCCTCTGATTCCAGAACAGAAATTCAGTGACATTAGTCCCTGTTTTCAGATGAGTAAGAAAAAGTAAAAAAGATTAAGTGATGCACTCAAGGCCACTTTAAAGGCCCCTCCATTCTCTTAACCAGCACACAACACTGCCTACCACAGTACTGTGAGTGTGGTTATGAAACTTTGCAATTGATGGCTCTGATGAAAATTGAGAGGCAATTGCACTGTGTTGAAAAAGTGGGTCCTGTTGAAGGCACGCTTTTTGACCAGGTAGGTGTGTCCTCTGCAGGAACTGGGGTGGAGAGGTCCGTGCAGATTTCTTGAAAATCTTATTTTTTATTTTTTATTTTTTTTGAGACGGAGTCTCACTCTGTCACCCAGGTTGGAGTGCAATGGCGCGATCTTGGCTCACTGCAACCTCCATCTCCCGGGTTCAAACGATTCTCCTGCCTCAGCCTCCTGAGTAGCTGGAACTACAGGCACATGCCACCACACCTGGCTAATTTTTGTATTTTTAGTAGACACGTAGTTTCACCGTGTTAGCCGGATGGTCTCGATCTCCTGACCTCGTGATCCGCCCCTCTTGGCTTCCCAAAGTGCTGGGATTACAGGCGTGAGCCACTGCACCCGGCCTGAAAATCCTATTTTTCTAATGAGGATTCCCTACAAATGTGGAAGGCATTTCTCTCTCTTCTCACCTATTATCCTTATGGGTCAAGGGAAGCTTCCAGGTAGGGGCTGGTTAGGACCAAGAAAGCACTTACAGTGAGGGGAGAACCAGTCTTAAGGCATGATACAGGTAAAAGGGGAAGAGAAATGGGGCTTCAGTCTCTTCATTCATTCATTCAGCAAACGTTGTTGCCCATTCAGCACCAGGTTCTCTGTAAGGTACAGGGAAAATGGAACAATAAAGCAGTCCTTGCCCTCAGGGAATATAGACTTAGAAGAAAAACAGGTAGCCTCTCATTTTCTGTTAATCCAAAAAATATTTATTAAGTATCAAGCACTGAAGAAATAGCAGGGAAGAAGTCAGACAAGTTCTCATCCTCATGGAGTTTACAGGCTAGTGGTAGGAGACACAGCTATTAAACACATAATTATACAGGTAATTAATTGCCATTGTGATTACTACAAAGAAGTGCAGAGTGCCAGGAGAGTCAGTTAAGAGTGCTGGAGAACCAGCAGGAAACCAGGAGGGCGCAGACCAAGAAGAAAATTACAGAGGGGAAGAACTCCAGAGGCAGCACCTGGGCCCAGCGGGTGTCAGCAGGGCTCAGGTCAGAGAGAGGCAGGACCTGCATGGAAGCTGAACAGGGGAGGCAGGCGGAGAGTAGAGAGCAAGTCATCTCTGCAGGAAGTGAGGAGTGGCCTCATGGAAATGGGTGGCGGCTCTTGAGACCATCCTTTCTCCCTTTCTTTCCTCCCTTTCCTTCCTTCCCTTCCTCCTTTCCTTTTTCCTTTCCTTTCTTCCTTTCTTTTTTTTTTTTTTTGAGACAGGGTCTTACTCTGTTGCCCAAGCTGGAATGCGGCGGTGCCATCAGAGCTTACTGTAGCCTCAATCTCCCAGGCTCAAGTGATCTTCCCACCTCCCATCTCAGCATCCCAGAGTAGCTAAGCCTGTAGGTGCACACCACCATGCCTGACTAATTTTTGTAGAGAAGGGGTCTTGCCATGTTGCCCAGGCTGGTCTTGAGCTCCTGTGCTCAAGCAATCCTCCCACCTCAGCCTCCCAAAGTGCTGGGATTACAGGCGTGAGCCACTGCACCCGGCCTTCCCTTGCTTTCTTGCTGATCAAAAATATTTATTGAGTATGCCATTCTGAAAACATTAAATTATTATCTTATTTGCCCACTGAGGTAGGTACCATCCCCGTTGCTACACAGACAAGGAGGCCAAGGCTCAGTAGGGTCAAATGTCTTGCCCCATCTCAGGTCACAGAGGTCTTGTGTGGCTGAGCTGGGGTTTAGACCTGGATCTGCCTTATTGCTTAGCCACAGGATTCTCTACTGCCCGGTCTTGATCACGGAAAAGAAGCTCTTCAGATCACACCCCTCAGCCTCACCATCATCTAACAGGTGAAGAAGAGAAGCTCCGAGGGGTAAACCAACTACCTGGTCCCCATTGTAAAGGTGGTGAGTGTCTGAGGGTTCTCCAAGGAAGTGCTCTCCCTGACCCATGAGGAATGTTCACCCTCCTCTGCAGAGGCAGCCAGGTAGAAGGAACCCTGACCTACTGGAATGATCTGGAAGTCAGTGGACATCTTGGGACTGTTTGGAGAGACAGGCTCCCCCTTCGACGGTACTGTTCAGGTAGTGAGGCATGTGGAAGGGACACACTAGTGGGTCCTGATTAGAGGAGGAAGAATGAGGAAACCGCAAATAATTCATATATTTTGTTTAAGGGAGACACATGAGTTATGTGTGTGTATAAAGACTAACAGGTGCCAACAGTCAACAGGTTTTGCCAAACTCTGAGGATTGCCAGGTGGACCAGAGCCAAGTCCTGCAGCTGGACTTCTGGCAGAAAGGGTCCCTTGTGGAGGCCAGAAGGAGAAGCTGGGACCAGTTATAACCTGGCTATCTTGGCTCTCCAAGTGCTCAGGAATCTGGAATCAATGAGAAGCGGAGATTCAGGCCGTATCTGTCCAAGGAGGGGGAGAAGAGGAAAGAATGGGAAGGGAATTAACTTTTACGGCAGACTCACACATGCCAAGCACTTCACAGGCTACCTCAATTAACACATGACATGGCGAGGAGGCTGGAGATGTGTTTTAGCCATGTGCTGTGGAAGAAGAAAAGGCAGAACACAAGTATTGGTAAGCTATCAGCCATCACCCTCACATAGGCTGACCCCCACGATGGGAAGCCCCACACCTTTTTTTTTTTTTTTAAGAGAGGGTCTTACACTGATGCCCAGGCGGGAGTGCAGTGTGGTGATCATGGCTCACTGCAGCCTTGACCTCCAGGGCTCACGCGATCCTCCACCTCAGCCTCCCAAGTAGCCGAGACCACAGCCACGTGGCACCACACTCAGCTTTTTTTTTTTTCTTTTTTGTAGAGATGAGGTTTCACTATATTGCCCAGGCTGGTCTCACACTCCTGGACTCAAGTGATCCTCCTGTCTCAACCTCCCAAAGTGTTTGGGATTACAGGCATGAGCCACCCCACCTGGCCAGAAAACTCCTTCTTAACTGTGGATTGAAGGGCAACCCCAAACTTCAACAAAATGTGAATTGGATCATTTCATAAATGCTGCTGAGGAAAATGGGTAAGTGTGGAATAAATTAAAATGAGACTTGTACATCACTCCCTAGACTTCTTGATTTCAAGGGAGCTAACGAGTTAAATCATTTAAAACTGCCACAAAGATTATGGGAAAACAGAAACACATATGCACCTCAACTGTGGAGGAGTGACAGTTTTTTAACTAAAATTAGTAGAGACCATGACAATCAGCTAAACAACAAGAACGAAAAAAGCAAGGGGCTGGAAAAATATATAAATGATGAGTTTGGTGACCCAGTTAGGTGGGAGAGTAAATATAAACTATGAGGGAAATACCCAGCATCCAATGGACAGACAGAGGGCCAACAACTTTGAGACACTTGGCAGAGGAGGGTCAAAAACTCAGGAACTATTTTAGTCTTTATAGTACTTAATGATATGCAAATATTGTGTCACAGCCAAGAAGACCCTAACTCTTATCAACGAATTTAGCAAAAATCAGTTAAAATGATGAGGCCCAAGGCTGATCTGTAGGAAAACCTCTGGGCATAAGAATCAGCTCAGCAGTCCGGAGGAAACCTGACAAGATGATGTATTCCTGTGCCCTGGGTGCACACGTATCTCACCCTTGGGGACAGATCTCAAGAAAACAACTCAAGTGCAATAGCAATTCAAGAGCGAGACTACCTGTCTGCCCAGGTGCCTGCAGTTATAGGCAGGTTGCCTAAAATCCTATGCTTGGATGTTCTGTTGCTATAAGAAGTCAGAGAGACAAGGGAGTTCATCCCAAGTCTGCCATTTACTAGCTGTGTGACTTTGGATAAGTCACTCAACCTCTCTGAGCCTCAGTTCCCTCTTGGATTAAAATGGGAATAGATCGCCACCTCCTTAGGTTGTGTTAAATGAGGTCATGGCTGTCAAGTGTCTACACAGTGCCCTGCATGGAGTGTTTGACAAAGGGTAGCTGTTGCTATTGGAGGATGACCACTGGACAGATCCTGGAGAGACAGTTCCTGCTTGCAAAGGATGAAGTAACATCAGGAAGTCTCAGCAGCTTTCTATCCTGAAGAGGAGCTGGTATCTTTGCCTCCTAGTTTATTTTTATTACAAAGCCAGAAAAAGGAAAATAAACCTCTGCCACAACTACTGACTCCACCAAAATGCAAAGGGAAGCTCTTCAAAGAGTGTTACATTGGTCTAATGCTGGGAGGAAAACGCTGGGTGAGGCTCCCACTCCCACCCAACGGTTTGAAGACTGGGGTGTCCCCAAGGGTCTGGAAATGCACATTTTTTGAGGCATGCTCTGTGACATGGGTTTTATAACAGTGAGTTGGGAATTTTCACCTCCGTTTTGTTTTTGAGACAGGGTCTTGCTCTTTCACCACTGCTGAAGTACAGTGACACGATCATGGCTCATCGCAGCCTCGACCTCCCGGACTCAAGCGACCCTCCCACCTCAGCCTCCCCAATAGCTGGAACTACAGGCATGTGCCACCAAGCCTGGCTAAGTTTTAAAAATTTAAATGGGGCCTCCCTATGTTGCCCAGGCTGGTCTCAAACTCCTAGGATCAAGTGATCCTCCCGCCTCGCCCTCCCAAAGTGCTGGGATTACAGGCGGGAGCCACCTCCGTTTTGAGAGAGAGAAAACCTGCCCAAGGTGGTAAGTCAAGAGACCCCCTATGACAGGTCCCCAGAGCCCTGCTGCTAACCACTGCACCTTGCTGCCTTCAGCTGCCCTGCCAGGAGCAGCTCGGGTGCGTGGCATGCGCCTGAAGAGATGCAGGAGGGAGGGTCTTGGAAGGGAGGGCTGGGCTGGGGGCAGGCCCCCCAGTGCTGGGGGGGTCGAGGGTCCTGGGCTCTCTCCCACCCGTTCGATTCCGGGAGCCCCTGAAACGCGCCCCACTGCACCGCCCTTCTCCCGCCAGCAGGGGGCGCCGAGGAGAGCGCGGGCTGAAGGCAGAGCCGACGCCGCTTCCCGGAGTCGGGACTCCGGGGTCCAGACCAAGGCTGCCGCTAGCCCGCGGCGAGGCTCTGGGACGACAACCGGGCGGGACTCAGGACCCCGGGCCCTGGCTAGAGGTCCGCCGCGCAACGCCACCACCCGGGTTGGCGCCTGCCCGGAAGCGCGGGCGTCCAGGGGGCGGGGCCGGGAAGCGCTTCCGGGGGCGGGGGGCGCGGGCTGGGGCGGCAGCCGGAGCGGCGGGGACTGGCCTGGCGCCGGCGGCGGCGGAGGGGGCGCCGCGGGCGGGCGATGTGAGCGCGGCGCTCTGGACAGGTGAGGCACGCTGGCCGGGGGCGGCGAGCAGCGGGCTAGGCGCGGGCGGGGCAGGCGGGGCAGGCGGGGCGGGGGGCAGTCCCCGGGCCGCTGTCCGGCTCCCTCTGGGCGCGGCGGGGCGGGAGCCTCCGCGCCTGGTCAGTCCCGCGGGCAGGCGGCCGGCGCGGGCGGGAGCCGAGGCCGGGCGGGGTCCGGAGGCCCCGGGCACCTGCTGGGGTCAGGCGCGCGTCCCCGAGGGGCCAGCTGTGCTCGGTCCTGGAGTCCCGGCGCCGCTGGCCCGGCTGAGGGTCGCGCTCGGGCAGCTGCCCTGGGCTCCCAGCCTCCGCCCGGGGCGTCTCGGGATCCCCAGCTTCCGGGCCCCTAGCCCTGGGGGCGCTCCCTTTTGTACGGGGAGGGAGGGCAGATGGTTGAGTTCCCTGGAGAGCCGGCCGGGCCAGGGGTCGGCCCTTCGGGTGGCTGCCACGGAGCCGCTGCCTCACGCCACCGCCTTCCTCCAGGTAAACAGGCGGCGGCGACGGGTTGCGCTTGGCCCCAGACGTCTCCGTGGCCACTCGCGCTCAGTTGGTCCTGCCATTGCGGAGGGCTGGGCTGGGGCTGACCGGGGTTGTAAACAGTGCCCTTCTAGGCCAAGTGGCTGTGCTTTCAGGGCGGCACTCGTCTGGGAGTCTCTGTCTTGAGGCCTTCCGCAAGCCCCTTCCATGCTAGGACTCAGTTTCCCCATGTGATCATTGAGGGTTTCATTTAACTCTCTAAGAACCCTTCTGGCTCTGCCATTCCGTGTATGTCTCAAATTGGAAGGGCTGTCCCTGATTCAAGATACTGGGCAGTTTCGCTGAAGACTTTGTCAGTGTGGACTTTTTAAGCCACTTACTGCATTTTGTTTCAGACAGGCTTTAAAATGATTTCAAGAAGCGTTTTCTAAACCTCACCTTAATCCTCATTCATCCCTTGCTTTTGTCCCTAGTAGTAGTTAATCACATTCCGCCGAGTTTTTGCATGCAGAATTTTTTGTTGTTTATATTTGCCCATTTTCTCTTTGTTCCCTAGTCCAGGCCCTCTTTGCTTCACATCTGGATTATTGCAACAGCTTCTAAGCTGGTCGCTGACTCCAGAGGTTCCCCCCTCCCCCATCCTTCCTTTATGCTAAAGCCAAACTTACTATAGGAAGTCAAAAAATAGTTGAGTGCTTGCTTGCTTATTAAATGGCAAGATGCTGTTCCATGTGGTGGGAAAGTAGTAGAAGGCACACTTACAGTCTCCAGGCAGCTTTACACAGGGTGCTGAGACATTACTTATGAAAAGGTAATTTTGATGAGACAAGGCTGTGTGCTGTAGAATTAAGAAGGAGAGATGGAGGTCACTGTAGGCCGAGTGGTTAGGGAGGGTTTAGTGAGGGGCGGGATTTGAGCCGGGTGTTAAAGGATGAGTAGCATTCAGATAGGAAAAGAGGAATCAGGCCCAGTGATCCTATGGAGTTAGTGAATAGACCAGTCTCCTGGCAGAGAAGGGTTCATATAGGAGGGAAGTAGGAGGAGAGGTGGGCCGCGGCTAGTTCCTCAACTCAAACACTAGGTCAAAGTTGAAACTACTGAAGGCATTGGTGAAGAAGCTAGAGGCCAGGAGATCAGTTAAGAGGCCACGGCAGTTATACCACTGTTCAAAGCTGAGTAGTGGCCTCTTGCCTGCCACGGTATGTCCAGCCACCGCCCACCCTGTCTTTTCAAGACTCTCCGTGGTTTGGCCCCACCCCACCTACCTGAACCTTATTCTCTGCTTCTCCAAGTCTGTCCCCTGCAGAACTGAGTTAGTTACGGCTTCTTGGGTTTTGCTTCTGTTGTTCCCCCTTCTGAAGCACTGGCCTCCTTTTTCTTTTCTGTGCAAATTCTCCATTTCACTTCCTTCAAGCCCCTGCTGCAGATATACTTCCTCCAGAGGGTGTTCCCTGACTTCCCTGCCCCCATGGCTTTGTGGCACTCGGATTCAGCACTTGTTCCTTGGCTGTTGAACTTGTTCTTGTCCCAACTGGAGTGGGAGTTTTTTTAAGGGCATTGTGTCTTAATACTCCTCTCGGAGACCTTATAGTATCTAATACTGGGGCTGGACTTCTATAATAGGTACTCAAATACTTCCTGATTTTTGTTGGTAAACAACTTTTTGTTTTGTTTTGTAATTTGCCTTTTTTTTTTTTTAAGGAGAATCTGTTTTTATCAGCTTTCTGTGTCATAGATAAGTGATATGTAATGCTACCATTCAAGGTGGATGTTTTCAGCTTGCTCTCTTAGGGTGCAGAAAGCACAAAACGAATCTTTGAAACTTTGAAACGTTTCCCTCTGATCATGGGAAAAGGTAAAAGTCATGTGATTCTTCATTCGGAGGCTGTGGGGAAAGAACAGCAGCTTTGGAATCAGAGACCTGGGTTTGAATCCTAGCAAGTCTGCTTACCAGCTCTGTGAAGTTGAGCAATTTATCTAATGCCTCTGAGCCTCCGTTTCTTATTTGCAGTGTGGAGGATAATAAAATCCAATGAACTGTAAACGAAAATGGAACGAAGTAGAAAAATGTGCAGCACCTAGTAACTGCTTAGTACATTTTCATTATTGTTATTGTCATTATTGGGTGTACATTTATCAAGGTGGAGAAATGATAAGCTGCTGAACTGTGTACCTACTGAGTTTTGGATTTCTGCACCGCTGTGTCCCCCCACTTTTGCCTTCCATTTGAAGCACTTGTCTAAAATGTCAGTACCATGAATCTAGTTACGTTTTATTCCCGTTAATGTTCATGTTACTTTAGTTTAAATTCTGCTTAATGTTTTTCAAACTTCTTAATTGTGTCTATTTAATGTTTTGTAGCTGACAAACTGCTGAATTTAGCTTAGTGAAGGTCATCAACTGAACGCAGTTAAATTTCTAATGGTTATTTTCTGGTTGATGTTGATGGCAAGGAAAACCTCATGGAAGAATGCAAGTCAAGGTGAGCTTTTCTAATCCTTTTGTCATAAGAGGCAGGACTTAATGTATTTTCCAGGGCCAGTGCCCCTGAAATGCTAGCCAGCAGTAAGCAGATAAGATGCTGTGCCTTACTATTTTTTAGTTATTTGCCTTAAGAAAGCTTATTTTATCTGAAACAAATCCTCTCAATTAATGATTAAAATATGAAACATCTTTTTTCCTACTTCACTGACAGAAGTAAAAATAAGGGACATTTTGCAAAGAAATGACTGCAAACCACTTGAAGTACAACATATTGTGACCCCTTAATCATCACAGTGTCAGACCCAGCCTGACTTTGTCTGTGTGGTGGAACATCCTTAAATGAGAATTCTCTTTCTACTCGGAGTTGATCAGTAAGAATCCAGCACCAATAAAAATCCTGCATCTCACCAGTATGCCTGGATTAAAATCTTACTCTTATAAGAGATAAGAGTTCTGAGTCTGAGACTGACAAATCTAGGTCCAAATCCTGGCTCAGCCAGTCATTAGCTGAGTGACCTTGGGTAAGTTTCTCAGCCTCTCTGGGTTTGCTTCCTCGTCTGTAGAATGGGGATAACTGCAGCCTCTTAGTGTCGTCTAAGAGCTTACTTACCATACTGTACACAGTAGGAGCCTACTGACCGTTAGTCCTTGTCATTGCTAGTAAAATTAAAGAGGCCATTCCTCTCCTGCTTGGAAAGCTCAGAAGAAGCTTCTGATGATGTTTTGCATTGACTAAAAGACAAATCGCACCCTCTTGGAATTAGTGTATCTGAGCAGACCTGGAGAATGTTAACGCCTTGGTAGGAAATGTAACAGTTTGGATAAAAATGTTCTTTCAGGCTCACATGAATTAATGCAGTAAGAACTCTAAACTTGTTTTCTTTTAAATTAGGATGAGTGCTTCATGAATATCCATCACAGAATGCCATTTTATTTATTTTTTTTTTCTTGCATTGGGTTTCAGTAGCACCAGAATGTTTCACACAGCCCTGGTGTTATTTGACTGCTGCTTTCTAAAAGATTAGATTGTAGCTCATGACAGCTCAATTTTGGTTTTAATCTAGACCCAGGCAGAAATACCTAGAAAAGTTATTTTTATATAATTGTTACTTCTGTTACCATGCCTTTTGTCTGCGGTGCTTCAGTCTGTGGTCTTTTTAATGACTTTGTATGAAAATGAAAATTAGGGATCTTCAGGTTTCCAGTGCCTGCCAGAGAAAGCCTCGTTTGAGCTGTGTCTCAGGTATCAGCAAATGACTGAAGCCAGCAGGTGCAAATCTGGGTTTGGAATCATGAGCATCTTGATTGAGAATAATGGGTACCTCCTGGTGCCTTAAACAACTTCCAAATTTGTAACTTTCCTTTCTTTTCTTGGAAGTGTAACTGGATATTTTTAAACAAAGTGTAGCATCTTGTGGAGCAAATTAGACTGTTTATGGGTTAGGTTGGAATAAGCCACCGTGCTAGATTTTGCTGTGGGCAGAGACGATCCCGCATCTCTGGGGTCTCCAGAAGGAAAAGTTCAGAGCTGAGGGTGCGGCTGTAGTGGCAGTCCATGGATCTTGAGCCACCAGCTTGTTTTAGTTGACATGTACTGAGAGCCTCTCTGCCCCAGACACACTGCTGGGCTCTGGGCACGCAGTCCCTGCCCTCAGAGAGCTCACCGCCAGGAGTGGAAGCTCAGCAGTGAGGAGTCTCACAGAATCAGCACATTTCTAATTGTTCAGCTTTTACATTTTTACTTTTGTTCTGGTTGTTGATATGTGGAGACAGTTCCAAGGCTTTATCCAAGAAAGTTGTAGAGGAGATTTTAAGGCCCAGGTGGGTGTTTTGCCCAGATGGCATCTGAGAGTCCCTTCTTATTTTTAGGTTCTCTGCAGAATGGGTCAGCAGTGTGAGAGGATGTCATTAGTTTTCCATTGTTGCATTTCCTCACAGCTTAACAGAATACGTGGTGCAGAATTTTACTTAAAGATACTAGCCAATGGGGCCGGGCGCAGTAGCTCATTCCTGTAATCCCAGCACTTTGGGAGGCTGAGGCAGGCGGATCCCTTGAGGCCAGGAGTTCGAGACCAGACTGGTCAACATGGTAAAACCCTGTCTCTACTAAAAACACAAAAATTAGCTGAATGTGGTGGCACATGCCTGTAATCCCAGCTACTCAGGAGGCTGAGGCATGAGAATCACTTGAACCTGGGTGGCGGAGGTTACAGTGAGCCGAGATTGCACCACTGCACTCCAGCCTGGGCACAGAGCAAGACTCTGTCTCAAAACAAAACAAAAACAAAACTAGTCAGTGGAAAGGCTTGAGGAGAGGGCTAGGTGAGGATGTTACCCCCTTCATCAGGTGCTGTGTTTCCATTCCTCTTTTCTAGGAGCAAACACCCTTTCTATTCTCAGCCTTCTCTCTTTTTTTTTTCCCTCCCCGAGTAACCTCATTTTACCAAAACGATCCTCAGTCAGTACACAGTCACTCCCAAATCAGTATCTTCGGGTCTAATATTTCTCTCTAGCTCCAGCCCCATATTTCCCACGACCCCGTGAAAAACCTGAGCCCAGCTTGTCCTGGCTGAGCTACGTGGCCTCCGAGTAGACACCATGCCTCAGTCTCCAGGTGCTGCCGCCAGAATTCTGTTTGAGTTCTCTGAGTATTCAAGGCCCTCCACCTTCTGACTGTGGCCTTCTCCTTCCATGGCCTTCCTTGTCCCTGAGCTGGGGCCACTGCATGCTGCCTGCTCTACCCCAGACGCTGTTTGCATTCCCCTGTGCCCTGTTCCTGCTTTTCCTTCTGTCTGGAGTGTTCTTTTTTTTCCCTTTGAAATGCAAGGCCTTGTTCAAAAATATCTTCCTCCATGAAGTTTTCTTTTGTTCTATTTTGATTTTTTAAAAATCTTTTTGGTCAAAAGTAATCAGCCTTGTATTGTTCCTTGTAGTTCTTCGTTTCTGCCTTTATAACTGTCTGCTTGATGTAATAATTATCCATTTGCAGCCCATCTTTCTACTCTAGATTCCTTGGTTTAAAAAATTATATATTTGTAGGTACTAACCTACATGGCTTAAAAAAAAATTTTAGTGAGAATAATAGTTATGTGATTTTTTAAATGCAAAGGTATAAAATAAAGTCTGTTTCCCTTCCCTCTCCTTAGTCCTTCCCCACAGTGACCACCATTAATAGTACCACGTGGTTCCTTCCAAAATGGATACAGCAAGCAACGTAATATAATTCCTTTACAAAACGTACATGAAGGGAATGACATATATGCATACATATTAGTCTACATCTTGCTGTTTTTGGCTAAATCTTAGCACTCCTTCCATATCAAAGCATACAGATCTACCCACTCTTCTTAATAGCTGCGTAGTATTTCATTGTTGATTATATTTTTTGAAACCAGTTTCCTTTGGGGGTTCCTTTTTTTTTTTTTTTTTGCTATAGCAAAGAAAAATTCTTAGTGGTTGTTCTCATATGTCTCTCTTACACTTTTGTAGGTCCTATATATTAGTAGGCTTAATTCCTCCCCGTTACTTGTGGACCAAAAGGTAAATGCCTTTTACATTTTGATAGATATTACCAAATTATTCATTCCTGAGGACTACACTTGCCAGCTCTTTTAAACTGTGTGCAAGGCTGATGGGTTAAAAATGGTATCTCATTATTTTTTCTTTTTGTATTTCAAACGTCTTTAATCAGAAGTAAATTTTAGCATCTTTGCTTCTTTTTTTGTCATTTTTCTTTTTTTTTTTTTTTTGAGCTGTTTGTATCCTTTGCCCATTCTCCCATAGGGGTTTTTTTTGTGTATGTCACCTAATTTGATTTGTAAATTAAGGAATTTGGAAAGTAGTTCTTTGTCAAATATGCATATATTTTTCCTCAATATATCATTTATCTTTTGGCTTTTGGCGAAAAGGGGTATTTTTTTTGTCATGTACTTTTACGTTGTCGAATGTATTTGTCTTTGCCTTTGTGGCGTCTGAGATTTATGTCATGCTTGGAAAGGCCTTTGTGTCAGTGTTATAAATAAATTCACCCATGTTGTCTTTCATTTTTTTGTTTTTTTTTTTTTGGTGATAAGTCTTTTTAAAATACTGGCATAGGAATAGAGTGGCATTAAATGGAAAGTAATAAGATCCTCCATACATTCCTTGGTGCTTTATAAGAAATTGGTTGACATGTGACACCTTTGAAAATTCAAAGGAGCTGTGTTTGCCATTGGTGGGCCACGGTATTTTATGTGACCCTCTAATGTTACATATAAGGGCAGTTATTGCCTTTTTGCCTCTTTTACTAACTCAGTGAGGGTGGGGAGCTGAATGGAAGAGCAGGGGCTTGAGTTACTGGTTTCTGTTCACCCTTCTCAGCCTCAGCCGTGAATGTGACATGATGGTCGCTTGCTCTTCCTGTTTTTGTCGAGTGGCTTTTTGTTCTTAAGCCCCTTTGGGTAAAATGCGTTAACCTGGATTGGGGGGTGTCTCTCCCTTGTGTGTTGTTGCAGAGCAGCCTCTTGCTGTCCTGATGCATGGGCGCAGTGATGGATTCTGTAGCTTTTTTGAGTGGGATCTTGCGAAGATGTCAAGCAGCATTACTTACCAAGCCTGTCGTCATATGGTCTCGCATCAGACCTTAATTTTCTTTTCAGCGCATCCATGCCTGCTTATTTCCAGAGCCCCCGCTTTGGCTTTGGACTTCAGGTCTGTGGGAGGAGTGTCCCAGGATGGCTCGTGCGGTCATTTCCAGGCAGTGCCGCTCTCCCTGTGGCTTGTACCCACAGTGCCTCACTGTGTGAGTGTCCTCCTGCTCTGGTTGCCCAGCCGGCCATCACTCCACAGCGTGTGTTCATTTCTCCCAAAGCTGCTCGCCTTCAGCTGTGCTCACCTTTGCAGTGTGGCTTCCATGTCTGCCGTCCTCTGGTGCTTTCAGACTTGGCTTCGTCACTGCTTGGTCAGTCCTGGAGGGCCCCTCACAGTTTGCTGTTGCTTTCAGGGCGCCGGTCTCAATGCTGCTTTGAATTCTGTTGAACTTGGGCTGAACCCTGTGTCTTCTTGGCAGCATCTGCTCTCTGTGACTTTCACCTTCAAACACCAAAAGGACCGGTTTACTTGAGCCCTAGATCTGTGGTTTCTAATTAATTGAGGCTTTCGCATGTAAAGATAGCTTTTTATTTAAAGCAAGTAGAGTGAGCCAGGGTCCGGGGCTCTGAGGAGGAAAGGGGGATCAAAGCTGTGAATATGGAGGGCATGATACACGGTGGCCGCGGGGCCCACCTGGAACATTCTTCTCCTCATAACCCTTCTGCTAGTGATTCTGGTCTAGAAAAGAGGGAGATTTTGCTCTACAAAGAGGGTGCTTCACTAAACTCCTACAGCTGAAATTGCTTGGTCACAGCGAATATGCAGATGTAATCTTGATGGATATTACTAAAATGCCCTCATTTGCCCTTCTCTATTCTGGGCAGCAATAGGGAGGATGTTTGCCCACCCCCACCCCCCACCCCATCTCCATCCCTTTCCTTGACACTGTCCTAGGGCAGGAATGTAACACAGGTCCAGCTCGCTAGGGATAAGGGGTTGTTGTATAGGGACCTAGATACGCACACTTCAGAAGGGTCCTGGGAAAGTCAGCTGCTTGGATCCTTGGTTTCCTCATCTTTAAAATGGGAGTCATTGTACCTGCCTTAAGGGGCAGGTTGGGAGGATTCAGAGACATACTGCGTCCTAAGCCTTACTTACGACATGCCTGGCATGTATTACACATTCAATAAAAGCTGGTCACGGATGATGACGGTGGTGGAGTGACTCTGCCAAGTAGAGGGGGAGGCTGAGGGGTGTGGCAGCAGGGGCAGTCATCCCCTTTCACAGCAGCCCAGGCTGGTGTGGGGGCGGCTGGGTGCCTGGAAGTAGGAGAATGTCGGTCCTGCCCACATCAGAGGTGGTCCTTCCCAGAAGCTACCTGGGAGACCAGTGGTGGCCTTGTGTGGTCACGGCAGAGGCTGTGTGTGAGGTGAAAGCTATTCCACAGGTGTGAAATTATTCTCTTTCTTTGTAAGAAAGTAAGATTTTGGAAGTAAGAAATTAAAGAAATTGAAAGAGCAGAAAGATTGTCTTTCCATTGATTGAGTGAACAGAAGAGACCTGTGAAGAAGTTGAGGAGGTGACAATTTTGAACTTACCAAAAAACCATTTCAACAAAGTTCTATCCATGTGTATTTTTTAAAAGAAGTATCTCACATTCTTTTTCCAGAGTATAGTTTTTATAAACAAAAACAGAATTTTTGTTAAAATACGTATCGATACTGAAAATAAATCCAGCTTGTATGTGCTTGTTTTTTAAATTAAAATAATAGCAGTGTAAATGTCTAATTTGGGTGTGGTTTTTTTGCCTAGAATAATGTGACAGAAACACCTATGATTAATCTCCTGAATTAAAGAGTTCTGGTTCTGATGGTTTTAGTGAGTGGAATAATCAAATTCATTTTTGTTTTCTGAGGCAGCTGCAAACTTAATCTAAATGAAAAACTAATATAAATCACTACTCTGCATTATCAAAAATGAATTCCATTCCCATCTCTCTCTGAGTGGGGAGGAATCTGCATTAAGCCTCTATCAAACTGCAAGACTGGGACTTGTATTCATCTTTGAATTCCCTTTGGTTTTCTGTATGTAAGAGATTGATATTGAGTGAATATTTCCTATAAATGTAGGAAAAATAATTTAAATTCCCAGTCAGTGTGCCATTTAGTGATTGCAATTAAATCTAATACTTGCAGCGCATGACAAAAGGCTAATTTCCTTAATTTGCGAAGAGCTCTGACAAATCAATAAAAAAGGCAAATAAGGGCAAAGGATATGAGTAGGCAGTTCAAAGACAAACTTAGACAAATTGCCATTAAACATGAGAAAAGATATCAACCTCATTTATAATTAAACAAATGCAGCCGGGCGCAGTGGCTCACGCCTGTAATCCCAGCACTTTGGGAGGCCGAGGTGGGTGGATCATCTGAGGTCAGGAGTTCAAGAACAGCCTGGCCAACATGGTGAAACCCCGTCTCTACTAAAAATACAAAAATTAGCCAAGCGTGGTGGCTTGCACCTGTGGCCTGAGTTACTAGGGAGGCTGAGGCAAGAGAATCACTTGAGCCTGGGAGGCGGAGGTTGCCTTGAGTGGAGGTTGCACCACTGCACTCCAGCCTGGGCCACAGAGTGAGACTCTGTCTCAAAAAAAAAAAAGCAGCACATCAAAACAATGAGGTACATCTTTCACCTATCAGTTTGGCTGAAAAAGTGAAAGGGTTCGATACCCATTGCTGGCCACTATGGGGAAGGAGGCCCTTCCCTGTGAACAGATAATTGCTGCTACCTCTTAGAGGGTAATTTGGCATTATCAACTGAAATGAAAAATTTACCACAATTCTGCTAGAAGTTGAGGCTACAGATTTACTTACATAAGAAAGCCAAGATGTAAGTGAGGGGGGTGTGTGTGTGTGTGTGTGTGTGTGTGTGTGTGGAGTGGGGGTGACATTCTGTGTTTGTAATGGCTTTCTTAGTATCAACTGGGAACTGGTTAAGTACGTTGTGATATAGCCATCCATGGAATACTATGAAGTTAGAAAAAAATAGGTCAGCGTGTATGTGCTGCTATGGAAAGATTTTTTTTCTTTTTTTTTTTTTTTGAGATGGAGTCTCGCTCTGTCGCCAGGCTGGAGTGCAGTGGCGCGATCTCGGCTCACTGCAACCTCCCCCTCCCAGGTTCAAGCAATTCTCCTTCCTCAGCCTCCCGAGTAGCTGGAATTACAGGCGCGTGCCACCACACCCAGCTAATTTTTGTATTTTTAGTAATCTTGATCTCTTGACCATGTGATCTGCCCACCTCGGCCTCCCAAAGTGCTGAGATTACAGGCGGAAAGATTTTAAGCTATATTAAATAGATTTCTTTAAAGTAGGGTACAGAACAGTTTATGCTGATAGATGTTGAAAATTTTCTCTGAAAGAATACCCCAAAACTCCTACCAGTGATTATCTTTGGGAAGAGGGGCTGGGGGAAAGTTTTATTATTTCTGTTCTGTGATCTGAAGTTCTACCATATGCATATATTGTATTTTAAAGATAAAATTAATTAAAAATTGGCCAGGTGCAGTGGCTCATGTCTGTAATTCCAGGACTTTGGGATGCTGAGGTGGGAGGATCCCTTGAGGCCAAGAATTCGAGACCAGCCTGGGCAACATAGTGAGACCCTGTCTCTACAAATTTTTTTTTTTTTTTGAAATGGAGATTCGCTCTTGTTGCCCAGGCTGGAGTACAATGGCACGATCTCGGCTCACTGCAACTTCCGCCTCCCGGGTTCAAGCGATACTCAGCCTCCCGAGTAGCTGGGATTACAGACGCCTGCTACCATGCCCGCCTAATTTTTTTTTGTATTTTCAGTAGAGACGGGGTTTTGCCATGTTGGCCAGGCTGGTCTCGACCTCCCAACCTGAGGTGCTCCACCCGCCTCGGCCTCCCAAAGTGCTGGGATTACAGGCGTGAGCCACCGCGCCCGGCCTACAAAAAACTTTTTTAAAAGCTGGGCACGGTGGTGCGTGCCTATAGTCTATAGGGAGCTATAGCTATAGGGAGGATAGCTTGGGCCTAGGAGGTTGAGGCTGCAGTGAGCCAAGATTTTGCCACTCTACTCCAGCCTGGGTGACAGAGTGAGATCCTGTCTCTAAGAAAATGTAATTCAAAATTGATCTAACTTAGGTGTAGGCCCACTGACATTCCACACAGGGGAGAAAATCAAGAGCTTCAAGAAACCAGTGAGTAGCCCATGTTGTAAAGCTGCTAGTACAGAGGGATAGAGGATCATATTTGAACTTGAATTGTGCCTACGTAAGAGGCTCTGACCTCCTCTATCCTGGGATCACTGGACCTGATAAATCTACACATGGAGTGTAGAACTTGTGATCGATGATGAGTTTCTCTTCCTTTAGTCTGGTCATATGGCTCAGACTGAAATTAACTGTAAGTTCACTATGTGCCAGTCATTTAGAAGCTTCTTGTTCAAGAGTGTGGCTTGTTAGCAGCTCTAGGGGGGAATCTTTGAATCTCATTGTCACTGTGGAAAGGAAGTGTTAATGTAAGGGAGAGGAGAGCAAAGCACTTCCTTTCTCATATTGCAGAAAAATGGAATCCCACTCTTAGGTGTTAATCATGGCGTTCCGTTTTTCTCAGTGATTATCTTTCAAGTGTAGTTCTCCACCTTTCTTCTGAGAAGTAGTTAAGGAAAAAACAGGAGGGGGAAGCCTCATTGGGAAGCCGCTTTCAGTTGTACATTCTATTTCAGAAATGCTCTGTTGCATTCCTTTCTGTACTGGTTTTTGCCCTGCAGTCCACACCTTTAAAAAGCCTGAACCCACCTTCCTTTTGTCCTTGCATTCCAAAAGTCACTATTTACGCACCCCGTGTCATGAGAATGCTATGATGAGTAGGTAACATTTGCCTATTTGTTAGGTGCCAGCTGAGTTGCATTTTTATAAGTTTTGCCAATTTGAGAAAGAAGTATTTTGTCTCATGTTTATGCATTTATTTATTTTTGAGACAATGTCTCACTCTATCACCCAGGCTGGAGGGTAGTGGCACAATCTCAGCTCATTGTAACCTTGACCTCCAGGACTCAAGCCATGCTCCCACCTCAGCCCCCCGAGTACCTGGGACTACAGGCGCCCACCATCTTGCCTGACTAATTTTTGTATTTTTAGTAGAGACAGGGTTTCACCACGTTGGCCAGGCTGGTCTCGAACTCCTGAGCTCAAACGATACGCCTAACTCGGCCTCCCAAAGTGCTGGGATTACAGGCATGAACCACCGTTCCTGGCCTCATATTGATGTTTGTTTACTGATGAAGTTGTTAAGCATTTTTTTTCTTTTCTTTTTTTGAGACGGAGTCTTGCTCTGTCGCCCAGGCTGGAGTGCAATGGTGCGATCTCGGCTCACTGCAACCTCCGCCTCCCGGGTTCAAGCGATTCTCCTGCCTCGGCCTCCCGAGTAGCTGGAATTACAGGCTCCCGCCACCACGCCCAGCTAATTTTTGTATTTTTAGTAGAGACAGGGTTGCACCAGGTCGATCAGGCTGTTCTGGAACTCCTGACCGCAGGTGATTTCACCCGCCTCAGCCTCCCAAAGTGCTGAGATTACAGGTGTGAGCCACTGTGCCTGGCCTAAGCATTTTTTCTCTACATGTAAAGGCTATTTTTATTTCTTTTTAAAAGCCTCTGTTCATACATAGTCGCGTTTTTCAGTTGTTACATTTGGCTTTTATTGATTTGTGAGAGACTCTGCTGTGTATGTTCTTTTTTTTTTTTTTTTTTTTTTTTTGAGACAGAGTCTTGCTGTCTCCTAGGCTGGAGTGCAGTGGTGCGATCTTGGCTCACTGCAAGCTCCGTCCTCCAGGTTCACGCCAGTCTCCTGCCTCAGCCTCCCGAGTAGCTGGGACTACAGGCGCCCGCCACCATGCCCGGCTAATTTTTTTTTTTTTTTGTATTTTTAGTAGAGATGGGGTTTCACCGTGTTCGCCAGGATGGTCTCAATCTCCTGACCTGGTGATCTGCCCGCCCCGGCCTCCCAAAGTGCTGGGATTACAGGCGTGAGCCACCACGCCCGGCCTCTGCTATGTATGTTCTAGGTATTTTTATTGTTTTCTACCTCGGTGTTTTGTTTTGTTTTGTTTTTTGCTGAAAAGTATTTTTTAGATATATAAAAGTTGTATTTCTTCTGTAGTTACTACGTTTGTTCTGGTATCTTTGTGTGCTTAGAAAAACCTCTAGAGGTTATTTTGGGGTATGCTGTGAAGAAGGATCTAAATTTATTATTAATTCAAATTCTCTAAGCAGCATCTATTTCAGTAATTCTCCCCTTTTTACTTACTTGAAATGGCCCGTGAGGCCATCTCAGTCTGATTTCTACCTTGACAATCTCAAGTGGCTTCTGTCCTGCCCCTTGCGCCTTGTTCCAGCTGTGCACACACTTCCAGCACGTCCTTCCTCCCCAACCCTTTGTACGTGTGATTCCTTCTGTCTGGACAGTTTCCCTGCAGCACCCCGATGCCCACATGTATCTGACTAACCTTTACTTGTCCTTTAGTTCTTATTTAAAATAGCAGTTGTTCACATAGGCTTCTCTGACCACTCCCCCATCGTGAAAGATCTCATAGCTTTTATCATGGTTTATGATGAGAGAATTAAAACTGATGGATCCCTAGTGCCTGACACTTAATACATACTTAGCCAATGAATTATAGCCCAATCACACATTTTGACATCTATAAGTTTGGTTGTATTTGTCTATTTCTAAAATTTCTTTAGTATTCTAGATCTGCACTATCCAGTTTGGTGGCCACTGACCACAGGCGACTGTTGAGCGCATGGAATGTGGTTAGTCCAAACCGAGCCATGCTGTGTGTAAAATACACATCAGATTTCAGAGACTTAGTGTGAAAAGAATGTAAAATGTCTCAACTTTCTGATATTGATTACATGCTGCAGTGATGTATTGGGTTATATAAAATATTACTACAATTTATTTTTTTAACTTTTAAAAAATGTAACTACTAGAAAGCATTAAATTACACATGCAGTGTCTTATATTTATGTTGGACCACAATGTTCTAGATGAATTTTAAAATCATTTTTTCGGATTTCTAAGAAAAGATTTCATCAGGCTATGTTATATTTATAAATTAATTTTGGGGGAGAGTGTCTCTCTTTATGGTATTGAATCATCCTGCCAGAAGCATGTTCTCTCTCTTCATTTATACAGGCTTTTGTCCATATTAAAATGAGTTGTATTTTTCTTGTTGACCCTGTTTTTTGCTTATCTTCCCCCACCCCTAGGTATTTTCTGGTTCCTGTTGCTATATTGTTGGTTGCACCTTATTGTCATTATCTTACCTGTTTTTATGTATAATTTTTTGAAACCCTCTACTTAGTAGATGCCTATTCTGACATTTTCCAAGTGATTCTCTTGGGTTTTCTCTAAATAATTTGCATATTATATCTGCATGTAATAGTAATTTTGTCTCTTTTTTAATGGCTACTTGCCTTAATGTTACTTTGGCTAGAAGTTCTGAAATAATGTTAAGTGAGAGTCGTGATGGCAGATAACCTTGTATATCTTCCCAGGCACTGATGGGAATGACTGCACTAAAGTTTTACCAAAGTGTGCTCCAGGGAACACTCATTCTTGGGAATATTAATATGTGTACCTTGAGAGAACAGTTCCACCATTAAATGAGTTTGCAAACTGCTGAGTTAAGCAGGATTCTTGTCCGCAGGACTTTTCTGATGGGATATTATGCTAATGTGTGTTTTAATCCCTAGGAGGTGAGGATATTGGGGCTAGCTATTGGGCTTGGGTTCTACTAAATGCATTTTGGGAAATGCAGACATCATGTTTCCTTTTTTTTTTTTTCCCTTCCGTCCTTCCCCCCTTCCCCCCTTTCCCCCTTCCCTCCTTTCCCCCCCTTTCCCCCTTCCCCCCTTCCCCTTCCTTCCTTCTTTTCCCTGTTAAGTATACCAACATATGCAGTGTTTCCTTTTTAAGGATGATGTTGCTATTGGTTTGTAGTAGATACACTTTATTGTATTAAGAAAGTATTGTTCTGTTTCTAGCCTATTATTTTTGCCTTACGCTGAAAGGGCATTTAACTTTTTCTCACATGCATTTTTGACATAGTATTGATTTGGTCATATGGGTTTTCTCCTGTACTTACTGATGTTGCAAATTATATTCATCTATTTATTTCTGAAGATGTAGACATCCTTACATTTGTGAAGCAGCTGTTCTTGGTCATAATATATTATTTTAATAGGTTGTATTTGCTAGCATTTCTGTTAGGACTTTAAAATCTATTTATTTAGATGAAGTAGACAGTTTTCTTCTTTCTGCTATTTGTCATCTTCTGGTATCAGATTTGTGCCATATGAACTGAGATGCTTTAAATGTTTTTACATGCATCTAGAACAGTGTGAACGGCCTGAAGATCATTTGTGCCTTGGCACTTCTGTTTCTTATTTAGTTCTGCCAATTTATGTTATCCTAAAAATATGTTCATTTCATACAGATTTCAAATTGATTTCAATCATAAATCTAGGATAAATAAGGGCACAGTATTCCTCTTCGACTAAAATGTTTTAACTCAAATTTCGATGTGATAAAAAAAAATTCGGACATGATCTAGGCACATTTAACTGATCCTTTCCTGTGAGAGCCTTAGATTTAGTTGCACGTTGTCTTGTCTTAAAATTTAAAAATTCCGTCTGTGATTATGTGCTGTTTTTCTGTATTAGTTATTTTCCTACTGTCTTTGGGCATCATTTGTTTTTCCTTTTCTGACCTCCTGAGTTCAGTCATTTCACTTGTTTTTAGTATTTATTGTTTAATGATAAAAACTCTTAAGGCACTGACTTTTCCTGTTACAGCTTTTTGTTGTTGTTGTTGTTTTTCGAAACTCCCAACATTTCATTTTGAAAAACCTCAAACAGAAAAGGTGAGAAAATTTCACAATAAGTGCCCAGATATCCACCATGTAGACTCTACAATTGTTAACATTTTACTGTGTTTGCTTTATCACATATCTGTCCATCTCTTTTTTGGAGATACATTCTCAAGTTGAAGACATGAGTAAACTTCACTCCTAAACCCAGATTTTACGTGTTTTCTCATTGTCTAAGTAGTTTTATTCCATTTAGATTTTTTTCTGATCTAATACTTAGGAGGTGTTTACATTTCTGTTGGTCAGGTTTTAAAATATAATTGTTAGATCTGGTTTTGTTATGTTTCTGTCAGAGGATGGAGCCGGGGCTATATATACTTAAGTAGTTCTGAGCAGTCTGGCGCTGCAGATTTTAGGCCACAGGAAGGAAACCTGTTGTAGGTGTGCCGCAGCTGTGAGCGCTAGTAGAAGGTGATTCCTTTTGATGTGTCCATCACCCTTTCACTCTTGTTGTCTAAAATAACTACTGTTTAAAAACACTGTCTTGGCAGAGCGCGGTGGCTCACGCCTGTTATCTCAGCACTTTGGGAGGCCGTGGCAGGCAGATCACTTGAGGTCAGGAGTTCGAGACCAGCCTGGCTAACATGGTGAAACCCCATCTCTACTGAAAATACAAAAACTAGCTGGGTGTGGTGGTGCACGCCTGTAGTCCAGCTACTCAGGAGGCTGAGGCAGGAGGATCACTTGAACCCAGGAGGCAGATGTTGCAGTGAGCCAAGATCATGCCATTGCACTCCGGACGACAGAGCGAGACTCCATCTGTAAAAATAAAATAAAAATAAATAAAATAAAATATTGTCTAAAATAACTCTTCACTGGTCGGGTGTGGCAGCTCACACTTGCAATCCTAGCACTTTGGGAAGCTGAGGTGGGAGGATCACGAGCTCAGGAGTTCAAGACCAGCCTGGGCAACATAATGAGACCTCATCTCTAATAAAAAATAGTAATAATAGGCCGGTGTGGTGACTCTTGCCTGTAATCCCAGGACTTTGGGAGGCCGAGGGGAGCAGATCACCTGAGGTCAGGAGTTCGAGACCAGCCTGGACAACATGGTGAAATCCCGTCTCTTCTAAAAATACAAAAATTAACTGGGCATGGTAGCGCATGCCTGTAATCCCAGCTATTCAGGAGGCTGAGGCATGAGAATTGCTTGAACCTAGGAGGCGGAGGTTTCAGTGAGCCGAGATCACGCCACTGCACTCCAGCCTGTGCAACAGAGCAAGATTCTGTCTCAAAAAAAAAAAAAAGTAATAATAACTCTTCACTGAAGGAGACTGAGCATGGTAAGTCTCAGCCAAAGCAACCCAACCCAAAAGAGATATAAAGGTGTACAGAGCTGAAGGGCAAACACACAAATCAAGACAATAATACTGAAAAGGGTTTAGCTCCATTTATTGTATCCAGTGTGCTACAGAGTTGAAAAATACCAATCAGAAATACACAAGTAAGGTAGAACATTTTTAGATGAATTTAGTTTTGTTTTTGTTTTGTTTTTTTTTTTTTTTTAGAAGGAGTCTCACTCTGTCCGCTAGGCTGGGATGCAGTGGTGTGCTCTCGGCTCACTGCAACCTCTGCCTTCTGAGGTCAAGCGATTCCCCTGCTGCAGCCTCCCAAGTAGCTGGAATTACAGGTGCACAACACCACACCAGGCTAATTTTTGTATTTTTAGTACAGATGGGGTTTTACCATGTTGGCCAGGTTGGTTTCAAACTCCTGACCTCAAGTGATCCGCCTCCCTCAGCCTCCCAAAGTGCTGGGATTATAGGTGTAAGCCACTGCGCCTGGCCTGAATTTAGTTATTTTTCACAAAGTACTTCAAACCCTCAAAAGTACTTGAAATGGGGAAATATTTTTCCTAAAAGGAGACCAATTTCTCAGTCAGAGCCAAAATAGTCCTACTATGTGTAAAATATTTTACTTTTGATCAAGATGAATATTAGGCAATTATGACATTAGGCTAATTGATCATTAGTTTATTTGGCTTTAGGTGAATTAACCAAAACATGAAAGACTAAAACAAGGGGAAGAATGCTTCAGGTAGATTTTAGGAGGTATGATAGCCACAATGGTATTGTTGTTGTAAGCTTGTGTTTATGCCACTTGTACTTAGTGAGGAGTCATTGGTGAATGATGCAAACTCTCTCTCTCCGCAGAGTACGCTTCATGTCAGTAGAAATGGACAGCAGCAGTTTTATTCAGTTTGATGTGCCCGAGTACAGCAGCACCGTTCTGAGCCAGCTAAACGAACTCCGCCTGCAGGGGAAACTATGTGACATCATTGTACACATTCAGGGTCAGCCATTCCGAGCCCACAAAGCAGTCCTTGCTGCCAGCTCCCCATATTTCCGGGACCATTCAGCGTTAAGTACCATGAGTGGCTTGTCAATATCAGTGATTAAAAATCCCAATGTGTTTGAGCAGTTGCTTTCTTTTTGTTACACTGGAAGAATGTCCTTGCAGCTGAAGGATGTTGTCAGTTTTCTGACTGCAGCCAGCTTTCTTCAGATGCAGTGTGTCATTGACAAGTGCACGCAGATCCTAGAGAGCATCCATTCCAAAATCAGCGTTGGAGATGTTGACTCTGTTACCGTCGGTGCTGAAGAGAATCCCGAGAGTCGAAACGGAGTGAAAGACAGCAGCTTCTTTGCCAACCCAGTGGAGATCTCTCCTCCATATTGCTCTCAGGGACGGCAGCCCACCGCAAGCAGTGACCTCCGGATGGAGACGACCCCCAGCAAAGCTTTGCGCAGCCGCTTACAGGAGGAGGGGCACTCAGACCGCGGGAGCAGTGGGAGCGTTTCTGAATATGAGATTCAGATAGAGGGAGACCATGAGCAAGGAGACCTATTGGTGAGGGAGAGCCAGATCACCGAGGTGAAAGTGAAGATGGAGAAGTCCGACCGGCCCAGCTGTTCCGACAGCTCCTCCCTGGGTGACGATGGGTACCACACCGAGATGGTTGATGGGGAACAAGTTGTGGCAGTGAATGTGGGCTCCTATGGTTCTGTGCTCCAGCACGCATACTCCTATTCCCAAGCAGCCTCACAGCCAACCAATGTATCAGAAGCTTTTGGAAGTTTGAGTAATTCCAGCCCATCCAGGTCCATGCTGAGCTGTTTCCGAGGAGGGCGTGCCCGCCAGAAGCGGGCTTTGTCTGTCCACCTGCACAGTGACCTGCAGGGCCTGGTGCAGGGCTCTGACAGTGAAGCCATGATGAACAACCCCGGGTATGAGAGCAGTCCCCGGGAGAGGAGTGCGAGAGGGCATTGGTACCCGTACAATGAGAGGTTGATCTGTATTTACTGTGGAAAGTCCTTCAACCAGAAAGGAAGCCTTGATAGGCACATGCGACTCCATATGGGAATCACCCCCTTTGTGTGCAAGTTCTGTGGGAAGAAGTACACACGGAAGGACCAACTGGAGTACCACATCCGGGGCCATACAGATGATAAACCATTCCGCTGTGAGATCTGCGGGAAGTGCTTTCCATTCCAAGGTACCCTCAACCAGCACTTGCGGAAAAACCACCCAGGCGTTGCTGAAGTCAGGAGTCGCATTGAGTCCCCCGAGAGAACAGATGTGTACGTGGAACAGAAACTAGAAAATGACGCATCGGCCTCAGAGATGGGCCTAGATTCCCGGATGGAAATTCACACAGTGTCTGATGCTCCCGATTAAGATGGTAAAGAAGTGCACCCAAACAAAGCACATTAATCAATGCATATTTGTGATTTGCTTTGTTGTAATCTTTGGTTTTCCCAACCATCTGGAAATCTCTTGGTCTCTTGGCAGTTTTTCTAAAGTTTCTGGATGGAACACTTCGTTGTGTTTATCCTTTCCCCTGCCCTCCCTCCCCGAAGGAGCTCAAAGCATGAAGGGCAACGCATCCAGGGAAAACACAGGCTGACAGTATTCCTCTTTGGCTGAACTCTTAATCCAAAATCTGCCAGTGATTTAGCTATGCCAACTGGTTGACCCTCCATTCTCTGCCAAGAGGCATACTCTTTCTCATTGTGTGCGCTGGCAGCAGTGCACTTCCACGGAGGGAGATTAGGATGCCGTCAGCTGATACAAATGGGTAACCTTTTCTAATTTAAAATTCCTTTTAGGGGGTAGTTAGACAATTTATATATATATATAATAAAACTATTATTATATATATAGTATATATACATTTTCAAATTTGATTTTATTCTGGTTGAGGTGAATGTAAGAGGAATATATAATTTAATACAATGTGAACAGGGCTTCTGAGTCTATCTCATCCCTACCTAATATGTTAGGGTTTTGCCCCTTCATTTCCCTTACAAAAGAATGTTAGTAGGTTTATATTAATCATTGTGTCCAAAAGCAAGCAAAGCAAATCACAGTGTTCACAGCTCTGCTTCATAACAAATACATAAACCAAATGCCATAAAATTTCTTCAACTCTAGTTGGAAACCGTTTGGAATTTTTGTTAGTTGTCCAGCAGGTAAGCTGGATGACCTGTGGTGCTGACCTTTTTACATAGTGTAGTGTTATATTAGCCAACCCCAAAGGAGCAGTGGTTTTCAAGGTTTTTACTGGCCTACAAATCTACCTTCATTCCGTACTGTAGAAACATACATACCAGGTAACTAAATCGAATCACTCTCTATCATGAGTTAGTACTCACTCGCACTTAAGGAAAGGGATTTGTAGTTCTGTCTACAAAATTCTCCAAGCAGTGTTGTGGTTTTTTTTGTTTTTGTTTTTTTTCTTTCTCTTTTCAAACAGCCAGTTCAGGTGCACAGCAACTTTTTCTACATGCAGTTCCCAGGGAAACTGCAGAACTTAGAATTTGTACTTTTTGTAAAGCTATACTCTATGGGAATTGCAAGCAATATATCTATCTTAGTATTGTGTGTGCTAATGAGAGCCTCAGTGGCTCCCCCACTCTCTCAGTGTTTCCTGCTTAAAGAACCAACAGTTTAAAAGCCCTCTAAGATACTCTGTGTGTCACCAAATCTGTGTGTCACCATTTTTTGGTCATGTGGTGCTATTTTTGTTAAGTGTCTTTTTAGGTCAGTATAGTTGTAGAAAATGTGAAATCTGATGGTAATAATGAATTATAATTGTTTTCCTCTCTTGAGTTCATAGCTTGAAAAGAGACCTCAAAAGCATGTGCTGGCAAACACGTTACTGTATGAAAACATACCTGAGTCCATTTGAATAATGTTTTATTAGTACTTTCGGAAATGTCTTCAGTTCTGTATTGTGTTCACATACACAAACAGGCTTTACAAGATTGCTTCGGTACTGTAAACTCTGGCAGAGAGTAATTTTGTAGGCAGTTTGGTGGTGAGTTTGTGCTGCAGGCTGCCTGTGGGATGTCAGCGTTCTGGTATCTGCCTGAGAACCTGGGCTCTGAGACGCACAACCAGTGCACCTCCATAGGAGAACAGTGCAGCCACCTAAAAGAAAAACGAACGAAGGACCAGCCTCAGAGGCTAGAAGTTAAAGGAATACAGAATTAGATGTTTGCTGGTTTTCTGTGCTTTTTTGGCTCCTAAAATACCAATGGTGGATTTGTTTTTGTTTTTGTTTTTTGTTTTGAGAAATAAAAAGTCATTCAAGCCCTTTGTGTGTAATAGCCCCCAGGGGTGGCAGCTGTGCAGTCGCATCTCTTTGGCACACAGGATCTGTTCACGTGTGAACTGCTGCGCTACACATCAGTGTTAACTCCCTACAGATTACACTCTAATCCCGCTGCTCCCGAGGAGCGGCTTTGCTAAATCGGGTATATAGTATATGCCTTTTTCCTCGTCAAACTGCCTAAGTAGGGGTTCGTTCTCTCCCTGAAGCACTTGTTCAACTCCTGTTAAAGCCGCGTGCCTCAAGGGGAGGCTGGACCCCAAGTGTTTACCCACTTAAATATGTTCTGGGGTTTCAGGTAAATGTTTGTGGGTTTTTTTTTCCTTACATGAATAAGTTTGGTTTTGATTTTTTTTTAATTGAATGCAAAAAATTTGTGTTGTGATACAAATTAAGTTTGTGACAAGAAATGCCCAAATCCAAGGACATAAGAGGTCAAGCTCAGGGAAGGAACCTCCTTTTCACTCAGGCTTGGGGCCTCCAGCGAGGTTTCCAGAGCATTCCATGGTATGAGAGACAGTGAGGAGGGAGGGCACCTGGCGCGGGCACTTCCAGCGTCCTGGCTCTTGGCATTGTCCGTCTTAACCTTATTTACATGGAGTTCTTTGTATTTGTGAATCTGTTTAACTGGTTTGAGTTTACCAAAGAGTGACTTATCCAAAATTGTCTTTGACAAAAATATCCATTGCTTTGATTGTACAGTTCAGGTTCAAACATTGTAATGGGACTGTTAAGGGGCAGAAAATTGATTGAGTTTCTCTCTAAGAATCATGATTCCACATTTTGCAAGTTCCACTTGCTCCCATTCGTGTTGCTAACACTTTACCCTTTCCACTGCTCGCAGTGTTAAGAATGAATTCTCAAGCCATAACACAGTACTGTAAAGTTCCGCAGGGCTTCGAGGGAGGCAGCGCCTAGGCCAGCACGGAGCTGTGTAGCCTCTCTGAGCGTTCGCACTGTCATGCTTCCCAGGGGTGTGACTGGTGAGAGATTAACTCCATTCAGATCGGGCAGCAGCAATTAATTGTGCCTTGCCGCATGAGGATGTGTCAGGAGGATTAACATGACCACAGAACCGAAACATTCTCTCCCTGAAGTTCACTTCACGTCTCCGCAGACGAAGTACGCTGTGTAACTCCTTAGAGCAACTCTTTTTGGAAAGCAAAGTCCCTATTTCTGTACAGTTTTAGGTTAGGTGTTTCATTTATAACAGATGCAGAAATCAATTAAGATAAAGTGATATGTGAAGAAATCTTTTACAGTAAAATATATCCTGAATTCATATAGGCTTGTTCATAATTGAGTCTCTTCTTGAGCTACCTTTTCAATATTAGACAATGTGAAGACAGTGACAGCGTCCTTTTCTAGAGATATTTAGCCTGTTATTACAAACTGTGAAGACAAAGAATTTTATACTTTTACTAATGTTTGTGGTTTTAAACAGTTATTTTCATTCTAATCAGTTCTCTACCCTCTAATTTCTACTAAAGCTGTAAATACATTTAGAAATTATATTTGTAAATACAGTATATGGAGACAAGTTAATTTTTTGGTCAGTGGAAAAAGCCTCCCAACCAATTGGCCCTGCCTTGGCAGTTGTGTTTTTTGTTGTTGTTGTTGTTGTTTTAGTTTAGTTTTTTTTTTTAAACAGCAGAAAGGATACTGTCGGTTCACTGTTGAGCAGAATATACTGTAGAACGAAAATGATAATTTTTAAATCTTCCAGAGCATGAGTAAATGTCTTTTCTAATGATAGCAAATATAACCAACTCTTTGTTTTTCCCTTAGCCCAGACCATATAGACCTGCGTATTTTGTGTGTGGTTTTGTTTTTATTTTTGTTCTTACAGCCTAGACCCTAGGAAAAATTTGCAGGAACACGAAACAAGGGCTGGGGGGAAAATCATCTATGTGAATGAGCTTTACTTTAAAGAGATCAATGTATTTTATTTTATCAACTTTTTCTCTTAGTTACTGTGATTTTTGTTGTTGTTGTCCTCGTTATTGTTAAATTCTGTAATGGTTTCCTGTGAAGCCTCCACTGAAAGGGACTCAAATATGCAACACCTAAACTATTTTCCAAGGGCACATGCCCCTTGAATGGTGCTTCTAGACTGGTCAGGGTTATTTATTAAATTTTATATATGAAAGTATTGGGGAATTATGTAAATTCTTTATATGAAACTATCTAGTTCATAAATCATAGATTTCATATTACTCAGTGCAACTGAACTAAAAGTTCAGAAAAGTCATTCACATTGTTCCAAATTTGTAATGGTTGTCACATGTCACATGCGTCTTTTTCAGTAAGTGCCAGAGTGTTCCCACTGTTTCTGCCCAGTGCTTGACTTCTCGGCCCGGAAGAGAACCTGCTTTCTCTGGTTTCCTTCCTGAGTCTGGCACAGACGGGGCTATTGTAGTTCTTGATCAAGTCCTGGAGTCAGCCTTGCCTGGCTCTCCTTGTAGCAGATTCAGTCCACAGACCTCTTGCTGCCCCTCAGTGACAAGTATGCTGTGAATTCAACCTTTGGACTTGCTGCCCAAGCCTTTGGTTGCTGCCCTGACTATTGTAAGAGGTAAACTTACCTGGTTTGTTTGAGAATGACCATTTTCCTAATGTGAAAACCATCTCTCTCACCACTTTTATTAGTAGGGCTAACATTTTTTTCCGTTATAAATGGTTGAGCAATTTGAATGACTTAACACAGTGTCATTATCTTGCAATATAAACTGGTAACCTCACAACTCCACACTTCATCACCATATGAAGTAAATGAAGCTAGCTAAGCGGATGCTGTATCAACTAGTAACTTGCCATTAAGGATTATTTTATAGCATGAATTTAAGACTATTTATTCAAATGATATTTTACTCTTGTATTCACTTTGTTTTAGATTTGTGACATGAATATTTCAGTGCTGCTTAATTTTGTTCTGAATTCTTGTTTCTTGCTTGTAAATGGCTTTTTTATGGTATAAATAAAGTCAATGGACATTGCTGTTTGTAAATAAAAATGCTGCTAGAGCAAATGTGCTGTGGTCTCCCTCTGCGTGGGCCCCCTGAGCTTCGGTGAGTGTCAGTGGCTCTGACAAACATCTGCAGTGTCATAGTTTCTGTAATCACTGTTTTTGAAAGGTGAGGGTTTCCTAAGAAGCTCTTGTGCCACCATCGTGCTGAAAAGAAGAGAAAGAAGCGAGTATATTTCTGACCTCTTGTGTGGCGACTGAATTGTCGGCCTCGGTCTGCACCCAGGCACCCCCAGAACAAATCGTGAATCCCTGCCCCTCGCGCCTGCAGAGAATATCTCTTGCTCAGTCGTCCACAAAGGGTGGGGTTGCCCAGGCTCTTCTGTCTCCACTCAGCCAGTTAACTCCCCCTCCTCCTCCAGGTTCCAGCCCAGGGACCCCTCTTCCCACCAGCAGCCCTCCAGGTCAGGCCCCTCTAACATAGCATTTGTTGAACTGTGTTCCTGCTCTTTGGAGCACCTATTTCAGTTTGTAATAGGATATTCATTAGCGAGATGATTCAGTTAGTATTTCTGCCTCTAACCTGGAGGCGCCCTGACAGCAGGGATTACAAACTCTTTTCTCTCCCTCAAGTATCCTCAGCACAGGACCCGGCACCACAGTAGGCACTCGGCAGTGTTCGTTGAGTGAATGAGCTAATGCGTGTCTCCCGAAGGTCGCACGAGGCAGTGTGGCTGGGATGCAGGCAAGATTGACCTCAGCTCCTGTGGGGCTGCGAGGTGACCTGCTCCTTACCCGTGAGTAACGGCTGCTGTTAAAGCAAATGCTCAGCAGGCCTCCTCTAGGGTGAGATGGGCGGTGATGGTGCACAGCAGGAAAGGTCCGTACAGGAACCAGCTTCACCTGCTAGCTAGGGGCCCGGGGATTCCTGAGGGAGGCAAGGGAATGCTGGAGAAAGTGCATGGGCTAGCATAACTGAAGGCCTGGCTGTCATCCCTGCCTTTGACTGTGACTTTTAGCAAGCCACCTACCTTCGTTAGCCCCAGTTTGACTCTGGTGACTCTGAAATGTGAGGCAATGGCTTCTGATGAATTTGCTTACTCCCTAAGGCCGGAAAAGTAGCGCCACATCAAGAAACGGGCGAGCTTCTTCTCCAGCAGGGTTCGAGGAATATCCCAAGGGCGTGGGGTCCTGGAAATAGGAGCATCAACTGAGGCCAACGCACTGAGTCGGAGCAGATGTTGTGTAGACCGCACTGAACAGCATTGCTGGCAAAGGCCATTGGCAGTCGTTGGCTCATCTTTCATTTGTCCTGATGTCAGACCTATCTTTACTCTGGTTTCTTCCAATTATAATTCATACAATTGTTGGCCAAGCCTGGGTGGCTTCAGGGATGCTTATTAATATTATAATGTCACAGGACAACCACTAATCCCCAATTGTCTGCTAGTCTTCACCTCTGTTTCCTGGACCATTTCCCTCAAGCTCCTCAATCCTCAGTGGCTGTTTTTTTGTTTTTTTTTTTCCTGAGACAGGGTCTTGCTCTGTCACCCGGGCTGGAGTGCAGTAGTGCGGTCACAGCTTTCTGCAGCCTCCACCTCCCGGGCTCAAGCAATCCTTCCACTTCAGCCTCTTGAGTAGCTGAGACTACAGGTGCACGCCACCATGTCTAATTTTTAATTTTCGTAGAAATGGGGTCTCATAACGTTGCCCAAGCTGGTCTCAAACTCCTGGGCTCAAGCGATCCTCCTGCCTCAGCCTCCCAAAGTGTTGGGATTATAGGTGTGAGCCACGTTGCCTAATTTTTTTTGTTGTTGTTGTTTTTAGACGGAGTCTCGCTCTGTCACCCAGGCTGGAGTGCAGTGGCGCGATCTCGGCTCACTGCAAATTCCGCCTCCTGGGTTCATGCCATTCTCCTGCCTCAGCCTCCCGAGTAGCTGGGACTACAGGTGCCCGCCACCACGCCCAGCTAAGTTTTTGTATTTTTAGTAGAGATGGGGTTTCACCGTGTTAGCCAGGATGGTCTCAATCTCCTGACCTCATGATCCGCCTGCTTCGGCCTCCCAAAGTGCTGGGATTACATGCGTGAGCCACCATGCCCAGCCTGATTAATTTTTAATTTTCGTAGAGATGGGGTCTCGCTATGTTGCCCAAGCTGGTCTCAAACTCCTGGGCTCAAGCAATCCTCCTGCCTTGGCCTCCCAAAGTGTTGGGATTATAGGTGTGAGCCACCTTGCCTGGCTCAATGGCACTTATTAAACATCTCCTATGAGGTTTTCCTTTGGTTTTTCACAGCAGACCAACCTTGCACATCTTTTGTCAGCATATGGGGCTCACAACTTCAGAACACAAAAGAAATGGCAGAGAGGCGACGGTGAAGGAAAGGCATTACAGACCACATCAACTTGGGATCATGCATGGACCCTGTGCTGTGTGGTTGCTGTGCTTTGCCTGGCCAAAGATGTACAATAAAGCTCACTGCTCTAGCACTCACTGGTGCCTGCAACACTGGTGTATGTGTGTTTTATTTTTTGAGACAAGATCTGTGTCATTCAGGCTGGAGTGCAGTGGTATGATTGTGGCTCACTGCAGCCTTGACCTCCCTTGCTCAATTGATCCTCCCACCTCAGCCTCCCAAGTAGCTGGGAGTGTGGGCACAGACCACCTCACCTCGCTAATGTTTTAATTTTTTTGTAGAGACAGGGTTTTGCCATGTTGCCTAGGCTGGTCTTGAACTCCTGTGCTCAAGTGATCCTCCTACCTCAGCCTCCCAAAGTGCCCCGCTTATGTGTGTATTTTAGGTGTACAAATGAGAGTGAAGGTCATTTTGAATTCTGTTCCCTTTCCCGGAGTGCTAGAAGTAGAAGGGGAAGACCTTTGCAGTTTCCTAACAGTGGGAGAAGGACCTCACGGGTGAGCTACTACCTGGCCTGCCAGTACTGGGGCTCCTATAGTTGTCCACATAAGTAATCTCCAGTTATGGAAACCAGCTGCCTCCCAAGGGACTCTGCAAATTTGACAGCTTTGGATGAGCCCCAAATCAGCCTCCCTGGAGCTTGCACCCCTGCTCTCTGTTCTACTCCATGGGACCACAGTATGTTTTAAATCTTCAGTGATGGCTGGGCACGGTGGCTCACACCTGTAATCCCAGCACTTTTGGAGGCCGAGGCGGGCGGATCACGAGGTCAAGAGATCAAGACCATCCTGGCCAACATGGTGAAACCCCATCTCTACTACAAATACAAAAATTAGCTGGCGTGGTGGCGTGCGCCTGTAGTCCCAGCTACTCAGGAGGCTGAGGCAGGACGCTTGAACCAGGGAGGCGGAGGTTGCAGTGAGCCGAGATTGCGCCACTGTACTCCAGCCTGGCGACAGAGCGAGACTCCATCTAAAAAAACAAAAACAAAAACAAACAAACAAAAAAATCTTCAGTGACAATATCCAGTCTGTCCAGCCCTCTCTTTGGGCTTCCCTAGGCAAAATGTGTCTCTGGGCTATCGCCTTTTCCCTGGAGTCCAGGCTTGGGGACAGATTTGCCCTTTCTCTCTGCCCACCGCCCCCCACCCTCCAGTTTAGGGACCTGTTTCCAACAGAATTTTCTTGGAACCAAGGTGGTGGAACCCATAACTTGGAGGAACACTTTTTGGCCAGCAAATTACTTTTATGTGACTGTTATTTTAACTAGCCTGTCTCTGCCAGATGATCTATTCATCACACATCTGGGGCCCAGGTGCTGTTTTCAGGGGTTTTTCTAAATCCTTTTTTCCCTCTTCAGCCCATTCCCTCTCTCCCCTTCCCTCTCCAGATATTCAGGTGAGAATCAGAAGCCAGCCATCACCTTTACTTTGAGAAATCTGGGCTCTGAGCGTCTTGCATCTGAATTTCCCCCAGGCCTCTCATGCCATCCATTCCCTTTGAGAGCTTCCTCCCGCTTCGATCACTGATTCTACCTGCTCTCCAGGGCGCTCTGGCTTCCTCGGGGAGCTGGGTCTCAGATCCCAGGCGCTGGTGCCACCTCAGGTTGGCACCAAGGCTGGGAAAAGGGTTTCCTGCCTTGCCTGGTTATCACCTTTGCAGAGGGAAGGCACTTGGGCCAGTTGCTAGTCTCACCCTCCTCCTCTTTGCCTGTTCATCATAGTGGCTTTTCCACGTTCTGGCCTCTCTCTCTCCTTCTTGCCCGCTGTGCCCTGATCAGGCTGGTGGTAAAATGGGAATGTTACTAGGTTCAATAGCTAAACTACTAGTTCCCTTCTTTTCTTCCACTGTGTGTCCCTCCCCCGACCTTCCCCCAGAACGGGCCTCCAGGAACCTTCTGCCACCAGGCTCTGTTGAAAGGCCCCACTTCCGACAGTGGTCAGGGGATGGCCAGCTGCAGGCCCTGTGAGTATTAAAGCCTTCCACCGTGAAGATAAAGCCGCAACTCTCTGTGATTGTACCTGTGGAAGTGGTTCCCAGGCCAGCACCCCTATGAAGTGTCAGGCATTATGTGAATAGAATGGTCTGGCCCAGCTGGAAAGGGTTGAGTCGTTCCCTTCCTGGGGGCTCTGTGTGGAAGATAAGGTCCACAGAACCTCATCAACTGCCCCCACAGGGCTGGCAAAGGCCTGGCAACCCTGAGAGATCTCAAGAGGGCAGAGGATTCAGGAACAGGGTATTCTGCACCTGGGACTTGCCCTGGGCACAAAGATGACCACTCACTTGGGTCCTGGAGGGCAGAATACAGGGAGAGCCAGTGCACACCTCCTGTAAGTGGAGGCCTCAGCCTAGGGCTGAGATTGCCTGGGGCTAGTTTGGAGGTCCCTTGAGAACTTATATCCTGCTGGAGGGAGGAGGGACCAGAAGAGGCCTAGTCTGAGGGAGGAGGCCCCGCTAGGTGAAGAGAGAACAGGCCCGTGAAACAAAATTCTGGTGAATTAAACTGTTAATTATAGAAAAATGAAGCCATAAACTAGTTTTTAAAACATTTTATTTATGTATTTTTATTTTTATGTTTTGAGATGGAGTCTCGCTCTGTCGCCATGCTGGAGTGCAGTGGTGCGATCTCGGCTCACTGAAACTTCCACCTCCTGGGTTCAAGAGATTCTCCTGCCTCAGCTTTCCGAATAGCTGGGACTATAGGAGTGCACCACCATGCCAGGCTAATTTTCGTATTTTTAGTAGAGATGGGGTCTCACCATGTTGGCCGGATGGTCTTGATCTCCTGACCTCGTGATCCACCTGCCTCAGCCTCCCAAAGTGCTGCGATTACAGGTGTGAGCCACAGTGCCCGGCCTATTTTTTATTTTTATTTTTTGGAGTTGGAGTCTTGCTTTGTCACCCAAGCTGGAGTGCAGTGGCATGATCTCGGCTCACTGCAACCTCCACCTCCCCAGTTCAAGTGATTCTCCTGCCTCAGCCTCCCAAGTAGCTGGGACTACAGGTGCGCACCACCATGCCTGGCTAATTTTTTTTTTTTTTTTTTTTTGTATTTTTAGTAAAGGTGGGGTTTCACCATGTTGGCCAGGTTGGTCTCGAACTCCTAACCTTTTGATCTGCCCACTTCGGCCTCCCAAAGTGCTGGGATTACAGGCGTAAGCCACTACTCCCGGCCTAGTTTTTTTTTATTTATTTTATTTTTTTAAAGGAGTTGAAGATTTACTTGCTTTTGCAGTAGGGAAGATATTATTAAGGATAAGACCAAAAAGAAGAAATCCTAAGGGGAAAAATAGATTTGACTATATACAATGTAAAATGTGTTTAGTAAAAGCAAAGCAAAAAAACCCCACATAATTGAAATGAAAACTACACATTTAAGAAAAAAAAAACTTTGCAACATATAGAACAAAGAGTTTGTAAAATTAATAAGAAAAAAGATGAATACTCCCATTTAAAAGGGGAAAGAACATGAAGCAATCCACAAAAGAAATACTGAAGGCTAATAAATATAATCCGTGGTAAAGGTGTTTTACCTCACTAGAAAACAAAGCAGCAATGAAAGCCAGTTTTCCTACCCATTCAGTTGGCAATACCCAGCATTGACAAGGGTAGGGGAAAATGGGACATTCTTATCCTGCTGTTGGAAATATAAGCTGGTATAACGAGTTCTGGAAGGTAATTTCGTATCATGTTTCAAAATTGTAAATGTATCACTCCCTTGATATAGCAGTACTACTTTTAAGAATTCAATCTAGGAAGATACTCTAAGTAACTGAAGATGTACAAATGTATTCATCCTAGTGTTGATTATAATATTGAAAAGTTGGAAGCCACTATAATGTCTATCTATAAATCTGGTACATTCCTACAATGCTATAGTAGGGAGTCATTAAAAATAATGTTGTAAGCTCGGCACGTGGCTCATGTCTGTAATCTCAGCACTTTGTGAGACCAAGGTTGGAGGATCACTTGAACCCAGGAGTTTGAGACCAGCCTGGGCAACATAGCAAGACCCCATGTCTACAATTAATAATCATGATAATAAAATGACTTATACATGTGTAAATAAACTTGTATGGCATGGGGAAATATCCATGATGCACTGTTGAGTGTGGAAAAGCAACTTAAAAAAGAACCTGTGTTGTGTGAGACTATTTAAGTCAAAGCATACACATGTGGTCAGGTGCAGTGGCTTATGCCTGTGATCCCAGCACTTTGGGAGGCCAAGGTGCATGGATTACTTGAGGTCAAGATTTCAAGACCAGCCTGGCCAACATGGTGAAACACTATCTCTACTAAAAATACAAAAATTAGCTGGGCGTGGTGGTGCACACCTGTAGTCCCAGCTACTCGGGAGGCTGAGGCAGGAGAATCGCTTGAACCAGGCAGTCAGAGGTTGCAGTGAGCCGAGATCGCACCACTGCGCTCCAGCCTGGTGACAGAGTGAGACTCCATCTCAAAAAAATAAAAAATAAATAAAGTATACACATGTATATGCAAGATATGATGTTATATTACATAATGTATAAATAATGGTCTCTATATTGGATACCTATGGGCATCTTTTTTTTTCTTTTGGAGACCGAGTCTCGCTCTGTTGCCCACACTGGAGTGCAGTGGAGTGATCTCGACTCACTGCAACCTCTGCCTCCCGGATTCAAGTGATTCCACTGCCTCACCTTCCTGAGTAGCTGGGATTACAGGCACGCACCACCACACATGGATAATTTTTGTATTTTTAGTAGAGACGGGGTTTCACATTGTTGGCCAGGCTGGCCTCAAACTCGTGACATCAGATGATCCACCTGCCTTGGCCTCCCAAAATGCTGGCATTACAGGTGTGAGCCACTGCTCCTGGCATATAGATATGTATTTTTGTTGAATGAGATAATGAGATAGTATACTTCACGAGACAAAATGTAGTAAATACTTTGTAAATGCTGGCAATTAGGAAATGAGGGTGGATAGGGTGGTTGGAGACAGATATTAAGGTGTATTTTATTTCAAGCTGAGAAATTTGGATTTTACCCTGTGGCCATGGGGAGGCAGTAGAACTCAATTCAACGAACATTTATGGAGCGTCTACTGTAGAAACGTCTACGTTAAAAAGGTCTTTTTATGGAGAATATTGCTGCAGAGAATGCCATTTGTATCAAGGCAAGGTCAATAAATTGGCTCTCCAAGGTAGATTGCCTTGGGAACTTCATCAGGGTCTGAGGCTAGTCCTCAGCCTTGCAGACCTAGAAATCTATCTTTGAGACACAGGGAAAGTGGATCTGAATCTGTCACTGACTTATAGTCACTACGTGTAAAACTGACATGTAGAATTAGAATGCCACCGTGTTAAATTTCAGAGACCTAGTAGAATGCAATAATCAGACATATTGCCACATTATTTTCAGCCACTTCTAGTAATACTAACGTGGAGGGCTGCCATTTCTTAGACATTTAACGAGCGCTGGACAATATACTAAGCACTTTTTTTTTTTTTTTTGAGATTGAGTCTCGCTCTGTTGCCCAGGCTGGAGTACAGTGGTGTGATCTCGGCTCACTGCAACCTCCACCTGCTGGGTTCAAGTGATTCTCCTGCCTCAGCCTCCCAAGTAGCTGGGATTACGCCACCCCAATGCCCAGCTAATTTTTGTATTTTTAGTAGAGACAGGGTTTCACCATGTTGTCTAGGCTAGTCTCGAAATCCTGACCTCAAGTGATCCACCCGCCTTGGCCTCCCAAAATGCTGGGATTACAGGCATGAGCCACTGTGCCTGGCCCAACAATATACTAAGCACTTTTCATGCATTATTTCCTTGCATCCTCAGAACAACTCTGAGGCAGATACTATTATTATATTCATTTTACAGAAGTGGAAACTGAGACTTCTGGAGATTCAGTTGGTCAGGGTTGTACAATATTGAGGTGGTGTGAAGTGGGATGTGCCTTCATAGCTTGCCCTACTTTAGACTGTATATGTCAATCATGTCCCAAACCTGTGCTAAGCATTAGGGACACAGTAGTGAGCAAAGCTGACAGCCCAGCCCTCATGGAAGCTTCGAGTTTAGCAGTGGAGAAACATCAGTCACATTAATCACATGGCCAGAATAGCACATAATCACAAAATGCAATGAAGAAAAGGTCAAGGGAAACAGGAGAGCCTATGGCAGGAGGATCTGACCCCATGTGGGAGCCACAGGAAGTGACACTTGAGAGAAACCTGATGGTGAGTAAGTTACTAGGGAAGGGGGTGGCAGGGAAGGAAAAACATTTCAAACAGAGGGAACAGCACGTGCAAGGGCCTTGAGGCTGGAAGAATCCTGACATATATAAGGAACCGAAAAAGGCCAAAGTGGATGGAGCACAGGAGAGCGGCCCAAGATGAGACACACAGAGGGCCCGTTGCTGGTGTTCAGCTCTGCATTTCCAGTGTGAACCTTGGTGACCCTCTTACAATGCTTCTGTGACCAAGCAACCTGCCTTCTTTTTTTTTTTTTTTTTTGAGATGGAGTCTTACTCTGTCACCCAAGCTGGAGTGCAGTGGCGCCATCTCGGCTCAGTGCAAGCTCTGCCTCCCGGGTTCACACCATTCTCCCGCCTCAGCCTCCCGAGTGGCTGGGACTACAGGCGCCCGCCACCACGCCCGGCTAATTTTGTGTTTTTGTATTTTTAGTAGAGATGGGGTTTCACCGTGTTAGCCAGGATGGTCTAGATCTCCTGACCTCGTGATCTGCCCACCTCATCCTCCCAAAGTGCTGGGATTACAGGCATGAGCCACCGCGCCCGGCTGCAAACTGCCTTCTAAAGAATCCACTCCTCTGTTAGAGTGGTTAACTTTTTCTTTTTCAGAGGACAGTCAAGTTTTCTTAGCCTGAGAGTCAACTCGTCTCTTTTTTTTATGAGACAGGGTCTCACTCTGTCACCCAGGCTGGAGTGTAGTGGTGTGATCACGTCTCACAGCAGCCTTGACCTCCCAGGCTCAAGCAATCTCCCTCAGCCTCCCAAGTAGCTGGGACTAAAGGTGGGTGTCACCACACCTGGTTAATGTTTTTCATTTTTTGTAGAGATGGGGTCTCACTATGTTGCCCAGGTTGGTCTTGAACTCCTGGGCTCAAGTGATGCCCCTGCCTTGGCCTCCCAAAGTGCTGGGATTACAGGCATGAGCCACTGCTCCTGGCCAATTTGTCTCTTTAAGGTGTCTTTGCATATCATAATTCTGCTTGCTTCACTTGGTTTTAAAGTTGGAGTTTCCGAAGACAGTCTGACTTCCTTTGTAGTTGTGTTTTTGGATCGTGCCTTTCTCTAGCCCCAGACGATATTATTACTGGTCTTCAAGCAAGGAAAGACTTTTTCTCTCAGACATGGGAGGGCAAGCTGCATCCCTCCCACAGAAGGGAAGGAAGCAGGGGTCCAGGCTTCTCAAATGTATCTGAGTCCACTTGGATAGTTGGGCTTGTATAAAGAGTCTCTCTTTAGCCCCACTAAAATGCAGTGCTTGGTGCTTGCTAGGCACTAGGCCACAGACATAAAGTCTTTATGGTCCCTGCCCCTGAACAGCTCACAGCCTCAGTTGTAACTTAGATTTAAAAAATGACTGGTGGTGGGTCTGGAGCGGTAGCTCATGCTTGTAATCCCAGCACTTCAGGAGGTGGGTGGATCACTTGAGGTCAGGAGTTCAAGACCAGCCTGGCCAACATGCCGAAACCCCGTCTCTACTAAAAATACAAAAATTAGCCAGGTGTGGTGGTGGTCGCCTGTAATCCCAGCTACTCAGGAGGCTGAGGCAAGAGAATTGCTTGAACCGCGGAGGTGGAGGTTGCAGTGAGCTGAGATTGCACCACTGCACTCCAGCCTAGGTGACAGAGCGAAACTCCGTCTCAAAAAAAAAAAAACAAAAAAACCACTCAGCAAACTATACATTTAAAATGGGAATATTTTATTTTAATTATACCCTAATAAAGTTGATTTTAAAAAGAAAAATATGTTAATATGGCAATACTGGGAGAGAAGTACAACCTATTTTCCTAGTATTAAGCTGGGTCCCTTCTTCAAACCTCTAAATCCTAGTAACCCCAAACGCTTCCCTTTTATTCACCCAGCCCGAGGGAGGGTAGCTTCCTTCCACAGTTATTGCCTCTCACAGTTTAGTGATCCTTTTTCATTTTTTCTTAGACTGCCAGTACATGTTTAACCCATTTCTTAAGTTATCTTTGCTGAAGTAACCAGTGTGATTTCTGTTTATTTTTTCTTTTTTTTTTTTTTTTTTTTTTGAGAAAAGGTCTCACTCTGTCGCCCAGGCTGGAGTGCAGTGGTGCAATCATGGCTCACTGCGGCCTCACCCTCCAGGGCTCAACTGATCCTCCCAGCTTGCCCTCCTGAGTAGCTGGGACTACAGGTGCACACCACCACACCTGGCTTATTTTTATATTTTTTGTAGAGTTGGGGTCTTGCTTTGTTGCCCAGACTGGTCTTCACCTCCTTGGCTCAAGCAATCTGCCCACCTTGGCCTCCCAAAGTGCTGGGATTACAGGTGTGAGCCACCACACCTGACTGATTTCTTTTTTTTCTTTTCTTTTTTTGAGATGGAGTCTCCCTCTTTCACCCAGGCTGGAGTGCAGTGGCATAATCTCGGCTGACTGCAAGCTCTGCCTCCCAGGTTCACGCCATTCTCCTGCCTCAGCCTCCTGAGTAGCTGGGACTACAGGCACCTGCCGCCACGCCCGGCTAATTTTTTGTATTTTTAGTAGAGACGGGGTTTCACCGTGTTAGCCAGGATGGTCTCGATCTCCTGACCTTGTGATCCACCCGCCTCGGCCTCCCAAAGCGCTAGGATTACAGGCGTGAGCCACCGTGCCCGGCCACACCTGGCTGATTTCTTTCTCTTGCCTAGGCTCTGACTGGTCTCTTCCGGATGGGACTCTGGGACTGGTTTGGTTGTTCTCTTGGTCTTGAATGCACTGCTGCCTCACTTGCCAATGGGAAAGCGCAAGTCGGAAACGCACAGCATATAGCAGCATCATGACTCATGAAATGATCCTCTGAAGTTGATTTTGATGAAATGTGGCTGCCACTTTTACTGATAGGCAGGAATACTAACTTCAAGGGCTGAGAAAGGAATGGCTTTCTCTGCCTGCACTAGAGCACTTACAGAAAGAAAATGAGAATCCACGGGCTTTTATGGTGGGTCTGAGTGCATCTCTTCTTTCTTGAGTGTGGGTCAACCTCAGTGAAAACCAGACCCAAACTTTGTGGGTTGCAGAATTAAAATATTAGTTGAACTCACAGCCTTGCCACATTTCTCATGAAAAATTTAGGGCATTGATTTAGAAAGATTGGAAGCCTGAGATCCTGAGAGGGGCATCCAGGCCGACTCAGGTAAATCTGAGAATCCCCAAACCCCTGAATGTCTGTGAGCCTCCTTCCCTTCTGTGGGAGGGACACAGCTTGCCTTCTCATGTCTGAGAGGAAAATTCCTTCCTTGCTTGAAGGCCAGCAATCATCTCACCTGGGACAGTGGCCTTGTATGGAGGTGTCCATTCTCTCCAAGACCCACTCCATCTACCACTTAATCACCCCTACAATTGTATCTAGCATCAGATTTCAGCATGCTTCAGAATACAAAGTGTGACCTGGAAGGAGATAGTAAATACTACAAAATGATCTTGCCATTTATTGAAATAATTTTGCCATTTATATCACAAAAACCTAAGGAGTGTGTTTGGCAGTAGTTAGACCAAGGAGGACAGAATGGAACACTGGACAGGGCTGAATTTATTTATATGGGTGCTCTGACCAGAGAGCCTGGATTCATTGTGCCAGCTCATGTAGCTAGAAGTGGCACAGTTTGCCAGGTTGCTTGACTGAAACTTGGATTCACTGAGGATGATGGGACTTATGGTGACAAAAGTCAAGTGGCAGGCAGCCTTTAAAAACCAGGCAGAGGCTGGGCGTGGTGGTTCACACCTGTAAACCCAGCACTTTGGGAAGTCGACGTGGGCGGATCACCTGAGGTCAGGAGTTCAAGACCAGCCTGGCCAACATGGTAAAACGCTATCTCTACTAAAAATACAAAAAAAAAAAAAAAAAGGCTGGGCGTGGTGGCTCACACCTGTAATCCCAGCACTTTGGGAGGCTGAGGCAAGTGGATCACCTGCGGTCAGGAGTTCGAGACCAGCCTAACATGGTGAAACCCCGTCTCTACTAAAAATACAAAAATTAGCCAGGCGTAGTGGCGGTGCCTGTAATCCCAGCTACTCAGGAGGCTGAGGCAGGAGAATCGCTTGAACCTGGGAGGTGGAGGTTGCAGTGAGCCGAGATTGCACCATTGCACTCCAGCCTGGGGGACAGGGCGAGACTCCGTCTCAAAAATAAATAAATAAATAAATCACACACACACACACACACACACACAATTAGCCAGGAGTGGTGGAGCACGCCTGTAGTCCCAGCTACTCAGGAGGCTGAGGCAGTAGAATCACTTGAACCTGGGAGTTGGAGGTTGCAGTGAGCTGAGATCGCGCCACTGCACTCCAGCCTGGGCGACAGAAGAAGACTCCATTTCAAAAAAAAATACCAGACAGAAGGCGGGCGTGACGGCCACCACGGGCAGCAAGAACACAGTGGCAATCAGAAGGTTATGAACTATAGGGGATCTCATGGGTGGTTAATTAATCACGGTATCTCCAGGGATGAAACAGGCAGCCTACTGAAATATTATTTGATTCATCATTATAATAGAAAATATTTCTAATTGCAGAAACCCAGCTTGGCTGGGCGCAGTGGCTCACGCTTGTAATCCCAGCACTTTGGGAGGCCGAGGCGGGTGGATCACGAGGTCAGAAGCTCAAGACCAGCCTGGCCAAGATGGTGAAACCCTGTCTCTGCTAAAAATACAAAAAATCAGTTGGGTGTGGTGGCACGCGCCTGTAATCCCAGCTACTCCAGAGGCTGAGGCAGAGAATCGCTTAAACCTGGAGGGGCAGAGGTTGCAGTGAGCCGAGATTGCGCCGCTGCACTCCAGCCTGGGGGACAGAGTGAGACTCTGTCTCAAAAAAATAAAAAAAATAAACAAGAGATCAAGACCATCCTGGCCAACATGGTGAAACCCCGTCTCCACTAAAAATACAAAAATTAGCTGGGCATGGTGGCACGAGCCTGTAGTCCCAGCTGCTCAGGAGGCTGAGGCAGGAGAATCGCTTGAACCCGGGAGGCGGAGGTTGCAGTGAGCTGAGATCACGCCACTGCACTCCAGCCTGGCGACAGAGCAAGACTCCGTCTAAAAAAAAAGAAAGCCAACTTAAGTGCCCATAATGGGAAGTTGTAACTTTTCACCTAGTTCTGGACCTAAGCCAGTTCATAGCCCTAGAGCCCCATAGTGGAAAGGAGATGAGGTTTCCTTGAGAAAGGATTCTGCAATACTGGCACCCGAGGTACCTGTAACTATTTACTAAAGTGACTGTGCATCTTTTGAGGAGTACTAGATACTGGCTCTGTCTTGGTCTGTTCAGGCTGCTATAACAAAATACCATAGACTGGGCGGCTTATAAACAACAGAAATTTATTTCTCACCGTTCTGGAGGCTGGGAAGTCCAAGATCAAGGTGCTGGCAGATTCAGTGTTGGGTGAGGGCCTGTTCCTCATGGACAGCCATCTTCTCACTGTAACTTTACGTGGTGAAAGAGGCAAGGCATCTTTCTGGGGGTCTCTTTTATAATGACACTAATCCCATTGGTGAGGGCAGGGCCCTCATGACCTAATCCCCTGCCAAAGGCCTTCCAAACGCCATCACCTTGGGGGTTAAGATTTCAGCATATGGCTGGGCTCACTGGCTCACGTCTGTAATCCTAGCACTTTGGGAGGCCGAGGCGGGCAGATTGCCTGAGCTCAGGAGTTCAAGACCAGCCTGGGCAACATGGTGAAACCCCATCTCTGCTAAAATACAAAAAAAAAGTTAGCTGGGCCTGGTGGCATGCGCCTATAGTCCCAGCTACTCAGGAGGCTGAGGCAGGAGAATCACTTGAACCCGGGAGGCAGAGGTTGCAGTGAGCGGAGATCATGCCACTGCACTCCAGCACTCTAGCCTGGGTGACAGAGCAAGACTCTGCCTCCAAAAAAAAAAAAAAAAAAAAAAAATTCAGCATATGAGGCCAGGCACGATGGCTTATGCCTGTAATCCCAGCACTTTGGGAGGTCGAGGCAGGCTAATTACTTGAGGTCAGGAGTTTGAGTCCAGCCTGGCCAACATGGAGAAACCCCGTCTCTACTAAAAGTATGAAAATTTGCTGGGTGTGGTGGCATGCACCTGTAATCCCAGCTACTCGGGAGGCTGAGGCATGAGGATCGCTTGAACCCTGGAGGCAGAGGTTGCAGCGAGCAAAGATTGCACCTCTGCGTTCCAGGGTGACAGACTGAGACTCTGTCTGCACCCCACCCCCGCCACCAAAAAAAATGGCCAGGTGAGGTGGCTCATGCCTGTAATCTCAGCACTTTGGGAGGCTGAGACAGGCGGATCACTTGAGGTTAGGAGTTTGAGACCAGCCTGGCCAACATGGTGAAACCCTGTCTCTACTAAAAATACAAAAATTAGCTGGGCATGGTGGTGGGCACCTGCAATGCCAGCTACTCGGGAGGCTAAGGCAGGAGAATCACTTGAACCCAGGAAGCAGAGGTTGCAGTGAGCCGAGATTGCGCCACTGCACTCCAGCCTGGGTGACAGAGTGAGACTCCATCATACACACACACAAAAAATACGAAAAAAATAAAAGGTTTCAGCATATGAATTTTGGGGGAACATAAACATTTAGTCTGTTACAGGGTCTAAATAGATGATGATAATTTCTGCCACACAAAGTACCACTGTGGTCCATGTGTCACAAACTAGGGGCTTATGGTGAGTAGGTAAAAAAAATGGGGTTTTGGCCAAAGTCTGTCTCACTGTGGGCCTGGCAGATCCATAGACCACCTATGGTCATTTCCACAGTTCTTGAATATATGATTGGAATAGACATACTCAATGACTGGCAGAACCCCCACGTTGACTCCCTGATCTGTGGAGTGAAGATTGTTAATGGTAGGTAGAGCCCAGTAGAAGCCCTTGGAATTTCCCTTCTTTACTAGGATACTTAACCAAAAGTAATACCATTTCCCCAGAGAGAATTGCAGAGAATGACATGAAAGACTTGAAATACATGGGGGTGGTAATTCCTGTCTCATTCCCATTTAATTTACCTGTTTGAACTGTACAAAAGGGATGATCTTGGAGAATATCTGTGGATTAGAGGTACTGTGGTCTATTTCTACTCATACTTCTGACACCAAATGCATGTTTTTTGTTTTTTGTTTTTCCATACCAACAACCAATTCTCCAACTTTCTAGACACCAGCTGGGTGTCCAGTGATTTGATTCTATTCCAACACTAACTACTTGGAGTTAGTGCAGACCCCACAGGTTAAGGGTAGAGTCCCACAATACTGCCCATACTCCACATGTCTGTCACAAGTCTGGGCCTCCCATACCTCTGACCAATCAGCTAGCAATTGGAGATTCCCACGATCCCCTTCTCATGTTTGATAATTTCCTAGAATAGCTCACAGAACTCAGAAAGGCACTTTGCTTATTAATACTGCCTTAATGTAAAGTATACAACTCAGGGACAGCCAAATGGAGGAGAATGGGGTAAGGGATGTGGGAATGTTCCTGGAACCAAGCCGGGTCCAGCTGCATTTTCTTGTGGCACAATAGCAAGAAGTAGACAAACTAAGAAAGAAGGGAACTTATTGCTGTAACCGGATACAGGGAGAAGGCTGGAGATAATTCCACCAGACCAACTCAAAGTGTTACAATTTTCTTAGTGCTTATACAGGTTGGGGTTATGTGCCTATGTGCCGTATAGCATTTGCCTAAGTCTATAGGTAACTAATTTTGTTTCAACTAGGTCAGAGGCCAAAAAAATGATTGCTAAGTCCAATTAAGGGGCCTCAGTACCTTCAAGGCCTGTCTACTGTGGTATCGGAGTGATTATTTTTGTCTTATCTCATTAACAGCTTGGGCCAGAGAGCTGCCTTAGACGGTCCAATAAATCTATTCACACAGCTGCCTCTGTTACCTTGACTTGTCTCAGATTTCGTCAACCTGAGACAGGTCCTGGCACTAGGAATGGAAGGCTGTCTCCATTATTTTGGCTTGCTCCAAGTTAGGGAGAAGCCCATGCAAGCCTCCTACTGACCATATGTTTCATGTCTAGCTTTGATGTCTGGGCACTGATTTCCCTAGGTTTAATTATTTGCTCAATGTTAAGGCAGCTCTGTGGAAATTTGCCTGTGTAACTGGAGTGCTGTGCAGCCTGTCTGTGTGACTGTCATGGAGGCCTGTTTATGTGATTGTCAAGGAGAATTGTCCTGCCACAGGAAGGCCTGCTCTCTCTGGGCACACCAGCCTCCCAGCACCTTGATGTGTTCAACCTAGAAGCTCTCTGAAGCCCACAGTTTAGGGGACTTTATGGAGGTTTTATTACTTAGGCATGATTGATTACACCATTGGCCACTGGTGATTGAAGTCAATCTCCAGCCCTTCTCTCCTGTCTGGAGGTTGGGGGTCAGGGCTGAATGTTCCAACCCTCTAATTACAAGGTTGGTTCCTCAGGCAATTAGCCCCCAACCCCGATGCTATCTAGGGGCCCACCAAGGGTCATCTCATTAGCATAAACGCAGGTATGGTTGAAAGGAGCTTATTATGAATAACAGAAGATGCTCTTCTCACCTCTATCACTCAGGAAATTACAAAGATTTTAGGAGCTCTGTGCCAGGAACCAGGGATGAAGACCAAATATATATTTTGTATTATGTTGCAGTATCTCAAGATGGTTACTTCAATTGCAGCTACTCTCCCAGATATGGAATCTATTGGAGCAAATCAGCATAATCCTTGGTACTTGGTATGCAGAGAGTGATTTAGAAAAAAGTCCTTTTTCTTTATCTTTTTCTTTTTCTTTTCTTTTCTTTTTTTCTTTGAGACAGAGTCTCACTCTGTCATCCAGGCTGGAGTGCAGTGGCACGATCTCGGCTCACTGCAACCTCCACCTCCCAGGTTCAAGCGATTCTCCTGCCTCAGCCTCCTGAGTAGCTGGGATTGCAGGTGCGTGCCACCACACCCGGCTAATTTTTGTATTTTTAGTAGAGACAGGGTTTCACCTTGTTGGTCAGGCTGGTCTCAAACTCCTGACCTCGTGATCCGCTTGCCTCGGCCTCCCAAAGTGCTGGGATTACAGGTGTGAGCCACTACACCCGGCCAAAAAGTCCTTTTTCTTTATGCAAAATTGCAGGGACCACCTAACATAGTCAACATAGTCAACTATATACCTTTTTCATCTCGCCTCAGGGCTTCCTCAATTCTCTTGCCCTCTTTCATAATCTAGTCCACAGAGATCTTGATTGTCTTGATATCCCATAGAACGTCACACTGGTTGACTACATTGATAAATCATGTGTACTGGTGTCAAGCCTACAGGATAAAGCAAGGTCAAGGCCAAGGTGTGATTGACAACTGATAAAGTTACAATGAGCCACTTTTACATTGTTTATTATTCAGACAGCAAAAAGAAGAATAGCTCGTGGGGAGTCAATATCTTTGGCAACCAAGAAGGTGATACTAGGCTGCTGCTAAGCAGTTTGCAGGACTGATTGTGTAGCTCTATCTATTCTGAGGGGTTGAACTGGGAAGTCTCATACCTCATCAGAACCTGGGAGCAATAAGAAACTGTCTCATGACAACCTCCTAGGGAAGATAGGAAGGTGAGTCCTCACAAGCTTTCCATCTTCTTGTGTTCCAGGAGGATTTCGAGGCATTCTTCCAAGATTCAGATAAGCTGCCATTCAAGCTTTTTTTTTTTTTTTATTTTTTTTATTTGAGACAGAGTCTTGCTCTATCACCAGGCTGGAGTGCAGTGCCGCGATCTCAACTCACTGCAACCTCTGCCTCCTGGGTTCAAGCAATTCCCCTGCCTCAGCCTCCCAAGTAGCTGGGACTACAGGCATGCGCCACCACACCCGGCTCATTTTTTGTAGTTTAGTAGAGACGAGGTTTCTCCATGTTGTCCAGGCTGGTCTCGATCGCCTGACCTCGTGATCCACCCACTTCAGCCTCCCAAAGTGCTGGGATTACAGGTGTGAGCCACTGTGCCCAGCTGCAATTCAAGGTTTTAATGCATGGCCTCTGTGGATAAGTGCAAGTTGCCAGAGTGCCATGGAGGAGCCGTTCCCCTACAACTGGATTACAGGGCAGGAAATAGCAAGTGTTTAGATGTCTTAGAAAGATACATGTGAGCCAAAGAGTGGGAAATAAGCCTCCCAAAGATTCAGGAGCCCACTACCTCAATGAAGTTCCTGAGGATCCAGTGGTTTGGGAGAATGTTGGGATATTCCTTCTAACATGAAATAAGAATGTTTCACCATACACTGCTTATCATTAAAAAGAAACACAATGCTTGGTGAGACTTTTTGGACTTTGGATACAACATATATTATATTTGAGTCAGCTGCTCTGACCCAGTTACCTGTTGAGCTGCTGATTTTGAGTGGGACCTATAGCAAGAGAAAGGTCTGGCGAAATCCAGACTGCAGTGCAAGGTTTTCTGCCACTTGGGCCTTATGACTAAGTAGATTCTTTGATGCTCCAAGTGTGTATGGTTAATAGGAGTGCTCCACGGAGCCTCTGCCGAGCCCCCAGTAGGAGGATGCAGACCTCTGCAAAGTCATACCCTTGTCTGTAGACAAGTTTCTCCTTTTGAGAAACATTTCATGTCTTGCTACTGAGCCCTTGTTGAAATTGAACACATAATGTGGGAATAGTGAGTGACTATGTGACTGAGCTGCTCATCAAGCATTGAGTATTATCTGATCCACCAAGCTGTAAGGTTGAGCATGGGCAGCAGCAATCCATCATCAAGTGGAAATGGTGTGGCCGGGCGCGGTGGCTCATGTCTGTAATCCCAACACTTTGGGAGGCTGAGGCGGGCAGATCACGAGGTCAGGAGTTCGAGACCAGCCTGACCAACATGGTGAAACTCCGTCTCTGCTAAAAATACAAAAATTAGCTGGGAGTGGTAGTGCGTGCCTGTAATCCTAGCTACTCGGGAGGCTGAGGCAGGAGAATTGCTTGAACCTGGGAGGCAGAGGTTGCAGTGAGCCAGATTTCACCATTGCACTCCAGCCTGGGCGACAAGAGCGAAACTCCGTCTCAAAAAAAAAAAAATCAATATATAATTGTACTTTATGTGTTTCTGTTTAGAGATACCTTGTTAATATACATTGTTGATTTGTTAACATTAAACTCGGCTGGGCGTGGTGGCTCATGCCTGTAATCCTAGCACTTTGGGAGGCTGAGACGGGTGGATCACCTGAGGTCAGGAGTTTGTGACCACTCTGGCCAACATGGTGAAACCCTGTCTCTACTAAAAATACAAAAATTAGCCAGGCGTGGTGGCGCGTCCCTGTAATCCCAGCTACCTGGGAGGCTGAGGCAGGAGAATCACTGGAACCCAAGAGGTGGAGGCTGCAGTGAGCCAAGATCTCATCACTGCACTCCAGCCTGGGCTACAAAGCGAGACTCAGTCTCAAACAAACAAGCAAACAAAAAAACACACACACACGCACGAAACTCACACCCAACAGCGCTATAACTTATGCCTGAATGAAGCGTTATCTAACTCATATATGTTCTCAATAAGGTCCGGCCACAGCCGGCTCGTGCTCAGGAACACCAGACAGCATTTCAGCGCTATACCTGGGGCCACTTTAATCAGTGCAATCACCCAGAAAAAGCACAAAAATATGAAACATATAGCACTAAATAGATGGAGAAAGGATATTTATTTATAGTACAAGAGGAAACAAGAAGACAGAGTGTTGTTTGACCTTAGCCGGGAGTGTATATATCGACCGACTCAAATTTTTACTGCTCTGTGCATGTCCATGAATGACCGCAAAAGTGCTGCAAGTATTCATTCTGGGATACAAATAAATTGTAGTGAGCAGGCTAATTCACAAATATGGAACTGGAATCCATGAATAATGAGGATCAACCGTATGTCTGTTTCAGCATGCCTACTTCTGCCATCTGCCAGGGTAGAGGAAGATGGTAGAGAATTTCCACTTCACTGAGAATTGGCCATTGTTTTTGCCAGGCTTCTGAGAGCCACCCCAATAGCTGGATTCCTCACTGGGGTATTAAATCCCTTGTCCTGGCTGGGCGTGGTGGCTCATACCTGTAATCCTAGCACTTTGGGAGGCCGAGGTGGGTGGATCACTTGAGGTCAGGAGTTCGAGACCAGCCTGGCCAACATGGTGAAAACCCATCTCTTAAAAAAAAAGAAATTTAGCTGGGTGTGGAGGTGTGTGCCTTGTAGTCCCAGCTACTCGGTAGGCTGAGGCAGGAGAATCGCTTGAACCCAGGAGGCAGAGGTTGCGGTGAGCCGAGATTGCAGCACTGTACTCCAGCCTGGGCGACAGAGCGAGACTCTTGTCTCAAATAAATAAATAAATCCCTTGTCCGGAGAAAATGTCCCTAAGTGAATGATTTCTTGCTTATCCAATCTCACATTCCAGCTTCCCTGATCAAGTACCCGCCAAATCCAATCCCAGGGGTACTCCCCCGGCTTGTGCCAGTACAAACTGGTTAATTTTTGCGATTTAGGGAGGGGATCTCTGTTCTCCCTTGTTTGGGCCAGTCTATCCCAAGCCAGGTTACTTTGGGATTTAATCCTAGCTTCCAGCCTGGCAGCCAGGAGTGGAAGTGGGGGCAGCACCCACGGGGGCATGTGTTGCCTGTGGCAGAAGAGCCTCTGTAGCATCTTCCAGCACAGCAATAGCTCCAGTCCTAACTCAGCTTGGGAAGCCCAGAGAGGCCTGGGGTACATCTCGTGGAGTCAACATCCTGAGGGATACCCATCCAGATGTCCTTATCCCATGTTTTAGAATCCTTGGTTTACCCCACCAGGGGATCCTGACCTTCACACAATAGACCTTCCTTGCCTGAATATTCGAACATCTCTGGGGCTCTAGAGTGTAGCTTAGCTCTTCAGCCTGCAACTCAATTGTGTCTATCCTTCACCACCACAGGTGATAAGAGCCTTTTTATAAGCTACCATCAAAGCTCTCTGGTTCTCATGCTTAGCCCTTAACTGCCCCTGAACAGCTCTCAGTCTCTGCTTATCCTTCTGCAACACAGCCAGTCAACTAACTTCCTCTGTCTTTGTCCACATTGTTCTCCCCATATTTTTCAGACTCTGGAAAATATGTGCCCAGCACAGCATTCTCCTCCATGGGGGTCTTTTCCCAGGTTGCTGTCAGTGAAATCTTTAGCATGTGAGCCACCACCTTGTTCCAGGGACTATCTGTGCTCCAGCAGGAGGGTATTCTCTTTGCCTATTGAGCAGTGGGTGAATCATCCCAAATCCACATCTCACCACCTATTTTCACTGCCTATTCCTGGGGCTTCTTGCGTCTGTCCAGGTTCACTAAGGAGCAGGTGCCATAACAGAATTAAACATGCAAGGATTGGCTGAGTGTGGTGGCTCACGCCTGTAATTCCAGCACTTTGGGAAGCCAAGGCGGGCAGATCACGAGGTCAGGAGTTCGAGACCAGCCTGGCCAATATGGGGAAACCCCGTCTTTACTAAAAATACAAAAATTAGCCGGGCGTGGCAGTGCACGCCTGTAGTCCCAGCTACTCAGGAGGCAGAGGCAGGAGAATCGCTTGAACCCGGGAGGCGGAGGTTGAGTGAGCTGAGATCGCACCACTGCACTCTAGTCGGGGAGACAGAGTGAGACTCTGTCTCAAAAAAACAAAAAAACGTGCAAGGATTTTATCAGGGGGAAATGGGTTGAGAGAGCCAGCAGACTGTGAATCAAGTCTGACCTCAAGTAAAGGAGAGAGGGAAGGGAGTGTGTGGAAGCATCCCATACTGCCACACAGTCCAACAAAGCGTCAGCAAGGCTGTCGGGCTGTCTTTGAGCCAAAGATTATCTATCACCAGAGGACTCCCATTGTCACCCGGGGCCAGGCCTGCCTTAGTATTCCTGCCATGGTCAGTCATTGGGTGCAGCCCATGGGTAACATGGCTTTGGTGCCAATGCTTTGATGGATTTCAGAGTGCAGAAGCTGAGCCCTTGGTCAAATAACCTCCCTATAGTTGGAAGTCTGCCAGGTGCATACTCATGGTCACTATAGGATTAACTCACTTTTCCTCAGGAGCACCCTGTAAGATAGGTACTCTGGATATTATCTTCTCAGAAATGAGAAAACCGAGGCATAAAGAGCTTTGGACACTTGTCCAAGGCCACATAGATGGGAATGGAAAAGCCAAGATCGTTTCCTAGAACTGACCAAATTCAAAATTTCACTCTCAGTCCCTATTCTTCCACCTCCTTCCTGCTTCCCATAGTGATGCCTGCTTTCCCTGACGCCCCTTGGTGGCACCTCACCATTGTACCTGTGTGCACAGGAAAAGCACCTGTGTCCCTAATGACAGTGCTCTTTCCTGCGCCCTATTTTCTGTCTTCTGATGCCCCCAGAGATACCAGCCACCAGGATCTGGAGGATACTTTATTCCAGAATCCTTATAACACCTGGGTGTTGATGGCCTCTGAGCAGGAGCTACCTCTTAGGCAACAGAAAAGAGTGGGTTATGGCCTGTATTAGTTATCTTTTGCTGTGTAACAATTTTATCCCAAATGTGGCAGCTTAAAATAACACACATTTATTATCTCAATGTTTCTATAGGTTAGGGACAGCTTTGCTAGGCCCTCTTCTTCAGAGTCTCACAGGCTATAATCAAGGTGTTGGCTGTGGCTGCAGTCACATCTGAGGCTCAACAGTTGAAGGATCTGCTTCTGAGCTCATGTGATTATTGGCAGCATTCTGTTCCTTTCAGGCTGCTGGGCTGAGGGCCCCAGATTCATTGTTTCTTTCTTTCTTTCTTTCTTTCTTTCTTTCTTTCTTTCTTTCTTTTTTTTTGAGACGGAGTCTCACTGGGTCGCCTAGGCTGGAGTGCAGTGGCACAATCTCGGCTCACTGCAACCTCTGCCTCCTGAGTTCGAGTGATTCTCTTAACTCAGCCTCCTGAGTAGCTGGGATTACAGGTGTGTGCCACAATGCCCGGCTTATTTTTGTATTTTTAGTAGAGATGGGGTTTCACCATGTTGGTCAGGCTGGTCTCGAACTTCTGACCTCATGATCTGCCCGCCTCGGGCTCCCAAAGTGCTGGGATTACAGGTGTGAGCCACCGTGCTCGGCCAAAGGCCCCCCCAGTTTCCTGCTGGCTGTTGGCTGGAGCCTGCCCTCCGTTCCTTGCTGCGTGGTCTTCTCTATAGGGCAGCTCACACCATGGTGGCTTAGATCTTCAAGGCCAGCAAGAGAGTCTCCTAGCAAGATGGGTTACAGTTTTCTGTAATGCAATCACATACCTCCTAAAGCCTTTGGCTCATTCTATTGGCTAGGAGCAAGTCAGGTCCTGCCCACACAAGGGCAGGGACATAATGAGGTGGGCATTATGGGGACACCTTAGAGTCTGTCTGTCACACCTTCCTTATGGGTCAGCATCTCTAATGAGAACAACTCCTTGAACCTTCCCAAGTTTGGCTCTCCATGAAGTATAAGTTTGTGCAAAGACAGCCGGGTTGAGGCTTGACCCTTGGTGATTTCTCCAATCCTCCTTTCCTCCTGTGGCTCAAAAGTTCCTTTCCCTCATGGAGAGTGACTCAAACACATCAGATACTAAGAATGTGCCCATTTCACCAGCACATCACACTTTGACAGTGAACTCTAGTGGGCACAGCTAAGATCCTCTCCACATCCTGTTACACATATTTAAGCATGGGAATGATGGGATTGACCAGACTTTACAATAACTTCATTTTATTTATTTATTTATTTTTTGAGATGGAGTCTCACTGTATTGCCCAGGCTGGAGTGCAGTGGTGTGTGATCTTGGCTCACTGCAGCCTCCACCTCCTGGGTTCAAGTGATTCTCCTGCCTCAGCCTCCCAAGTAGCTGGGACTACAGGCATGTATCACTGTACCTAGCTAATTTTTGTATTTTTAGTAGAGACGGGGTTTTGCCATGTTGGGCAGGCTGGTTTCAAACTTCTGACCTCAGTTGATCTGCCTGCTTTGGCCTCCCAAAGTGCTGGAATTACAGGTGTGAGCCACTGCGCCTGGCCAACAATAACTTTAAAAAATAGCTTTATTGGCCAGGTGTGGTAGCTCACACCTATAATCCCAGTACTTTAGGAGGCCGAGTCGGGCGGATCATGAGGTCAGGAGATCGAGACCACCCTGGCCCTGTCTCTACTAAAAATACAAAACATTAGCCGGGTGTGGTGGCACCCACCTATAGTCCCAGCTACTTGGGAGGCTGAGGCAGGAGAATCACTTGAACCCGGGAGGCGGAGGTTGCAGTGAGCCGAGATTGTGCCACCTCACTCCAGCCTGGGCAACAGAATGAGACTCCGTCTCAAAAAAAAAAAAAAAAAAAAGCTTTATTGAGATATAATTAACCCACTTAGAGAGTATAATTCGGCCAGACATGGTGGCTCATGCCTGTAATCCCAGCATTTTGGGAGGCCGAGGCGGGCAGATCACTTGAGGTCAGGAGTTCAGAACCAGACTGCCAACAAGGCGAAACCCTGTCTCTACAAAAATACAGAAATTAGCCAGGTGTGGTGGCATACACCTGCAGTCCCAGCTACTCAGGAGGCTGAGGCAGGAGAATTGCTCGAACCCAGGAGGCAGAAGCTGCAGTGAGCTGAGATCGTGCCACTGCACTCCAGCCTGCACAACAGAGTGAGACTGTTAAAAAAAAAAAAAAAAAAGAAAGAAAAGAAAAAGAAAGAGAAAAAAAGAAAAAAAAAGAGCGAGAGTATAATTCAATGGCTTTTAGTATATTCAGAGTTTTACAACCATCACCACAATTAATTTTAGAACACTTTCATCCTCTTCCAAAGAAACTCCTAAGTTGTTGCCCCTAAATCCTCCTCTCCTTCAGCCTTAGACAGCCACTTTGTCTACCCTCCATCTCTATAGATTTGCTTATTACGGACATTTCATATAAAAGGGATCATATAATACGTGGTCTAGCTTCTTTCGCTTAGCATGTTTTTAAGTTTCATCCATGTCGTAGCATGCATCAGTACTTCATTTCCTTGTATAGACAAACCATATTTTATTTATCTATTCATCACTTGATAGACATTTGGGTTATTCACATTTTTTGATATTGTGAATGATGCTGCCGTGAACACCTGTCTACAAGTTTTTGTGCAGACATGTTGTGTCCATTTCTTCTTGGGTGGTAAGTAGGAGTGGAGTGATTGAGTCATATGCTAACTCTATGTTTTCTAAAGTGGTTGTACCATTTTATATTTCCACCAGCAGTGTATAAGGGTTCCATTCTCTCTCTCTCTTTTTTTTTTTTTTTTTGAGAGGGAGTTTCACTCTTGTCCTCCAGACTGGAGTGCAATGGCGCCATCTCAGCTCACTGCAACCTCCACTTCCCAGGTTCGAGTGATTTTCTTGCCTCAGCTGGGATTATAGCCACTTGCCACCACACCCAGCTAATTTTTTTGTATTTTTAGTAGAGATGGGGTTTCACCATGTTGGCCAGGCTGGTCTTGAACTCCTGACCGCAGGTGATCCACCCACCTTGGGAGACAGGCGTGAGCCACCACGCCCAGCCAAGGGTTCTATTCTCTTCACCTTCTCATCAACACTTGTTATTGTCTATCTTATTTGTTGTAGCCATCCTAATGGGTGTGAAGTGGTATCTCATTGTGGTTTTGATTTGCATTTTCCTAATGGCTAATGATATTGAGCACTTTTTCATGTGCTTATTGACCACTGTGTATCTTCTTTGGAGAAATGTCTATTCAGATCCTTCTCTCTCTCTCTCTTTCTCAGACTGCACTTGGCTTTATTGCTTTAAGAAACCTATTATTTCTCGCTTATCACCATCTAAACTTTTCTGTCTTCTTTAACGTTGAACTCCCTTCTTCCTTGCTTCATTTTACTCCCATAGCACTTTTCTCTATCTAGCCTACTACTGTAAATATTGATTTTAATAGCTGCCTTACCCCACTAGAATGTCAACTCCACGAGGACAAGAATTTTTGTCTCTTTTATTCACTGCTGTTTTCTCAGCATTTACAGTAGCACTTGGCGCATAGCAGAGAACCATTAGATATTTGTAGAAAGAATGAATACATCCTTCTGGAAGCATCAAGAATCAATATTAAATGACCTTTCCTCATTTTAAAATTGGGTTTATAATAACTTCTAATATATCACAAAAGAATCTGTGTTCATTGAAAAAACTTAGAAAGTATGCATAAGCATAATAAAAGTATAGATGCCATTTAGCAAGCGTACATTGCACACACTTCTGTGCTTGCCCAAAGTCACACAGGTAAATATAATAGTAGCCAATGTTTATTGAGGTCCTGTTAGGTGCCAGGCACTCTTCCATGTATCATCTCATTAATTCCTGCCAACAGCCTGTCTAAAGAGGTTGCTACTTTTATCATTCTCATCTTTCAATAAAGAAACCGAGGCAGGTTGGGCGCGGTGGCTCAAGCCTGTAATCCCAGCACTTTGGGAGGCCAAGGTAGGCAGATCACCTGAGGTCAGGAGTTCGCGACCAACCTGGCTAACATGGTGAAAACCCATCTCTACTAAAATACAAAAATTAGCTGAGCATGGTGTGTCTGGCGTCTGTAATCCCAGCTACTTGGGAGGCTGAGGCAGGAGAATTGCTTGAACCTGGGAGACGGAGGTTGCAGTGAGCCAAGATCGTGCCACTGCACTCCAGCCTGGGCAACAGAGCAAGACTCCGTCTCAAAAAAAAAAAAAAAAAAAAAGAAAGAAACGGAGGCACATAGATATGCTAAGTAACTTGCTCACATGTACACAGCTTGCTGGTGGCAGAGCCAGGGCAGAACCATTGCACTACACTGTCTCTTGTTCTCTCTCTCTCTTCTTTTTTTTTTTTGGGACGAAGTCTCGCTCTGTCGCCCAGGCTGGAGTGCAGTGGTGCGATCTCAGCTCACTGCAAGCACCGCCTCCCAAGTTCACGCCGTTCTCCTGCCTCAGCCTCCCGAGTAGCTGGGACTACAGGCGTCCGCACCACGCCCGGCTAATTTTTTGTATTTTTAGTAGAGACAGGTTTTCACCATGTTAGCCAGGATGGTCTCTCTCTCTTTTTTGAGACAGGGTATCGCTCTGTCATCCAGGCTGGAGTGCAGTGGCGCCATCACTTGAGGCTCACTGCAGCCTTGACCTCCCGGGCTCAAGTGATACTCCCATCTCACTCTCCTGAGTAGCTGGGACTACAGTCTGCGCCACCACGCCTCGCTAATTTTTGTATTGTTATTAGAGACAGGGTCTGGCCATGTTGCCCAGGCTGGTCTCACACTTCTGAACTCAAGCAATCCTCCCGCTTTGGCTTCCCAAAGTGCTGGGATTACAGGCATGAGCCAACTCGCCAGGCTCTTGTTCTCTTTATGCAAAATAATTAAGCACCTTCTTCGATGATTACCGTTTTCTTAATACAAAATAGCAGAAACTTCTCCCAGAGGTCTTTTAAGACACAGGTGGTTTAACTTCTACTGACTCTATTTATATTCTTTTTTGTTTGTTTCTTTTTTCCTTTCATAAGCTTTGGGAAGCATAATAACCAATCATTCCATATTCATTCATATTACTGCAAAATTACTTTGAAGATTGTCAGAATGATGTTCTATTTGTCCAAGAATCTTTCGGAGTAGGGCAGGTCATAGTACCTCCTGTCTGTGGGAGGCAGAACGGAGTTTTGCTGTGGTTCCAGATTTCCAGGGATTCACAGACCTGGCTTCAATTGTCTTTGCAATTTATTATCCCTGCGACTCTAGCTAAATGACTTAACCTCTGTGCCCACCTCACCGTGCCTGGCACAGAGTAAAGATGTGGGAGCAGAGAGACAGGATCCGGGCTCATTCCCCAGCTTTGCTCCTGTGTGGTCTTGGGCAAGTCCCTTCACCTCGTTGGGCCTAACTCTGCCCAGCTGTAAAATGGATGAGACCGCCCCCCCCCCCGCCCCGCCAGGAACTCCGAGGTTTCTTCTGGCTCTGACGTTCTGGGCTCTGTGCCTACCTCCCAGCTGTGAAGAATGGGCACTAAGGCGATGTCTCGCTCACAAAACCATTTTTGTTGAAAACGATAAATCCCAGGTAGGGATTTACGGGGGATATCGGGTGAGGCCTGGACGGCCGTGTGGGGAATAAGATGCGCGGCTATTTCTAGGCAGGGGATGGGCGTGGCGGGCGGCGGGCCGGGTGTGCTGGCAGCGCAGCATCCCTGCGGGCGGGGAGGGCGTCTGCAGATGAGCTCGGAGGCCGAGGCCCGGGAGGACCGCGGATGCAGCGGCTGCGCACTGGTACGACCAGCCGGCCGATTTGCGTGTCTCCGCCCCTACAACGAGCTGGTTGGGGGGCTGTTCTGGTGCCGCGCGCCGATTGGATGAGAGGCCCGCCGCTCAGGCCCTGGAGCGGACGGTTCCTACTGCGGCTGGGCACCGGCTCCGCTCCCGCGTCTGCCCGCGCTCCAGCTGCGCCTGGCCCGGCCCCGGCCCGGCTCGGCGTGGCCCCGGCCTCCAAGCGAAGGCGCCGCTGCCGCTGGGCCGCTCCCAGGGCCATGAGGAAGCGGCGGCAGCCACTGCGGCCCGCGTCAAGGTGACCGGCCGGGACTGCGGCGGCGGGGAGAGCGGCGGTGAGAGGCGCGGCCGACGGGGCGGGGCGGGGCGGGGCGGGCCCTGAGGCCGGGCCTGAGGGAGCTGCAGGTGTGGGGGGCGGGACCCCGAGGGCCGCCGAAGCCGGGGAGGGGCCTCGGTGCGGGAGGCGGGGCCGGGGCCGTGCCTGCGGGTGCCCGGCGCCGGGGCCTGGCCGGGGTCCGGGGGTTCTGGGGTCCGGGGCCAGGGGCGCGCTGGTCCCCGGGAGCGTGAAGGACGGCGGGGAAGAGGCGCGGGCGCGGGGGGCGGGGCCGGGGGGGCAGTTGGGCGGGGCGCCGCGGCTGCAGGTGCGGGGGGCGGGGCCGGCGGGGCTGCCGTGGGCGGGGCTGTGGGGTGCGGCCCGCGCTGGACCCAAGGAAAGCACAGGTGCGGGGGGCGGGGCCCGGGGACCTGCAGCGGTGGGGGGCGGGGCCCGGGTGGCTGCGGTACGGAAGCAGGGCCCCAGGTGAGGAGCAGGCGAGGGTGAGTGGTCGCCCGAGAAGGAAAGGCCGCCCTCTCCGCTGCCCAGGGGTGCTTGGGTGGGAGCGGGGGCTTTGGGCTCCCTGAGGATTCTGGGGGCATCCGGGGCTGCCGCTAGAAGGGCCGTCCGGGCCTGCCTGTGCCTCTGCTGACTCGGGCTTGGAGCTCAGCTGCCCTGGTTACTGGCCGGTTGCCTCCCCTATGCTACGCCGCGCCCTAAGTGGGGCGCGCTGTTTTTCGCACCTCAGGGGCTTTCCTGTTGCTATTGAAGGGGCTTGCCAGGATGCGGGGGGCGGGGGGTTGGTTGTCATTGGATGATCGGTTGTTGAAAAATGTGTGTGCTTGAAGAGTAGTATGAGGCTTGGGAGGGGTCCTGGCTTGCTGGCCACTGGTACCAGAAGCTGCTGTAGATCTCAGCAGTGCGTCTCAAAAAGACTGAAATGGCAGCCTGTTAAGTGGGGAGAGCAGGGATGAGAATTCAGAAGCTTTTGACTATGCTACCTGGGAGAGTTTTTCACCTGTTTCCTCCGTTGCAAAATGAGCATGTTAGTACCTGCCTGTGTGCCTCCCAGGGGCCTGGTGAGGATAGGATGAAACAGTGCCTACTGAGCAAATCGCTGGATAAAGTTATGAGTTTCCTTTTTCTTGTGCCGATGGGCAGGTTGGATTCAGGGACTGGAGAGTCTAAAGAAGAGAGGGTTTGTTTCTAGTTAAGAGGTGAGACTAGACCACTGTCTTTTCGCAGTTTGGGATGAGGTTTTGTTGGGAGTTCCCAAAAGACTCAGCCGTGTCTTGGATCGTGACTGCTTCTCTCTGCGAGGCCTCTGAGGGAGCTGCTGCAACGCAGGGAGCAGTGGCAAGTGGAAGCAGCAGAACATTTGTTTGCTGACCTTTAGACCCCAACCCCGGTGAGGACTCTGAGCTGGAACATAAAGCTCAGGCCTGAGGCTATGGAAGTCCCTCTGCCCCCATCCAAGTACAGACCCCGATTTTACCACATTCCAAGAGGGTCGGGCGCGGTGGCTCACGCTTGTAATCCCAGCACTTTGGGAGGCCAAGGCGGGTGGATCATTTGAGGTCAGGAGTCCGAGACCAGCCTGGCCAACATGGTGAAACCCCCTCTCTACTAAAAAATACAAAAGTCAGCCGGGCATGGTGGCGGGCACCTGTAATCTCAGCTACTCAGGAGGCTGAGGCCGAGAATTGCTTGAACGTGGGAGGCGGAGGTTGCAGTGAGCCGAGATCGTGCCACTGCACTCCACCCTGGGCGATGGAGTGAGACTTTTCCATCTCAAAACACACAAAAATCCCCAAAAGAAGACCCCCAAAAGAAGGCAATGCCTGACTCCACTGTGTACCCACAGGGGCGGGGAGAAGGAAGCAGGATGACAGGGCTTTTTCTGAATTTCAGAAGAGTGTTGTATACCCATATATGTGACCTTTCAAAGCCCAGTGCCTCTGCTCACTGGTAGTTGACCAGTCCAAACTGTAATGCCTCCTACCTTCGTTGCATGGACAGAAGTGAAGGTAGGTGGAGCCTTCTCTACTAACCTGAATTTTTTTTTTTTCACTGTAGAAGCTGTGGGACTTTAGGGGCCAGGAACCATGGTGCTGGCCTCCCTCATTACCACTAGTTGGTGCAGTGGTGACCCAGTAGCATTGAGGGGATTAGGCCCTTACTGGTGCCTGTGCTTGTGTGGCAGGTCCCAGAGGATCTAGAAGCAGCATGTGAGAGTTCTCCCACTCTGTCTTGGCAGAAGCGGTGTTAATGGCTCTCAGAGACTGCTGCTGTCTGAGTGACCATCATGCTCTTTGGGTTAGAAGGAAAGCTCAAACTTGGTGGCAAAGAAGACCTAGAACATGTGTTGAATAATGAGGGGATTAGCAACATTCAGGGTGGAGAGAAATACTTCATTAATGAAAAATACTGCATGTGAGGCTCTGTGATATGGCCCACCTCTTGAAATGGATTTTCCTTTTCAGTATGGAGGGTAAGAGCTCAGACTTGGAAGTCAGTCAGGTCTGTTTGAAACTGCAGGCTGCCACCTCCTGCTGAGTGAACCAGCACTACTTCCTTAGCTTCACAGAGCTTTGGTTTCTTTATTTGTAAAGCAAGGATAACCATGCCCACCTTGTGAGGTTGTTATGAAGAATAAATGAGACGGGAGGGGAGAAGGCACCTGATCCACCTGGTTAGGGTCCTGTTCTGTCTCTCACTGCCTGCCCATCTTTCAACACAAGCTACTCAGAACAGCATGTAACATGCAAGGAGAGCAGGACAGGGAATTCTGAGGCCTCTATTTTTTATGTAACCTTGAACAAATCCCTTCCTGTCTCCAGACCTTGGGTTTCTTAGCTGAGTGAGGAGGGTGTTAGACTATGTGATCACCAAGAGTCCTTCGAGCTCTAGCCTTCTGGTTAGCATGCCGTCATCTTTTCTTCAAAGGCAGGAGGGAGGAAACTAATGACCTCTTGTTTAGTTCTTCTTTTAAAAATATCTGTCTAGCACCTTGCCTGGCCATAGTAGGTGCTCACCGAATGCTTGTTGAAAGAACAGATGAAGGACTTTGACTGGAAAGAAGGTGTGGCAAGTTGTCCCTGCTACTTTTATGCATATGGTTTCTGTACCCTTAACATACATTTTATTTATTGCACAAAAATATTGTAACATTAGTAAAATTAGTGAACTTCAACATAAAAGACAAAAGTTGTTGCATGGTTTCATTTCATCACACATTAAATTCATTCAATTTTTGTTCGTAAACATACATAATTCTTCATGGTTGCAATCGTACGTATGTAAGCATTTGGGAAAGGCCCAGTAATAAATGGTTTCTTTGAATATCGTTTAAAACTTTTTTTAAGAGACAGGGTCTCCCTCTGTTAGCCAGATTGGAGTGCAGTGGCACAGTCACGGCTCACTGCAGCCTTGACCTCCCAGGCTCAAATGATCCTCCCACCGTAGCCTCCCAAGTACTGCGCCACAACACCTGGCTAATTTTTAAATTTTTTGTAGAGATGGGAGTCTCACTATGTTGCCCAGGCTGGTCTCGAACTCCTGGGCTCAAGTGATCCCCGCATCGGCCTCCCAAAGTGCTGAGATTACAGGCATGAGCCACCACGTCTAGCAAGTATAGTTTTTATTTTATATTTTGAGGAAGTAAAAAAAAAATCACACATGGATTTTTTTTTTTTTTTTGAGACAGAGTTTCACTCTTGTTGCCCAGGCTGGAGTGCAATGGCGCGATCTTGGCTCACAGCAACCTCCGCCTCCCGGGTTCAAGCCATTCTCCTGCCTCAGCCTCCAGAGTAGCTGGGATTACAGGCATGCCCCACCACGCCTGGCTAATTTTGTATTTTTAGTAGAGGGGGTTTCTCCATGTTGGTCAGGCTGGTCTTGAACTGCAGACCTCAGGTGATCCGCCTGCCTCGGCCTCCCAAAGTGCTGGGATTATAGGCGTGAGCCACCGCACCGGGCCCACACATGGATTTTTTTTAAGGCTAGTGAGGGAATAAGTTGTAAGTGTCTTTCTTGCCTCAAGTTGACAGTTCCTAGTCCTTTTCCCTAGAGGCAGCCACTGTTACCAGTTTCTTGTTTATTATATATTCTTTCTCTTACACAAAGAATAGCATTTTATACATACTCATTGGTGCTTCATGTATCCACTTGATTTACTTTGGACATTGTTCTAGCATTGGAAAATGTGTCAGTTAGTATATACAGTTCCTTCTTAATAAATGTTTTTGACTGATATAAGCATAATTTTGTACCTCCACCCCCCACACCCCAATGATGTTTACTCAGTATTGGTTAGCAGTCATTGTTTAGAAGACTAACAAGAGACATCCTTTGTCCTAGGAAAAAAAGTGGCCTTGGTCCCAGTGAACAGTAGATTAAAGGGCAATCCATGTATCTGGATGCAAGGCGGAGTACAGAAAGAGAAAGGAAAAGAGATTTGTTCACTGGTAATTGAGAACTGATTTTCCATTCAGGCCTTGATTCAAAGTCCAGCTCTGTCACTTACTGGCTGTGTGACTTGGAACAATTTATCTAATCTTTTTGCATCTTAGTTTCCATATCTGTAAAATAGATAATGATAATAGGATCTGTCTTTGGGGGTTTTTGTGCGGAGGAAGGGAGATCATGCTATGCAAAGTACATACAGCAATAGCAGGTCATAGTAGGTGCTTAAGAAGGATGAGCTGCTATGTTATTAATAATCTGAAATAGATTCTATTCTTTGTGAGCAGATATTTACTGGACAATTAAGGGTGAGCCATGGAGAATACCTAAAGTCCTTGCCTTTGAGGTGCTCACATGCTGTGTGTGGAGATCGGCGCACAAGCCATTGATTACCAAACAGTATAGTGGGCCAGGTCGTGGGAGGCGAGCATTGTGTGAGATCACAGAGGCAGGGAACAGTGACTTCTCCCTGGGGTGGTTTGGAATGCCTCCTCAGCTCAAATTTTCCCTCCTTTGTGAAACCTACTTAATTTTTCCAGGCACCCTCCTATTTGTACTCCCTTGACTTTCATTCTGTGTGTACCTGGATCAGAGCACACATCATGTTATTGCATGTGTGACTTTTTGCCTGTGTCTCTACTCTGCACAGGGAAAGTCTCCTGCTTTCTTTGCTGCTGGGTCTCCAGAGCTTGACACAGGGTAGGCTCTTGTTGAATAGTGTGATGGACCTGTGCTTAGACAAATCATACTACTAAGTGGTGGCAAATTCTTATTTATACGTCACCAGGTCTCTGGTGAAACCCATTCTCTGGACTCTACTTCTTCACTCCCCAAATATTTGAGTGCTGACTCTGAGACAGGCATGTGCTGTGCTATATGCTAGGTGTAGGCTTTGGGTATGGCTGATGATACTTGTCCTAAAAAATCTTAGGGATGGGGAAGAAGGAAATATTTGTTGCAGATGCTGAAAGTCAAGATGAGGAAGCAGAAAAATGGACAAGTCTGGAATGAGCTGCTCATGCTTGCTGAAACTCACCTCTCCTTTCCACAGAAGTATGGCTGCTCTCCCTTGCCTTGGGCTGGAGTTGTGGAGGTGCAGGCCAAAGGAGCTGAGTAGGTGGCTCATAGATTTTAACTCGGGGGAAGAGTTGGTTGGATTGGCTTCTGTGAGGAGTGTTTCTGGGCCTCCTTTCGTGGCAGAGAATACACTTGACTTTCTTCAGGTGGGCATTCATTAACCTGCCTTGCTGGGCTCTTGCTTTGGGCTCAACCTTGTAATGGATGCTGGACACATGCAGATGAAGCTTTGTCCCTGCCCTTTGGGATCTCACAGTCAGTGGAGAAGTCACCCACAAACAGAAGGTGACTGAAGGCGATTGGCCATAACAGAGAACCTCTCATGAAGTGGCCAAGCAGTTTCAGGCTCGGGGCCAGGCAGACCCGGGTTCAAATCCTGCCTCTGTCACAGACAACCTGTGTGACCATGGGCAGGTGTCTTCCCAGCTCTGAGTCTTGGTTTACTGATTTGGTAAAGTGGGGATAGCAGTTTTACCTAACTTAGGGCTGTTGAAGATTTCAGTGAAATAATGCAGTGCAGTGTTTAGCACAGTGCCTGCTGGGAAGCTAATGCTTACAGAGTGCTCACTATTGTAATTATACGTGATGCTGTGGGAGAACCAAGAAGCACCTCTTGAGCTGTTTCTCAGGATCCTAGTGATAGTGTCGTGGTCATGATGAAAGTTAGGTATTGAATGTGAAGGTCAAGTCGTCTGAGAGATCAACTCTGAAGTCACCAAGCGCTCAAGGAGTCCTCAGGACCTTCCTCACTAGCCCTGTGGCTGATATTATGGCTCCAGGGCTATAGGCTTGTCTGTAAGTGTTTCCTCCCCACTTTCTGCGTGAGCTCTTCTGAAAGATACATTTCACCTGTCATCATTGTGAACACCTTTTCTTTGTCTGAGTACCTGCACTGATCATTCCATGACTTCTCCCCAAGGAGAGGCATGAGTTGTACTTGTCTCACCTGTGCTTGCTGAGGAGCGCAGAGACCTGAAGACCCAGAACAGCAAATAATTCCTTGGTTTTTCTGTAGAGCTTTCAAGTCTGTCGTGTTCTTCTTTGCAGGAGATTTATCTCCTGAGCATCAGAGAGGCAGATAGGGCAGTGCTTAAAACACGGACTCTGGAGTTGGGACACAAACAGATGTGGGTTTGTGTCCTGACACCATCACTCACAAGCCATGTGGCTTTGAGCAAATGACTATACCTCTGTTTCCTCATCGATACAAGAGGTGAGATAGTACGCGCCTTTGTGTGGTTCGTACAGGGTTTCAGGGAGACGCTACAAAATAGGGCTTAGCAGAGGGCTTGCACATTGTGAGCACCCAGGAAGTGGGAGCTAGAATAGTGTCCTCTTTTCACCCAGGGTAGTAAGATTTTTAGGATGCTTTTCTCAGGGTATTAATGTATTGTCTGTGGAAGTTATATGAGTTACTGCACAAGCAATGTGTTAAAACACACATGTACTTGGTGATGGGGGGCTGGGAAGCATGTCCAGGGTGGCAGGCAGAACTCTTCCTGCGCTGGGATTGCAGAGGCAAGCCTCAGCTCCCACAAAGACATAGGGTACTGGTGAGGGAGAGGACGGAGCCATTCTGGGCGCGTTTGTCTCAGGCCCATTTAGGAACTGGGGGCTGCTTCTCAAGTTCTTTCTGTTTAATCATTCCATTATTCCGTGTAAATGATTGGTCTTTAATATAAACTGATAATACAACATGATACTTTCCCTCTTCAGGATTTAAATATTTATTTTTTAAGGTTAAGTCAATTTTTGAGTAAGCAGAAGAAAATTTGAATCTTTGGCCTTGACATCATAGGTTTCTTTTAAAATCATCTGAGATGAAAGGAAGAATAGGGAATGTATTTAAGTCCATGTTTATTGGATACAGTAATTATCACCCACTGTTGTATAAGCCTGATAACTAGGGCAAGGGAAGTTTGTGCTTTTGGCATATTTCTGAATAATTAAATATTTATGGAAAACAAGTTAATAGATTCAAGACAATTTGCTGTGTCTTTCTCTGGCATAAAGTTCGTTATGTGGAATTACAGAGAGGATTAGTCCTCTGTGCATCTGTTTATTTTTTCCTTCTAGGCACCATATCTCTAACACTTTCAGTCCACTAGCATTTATAGATTGCTCTCCTACTGGGCTCCCACAACTCTCTCACTGTGTGCCCTGCCTTAGCATATAGTACAATTGTGCCCACCAGTGACTCCCTCATGACCTTTCTCTAGACTTTACAGAGTGAGAGTCCACATTTGTTCTTGCGTATTCAGGGCCTACCCCAGGGCTGGTACAAGGCAGCCAGAATGGTCTGAGCATGCCATTCCCTTTGCTTAAAAGCCTCCAGTGGCTTCTAATTTCTGTCAGAAAAAAGACCACATCATTAGCATGGCCGGTGAGGTGTAAGAATATGCTTTCTAGGGTAATTGCTGGATATGTCTGTCTCTCCTGGTGCAGTACAGTCCCATCAGGTCATGGGCCGTGACTGTTTTGCCCACCAGCAGGTCCTCAGTGCCTAGCCTAGCATCCGGCCTGTAGTAGATGCTCCTTAAGTGTTTATTGGATGAACAAATGGAGTAAATAGTGGGCTCCCAGTGACTGATCTGAATCTATAAAATGAGAAGGTTGTTAGATCGGAGGTTCTGTCCATTATACAATATCTCAACCCTTTACAACACTTAAAAAGGTCTCTTCACACTTTTTATTCCAGCCTTATGTTGATTCTGCAGGTAGCTAGGGCAGGTTTTGATGTGCATAGAAGACAATGGAAGCTTAGAGAGGTTAAACACATTGCCCAAGATGTAGCTGTGAGAGAAGCTGAGGGTCCTAACGCCTCAAGTGCCTGTTCTCATGCTCCTGGCTGCCTCAAGGTGTGGCTTCTGACACACTCATTGTAGAAGTCGCAGGTGAGATAAGGTGACAGGGCTTCATTGGAAAAAGGTACTTATAATAGTTTTTCTTGGTTTTAGATATTTCAGTTTCCAGATAATTGAATTTGAGGAGTTGAGTTAAATTTGGAATGATGGGTTTAAGGTCTTGTTTCATGCTTATGGGTCAGAAAATACTGAACTTTCCTGTAAATGGCTAAAGTATAGTAATGCTTGGTACCTGTGATGATTAGTTTGTAACTAGGGTTAAAATTTGTGTTCTTGTTGAGAAGACACAGTCTTGCTGAGTCACCTGGGCTGGAGTGCAGTGGCTATTCACAGGTGCGATTATAGCACACTACAGCCTTCAGCTCATGGCCTCAAGCGATCCTCCTGCCTCAGCCTCCCAAGTAGCTCCCAAGTGCCACTACACCTGGCTGACAACCTTTTTTGGTAAGATTAGAAGTTACTTGCTGATTGATATGTAGCATCCTTTGCTGTTTTCAGAAGATACTTGTTGTTTCAGTTAGTTTATTTCTTTAATGTATCTCTGGCTATATCTGCTATGGGACACTTTGGCAATGAGCATCACTATGGCCTTTGTGCTTATCACATATAGTGTCCGTCTATCCTGATGGTTACCAATCATTGAGTCTACTCTTTCCACTTTCCAGATGAGGATGGAGGCTTTGTTAGAGTTTCATACTGAAGTGCCCTGATTCCCCACCTGACAAATCCCATGAACTGGAACATGTCCATATGCATGTAACAGTTTCTCAACAGCTGCCTGCAGTTCATATACTGCTGCTAATAAACCATGCCCACGGTGAAGCATTTATCCCAGATGAAAGTGTCTGCTTCAGGGGCCTTTGTTGAATCTGCAGTGTGACTGTATAGGAAAAGGATGCAAACTTGACTTAGCCCACAGCTCCAATATCTAGTCCAGTGTTGGTGGCTAGTTAAGAAAAGACAGTGCCTGTTGTGGTCTGTTAACATGATAATCATTTCAGGGGGTTCTTAAGGACTAAGAGATTCTTGGAACCTAGTTTTATCAATATAGCCAGTAGTACTTGTTGAACAGAGAAGCAGCCTGGTATATAGAAAGATCAATGAATATGAAGTCAGAATGCCAAATGTGTCCATTTGCTTTGAGACTCCCACTTTCCATGTAAACAGGAATATCTTTGGTGTGCATGCATCCTTTTTCAGTAGGAAAGCCCCAGTTTTAATATCTGAGATTGTGTTATGAGGCTTAAGTCAGAACAAAGAGAGCTGGATGATGATAAAGGATTGTACCAATAACTGAAGGTAGTCTTATTCCTTATTCTTCCCTGTCCTCCGTAACTACTTGCCTACTAGCCCATCTGGCCATCCATCCATCCATGCAGTTCTTGTCCAGGGTCTACTGAGTGCCAGTGCTATGCCAAGTGTGAGGCCACAGTGGTGAAAAAAAGACAGGCCGGGCGTGGTGGCTGACGCCTGTAATCCCAGCACTTTGGGAGGCCGAGGCGGGTGGATCACCTGAGGTCGGGAGTTCAAGACTAGCCTGACCAACGTGGAGAAACCCCGTCTCTACTAAAAGTACAAAAAATTAGCTGGGCATGGTGGCACATGCCTGTAATCCCAGCTACTGAGGAGGCTGAGGCAGGAGAATCGCTTTAACCTGGGAGGTGGAGGTTGCGGTGAGCCGAGATCGCACCATTGCACTCCAACCTGGGAAGCAAGAGTGAAACTCCATCTCAAAAATAAATAAATAAATAAATAAATAAATATAAAAATAAAAATACAGATCTGGTCCTTGCTGTCCTTTAGCTTACAGTCTAGTAGCAAGGTTAAATAACAAAAATAATAACAAGTACATATAAAGGTAATTACAGGGGCTGGATGTGGTGGCTTACACCTGTAATCCCAGCACTTTGGGAGGCCAAGGCAGGCAGATCACTCAAGGTCAGGAGTTCACGACCAGCTTGGCCAACATGGTGAAACCCCCTCTTCACTAAAAATACAAAAAATTAGCCGGGCATGGTGGCACGTGCCTTTAATCCCAGCTACTTGGGAGGCCTAGGCAGGAGAATCACTGGAACCTGGGGGGCAGAGGTTGCAGTGAGCTGAGATGGCACCACTGCATTCAGGCCCTGGGAGACAGAGTGAGACTCTGTCTCAAAAAAAAGAAAAAAAAAAAATTACAGTGCATAGTGTTGTGCACCTATAGTCCCAGATACTCAGAAGGCTAAGGCAGGAAGATTGCTTGAGTCCCAGAGTTGAGTCTAGCTTGGGCAACGTAATGAGACCAGTCTGGGCAACATAGACCCTATCTCTTAAAAAAAAAATTATAGCACTGATGTCTGCAAAAGAGGAGTATAAGGTGCTAAGAGACCATACATTTAATGGCTTTCCTGCTAGGGGAGTCAGAGACAGCTTACCAGAGGAAGGGGCCTTTAAGCTGACACCTGAAAGATGAATTGAAGCTAGCCAGGTGGAGAGGTGGCAGTTGCATCTGCCATCATCCTAGCTGGGGAAGGAGCATGGAGGACTCCAGATGTACTGGGGAGCCAGCATGGCTAAAGCACTGAGAGCAAGGGAGAGACCAGTGTTCATGTTCTGGTCATGGCCTTGTTTCCTTGGACTGTGCCAGAAATAATGGACAAATTATGTAGTTGCTGACTCATTTTTCATAACTCCCCAGCTGTCACCAAAAGCATCTATTACTGAAACATTACCTGTGGTTTCCAATATAGCAGTTGGCCTTATTTTTATTGCTTTAGAGATTGGTTGCTTCCTTTGCTTCTTGAAGGTGTGGAAGCAAATACTTGGACCTCATTAGTGGTTTTCAGTCATTAAGTAAACATTTACTAAGCATGTAATAGGGCTTGACACTGCAGACCCTACCCTCAGGAGCACCAAGACTTGACAGATAGAAGTAAATACATAATGATAATACAGTGTCATGGGAAGTAGAGTAGTGGAAATGGAAGCTCATGGGACCGAGTAAGACTCACAGGCTCTTAAAGATTTTCACTTTTCCAGGTGAAGCAGGATACAGGCAGAGGAAACAGATTGTACAAAGGTACAGAAGCAGGAGGGAGTATGATGTGCTTCAGGGATGGTGGACAGTGTGGTGTTGCTGGAGTGTGAGATTTATGGTGGAGGATGGAGGGAGGAGGATCTGGTTGGAGAGGTGGTTTGGGGTCAGTTCACAGAGGGACTTGCAGGCAGTGCCTAGGAGTGTAGGTGTTGTCTTGTGGTCAGTGGAGAATCGTTCAAGCTCTAAGAGGAGAGAAGGATTGTCACTTATAGTCCTGGTGGCAGTGTGGAGGATGATGGTGTGAAAGGGGACTAGAGATTGGGAGCTGAGTGAGGGTTATTATAGGAATTCAGGAGTGGGATGATGGGGTCCTGGCTAGGTGGATGGGGAGGAGAAGGCAGGTTCAAAAGAAACTGATGTAGAGGCCTCTCCTACTTGGTAGATGGGAGGAAGGGCGATATCAGAGTTTCTCACTCGGTGCCATGAGATGGTAGGACCAGTCACTGAGCTATGAAACGTGAAAGGAATACTGGGTTGGTAGGAGGAAGGTTGTGAATTTGGTTTGGGCCATTTTGAGTTTGGAATGGATGAGGGGTTGCTTGGTGGACCTGCCCACTTGGTGACTGGCCTGCTAATCTGCAGCTGAGAGAGAGATCTAGGCTGGAACAGTGGTTCTCACACTCTAGAGCATCAGAGTCCTCTGTAGTGTTTGCGGGGAGGGAGGCTGGTAGTCTTATGTTTAAGGGCTTTCACAGATGGTTCTGATGCCCCAGGAGATACTTGGGGTCATTCTTGCATAGCTGGCCCCTGAAGTTGTGTCATAGGAGAGGATGGGATCACTCAGGAAGGCTGTGTGGTAGTGGATGAGAGTCCCGGCTGAATTGCTGGGGAGCGTCAGCATGAGAGGTGGAAGTGGAAGTCAGGGAAGAAGCAAGAGGAGGAATGGGCAGCTAGGAAGAAAGACAGGAAGAACGATGGTGTGGAAACCGGTGGTGGGGGCACCAACCTCCACTTCTTTCCCTGCAGGGCTTCAGTTTTCTCATTTTCCTCTCTAGTAATTCATTAGGGAATTATTGCCCTGCTACCTAGAGCTGAGCCTTCCGTGCCTCCCTTCAACATTTGTTTACACTAGTGTCAGAGCCAGTCTCCCTGACAGGTTATGCTTCAGTTACCTTTGTTGTCGTGTGCAGAAGACTCTGAAAGAGGCTGTTTGCTGCAGACAGTCTCTACCCCCTTCAGCGCCTCCCAGCAACCTTCTCAAGCAATTCCCTCATGCCTTCTATTGCTGGTCCTCGGGACTAAAATCTCTATCCGCTGAAGCCAGAAAGTTGCGCCCTCCCCCATCTAACATTGTGAGGTTCAGGATGGATCTGCAACCTCAGGGATGTGTGTCTGGGTCCTAGGAAAGGCAGCTGATCGGAACAGTTTGAGTCTGAGAAGATGATTAAAACATTCAGATTAGACTAACGCGATGCGTGGGTAGGTATCTGTGACTTGGGGTTGGGGTGCATCCCTGGTCCACTCTGTATCCTGTGCTTGGGTAGCAGGGAAAAGCCTGTTACAGAATTTCTGGAACTTATTGTTGGGGTCTGAGAGTTAGAGTACTTGGGATCTACTCAGACTGCTGGTGGCGGTATCCTAAATTGGTAAAAGTGGAAGTCTGTCTCCCTGGTAAGCCTAAGTGCCTGACTGAGCTCAGCTTACAGAAGCAGGTGAAGAGCCTTTAATCTGAGAGGTCCAGTGGGAAACTGATCTGTGATCCATTGTGTGTGTTGTTAGTATTATCCTCAATCCTAAGACCTGGAGTGTAGGACAAAGGCACAGATCCAGTTGCCACTGACCCTGTTGCTGAAAGCCACAGCTGAGGAGTAGTGAGAAGGATCAGGGTTAACTTGAGGGGGAGTCCTTAATACCAGGACTGACCATCGTGGTGTGATGCCTTTTGCTTCTTAGGGAAGGAAGAAGAAAAGGAATTAATATTGGTTGAGCTGAGAAACCCAAATGCTGGGCAAAGAGAAGGGAACAGATAGAAAGTAGAGGCAGGATGATGAGATATGTGTACCAGTACAGAACATAAAATGCTATTCAGCTCCTATAGAACATAAAGAAATGTTTCAGAATAAGAGGCAGACTGAGCTGTGTTCAAATCCTGCCTTTGCACAAATACTACCAGTGAGGATACTTTTTTTTTTTATTTTTATTTTTTGGAGATGGAGTCTCGCTCTTGTTGCTCAGGCTGGAGTGCAGTGGCACAATCTTGGCTCACTGCAACCTCCACCTCCCAGCTCCAAGTGATTCTCCTGCCTCAGCCTTCCAAGTAGCTGGGTTTACAGGTGGCCACCACCACACCTGCCTGATTTTTGTATTTTTAGTAGAGACAGGGTTTCACTGTGTTCGCCAGGCTGATCACAAACTCCTGACCTCAGGTGATCCACCCGCCTCGGCTTCCCAAAGTGCTGAGATTACAGATGTGAGCCACCACGCCCGGCCAAGGATACTCTTACTGGCTGTGAGTTCTTGGATATGTTACCTAACCTCTTTGGGCCTCAGTTTTCTCACTTTCTCTCTAATAATTCATTAGAGAATTATTGCATGGATTTGGTGGCATATTTCTATGGATAAGGTGCTTAGCAAAGTATCTGTCACAGAGTAATGGTTCAATAAATGGTGATGATAATGGTGATGACCATCATGTGAGTACCTCTGTAGATATCTCCACTGGACCAAAGCCTACCTGTATAATAAATGTTTGAAATGAACAACATCAACAGTAACAAGGTCAGTATGAGATTAGCAACATATGAGAGGGAAAACCAGATCCACTGGCAAAATTACTGGAACACTGAGAGGATAAGGATAGCAGTGGAGAATCATAAAAACAGGACATGATAGAAAATGAAAAGGTACAAGGAAGGAACTATTAAGTATGATCAAAGTAGTCTTATTGGCTGTGAAGAAGAGAGGCAAGAGATTCTGAATCAACACCTGGAGGTGATGAGGACAAAATAACCTTAGTCTTTAGTGATGATAGAAATTTTCTTTATTTTTTTATTTTTTGAGACGGAGTTTTGCTCTTGTTGACCAGGCTGGAGTGCAGTGGCGTGATCTTAGCTCACCGCAACCTCCACCTCCCAGGTTCAAGCGATTTTCCTGCCTCAGCCTCCCGAGTAGCTGGGATTACAGGCATGTGCCACCACGCCCAGCTAATTTTGTATTATTATTTTTTTTTTTAAGTAGAGACGGAGTTTCTCCATGTTGGTCAGGCTGGTCTTGAACTCCCTACCTCAGGTAATCTGCCTGCCTTGGCCTCCCAAAGTGCTGGGATTACAGGTGTGAGCCACTGTGCCCGACTGATACAAATTTTTATTGCCACTTCTACTTCCCTGAGTATTTTAGTGGATAGACATTGAGGGGAAGTGGCATTAGGGATTTATTTTTCCTTTTTCAGAGATGGAGTCTTGCTCTGTTGCCCAGGCTGGAGTGCAGTAGTGCAATCATAGCTCACTGAAGTCTTGAACTCCTTGGTTCAAGTGATCCTTCCACCTCAGCCTCCTAAGACTACAGGTGTGCGCCACCACTCCTGGCTTAAAAAATTTTTTGTTTAGAGATGGGGTCTTGCAGTGTTGCCCAGGCTAGTGTTGAACTCCTGGCCTCAAGTGCTTCTCTGCCTCAGCCTTCTGAGAATCTGGGATTATAGGCATGAGCCATTGAGCCTGGCTACTGGGATTCTTTACCTAATGTTTGTTTATTTATTTTATTTTAGTTTTTTTTTTTTTTTAAACTCCAAAGCCCCATTGTTATAATTAGGCTTGTGACAGAGGAGCCTCATATTAAATATGTATTGAATGGGTAAGATGAAATAAATTAATCAGTTCCTGGCTCTTTCTAAAGAAGTTTAAATATAGTAATAATGACAGTATTATATCTCCAAATGTTGGCAAAGATTTAATGCAATTCCTATGAGATATTTTATAAAGCTTGAAAAAATAATGATGTTTACCTGGAAAACTAAGTTGGTAAAAAAATATTTATTTATTTTTAATTTTTTTGAAACAGGGTCTTGCTGTGTTGCCCAGCCTGAAGTATAGTGGCGTAATCTTGGCTCACGGTAACCTTCACATCCCAAGTTCAGACGGTTCTCATGCTTCAGCCTCCTGTGTAGCTAGGATTACAGGCCTGTGCCACCATACCCAGCTAATTAAAAAAATATTTTTAGTAGAGATGGGGTTTCATTTTTAGTAGAGATGGGGTTGGCCAAGCTGGTCTTGAACTCCTGGCCTCAAGTGATCTGCCTGCCACAGCCTCCCAAAGTGCTGGGATTACAGGCGTGAGCCACTGCTCCTGGTCAAGATAGTTTTTTAAATGAGTGAAATTGCCTTTATTTTTCCAGATTCTTATTCATTTCTACAAATGTTTGAGTTGCCTACTATATAAAAGCAGTGCTAAACTCTTTGTTGAGGGAATATAAAAATGGCTATCTGTGTTATATTTTCTCATTTAACTCTTATCACTCTCCTTGTGAGAGAGCCACTTTAGGTTGTGCTATGAGTGAGAGAAAATGCAAAATAACAAAGACATAAACAAGGTAGAAGTTTCTTATGTGCAAGAAGTCAGAAGGTAATTAGGCCAGAGTAGGTATGGAGCCTGCATAGTCAGAGACCCAGGTTCCTTCTAAGTCCAAAGTCACTTCATGGCCTAAAATGGCTGCGAGAGCTCTAGCCTTTCCATATGCATTCCAGCCTTTGAGGGCTACTGTCCAGAAATTCGGCACGATACCGCTTACATCTCAGTCATTTAATCTTGGTCTTACGGCCACAACTTTCAGTAAGGGAAGCCAGGAAATGTAATCTACACTCAGGGAAGCCATGTGTCTACCTAAAAGAAGAGAGGGAGGATGACTGCTAGCGGGCAGCCTCATAGCAACATTATTAGTAATTGCCAAAAATGGAAACAACCCAAATATCTACCAGTTAATGAACAGATAAACCAAATGTGGCATATACATATAAAGGAGTATTATTCAGCCATAAAAAAGAATAAACTACTGTTTCATGCCTAATATGGATAAACCTTGAAAACATTCTGAGTGAAAGAAGCAAGACACAAAAGTCCACATACCGTATGATTCTGTCTGTATGAAACGTGTAGAAGAGGCAAACCCAAAGAGACACAGAACGTAGATTCATAGTTGCTGGGTCTCATGGCAGGGGGAGTGGGGAGTAACTGCTGATGGGTTGGGTACAGGATTTCTTTGTAGGGTGATAAAATGTTCTGGAATTAGATAGTGGCAGTGGTTGTGCAACTTAGTGAATATGCTAAAAATCACTGAATTCTATGGTTTAAAAGGTGAATTTTATGTTGTATAAATTATATCTGAATTTAAAAAAATAACTTTTTCTTATTAAATTTTAATTGTAAAAAAATAAGAAAGATAGACAAAAAAGAAAGAACCAGCCATCATCTCATTGTCAATACCTGGGGTATGTGTCCAGACATTTTTCTGTGTGTCTGCCTCAAAGTTGAGTTGATAGAGGAGCAATGTGTTGGGATTAGCATAGTCCACAGACATGTTTTTTTTTTTTCACTAGTGCTTCAGAATTCCTCTGTTGTTAGGCTGTTACGTTGGAAACAATACTTGGCCATGGTGGAAACCTTAGCATATTTGGAAACCATAGCATATTTGAAGATCTGGGTGCCTCTTCCAACTCACATTGGGTCTGTGAACTTGAGAGAGGCACTTAGTCTCCCTGTCCTCATCTTGAAAAGGGATTGTGGTACTTGGTGGTATCTTTCTTACTAGAATGGCTAAAATGAAGGGGGAAAAAGACAATATTATGTTGGTGAGGTTGTGGAGCGATCAGCTTTCATACTGCTGGTGGGAGAATAAATCGGTCTATCCACTTTGGAAAATTGACATCATCTATCAAAGCTGAACATATACATACCTTATGACCCAGCAGTTCCACTCCTTGGTATCGACCCAACTTTGAGACAGACACAAAGAAATACATATGGATGTGTACCAGAAGGCATGCTCAGTCACGCTTCTAGCAGCTCCATCTGTAATAGCTCAAACTGGAAACAATACCAGTGTCCATTGGTAGTAGAAGGGATAATACACGTGGTACACTCCCATGATGGAATACTGTAGTCAGTTAGAGTTAATGTACAAGCCCATTAAAACAATCCGATGAATTTCACAAACATAATGTTCATACAGATAGAAAAGGTTATAGACCATACAAATCCATTTATATAAAGTACATTATATAATGTACATTATAAAACAAAATGTTATAAAACATTTTTATAAAACAAAAATGTTATAAAAACATTTTTATAAAACAAAAATGTTGAAACATTAGAACATATAATTAATTTACAAATACATATATACATGTTAGAGGTGCTTTGCTTAATATTTTTTAACTGTTGGTCGTGAAGGATCGTAAAGTTTGGTGAGCCAAGGCTTGCCACCACAAGAGCGGGCAGTCTGAGCCGAGGCCGGGCTGTGGACGCAGCTGGCTGAGTGGGTGAGCTTCATGCTATTCAGTTGGCGGCCTGTGTTAGGGTTGCTTTCCTTGTTGTAGGATCATGAAATATGGGACAGGGGAGGGTGGTGGTGAAGCTGGCGAGGGGGCAGGGGCCTGGAACCCAGCCGGAGGGCTGAGAAGAATGAAGAGGAAGCTTGGTGAGAGGACAAAAGGAAGGCGGCGCTGGTGTGGCATCCAAACAGAAGAAAGGAGCCAGCAGGGGAGGCCAGAGACCAGCGAGGCTAAGGAAATGGGAGGAGAAAGAGGGACGGGGCATCATCAGGGCTGGAGGGATGACTCCAGAAAGAGGGGCTGGTGAGCAGGTTAAAGCTGCCATGAGGTGGGAGAGCCTTAGGCCACTAGTCTCAACAATTAGTAGCAGGAGGTTCTGGGACCCCAGAGGGGCCAGTGTGACCCCAGTCTTCGGGCAGGGGTTACTGAGTGGGTGAGTGTCTGACGGGAAAGTAGCCTGGGCTTCAAGGGTCAAAGCTGTTCTGAAGATGTTCTTAGGCAGAGAGAAGAACCAAGGGAGCGGCAGAGACTGAGGTTGCCAGAGAAGGGGCTGACTGCCTGACTGGCAGCTGGGAGTGCACCCCAAGTCCAGGGCCTGCCATCAGCCCTGGCTCTCAGTGGATGCCTTTATCAGATGTGGGAGGGGAAGGCCAGGTTAGAGGAGGGTCGGGAGGGAGCAGAAGTCACCTTCTCTCAGTGAAGGAGGTTGTGAGGCTGCCCCCTTGTAACCTGCCCTGGTGGTGCACAGGTGTAGAGTAAGGTGTGGGGTATGGTGAGGGGGTGCTTTGGAACAGCTGCCATGGGAGACAAGTGGCCACGGAGCTCATAGCACCTTGTGCACAATGCTTGCGTGTGCCTGCAGGGGGGGTGTGCCACACCCACCCTCCCTTGCCTTTATACTCTTTTTCACACAGCAACATGCACCTGTGGCAGGAGAGTTTGTGTCCAGGCATTCCTGAGGTCCCTTCTCGCTGGGTGGTGCGCGAGGCCTTGGCTCGGTTTTTGGCCTGTCAGAATGCGTTTTCCCACAGTGTCAGTTTTTCTCTGGGGTTCATTCCCCATGCACACCTTACATGCTTATTTACCACAGCGTGTATCCAAAGCATGATGGGAAAGGAAAATAGTGACCACATAGGATGAATTCCATGATTTTAGGACAGGATTTGCCACCTGATTGGCTAATGATGATACCAAATGTGGATGCGTGGGAAAAGTATTTTAACATTTCAAATAATAGATTGAAGTCAGACCTTGTAGCACTGTAACTGGTCCAAATGACTGAGCTTTGAAAGACAAGTCTTAACCATATGGAACATCAATGTAAATTGAATTATTTTCCCTACTTTTATAGTGGCTACTGTTTGGAAAGAGATGTGCTGGGAAGGTATGTCCTATTGATTAGGGGATTATGAAATCCAGCATGTATTCCTGGTAAGCCAGTGCCCTGACCATAGTGAAATGTGCCATTTTGAGTAGGCGGTCATGCCGTGTGGGCACCCACAGGTATATACTGGGTACAGGGGAGCCGGGTGGTGCTGTAGTCAGAGAAACCTCCTGTCAAGCGGAGCCCGATGGGACTGAGGCGCTGCAGAGTGGTTTTCAGGGCATCAGGCAGCCTCTGCGAGCCACAAAACAGGGGATGTGTTAGGGGCTTCTTCACCACATGAAGCTCTGGGGTTTTCTCTATTGGTTCTCCTGTCAACGGTTTTTTAACTGTCTTTCTCTCTCTGCCTCCTCCTTGTGCACACCTCTTTTTGCTACCCTGTCATGCTGTCACCCTTGTGTTCCCATTGGTGTCTGTTCCCCCAACAGCTGGGCTTACTTGGGCAACCTCCCGTCAACCTCAGTCAGGTCCCTGTACCTACCCAGAAGCCCCCCTCCTCTCTTCTTTCCAGTTCACCTCCCTTCCTCACTTGGAGCTGTCCTTGCTTCAGACCCTTAATCAGAAAGGGCCAGCTCATTGTGTGAGTTATGTTTGGCCATGGGAGAATGGGGTGAAGGAATGTGAAGACAAATAAGACATGAGCCTTGTCTTTAAGGAACTACGAACTGGTTGACCTCCCTTCCCCACCAGTGCAGACCATTCTTGCCCCCTGAGATTCTGCCCACCTCATTTGGCACCTCTTCTAAGAATGCTTTTCTGCTCTCCCCAGCTCGCGGGAGCTCTCCTTTCCTTAAACCCTCATGACACTGTGGCCCTGGCCACATTCTGCATTGCATTGTGCTGCTTTGATCTACTCTGTACCTCCTACCTTATCTCCTTGACTAGACTTTAAGCTCTTTTAAGGCAAGATCTGTGTCTTGTTCAATGCCTTACACACAGGAGATGCTCAATAAACGTTACAAGACTGAAACCAGCATGGAATCTGTTATGGCTCCCAGCATCCGTCCCCTTTGTTGCCATGGCGCCCAGGTCTTGAGCTAACCAGAGAATAAGGGAAGAAACAGAGAATGTTTGCCTGGAAGAATCCTAGGTGCTTCAGTTTAGGTAGGAACAGCCACAACAAATGTTAAAAGCTGAAATATTAACAATATTTCTCAGATTCTTCTGGTAGCCTCACTCTTCCGTCAACCTGTTTTCACAAAAGAGGCAGAAGGTAAAGTTTCTGATGCATTTCTGCACAGGGGCCCAGTCTTCTTTGATATTGCATGATTAACAACACTATAAGTAACTCATATAGTACTTAGAAGAAGCACGTTTCCAAAACTTTATGTATCAGTTGATTGGTTCTCCTAAGGAGGATGCTAGAAACAACCAGTCTTGGTTTTCTCACATGCTCTCTGCTTTAAACCAACAAAGGAGTAATCTCAGAGATGAGTAATTTCTCTGAAGTCACACAGCAAGGAAGTGGCAGAGTTGGACTGGACTCAAGGTCCGTCTCTGGCTCTAGAAGTGGAGCTCTCTCCACTGTCTGATTAGAGTTGGATTCCATTAGAAGCACAGCAGCTGCCCACTTGCTGCCTATGCTCTTGGAGGGGCTGGTGGGATCCTGCCAGTCCCGAGGAATCTGGGCTGAATTGGCCCGAGTCCATTCAGCTAGGGGAGGACTGCCTCCCCCCGTTGTCACCACAGGGACCAAAGGGCAGAGAATCTGTTTCCATTCCTCTTAGGAAGACCGCAGTCTGCTAACCCATTTCACCTGGGCCCACCTGGATGACAGCTGACCAGTCATCCCGAGCCTCAGGCATGCTAAGGCAGCAGGAGGTCAAGCAGTCTGTTGTGAACAGGGGATAGAGAACCTGCACTCACTGACAGGCAAAGACAAGTGACATTGCATTTAAGGACTCTTGGCCATGGAAGGGAGAGAAGGAAGCCAAGCTTCATACTTGCAGCTGTGGCGCTTTTGAGGCAGGATGAATGGAGTGACTGCATAAGAACTTTATAAGGAGAGAACTTCCAAAGCGAGGAGATTAAAGTATATGAGAGACTTTCTGGAACTGAAAGTCAATGAAGAACTGAAATTAGTAGTTTGGAAGGTCAAAGGAAAAATATTTCGTGACAGAGTAATAATGACAAGAAATGGGAATAATGAAAATGTGAGGTACTTAGAGGCAGCAAGAACAGATTTATTTATTATTTTTTTTTTTCCAAAGGAAAGAGAATTAGGCTGTCTTTGGGCTTCCCCTGTGCAACTCTGGAGGCTGGAAGACAGTGGGCTGGTATCTCCAGACTATTAAAGGGAGAGGGCCCCAAGTCCTCTATATACCCAGCCAAGATGTCAGTGAGGTGCCATTGCAAAAGAAAGCCATTTTCAAACACGTGAGGACACAAAACATTTATTAAATGTACCTGAGGAAAATATCCAGTGAAGTTCTCTAACCCAAGGACAAGGGAAGTGGAGTAGAGATATGGAGACAGGTAAGGAAGGAGTGCAGGGAACAGGAACGGCACCTTTTTTTTTTTTTTTTGAGACATAGTCTCGCTCTGTTGTCCAGGCTGGAGTACAGTGGCATGATACTGTCTCACGAAAACCTCCATCTCCCAAATAGTTCAGGTGATTCTCCTGCCTTAGCCTCCCGAGTAGCTGGGATTACAGGTATGCACCACCAGACCCAGCTAATTTTTGTATTTTTAGTAGAGATGGGTTTCACCATGTTGGCCAGGCTGCTCTTGAACTCCTGACCTCAGGTGATCCGCCCACCTTGGCCTGTCAAAGTGCTGGGATTACAGGCATGAGCCACGGCTGGAACAGCACATCTTTTAGTGCATGTAGTTTAATCTCAATGGATTAAACTGCTGTGAGTTGGAATTTCTATTATTAAATTATGAAGAGTTCTAAAAATAAAGGAGATCTGTTGTAAGGGAAAACATGATAATAGGTTGAGACAAAATTCTAAACCATTTCTCCAATACCTAAGGCTTTGGGAGGAAGGATGAGAGAGTGGGGAAACAAGTGCACTTAAACATAGGGCACACAGAACATGGCCACATAGCTATTCATTGTGTTACAGAAGGAGAGATAAGGGTTCAGTTTTGACTATTGGAGATCAGAACTTATATTAGGACTAGATTTGGTTGCCTATAATAATGCCTGAATGACAATGGGTTTACATCCTCACATAAAAAAGTAAAAAGATGGGCAGTCTAGGGTTGGTATAGTGGGATCAAAGATATCATGGACCCATGTTCCTTATATCTTGCCACTCTTCCATCCATAGCAGATTGCCTCCTGACCCAGTGTGGTTGCTTGAGCTCCAGTCATCACATCTGCATTCCAGGATTCAGAGGAGAAAAGGAGGAAGAAGGATGTGCCCCTTCCCTTCTGAGACACTTCTCAGAAGTTTTACATAGCTTTAACATGTGCATCTCCTTGAGTAGAGCTTAGCCACACTGAGGTGTGAGGGAACCTAGGGGTGCTTGGCTAAAGATGGGAGCTAAAGAAGACAAGGAGAAAGAAAGGAACTTGGCCTCAAAAGATAATCCCTACCAGGATGCAAGTTACAACAACAGGTTAAATGGCAGAAAGGTCACAAAGATGGATAAAACCAGTGTCAGGAAGTGAATGGGGGAGGTGGGTGCTCCTTTACATTACTGGTGGGAATCTGAATTGTTCAACTTTTGGGGAACATGATCTGAAGATACCTAATGTTAAAATATCTGTGTCTGGCAATCCAGCAGTATACTTCTGTGAGTCTCTTCTGCAGAAATAAAGCACTGATGCAAAACGTCGTACATACAATGCCATTTTCTGCATCACTGTTTATAGTGGCAAAAAGGTGAAAAGAAGGGGAGCACCCATCAGCAGTGTTGGAAAGGAGCCAGCTCTCTAGAAATTGGCACGAGAGAAGGCCAGGATATATTGTTAGGTTTAAAAAATCTGCTACCCTACCTGAGGAGCTCTGTCTAATCTCCCTCTCTGATGCTTGCTTTGGCCAGTTGAATACGCTACACCTTTTGAAAATGTGAAGTTTTAGGTGGTGTAGTAGCCATAGGCCCTGTCTGTCCCTATTCTGTTAAACCTCCAGCTTCACCATTGACGTGATCTGTCTGGGCCCAGCAGGCATGGAGGCCATGACCCTGGTCTCTGGCATGAGCCCAGCATGATTACATGTTGGTAGGCAGAAAGGCATGGAGGAATGTGCTCTTGGTGGCTCAAAGTGAGGTGGGTGGAAGGGGGAGGGCGTACAAGGAAGGGTGGGTTGATGGCTTCTTATTTGTACACCCCTACTGGGTTTGGCTATAGCAATAAGGATATGTTTTCAAAGTAGGCTTGCTCAGAAAAGGCTTTGCGAGTCATGGAAGCTGTGGGTGGCCACAGCTGTGACAGTCCAGTGAGGAAGATGAACACACACTTCACGACAAATGTTTTGAGTGTTGTGGAGAAGTCTAGATGCTCTAAAAGCTGTAGGAGAAGGACCTACCTAGGGCATCACTGAGATTTCCCACAGGAAGTGACATTTAAATGAGAATGGAAGAGTAGGAAAGAGCCAGGAGTAGAGGAGGGAGGAGGGTTTTAGGGAGACAAACTAGCCCCCGTTTTTGCTGGTGGTGAAAGAAGCAGGCTGGGTGTGGCCAGGGATGTGCCTGAATGACCTTCTGGGACCTGATGTGGTATCCACAAATCTCTCCTTCCTTGGCTGAGCTGTACCTACAGCGGAGCCACTTCTAAGGGCTGGAAGTGGGAGAGGGGGGCAGAGGGTCTGCACTTCAGCACAGAACATGTTCCCCTGATGGGCTCTGTGATCCTCATTGCTCCCCAGTCCTGCAGGGTCGCATGTGTCTGTCAAGGCACCTTCTCTCCTTCCAGTCCCTTTGTACTATCCTTCAGCCTTTTGGGACAGCAGAACCAGGCAGCTTGGGTGCTCATGGGGTGGCTTGAGCATCACAGGCTCACTCTGACCTTTCTCCTTTCCATAGTAGGCAGGGGAAGTATTCATTCATTTTTATTGAGAACACAATAGACTATGCTGGGCACTGTGCTGGAAACTGGGGATGAAATAACAGTATTTGAACATGTATCCCATGCCAGGCACTGTGATCAACACTTATTGCACAGAGATGGCTTCAGTTAAGGAACTTAACACATATAGAGCACTTAGACGAGTGCTTGGCACCCCCAGTACTCCTGAGCACCAGCTGTTGCTATTAGTTAATCCTTACCACAGCCACATGAGATGGGTACAATCCTGTATGCCCACTTTACAGAAGGGGAAATAGAAGCCAAGAGGCACTTGCCACATAGGTGGTAGATGGCAGAGCAGGATTCAAACCCAGGACAGTTGGACTTCCAAGTCCTGTCCCTCTCTGAGAGTGAGTGAGACAGACATAGAGGGTGAATGGGATAGACATGACCCTCGCTTTACAGAGCTCTTATGGTTGAGCAGGGAGCAGCCGCATTGGCATGTCAGAGTGACAAGCGTTGCGGAGGGCTAAGCAGAGAGCCTGCAGAGGAAGGCCATGGACCCAGGCTGGAGGCCTGTTGGGTGGAGGGGAAGGAAACAGTATTCTAGGTAGAGTCCTCTGCGATCAAAGTCACTTCCTGCTCACCTAAGGGATACGTTTCATTCGCCTCTGGGCTTCAGCGAGGAGGTACTAGTTCAGTCGTCTGTGTACAAGCTATTAATGATTAATAATTTGAGTGCAGGGGTGTGGCTACTCATCCAAGCCAGTGTTCTGGGATCTTATCTCCCAGGCACTCCCATTGAGGCTGACCCCTCCTTTTCCAAGCAACCTGTGCCCTGAGGTCCTGTCACACTTCTTTACCATGTGCAAATAGCCTGGGTTATGAATCTGTGCTGCCCAGCCCGCCTCTCACTCCACTTCTGTTGAGTGAGTGAGTACATTCAGATGTCGTGTTGGACTGTTCCATTGCACAGTTAGAAATAAAGAAATGAAGCATCATTATAAACCTATGATTGAAAGTCCAAGCCACGTAAATTCTGCTACGATCCTGCCACCTGCCACCCCAACATACTGAATAGTGTTTATGTTTGTGTACTTTTCTTCAGTCCCTGTCCATTGGGCAGGTGTATGTATATATATAATTTTTTTTTTTTTTTTGAGATGGAGTCTCGCTCTGTTGCCTAGGCTGGAGTGCAGTGGCGCGATCTTGGCTCACTGCAAGCTCTGCCTCCCGGGTTCACGCCATTCTCCTGCCTCAGCCTCCTGAGTAGCCGGGACTACAAGCCGCCCGCCACCATGCCCAGCTAATTTTTTTGTATTTGTAGTAGAGGTGGGGTTTTGTCGTGTTAGCCAGGACGGTCTCGATCTCCTGACCTCGTGATCCGTCGAACAGGTATATTCTTATGCTGTTGTGTACAAAAGTGCATCTTGTCTCTTGCTTTCTCGGCATGGTTGTATGAAATTGAGTAGTTAGGTGATTGGCCACCAGGTGGTGCTGCAGCACCAGGCACCAGACCCGAACCTGGGAACCGCTGTCTTTAAATACCCAGCTCTGAGCCATCCTTGTCTGTGTAAGTTCATTTTCAGTTTTTTCCTCTAGGTGCTGTGCTGCTCATAAATGTTTTCCATACCTATTTCAAAAGAAACCAGAAAATATTGAAGTGTACAGAAATAGAAAGTAAAAGTGCCATACAATAATGCCATTAAGAGGCAGTGATATTAACAGTTTAGTGAATATCCTTCTATACTTCTATATGTGTGTTCACATGTGTTATAAAGATTTTAAAACATGTTCAAGTGTCATTTTCTCAGTGAGGACTTCTCATATACGCCCCCCCCCTTTAAAATTATGACTTCGTCTAGTTGTGGGGGGGGGTTGTTGGGGAAGGAGGGATGATTAATGGATTCAAAGATAGGAAGAAGATTGGATAAGATCTAGTATTTGATAGCACAACAGGGTGATTGTAGTCAATAATAATTTAATTGTACATTTAAAAATAACAAAAGGAGTATAACTGGATTGTTTGTAACACAAAGGATAAGTGCTTGAGGTGACAGATATTCCATTTACCCTGATGTGATTATTACACATTGTATACCTGTATCAAAATATCCCATATACCCCATAAATATATGCACCTGCTGTGTACCTGCAAAAATTAAAAATAAGTGTAAAAAAAAGAGAAAATTATGACCTGTCTCCCACCCTGCCTACTTTTCTCTGCTTTACTTTTTTCTTTATCACTTACCATGAGCTGGCAAGCCTTGTCTTTTGCTGAATGATTTACTTAGTGTCTGTTTCCCCCACTAGAATATACTGGGGGTTTTGGGTTTTTTCTTCACTGCTCTATCCCTAGCATCTAGGACAGTGCTTGATATATACTAGCTTTTCAGGAAATAGTTATTGAATGAAAGCATGAAAGTGAGTGTGCCCTGAGTTTATGGACATTGCTCTCTGTCAGGAAGTATTGATCTCCCTCACCTTTTTATCTACCACTTAGTATCCCATTGAATGGATGTGTTCTAACTGTCTTTACTGTGGTTTTCAAGTGTTTTCCTGGCTTTTTTGTAGCCAGTGTTACAGTCAGTAGCTTTCCTGGAACATATACTCTCTGGTTATCTATTTGATGATTTCCTTGCTTTGTTTGAACTCTGGGCTTAGTGCTTTACAAAAAATAGCTCATATTAATCCTCACACCAACCCTCTAAGAAAGATGCTGCTCTTAGTTTCTCCTTTTCACCTGATGAGAAAGCTGAGGTTTAGAGAGAACAAACCCCCTGTTCAGGTCCACCCATCTTCCGAGTGTTGAGCCATCCTGTATTAAGGATGTTAATTCATCATCTGTCATGTGACATCACAAACACCCTTTTCCCAGTTTATTGACTGCCTTTCATTTTTTTCATGATGTCTTTTCCTTTATAGAAGTTTTAATTTTAATGTAGCTAAATCTACCAGTAGTTTTCTGGCTTTTGTATCACTCTTAGGACTTTTTTTTTTTACCTCCAAATTATTTTAAAAATTTGATCTGTGTTTTCTTTAGTATTTTTCCTTTTTTTGTTGTTAAGTCTTGAATCCATCAAAAGTTTATCCTTATATATGATATTGAGCAAGATTTTAAACAAATTCCTCTTTTTCCCAAGTGAATAGTAAATAGTTTCATCAACATTTATTGAAGAATCTATCTTCTCCACTGTTTGAAATGCCTCTTGGTTATATGCTACTCCTCACATATACTGGATCCTGTGTTCTGGACTGTGTCTTGTCCTGCAAATCTGTTTCTCTGTTTCTTTGCCATTTATCATTGACTGTGGCTTCCTGGCAGGATAAGACTCTTCTTACTGTAGTTCTTTTTTGAAAATGTCTTAGCTGTTTTTAATTATTCTTCCAGATGAAATTTTAAATCAATTTGTTGAGTTCCAAAATGAATCCCCTTAGGATTTGGAGTGAACTTACATTTTATTTATAGATTGATTGGGTGGAATTGATGGCTTTACAATACTGTCTCCTTATTCCAGGGAGTGAAATGTCTCTCCTTTGATTTAAGTCTTTTTTTTTGTCTTTTAGTAAGGTTTTATAATTTTCTTTAAATGATTTTTGTACATTTCTTTTAAAGTTTATTTCTGGATATTTTTCTCTTTTGTTAGTGGGCTCTTGGGCCATTACGCTTTCTAGCTGGCTATTGTTTGTACAGAGGAAATTGTTGATTTTATAGCTGGATAGATATCATTCATAGATTTCTCTCTAGTCCACTTCCATTTGCTTGAAATCTAGAAATTCTTAATAATTTATAGTTCATTGATGTCATCCTTTTCTGTATTTTAATGCTGCAACAGATTTTTTCCTTTTTTTCTTTTTTGAGATGGAGTCTTACTCACTCTGTTGCCCAGGCTAGAGTGCAGTGGCGCAATCTCAGCTCACTGCAACCTCCACCTCCTGGATTCAAGCGATTCTTCTGCCTCAGCCTCCTGAGTAGCTGGGATCACAGGCATGCACCACCACGCCCGGCTAATTTTTATATTTTTAGTAGAGACAGGGTTTTGTCATGTTGGCCAGGCTGGTTGTGAACTCCTGACCTCAAGTGATCTGCCCTCCTTGGCTTCCCAAAGTGCTGGGATTACAGGCGTGAACCACCGTGCCTGGCCTTATGTTTTATTTATTTGGTCCTTTCAGCAGGACCTGGAGAGTGGAAGGCAAATGGGTGGACTCCTCTCATTATCTTCATAGTCTATTAGTCGAGGTTGATGTGAAAGTGTCATCTGTCCCTGTGCCTTTCTGGCACCTCCAACCCACACCATCAACCCTGCAGTGCTCTCCGTGGAATGTGGGCTGACCCTGAAGAGCCTTAGAAACTGGGTGCAGGTTTTCCGTTTTCCTGTCACCTGGGGTGTGCCCTTTACTCCTGAAGTCTTTCTCCTACCGCTGCCTGGACTGCTTTCACTGCCCCTTTTCCAACCAGACCTTGCCCACCCTGCCTGTCTCTGTAGACAGCTTCCTTCTTGTTTTAAGGGAAGGACCAGGCTGTTCATTATGAAAATTAGGTCGTAGGGCCAGGACTCAATGCTGTTTGTCAACAAGGCCCAATAATGTAATGTGGGTATCCTGTTCTGCCAACCTAACCCTTGCCTCAAGGTTTCTGAGGTACCTCATCGCAGAAGGAACAGCAGCCAAGGAGAACTCAGAGACCCTCATTATAAGCCTGGCACCCTAACACAGGACCCTCTGGTCAAAGCTGGGTTGGAGCAGGTAATGGGCTCGCAGCCCATGGGGGCCTCCCACTTGCCTGAACTTGATCTGTGTCTGGGTCCCTTACCATCCGCCAGCCAGCAGCAGTGTATGGGACATGCAGGCCTGGTGGGCACCCTTAGGCATGCACGCAGGAGTCAGAGAGGGGCTGAGCTCAAGCAGAGGCCCTAGTTCACCACACATCTCACAGCAGCAGTGGAGAGAAGAGAAGGCCTTGAATAGGTGATGATCTTTTGGCACTTAGTGACACTAATGGATGTGGTCCTATCCTGACCTGGCTTGGTACCAGCCAGACCAGTAATGCCTCTGCCTTTGGCAGGATCTAAGAGGGAGGGAAAAGGAGGTCAAGACCCCCTGCTCCCTACACGCCTCCACAGTCCACCTTAGATGGTTTCTGTTTGGCCCACACGTAACAGGTGTAAAATGCCTGATTGTCAACACCCAGGGCTGCAGTCCTCCCATAATGGTTTTTCACAGGAAATGTTGAGACCCCTGTTTTTAGACCTATTCCTAAGGGAGACTATGGGGAGGGAAATTGGGTGGGGAGGGAGGGTGGGATAGGATATGAGAATATAGAATCCTTAATTTTTTTTTAACTTTTTATTTTGAGATTATTTTAGATTTATAGAAAGGCTGCAAAACAGTACAGAGCTTACATAACCACAGTACTATTATGAAATTAATAGGTACCACACTGTTTACTGAACTACAGACCTTTTTCAGATGTTACCAGTTTTCCCCACAGTGTCCCTTTTCTGTTTCAGGATCCAGTCTAGGGTCCCTCAGTGCATTCAGCCATTGAGTCTCATCAGTTTCCTCTGGTCTGTGATAGTTCCTTAGTCTGTCCAGAAGGTATCAGCTGAGCCTTGGTGGATGAAATTTAGAGTCTAGTTTTGGTGATTCTATTTGTCAAGCCTATAGAGTGAAAGAGTCTCATCTAGCCCTGCAGGTGTTGTTGTAGGCACCTGGCCTGGCTGGCACTCCCCGTGGACATGAGTCTTCCTGTCCACAGGAGGCAGCCCAGGAGGCTCCCCACTGCTGCCCTCCTCCAGGTGAGGTATGAGTGGGCCACTGTACTCCTTCCTCCAGTTGCAAGGGAAGCAGCTAACAGGGTCTGACACTTCTCTAAGACTGTCTTTGTCAGGTGTCCTCTCTTTCTCTTGCTTTTTTTTTGAGATGGAGTCTCACTCTGTCACCCAGGCTGGAGTGCGGTGGCACAATCTCGGCTCACTGCAACCTCCGCCTCCCTGGTTCAACCCATTCTCCTGCCTCAGCCTCCCGAGTAGCTGGGATTACAGGCACTCACCACTACACCCAGCTAATTTTTTGTATTTTTAGTAGAGACGGGGTTTCGCCATGTTAGCCAGGCAGATCTCGAACTCCTGACTTCGTGATTTGCCTGCCTCAGCCTCCCAAAGTGCTGGGATTAAAGGCATGAGCCACTTCGCTTGGCCTTCTCTTGCATTTTTAATATTTTGCCCTCTGCTAACTCTTTCAGTCTGAGGATGTGCTTAGAAGTCTTCCTCAGGCACCTCAAAACCCCAGCTTCAATCTGCTGCCCTCATCTCTTGCCTTCCCCTTTCTGCTGTACTTGGCTCTGGGAGAGTCAGGACCATCAGGTCCCATTGTGCATCGGGCCTTCCCTGACACTGCACACAGGGTGTTCTTGCCATTATATCCTCAGGCCTGTTCTCAGGTCTCATCCCAAGTGGTTCTGCAGTACCTTATACCATGGACTGAATTCTTTCTGCAGTTCCTGCTTTCTGCTTCTGTGTGATAAGGTCGTTCCCTGGGGCAGACATCGTCTTCTCTTATCAGTCAGGGTATTTCTTCAGCTTCCGTTTGGAGAAGGGGAAGATGCATTCTGTTTTTCTCCAGCTGGGTATGCTTTAGATATAGGAAAATGTACCTTTTTTAGTGTATTGTTATGCAAGTTATGACTTAGCTTTTGCAATCACTCTATTAAGAATAAACCATAGAGGGACGGGGCGCAGCAGGGAGACTGCGTAAGAGGCTTTCACGGTAGATGGGAGGTTTTGGTGGCTTGGATCAAGATGGAGGGATTGGAGGTGGTGAGACCTGGCCATATTCCACAGAGAGGAATTTTCTCTGTCCGTGATGGCCCAGGACAGAGACAGTACCCCTTCTAGTTCCAGACAATGTTGCCTGCTGATACTCAAAGCAAATGTTCCCTGGATCCTGATTAAGATTGAGGGTTTGGCCAGGCATGGAGGCTCATGCCTCACTCGGGAGGCCGAGATGGGCAGATCACCTGAGGTCAGGAGTTCGAGACCATCCTGGCCAATGTGGCGAAACCCCGTCTCTACTAAAAATACAAAAATTACCTGGGCGTGGTGGCACACACCTGTAATCCCAGCTACTTGGGAGGCTGAGGCAGGAGAATTGCTTGAACCTGGGAGACGGAGGTTGCAGTGAGCTGAGGTTGCGCCACTGCACTCCAGCCTGGGTGAGGGAGCAAGAATCTGTCTCAAAAAAAAAAAAAAAAAAAAAAAGATTGAGGGCTTTACAGAGTTAGGAAAAGGAAATGGGGGGTTGAGTTCCTGGCCTGGCTACTGTGCACTGTGATTCCGAACACACACAAGGGGAAGCTTCACTATTCAGGCTTCCAGAATAGCAGGGCACCTCTGATGCACCCAGGGCTTTTGTGGGTATCTGGTATGTCTGAGGTAGACCACCCTCATTTCTTCACTCTCCCTTTTACCCTCATTTCTTGATGTTCCCTTTAAGCCCACCCCCACAAATATCCCCTGGCCTCCCAGTTTCCTAAAATTTGCCTCCTTTCCCTATGGAAGAAATCAGGTCTTGTCAGCTGGTGGCTGCAGGGGAGGATTTTTTCCTCCTTCACCTGTCTTCTGCAGGCACCTTGTTTTGGAAGGGGAGAACCTTCGATTTCCAGAGTAGATTGTAGATGCTTATGTGGGAGATGGGGACGCTCTAGCCAGCCTTTCATAGAGGGTCTAAAAGAAAACTCTCCTGCCAACCAGAGAACCCTTTCCTGGTCTTCAGAGAAATGCATATTCCTCATTCACATTTGTTTCATTGCCTCCCCTTCAAATTGATTCTTGTGGTCTTAGGCTAAGAGAGCATTGTCTGTGCTGGAAGGTGAAGTGGTGGTGGAGGGTGTTACCAGAAACAATTGCTGTCATTTCTTGAATCCACGCTACCTGCCAGGCTCTGCACCAGCCACTTCTACATACATCATCTTATTAATCCTTTCAGCCTCCTGTGAAGTAGGTACAGGGGTAGGTACAGGATGAGCATCCCAACTCTGAAAATCTGAAATAAAAATGCTCCAAAATCTGAGACTCTTTGAGTGCTGACATGATGCTCAAAGGAAATGCTCATTGGAGCATTTTGGATTTTGGATTTGGGGATTTGGGATGCTCAGCTGGTAAGATAATGCACATATTCCAAAATCCAAAAAATCAGAAATCTGAAACACTTCTGGTCCCAAGCATTTCGAATAAGGGATGCGCAACCTGTAGCATGATTCTCCCCAGAGGAGGAAAGTGGATGTTGGCCAGGTCAAGCAACTGGCCAAGGGCACAAAGTAAGTGAAAAGTGAGTGTTCAGATCCTGGTTCTCTGTCCCCTAAGCCACAGGGAGGAGCCTGGCTTCTTTCACTTGCTCTGTAGCTGCCTTGTTTTGTGCTCCTATCAAGCCTGCACTGCAGCTTGTTACCCTGGTGGGGGTGGGGTTGAGCTACAGGTGACTTTAAAGCCTCCCCAAATCCAGGTGTGCTCTGAGCCTTGTCTATAGAATGAAGGGTGGGTGCTGTGCATGGCCCCTACTATTACTCAAATATATGTAGCTACTGCAGGGATTGTTAAACCAGAGTGTTGGTGAATTTATCATAGCTTTTTGTTACAGAAGGTTTTTTTCCTTAACAGATGACAAAAAGAGAACTACATTTTTTTTAGTGTTGTAAGGCGGGTCTCTAGAGTGTGTTTCCCTTTATATTTATATCCCTGTATATCCACACATATCAGAGTATCTGTGTGGGTGTGTGCATTAAGATGCTACCCAACACTGTGAACTGTGTTAACCCTGGGGACAGGGACTAGGTAGGGGCTTTGGGGAGAGCAGACTTGCCTTTTATATTTTATACCTTTTTATCCAGTTTACATAATTCTACTATGCATATGAATTACTTTTCTTTTAAAAATTGAGGCTGGGCGCAGTGGCTCATGCCTGTAATCCCAACACTTTGGGAGGCCGAGGTGGGCAGATCACTTGAGGCCTGGAGTTTAAGACCAGCCTGGCCAATATGGTGAAACTCTGTCTCTACTAAAAATACAAAAAATTAGCTGGGCGTGGTGGTGCATGCCTGTAGTCCCAGCTACTTGGGAGGCGGAGGCAGGAGAATCGCTCGCTTGAACCTGGGAGGCAGAGGTTGCAGTGAGCTGAGATTGCACCACTGCACTCCAGCCTGTGCAACAGAGTGAAACTCCATCTCAAAAAGAAAAAATAAAATAAAATAAAATTTCAGAAAGTCCTCATCCTTGAAAAGGTTAGGCATCCCTGGGCTGGACTATAAATTTCCTGAGGCCAAGGATGGGTTTTCTCCCCTTCTGCCTCCTCAGCTTCAGCATACAGAGCCTGGGACATGGGGGCGCTTGAGAATGCCTGTCACAGGATGGCTGCCTGTTTGTGCCGGCCCCCAATTCAGCTCCGTAAACATAGGCGCTTCCCTTCCCCAAGAAGACGCTTTTCCTGGCCCTTCTTTCCGTGCTTGCTCAATCTCCCAAGTTCTTTTTTTTTTTTATTATACTTTAAGTTTTAGGGTACATGTGCACAATGTGCAGGTTAGTTACATATGTATGCATGTGCCATGCTGGTGTGCTGCACCCATTAACTCGTCATTTAGCATTAGGTATATCTCCTAATGCTATCCCTCCCCCCTACCCCCACCCCACAACAGTCCCCAGAGTGTGATGTTCCCTTCCTGTGTCCATGTGTTCTCATTGTTCAATTCCCATCTGTGAGTGAGAACATGCGGTGTTTGGTTTTTTGTCCTTGCGATAGTTTACTGAGGATGATTTCCAGTTTCATCCATGTCCCTACAAAGGACATGAACTCATCATTTTTTATGACTGCATAGTATTCCATGGTGTATATGTGCCACATTTTCTTAATCCAGTCTATCATTGTTGGACATTTGGGTTGGTTCCAAGTCTTTGCTATTGTGAATAGTGCCGCAATAAACATAGGTGTGCATGTGTCTTTATAGCAGCATGATTTATAGTCCTTTGGGTATATACCCAGTAATGGGATGGCTGGGTCAAATGGTATTTCTAGTTCCAGATCCCTGAGGAATCGCCACACTGACTTCCACAATGGTTGAACTAGTTTATAGTCCCACCAACAGCGTCAAAGTGTTCCTGTTTCTCCACATCCTCTCCAGCACCTGTTGTTTCCTGACTTTTTAATGATTGCCATTCTAACTGGTGTGAGATGGTATCTCATTGTGGTTTTGATTTGCATTTCTCTGATGACCAGTGATGATGAGCATTTTTTCATTTGTCTTTTGGCTGCATAAATGTCTTCTTTTGAGAAGTGTCTGTTCATATCCTTTGCCCACTTTTTGATGGGGTTGTTTGTTTTTTTCGTGTAAATTTGTCTGAGTTCATTGTAGATTCTGGATATTAGCCCTTTGTCAGATGAGTAGGTTGTGAAAATTTTCTCCCATTTTGTAGGTTGCCTGTTCACTCTGATGGTAGTTTCTTTTGCTGTGCAGAAGCTCTTTAGTTTAATTAGATCCCATTTGTCAATTTTGGCTTTTGTTGCCATTGCTTTTGGTGTTTTAGACATGAAGTCCTTGCCCATGCCTGTGTCCTGAATGGTAATGCCTAGGTTTTCTTCTAGGGTTTTTATGGTTTTATGTCTAATGTTTAAGCCTTTAATCCATCTTGAATTAATTTTTGTATAAGGTGTAAGGAAGGGATCCAGTTTCAGCTTTCTACATATGGCTAGCCAGTTTTCCCAGCACCATTTATTAAATAGGGAATCCTTTCCCCATTGCTTGTTTTTCTCAGGTTTGTCAAAGATCAGATAGTTGTAGATACACGGCGTTATTTTTGAGGGCTCTGTTCTGTTCCATTGATCTATATCTCTGTTTTGGTACCAGTACCATGCTGTTTTGGTTACTGTAGCCTTGTAGTATAGTTTGAAGTCAGGTAGTGTGATGCCTCCAGCTTTGTTCTTTTGGCTTAGGATTCACTTGGCGATGTGGGCTCTTTTTTGGTTCCATATGAACTTTAAAGTAGTTTTTTCCAATTCTGTGAAGAAAGTCATTGGTAGCTTGATGGGGATGGCATTGAATCTATAAATCACCTTGGGCAGTATGGCCATTTTCACGATATTGATTCTTCCTACCCATGAGCATGGAATGTTCTTCCATTTGTTTGTATCCTCTTTTATTTCATTGAGCAGTGGTTTGTAGAAACTCACTCAAAACTGCTCAACTACATGGAAACTGAACAACCTGCTCCTGAATGACTACTGGGTACATAACGAAATGAAGGCAGAAATAAAGATGTTCTTTGAAACCAACGAGAACAAAGACACAACATACCAGAATCTCTGGGACACATTCAAAGCAGTGTGTAGAGGGAAATTTGTAGCACTAAATGCCCACAAGAGAAAGCAGGAAAGATCCAAAATTGACACCCTAACATCACAATTAAAAGAACTAGAAAAGCAAGAGCAAACACATTCAAAAGCTAGCAGAAGGCAAGAAATAACTAAAATCAGAGCAGAACTGAAGGAAATAGAGACAAAAAAAAAACCCTTCAAAAAATTAATGAATCCAGGAGCTGGTTTTTTGAAAGGATCAACAAAATTGATAGACTGCTAGCAAGACTAATAAAGAAAAAAAGAGAGAAGAATAAAATAGACACAATAAAAAATGATAAAGGGGATATCACCATTGATCCCACAGAAATACAAGCTACCATCAGAGAATACAACAAACACCTCTATGCAAATAAACTAGAAAATCTGGAAGAAATGGATAAATTCCTCGACACATACACTCTCCCAAGTCTAAACCAGGAAGAAGTTGAATCTCTGAATAGACCAATAACAGGAGCTGAAATTGTGGCAATAATCAATAGCTTACCAACCAAAAAGAGTCCAGGACCAGATGGATTCACAGCCGAATTCTACCAGAGGTACAAGGAGGAACTGGTACCATTCCTTCTGAAACTATTCCAATCAATAGAAAAAGAGGGAATCCTCCCTAACTCATTTTATGAGGCCAGCGTCATCCTGATACCAAAGCCGGGCAGAGACACAACCAAAAAAGAGAATTTTAGACCAATATCCTTGATGAACATCGATGCAAAAATCCTCAATAAAATACTGGCAAACCGAATCCAGCAGCACATCAAAAAGCTTATCCACCGTGATCAAGTGGGCTTCATCCCTGGGATGCAAGGCTGGTTCAATATATGCAAATCAATAAATGTAATCCAGCATATAAACAGAACCAAAGACAAAAACCACATGATTATCTCAATAGATGCAGAAAAGGCCTTTGACAAAATTCAACAACGCTTCATGCTAAAAACTCTCAATAAATTAGGTATTGATGGGACGTATCTCAAAATAATAAGAGCTATTTATGACAACCCCACAGCCATTGTCATACTGAATGGGTAAAAAACTGGAAGCATTCCCTTTGAAAACTGGCACAAGACAGTGATGCCCTCTCTCACCACTCCTATTCAACATAGTGTTGGAAGTTCTGGCCAGGGCAATTAGGCAGGAGAAAGAAATAAAGGGTATTCAATTAGGAAAAGAGGAAGTCAAATTGTCCCTGTTTGCAGATGACATGATTGTATATCTAGAAAACCCCATTGTCTGAGCCCAAAATCTCCTTAAGCTGATAAGCAACTTCAGCAAAGTCTCAGGATACAAAATCTGTGTACAAAAATCACAAGCATTCTTATACACCAATAACAAACAGAGAGCTAAATCATGAGTGAACTCCCATTCACAATTGCTTCAAAGAGAATAAAGTACTTAGGAATCCAACTTACAAGGGACGTGAAGGACCTCTTCAGTCTCCCAAGTTCTATCGCTTGTTCCTAGTACCTGTGGAGGATCCTGTCTCTAAAGCCAGCCCTCTTTACTGAGCACTGCTGACTTCTCTCCTCCATGGAGGCCTAGCCCCACATGGCATTTTGGACTCAGTGGTGCCTCCTCAGCTCACTATCTCTCCTTTCTTGGGAGAGAGGCCAGAGGTTGGATGCTGAGTGGTGTAGTTTGAAAGAAGTTGAGGAGGGAGCCGGTAAACAGTGGAGTGAGTGATGGCCATTCCAGTCTGACATGTGCTTACGTGGCCAGGCTCTCTTTGAAAGCCTCCAGATGCTGCTACTTGCCAGGAAAGGAGGCTTGGAGAGTTTGGAGAGGGTCAGGAGGAGGTAGAGATAACAGCATGGCCATCCTTACACAAGGGGGCCTTTCTTGAACTCCTGGCAGGAGGTCCAGACCCAGAGTAATGGGTGCCCTAGTGGGAAACCTTTTGGCAATACAAAATCTGATGTGCTGTGGCTGTGGCTGAGAGAGAGAGAGAGAGAGAGAGAGAGAGTGTGTGTGTGTGTGTGTGTGTGTCTGTGTGTCTGTGTGTCTGTGCGCATGTGCATGCGTGCATGTGCCTGTGTGCACACGTGTACACTTACTGTTCATGGAGTAGACCGAACAGTTGTTGGAGGGGTTGTGGCAAAATCCTTCTTTGTTACCTTCCTATTTGTCTTTGTCTAGCTTCTGTGCATGACACAGAAAGGAGGAAGAGGCGGCTGCGGAGTCGTGGGAGAGCTGCACGTCCACACTGCGGAAGTGGGCTTGGAAATGGTGTTTGGGATCCATTTTCATACTTGTCTGAAACATTTGGAAGAAATCACTTTCTTGTAATTGAGCATTCCTGGACGTGTGTATTTTCTTTGAAACAACCTCCTTAAGCTGGAAAAAGTGATTATTATGCCTTCTCAGGAGTGGTCTGCATTGGACTGTCTCATGTTATTTTCTTGGTTTCCTGAACCTGAAACGTTGAAGGAGAATTCTGGAAGATTGGAAGGAAACCAAGGTTGCATATGGGATTTTCCTTTCCCTCTTCAGGAGTCCCCCCACACAAGACCAGATTCTGTCATAAGCAGAAAAAAGAGATGTGGGATTGTACTGTGGTTCTGATACAACTGCCACGTTCTTAAGAAGTTACATCATGAGAATCACTTTTTCTCCTGCAGTGTTTTGGTTTCCAGGGAGGAATTAGCAGCCAGAGTATGTGTGTGCATGTACACGTGCATGCGTGTGTGTGTGTGTGTGCGCGTGTGTGTATGTGTAAGGTGAGAGAGGCAGAAGGAGGGTGGAAAGAATGGCGTTTTTGGTGCAGTGCAAACTAATTTGCCCAAACTGAAAAAGCTGGTGCTCTCACCATTATGCCAGGCTACCTCCCTGTGTAGTAGATGACACAGCTGATGTAGATGTATAAAAATGTAGCCCCTACAGTTTAATTTATCTCTCTGAGCCTCAGTTGCCTCATCTGTAAAATGGGTCTTAATGTATATAAATCCTTTCACCTGACACCACATAAGTGTCTGATAAATTGTCTCAATGACAATGATCAGACTGTGTATGAGCTCCTAGAGGCTTGTGCGACTCCCCTGCACAGAGCAGGGCTTGGGAAAATTTTACAAAGTTTGTTGAGAGAATGAGGGAGTGAACAGAAGGCAAGATGCTGTTGCTATATTGTGGTGTTAGTTCCATCTGTTAAAGGATAAACTCCATGGGGAGTCCTGCCTATCTTATTTGCTGCTGTGTCCCCAGAGCCCATTTAATCTGTGATGGACATGGGACTGGGGAAGGTGGGAGAGGACACCTGCCACTCATGCCCCAACATGCTGGTATCCCACCTGTCCCTTTGTTCCCCTGTGCATCCACACATGCCCAGCGCCCTCCACACACTGCCCACACTTTACTTGGAGCCTCTCATTCATCCTTTAAGACCCAGCTCAGTGGTTCTTCTCAGCGATGTCTTCTTTGACCCCCAAAGGCATTGGTCACCCACTTCTTTGTGCTCCGGTGAACCACCTAGTGGGTGGGTGTTGAATAAACGAATGAACTACCAAGCAGTGTGTGGCAGTTAGGCCCCCATCTACTCATTCATAACAGCCTCAAACTTAGAAGGCATCCTTGGTTCCTCTCTCTTCTTTTCCCCCTGCATGCAGTCCATCAGTAAGTCTTGTCTATGCAACCTCCAGAACATCTCCTGGATCCATTCCCCACGAATCCAAGCTGCTGCCATCTATTACCTCCTAACTGACTTAACTGCCTCCATTTTGGCCTTTCCAATGTAGTTCTCCACAGAGTAGCCGAAGTGATCTTCCAAAACAGTGCTGATCAGATCATGTCACTCCCCTGCTCAACACTCTCTAGCACAGCCAGGCATGGTGGCTTATGCCTGTAATCCCAGCACTTTGGGAGGCCAAAGCAGGTGGATCACTTGAGGTCAGGAGATCAACTCCAGCCTGGCCAATGTGGTGAAACCCCATCTCTACTAAAAATACAAAAATTAGCCGGGCATGGTAGTGGGCACCTATAATCCCAGCGCCTGTAATCCCAGCTATTCGAGGGGCTGAGGCAGGAGAATTGTTTGAACCTGGGAGGTGGATGTTGCAGTGAGCCAAGATTGCGCCACTGCACTCCAGCCTGGGACCTGGGTGACAGAGTGAGACTCTGTCTCAAAAGGAAGAACCTCTCTAGCATTCCCTCCAGTATACTCCAAATGAAACCCCAGCTCCTCACCATGGCCTACAAGGCCATTCATGCCCTGGCCCCAGCCTGTCTGTCGACTGCTTCCAGGTGACTCAGCTCCAGCCATGGCCTTCTCCCTCCATGATAAACCTGCTAGGCTCATGTGCATCTCAGGGCCTTTGCACTTGCTGTTCCCTCTGCAAAGAATACTCATATTCCCACTGGTTTGTATGGCTGCCTCCTTCCTAAGGTTTCAGCTTACATATCGCATCTGTAGAGAGTCCTTCCTTGACCATCCTGGCAAATATCATCTTTCACCCTATTTCATTTCTTTAAGGCATTTATCAGTATCTTAAGTTACCTTCTTTGTTATGTTTATTTTCTGACTGCCTACCTAGAATATAAGTTCCGTGGCAGCAGGGACCTTCTGTGCCTGCCCACCTTGTGTGCCCAGTGCCTGGGACAGAGGTTCTTGACCAGAGTATCTATGAATTTGGATGGAAAAAATGACATTCATTAACTTTGAACTGAAATTTAGCATTTCTCTCATTTATTAATATAGACAGTGAACCACAGTAATATTAACAGTACCTGGGACTTGGTCACCAGTGGAAATCTCAGATATTTTCATGTCACATAACATTCGTGGGCAACTCAGAATATCTGTGCTCATAACTACTTTGAAATTACGGTAGTTATTAGACTCCCCAATAGTTCTTGTTATTGAATACAATAATAAAGATATATATTCCCTTACATAAAGAAATACATATATTACTACATAACAAATTATTTAAAAAACAATTTAATATATTTTAATATAATTTTTTGGTATAATTTTATGCATTTAAAAACATTTCTATGAGAAGGAGCCCGGAGGCTTCACCAGACTGCCAGAAGGGTCTAGGACAGAAAATCGTTAGCAACTGTTGGTTAGGACAGTGTCTAGCATGAGGTAGGGACACAGTGAGTGAATGAATAGTGTGTGTCTTCCCCTTTCCAGTGAGCCAATGCATTTCCAGGGTCAGATTTCCCGTGGATTGGCATGAACTTGATGTTTAGGAACGAGCTTTGGTCAAGGTCTTGTGGAAGTCTACTCTAACTGCCTGATGCTGACAGAGAGGCATTTATCGCCGGGCCCTGGGCTGCTCTCCTTTTCTTTCAGACACAGGCTCTTTCTTCAGTTCCTGCCTGTGCATCTGCTTCCTCCCCCTGCTTTCATCCCTCTGACCAGACTGTCCCTGCATGGGGCCACTGTCTACTCCCGAGGGTGTGGCACCTTAGCTTAGTTGACCAGCAGAGACTTAATATCTCAGGGTCCTGAGTTCCTAGGAGAACCAGGGGGCACCCTGGTCTAGTCAGTCTGGCTTAGGAAGCACAGTTCCCTATCTTCAGGGCCCTACTCTGGGTAGGGAAGCTGTTCTCAGGGCGGGGCTAGGCCAGGCTAACCCCCTCAGTGGCAGTCTGCTCCCTGATACAGAACTGGGGGCTCAGCCAGGCCTCAGGGACTGAAGTTGGATGGGTGGGGGTTTCTCTGAGCCTTGAAAAGGACAGTCCGTTGTACTTGATCCTGTACTTTCCTAGTATGTGAAGTATCACTTGTCTGAGAGTCGCTGCCCATAAATTCGGCCATTTTTGTCGGGGGCGAGACATGCCGGAGTCAGACTGGAAACAAGTGCTCTGTCTTTCCTTCTAGGTCAGACCTCCCGTATAAAGCATAATGGGTAACACACTACGGCTGCCATGCTTCATCTGTAGGTGGGGTGGGCCACAGGGGGAAGATGGGCAGGTTGAGAGGACTCCTGTACTTGGACCCCTGGACTCAGCTATGCTCCCTGGGGAGCCTGGAACCCACTGCTGATGATCCCCTTCCCAGCAGTGGAAGCCCATGGTTTTACAAAGCATGATACTGTTCTTTCTCAGACACTTAAAGTTAATTTTTTGTTTGTTTTAGGAAAAAAGAATAGGTATAAATGAATAGAAAATTGTATGATAACACTGACACCGATAGTAACTGATAATCTTGATTGAGTACTTGCCCTATGTCCAGCCCTGATGGAGCATTTTAAACACGTTTCCTCATCCAGTGCTCACCCGGACTCTTGCAAGAGGCAGTGTCAGGGATGATGAAGAGCCCAGGCCTTGGCATTGACTGACTAGGGTTTGCACCTCCCAGTCCTGCCACTAACTCACAGCAAGTCACATTACCTCACTGTGCTTCCATTTCCCTGAAGTCTGTAGTCTTTACCTCATGGGGCTGTTGTGACGATTAAATGAGCTAATCATGTGATGCTTAGCCGGGTGCCTTGCACAGCACCTGCACTCACTTTAGTGCTGGTGGTGGTGTGTGGAGCGGAGCCACCCAGTGAAGCTGAAGAAGTGGGTAGCGTGGTGGTGCCCTTCAGATGGGCAGAGGGTGTGCGCCGATGGCCAGTGACAGAAGAGGGCCTGAGGGCTGTGTTGAAGGGCTGTGAGACTTGAGAATTCAGTTGTTAGGAAAGCAGGGAGAGCAAGGCCTCTCGTTTGGGCCAGGCTGAGCAGTTTGAGCTCCATGTCTGGGCTCCCCTTGGGAAGAGCTACAGAGTGCCAGGCACACCCAGAAAGGAGTCAAGCCCACTTCAGCCTGGGCCTGAGATAGGCTGGATCCACTCAAAGAGGATCAAGCTGGCTGTCTTCCATTTGGTCTCCTGTGGTGACTCTCTGTTAGGCCTGGATTGAGTCACTTTAATCCTGTTTGAACTGATCTGAACAGGTTCCATCCATACCAGCTGGTTTGTTCTGGCTTAGAACAGACAGGCTGAGTTGGTCAGCCTTATACTGCCTTTGAATCTTGAGATGGATTTACTTTTAGTCTCAGTTTTTGGTTTCCCATTTTGAAGTGTATGGGTTTTTCATGGGAGTTTCTGTTGGAGGGTCCCAGCCACTCCATCCTGGGAAGCCTTTCCTTGCCTCCAGGGGCTGTTTCCCTCCTCTCAGTGCCGTCTCTTCTGCACTAGACATTCCTCAAAGTTTTTTGCTTATTAATAGTATCCTGGATAAGTGTGGTGACTCATGCCTATCTATAATCCCAGCACTTTGGGAGGTGAAGGTGGGAGGATCGCTTGAGCCCAGCCTCAAGACTAGCCTGGGCAATGTAGTGAGACTTCATTTCTACAAAAAATAGAAAAAAATAGCTGGGCATGGTGGCACGTGCCTGTAATCCCAACTGCATGGGAGGCTGAGGATCCCTTCAGCCCAGGAGTTTGAGGTTGCATTGAGCTATGATTGCAGCACTGCACTCCAAACTGGGAAACAGAGCTGTCTCTTTAAAAAAAAAAAAAAAAATATATATATATATATACACACACACACACACATATATGTGTATATATATGAAATTTCAAGGGGAATGGGGGAGGGAAGAGTTAAACATGTAAGTTCAGATCACCATCATGAAACAGAGCTGAAGGTGCTTCTTTTATTGCAGTATAATTTATATTTCATAAAACCCACCCCTTCTAATGGTATAATTGTATGATTTTTAGGGAATTTTTAGAGCTAACTGCCACCACGATCCAGTTTTAGAACATTTCCATCCCTCAGAAACTCCTGTGTCCTTGTGTAGTCAGTTCTGTCCCTTCCCCTGGCCCACCAGTGATGTGCACTTTTGTCGCTCTAAATTTGCCTTTTCTGGACATTTCCTAAAAATGGAATCACACAGTACATTCCTTTTCATCTGTCTTCTTTCCCCGAGCATGTGTTTTAAGGTTTGTTGGTGAAGTGGCTGTATCAGTGCGTCACCTCTCTGTTTTGCTGGATAGTGCTCCATCCTGCGGTGTGTCGACTGAATTCTCTGTCCGTTTACCAGGTGATAAACATTTGGAGGGTTTGTAGCTTTTGGCTTTTATGAATAATGGTGCTATAAGCATTCATGTTCATGTCTTTGTGTGGACATATGTTTTCTTTTTTTAGGTAGATACCTAGGAGTAGAATTACTGGGTCATGTGATAAATTTATATTTAACTTTTTAAGAGAATACCAAACGATCTTTCAAAGTGCCTGTGCCATTCTGCCTTCCCACCAGCAACGCGTGAGGGTTCTGTCTCTGCACATTTTTGCCAATACTTGTTATGGCCTGTTGTTGTTGTTTTCTTTTGTTTTTAATTATAGCCATCCTGGTAGGTGTGATGTGGTATCTCATTATGGTTTCATTTGTGTTTCCCTGATGGCATTTCTCTTGTTAGCCATTCATGTATCTTCTTCTTCTTTTTTTTTTTTTTTTGAGGTGGAGTCTCACTCTGTTGCTCAGGCTGGAATGTAGTGTGCAATCTCTGCTCACTGCAACCTCCGCTTCTTGGGTTCAGGCGATTCCCCTGCCTCAGCCTCCTAAGTAGCTGGGATTACAGGCATGTGCCACCACATCTGACTGATTTTTGTCTTTTTAATAGAGATGGGGTTTCATCATGTTGGCCAGGCTGGTCTCAAACTCCTGACCTCAGGTGGTCTGCCCACTTTGGCCTCCCAAACTGCTGGGATTACAGGTGTGAGCCACTGTGCCTGGCCCATATATCTTCTTTTGTGAAATGTCTGTTCAAATCTTTTGTGGAGCTGCTTTTTAAAGCTGCACCAGCTGTGGATCTGTGGTTCTTGGTGATGGCAAACGTGGCTTCTCTCAGGACAAAAATGACTATCAAATGAGACTTCTCAGCCCGTCTCCTCTCCTTGCTCATGAAAGAGGACTTTGGCCTCTCCAGCTCAGCTGTTTCTCTAAGGAAAAACTTTACCTGACCAGTTCTTTTTTTTTTTTTTCTTTTAACTATGAAAATTATCAAGTACTTGGAAAAGTGCAGAGACTGGTACAATGAACTCCTCTATACCCTCTTGACTAGATTCAGCCATCGTTATCATGCTGGCATATTTGCCTTGTCTCTACTCACATATATTTTGCTGACCCATTTTAACCTAAGTTTTAAACTCACTTTACGTCTATATGTTGACACACACCTCACTAAGGATAAAGACCTTTTCCTACTTAACCACTGCATTGTTATCATACTTAGGAGAATTGACAGAAAGTCAGTGGTACCCTCTAAGATCCATAGTCAGCTTTCCCCAGTTGATTCCCAAATGTTGTTTATAGGGCAGGCTAGTTCTTCTGAGTGTTCTTGGGAAGAATGGGAAGGTAGAAGGCTCACAGGATAGAACTGAGGAGGGGATAACTGAAGTGGATATATTGTATTGGAGCAACTTTGAGGGATGAGAGAAGAGTCATTGTCAGCACTGGAGATGTACCAGGAGAGAACCTGGGTCATTTGGACATTCCTTTTTGGTTGCTTGCCCCTGTTTCTTCCCTTTCTTCCCTTCCTTCCCTCCCTCCCTCCCTCCCTCCCTCCCTTCCTTCCCTCCCTCCCTCCCTCCCTCCCTTCCTTCCTTCCTTTCTTCCTTTTTTTTTTTTTGATGGAATCTTGCTCTATCACCAGGCTGGAGTGCAGTGGTGAGATCTTGGCTCACTGCAACCTCCGCCTCCCGGGTTCAAGCAATTCTCTTGCCTCAGCTTCCCAAGTAGCTGGGACTACAGGCGCCTGCCACCACGCCCGGCTAATTTTTATGTTTTTAGTAAAGACGAGGTTTCACCATGTTGGCCAGGCTGTTCTCGAACTCCTGACTTCAAGTGATCTGCCCACCTCAGCCTCCCAAAGTGCTGGGATTACAGGTGTGAGCCACTGTGCCTGGCCACCCCTGTTTCTTTGACAGCATACTTCTGTGTGCCAGGCCCTGTGACTGAGGGACCTGGGAGGGTTGCAGATGGAGTCAATATCATCAGGCTGACTTTTTCTTCTTTTTGAGCTACCTCCAAAGACTGGAGCCAACTGCAATTATCCAGGCAAATCATTTTTCGCAGTGACCTTTGGGCTAGATCTTGCTCTCCAGGATTGATTTTCACATAGGCATCACAGATTCGGCATTTCCCAAATCAAATTCATCATCCTTCCCCCAAATCTGCTATGTCACCTCTGTTCCTTCCTTGAAGAAGGACACACCATCCTTCTGGTACCTCATGCCAAAAACCATCTCATCCTCAGCTGGTACTTCTGCCTCCCTCCACTTCAGTGCCTGGGGAGTCTCTGTCCTTCCTGTCTCTCAGTCTCTCTCCCCTCTGACTTGACTGCCGCAGCCTCAGCTCAGGGGCCCTTCCTTACCTCTTGCCTGGATAACTGCAGTTGGTTCCAGTCTTTGTCCTCTCCTCGCCTTCCTCCCAACTCCCTCCTTACTCTCCTGGTCACTTGCCACTAAAAAGCTGTCAGTGGCCACAGCTTTCTGCGTTCAGTGATGTGGTAAATGCTCTTCTAGAGGTGTGTGCACTTGGGTGACAGAACAGCTGGCTCTGTTTTGGGTTGTTCAGGCATGATAGCCAGAAGAAGGGACATTTGAGCAGGGTCTTGAATGATGACAGGGTGGCAGGGTGGCATGAACAAAGCCATCAAATAATGAGATATCTGCCTCCCTGTGCCTCAGTTTCCCCACATGCAATAGGGTGTAATGATAGGACCTACTTCAGGATTTTTGGGTTAGATGAGCTAATGTATGCCAAGCATGGCATATGGTACTATATGGGGTTAGCTATTACCCAGGTTATTATGGATGAAGAAGTGTGGTGCCAGGGGAACACAAGAGAATTTGCTTGTCTTCTTCACCCTGCCTTTGGTTTAAAAGAAAAATCAAGGCTGGATGCGGTGGCTCACACCTGTAATCCTAGCACTTTGGGAGGCCCAGGTGGGAGGATTGCTTGAGCTCAGGAGTTTGAGACCAGCTAGGCAACATAGCAAGACCCCACCTCCACAAAACAATTAGTGGAGCATGGTGGCACATGCCTGTAGTCCCAGCAACTCGGGAGACTGAGGTGGAAGGATCACCTGAGCCCAGGAGGTTGAGGCTGCAGTAAGCCGTGATTGAGCCACTGCACTCCAGTCTGGGTGACAGAGCAAGACCCTGTCTCAAAATAAATAAGACAAAGATCACAAACTCTAGTGCCTGCAAGGGCCAGGCACGCACTGAAATGGTCGCACAAGCTAACTGGGGACTCAAAGGCCCTGCTCCAATCCAAGGGGCAGCCACCACTCAGCTGGCTGATGGTCACCATACAGTAAAATGGGCCCAGTATTGCCAGAAAAGTCAGAAATGCAGAATTCTATGTGAAATCTTCCAATTTTTAAATGTTGGTTATTAATTTTAAAAATATTAATACCCTGTACAAGCCCATCAAACTGTATCTGTGGGCCATAGTTAGCCTGAAAGCCACTAGCTTATGACCTTTCTTTAAAGGTCTCCTCTGAGATGATCTGCTCAAGTCTGGTACAACTTTTGCCTGGGGGTGGGGATAAATTTGTTTTGAAGACTGATTTTTATGAGCCCCTTTGCCTTGCAGGACTTCTCCAGACAGGTTATGTTACCTGCAGAGGCTGCCCTGAAGCTCCCTGTGGCCTGGAGACTATGTACAAGAGGAATGGTCTGATGGCTAGCGTGTTGGTCACCTCTGCCACTCCACAGGTACTGAGGCTGCAAGAATCGGGACAGTGGGTAGAGGGGTCTCCTTTCAGCTAACCCAGGCCCCAGCTGAGCCTTGGACAGCGAGGCAGTAGGGCTCTGTGAATACCACCATTCTTAGCACTCCTAAGGCCCCTGGCCATGCCAGGCGTGAGATTTGGGAGGCAGTCAGCCCTGAGGATCAGCGTGTTTTCTGAAGTTGTTCTCTTCAAAGAAAAACAAATACCTGCCCAGTCCAGCTGTAGCAAGTGCCACATTCCATTTTGGTGGCAAGAAGGGATCAGACCTTTCCCAGGAAAAGCCGCTGCTGATTATAAATAAGTCACACACATTCCGGAATGAAGTCAGACAGAAGTCATTCCAACTGGCCCTGGGTTCTTATTTACCTTGCTCAGTGGGAAATGGTTATAAGGACTGGTGGTCTGCAGTGGCCTGGGCTAGGGCCCCTGCTGTGGGGTTTGAGAGTTTGATTTCCATGCTCGGTAATGGCACAGAAGCATGCAGGAGGAGTGGGTGCCATTTGAGGCCCAAGATGCCACCACCCTATTGTGTGTGTAACGCCTGCTCCTCGGACAGATTGGCAAGGCCATACCAGGGTTTGAGCCCACAAGGCCCTCCTCATTATGCTAGGCTTTTGAAGTGATCCTGGGTAACCTGCCAAAAAGTCACAGGAATCAGTTAGTTTCTTATAAACCTTTCAAGAAAATTCGGTGTTTTGATCTCTGGTCCTGAAATCGGGATAGGTTTAAGTAAAGCTGTTGCTGCAGCAGAATTGTCATTACCCTCATCATCATCACCAATGAATGTATTTGGGGCAGCTTTTGATCAACACGTCCCCTTGTATGATTGTGTGTGTTTGGGGCAGATACAATGGTGTGTCACTGGAAAGTTATAATACCCGAAATCCCAGGAATGGACTCCTTTTTGTAACTAGAGGAGTCAGACTTCTATTTCCATTTAGAGTGAAGCTTCTTTCTTCTCTGGTCTGTATGTGTATATATGTATATGTGTGTGTGTGTGTATATATATATATTTGAGTGTGTATATATATGTGTATACACATTATACACATTCACACATATATGCTGTGTATATGTACATATATGTGTATCCAGCACAAGGTAAGTACTCAATAAATATTTTTTGAATAAATGAATGAGCAAATGATGAATACATGTATAACTGAAGTGCTCAATAAATTTTGATGACTGAGTGATACATTTACACCAACATAGCCCCATAATTTGTTGCTTACTATATACCAGGCACTTTTTTGCATGTTCCATAGGCACTGTCTAATTTAATATTCACAATAACCCCATCAGGTGTATATTATTATTTTATCCCTAGTTTATAGATGAGGAAGCTAAGGCACAGACAGGTGAACAAGCTGGCTTGGAATCACACAGCTGCCATGTGGGTGGGGATTCAAAGCCAGGCCTCCCTGACTCTCGAGCCGGTGCTCCTAACCATGACATTATACCATCCAAAAGAAAATCCACCCTGTCACCCTGATATATTCTGTTTTCTGGAAGGTGGGTATAGAAGTATAGAACGGTTTGTACAGAATTGTCTGCTCAGGATCTACATATGAGACTGGGAGATGGAGTAGACTGCCGATTCCAGCAGCATCAGGAGAAATCTTTATAACTTTTCAAAAGTTCACTCTGCGTAGGTTCTCCTCAGGGGAGAATGTCCTGTCACTGTGGAACTTTAAAAATAGCCATGCCTGGGCTGGGTGTGGTGGCTCATGCTTGTAATCCCAGCACTTTGGGAGGCTGAGGTGGGTGGATCACCTGAGGTCAGGAGTTCGAGACCAGCCTGGCCAACATGGTGAAACCCTGCCCCTACTGAAATTACAAAAATTAGCCAGGCATGGTGGCGGGTGCCTGTAATCCCAGCTACTTTTGAGCTACTTGGGAGACTGAGGCAGGAGAATCACTTGAACCCAGCATGTGGAGGTTGCAGTGAGCCGAGATCACAGCACTGCACTTTTGCCCGGGTGACAGAGCGAGACTCCCACTCAAAAAAAAAAAAAAAAAAAGCCATGCCTGAGCTCACCCGAGTCCCCTTGAATCAGCCCTCCTGGGGATGGAGGCAGATTCTGCCAGTTATTTTTTAAGCTTTATTTTATATAACCCGTACTATAGCCCTGGGAAGTAGGTTTAATATCACCATTTTACAGATGATAACTGAGACTCAGTAAAACGAAGTTATTCGTCTGAGCACAGACAGCAACTGGTGTGGAGCTGGCATTTTATCCAGGCCTATCTGACCTCAGAGGTCTTAACCACTATGGTATACTGCTTCTTAAGATCATCTTAAGAGTTTTTGGTATAGTAGACTCATTTTAAAATCTTTTGATGACACAGGCCTATCGAAATCTGCAGGTTTAAGTTCCTGCTCCTCTTTTTAACCTTACATTTGCAGTTGTTGACTATTGGTTTCCCTCACTGGCCTAAAAGCACTCTAGTTTTCAGGAAGATTACAAAGTTTTTCCAGATATAGCCATTTTGGAAAGAGTGAAATAAAGAAGAATTAATAAAAGCATATTCTCTAAATCCCAGTCCAAGATGTTGAGGTTAATGGAAACCACAAAATCCTTCTTCGTGAGCTGAGACGAATAAAATCATTTATGAACAGGGCACAATTTTTGGGCGGTAAGCTTGATTGAGCTTGATGAAGTTAAATTAAAGAGAAAGTATATTCAACATTCTGGGATCCCCACAGTGTTGAGATTCGTGAAATCAGCCACATTTGAGGAGTTTTAACTTGCCTTTTTATGGGAGACTCTTTCATATACATGCAGGATGCAGAGCGTCCTTAGCACAAAGGACTCTACTAAATATAACTTTCACAACAGCCTCTAAAGCCAGTTGGTTACCTCTCACCTCATTAGCAAGCAGGCTTTGAATTCCAAGTGCCCCGCATGATAAATAAGCCTTGAGAGCTACTTTCACATTTTGTGTAACAATTTCCTGCAGTGACTTCAAGTAGGAAAAAACCAGGTAATGTTTGAAAGACATCATGAGGCAGATTGTCTCCTCAGGCCTCCTAAGACATGCAGTCCTGTTCTCCCTCAAGGAAGATTGGGCTGTAATTTTTTTACCCCACCACTAAACCACTGGCCAGAGAAAGTTAGGGTGTGGCAACTGAAGGTATGTGTTTTGGGGTCGGATAGATACAAAAGTAAGTTTACTTTCTGGCTTTCCCTTTCATAGCTGAGATACCTTGGAGAAGTAACATTGCCTCTACTTCCTTCTCTATAAAATGGGAACAATAATAATTTGTACTCATAGGGCACATGTGAGAAGGAAATAAGATCATACACATGCAGTGCTTAACATGGTGCCTGGACTGGGGTAAAGCTCTAATCAATAGAAGCCATTTTTTATTGTACTATTCCATTGCTCTCCCATCCTGAATTCCGAGGAGGTTTGGGAGGCAATGATTCCACGTCATATCATTCAGTTGGCACCATCTTTCCCTGCTCTCCACAGGGCAGCAGCAGCTCGGACTCTCTGGAGGGCCAGAGCTGCGACTATGCCAGCAAGAGCTATGATGCCGTTGTCTTCGATGTCTTGAAAGTGACCCCAGAGGAGTTTGCTGTAAGTGAAACAGGGCTGGTGTGGGTGGCTGGGCACCACAGCAGGGCACTAGAGGGAGCCACCACTTAGGCTTTGGGCTCAGATTGGAAACATTCTATATGCCCAGCAAGAGGGGAGTGTTGAGTAAAGTCCGTACCACCCTTTGTGAAATACAATGCAGCATTAAAAAGGATGCTGTCTTGAAATTAACTACCCTGGAAGGCTGTACGCTATATATATAAATGTGAAAGGAGCAGACTAAAGCAACGTTTGTGGAGAACGTGCAATTTAAAAAATTCATGTACAGACTGGGCAAGGTGGCTCACGCCTATAATCCCAGTGCTGTGGGAGGCTGAGGTAGGAGGATGGCTTGAGCCCAGGAGTTCGAGATCAGCCTGGGCAGCATAGGGAGACTGCATCTACAAAAAATGGAAATAAAAAAATTAGCCAGGTGTGGTGGCACACACTTGCAGTCCCAGCTACTCAGGAGACAGGTGAGAGGATTGCTTCAGCCTGGGAAGTTGAAGCTGCAGTGAGCTGTGATCATGCAACTGTATTCCAGCCTGGGTGACAGAGGAAAACCCTGTCTCAAAAAAAAAAAAAAAAAAAAAAGCATGTACAACACACATATGACATGTATTTGCATTTGCATGAGGTCTAGATTTTTTGTTTACATATTCATAAATGTCTGGATCTATATAGCCAAACATATTATTTACTGTAGTATTTGGTTATAGATTCCAGGTAATTGGAATTTAATTTTTCTTTTTGTTTATGTATACTTTCTATATTTTTATAACAACCATTTTCTACAATGATAAACAATATTATTTGGGCAATTTAAAAAAATATAAATTAAAAAAAAAGATATATCTTCAACCAATGTGTTGCTCCCGGTCTAACTAAGGGACTGTCCCTTGTGGTGGAGCAGTGTTAGCTCCTTGTTTTGCCATGACTTGGTTTCCTCTTTTTGAACTTTGACAGTAGAGGGAGAATATTGATTCTGGGGTGACCTCAAACCTGATTGAGAGTGTTGTCCAAGCGTTGAACTTCTCTCCAGAACCCTGAAAGTGTTTCTAACCCATACCCACGTCTCCTCTACCCTCTTTGGTAAAAGAGGTTTCTTGTCCTCCTAGGTGCCAAGGGAACTAGCTGGGCCCCATGTCATTGCTCTGCCATCATTGGCTTCTTCCGTGTTTACTTTGTGCCAGGCCATACTGAGCCTGGCACATGCATCATCTCCTTCAGTGTGTCTGAGGGATCATTTTAAAACCTTCAAACTCTCTAGTGGCTCCCTCCTACTAGAATGAGACCCAGAGTTCCTCCTGAGGCCTCCAGTACTCTCTATGGTCTGGCTAAGCCTCCTCTTCTGCCCCCACCTCTGTGCTCTCCCACTGTCTCTTTCTTCCCCAGGCTCACCTGCATCCTCTGTCCTTTTCTTTTTTCAGTCTTCATGGCTCTTCCTTAGTTGTCTGCTCACTCTGTGTTCAAATGTCTGTCCTTAGGACTTTCACTGGGCTAAAGTAGCATCTTTCCATCATTATCTTTCTCCTTACTCTGCTCTGTTTTTCTTCATAACTCTTATTACTACCCAACATTACATTATAGAATAATTTTTTTTTTTGAGACAGCATCTCATTCCATCACTTAGGCTGAAGTGCAGTGGCACAGTCACAGCTTATAAAAGCCTCAATCTCCCTGGCTCAAGTGATCCTCCTGCCTCAGCCTCCCAAAGTGCTGGTGCTACAGGTGCATACCACCATGCCCTGCTAATTTTTTTGATTTTTAGTAGAGATGAGATCTCACTGTGTTGCTGTGGCTGGTCTCCAATTCTTGGACTCAAGTGATCCTTCCACCTCAGCCTCCCAAAGTGCTGGGATTGCAGGTGTGAGTCACCACTCCCAGCCTATATAATAATAAATTTAAATTGCATATCTCTTCCACTGGAATATAAACTTTCTAAGGACGGGAACTTATCTGACTTGTTCACTGCATTTTTTCCCAGTGCCCAAAATATACCTGGCTCATAGTAGGTGCTCAAAACATACGTATTGCCTGAAAGAGTTCAATTCTTTTTTTTTTTTTTTTTTTGAGACGGAGTCTCGCTCTGTCGCCAGGCTGGAGTGCAGTGGCAGGATCTTGGCTCACTGAAACTTCCGCCTCCCAGGTTCAAGTAATTCTCCTGTCTCAGCCTCCCGAGTAGCTGGGATTATAGGCGCATACCACCATGCCCAGCTAATTTTTGCATTTTTAGTAGAGACAGGGTTTCACCATGTTGGCCAGGATGGTCTCAATCTCCTGATCTCATGATCTGCTCGCCTCGGCCTCCCATAGTGCTGGTTGGGATTACAGGCATGAGCCACCGCACCTGACCAAGAGTTCAATTCTTACAACAACTCAATGAGTCATATCATTTGCTCCCAATTTTCTGATAAAGTAAGGATCCAAGAGATTAATTTTCTACATGGATTATATAGCCAGGTATTGGCAGAGCCAGGTCTGAAACTCTCATCTCCTAATTACCCATGTAATGCTAGGAAGTAATTATAAGAGCAACTCCTATTTTTGAACACTGATTATGTCTAGGTCTTGTGTTAAATGTTTTACATGCTTTATCTAGTTTACTTTTCATAACAGCTTTATAAATTAGGTATAATTATTATTCCCAATTTACTGATAAGCGAGTCAACACTTAGAGAAGAAAGTCGTCTCTTCACACAGATAGTACATGGCACAGCTGGGATTTAAAACCAGGGCTGTCTGACACTGTAGACCAGTGATTTCCAATAGAAATACAATGTAAGCTACATATGCAATTTAAAATTTTCTAGTAATCGTCCGGGCGCGGTGGCTCATGCCTATAATCCCAGCACTTTGGGAGGCTGAGGCGGGTGGATCACCTGAGGTCGGGAGTTCGAGACCAGTTTGATCGACATAGAGAAACCAGGTCTCTACTAAAAATACAAAATTAACTGGACGTGGTGGTGCATGCCTGTAATCCCAGCTACTCAGGAGGCTGAGGCAGGAGAATCACTTGAACCCAGGAGGCAGAGGTTGCGGTGAGCCGAGATTGCGCCATTGCACTCCAGCCTGGGCAAAAAGAGCGAAACTCCGTCTCAAAAAAGAAAAAAAAAATTTCTAGTAACTACATTAAAAAATGAAAGAGGTAAAATTACTTGTAATAATATGTTTTATTTAACCCTGTATGTCTAAAATATTATCATTTTAAAATATAAGCAACATAAAATTATTGAAATACTTTATATTCTTTTTCTTTACAAGCTAAGTCTTCAAAATCCGATGTGTGTGTATGTAAGAGACAAGGTCTCACTATGTTGCCCAGGCTAGAGTGCAGTGGCTATTCACAGGTGCAATTACACCACAGTGCAGTGCCTTGAACTCCTGGACTCAAGCCCTTTTCCTGCCTCAGCCTCCTAAATAGCTCAGACTATAGGCTTGTGCCACTGTACCTGGCTCCAATGTGTATTTTACACTTTATGGTGCTAGCAACATTTCACATGCTCAGTAGCCACATGTGGCTAGTGGCTACCATATTGGACAGTATAACACTAGAGCCTGCACTCTTAGCCACAAAGCTGTATTGCCTCTCCTTTAGAGGACGTCATGGATCTCGCAGGCCAGTGGCCTAGCTTCTATGTTCTATTTATGTATGTTTACTTGTACTTTTAAGAGTCATGTTTTTTAGCTTCATGAAAGAAGCAATAACGAGGCTTAAAAATCCCTTTCTAGCTGTTTACCCTGTGGAATGGCAGAGAGTTAGACTGCATCATAGAAAAACATTGCCTAACAGGACTCCTTGGTGAGACGCAGGGCCTGGTTTTCTAGCCTCAGCCGTAGGGTATTGCTTGGCTTGCTTCAGGCTGCCTTTCTGAGGCTGGGAAGACTGTAGGGAAGGATGGTGAATACTTTTTGAGAATGCAGTGCTAAAACTTTGGCTGTCCCTGCTGGAGCTAGTATGTCTTCAGCTTACATGTGAAACCAGGTCTCTGGAGTCTTTGGCCTCTGGGAAAGCACTGGAGTGCCTAGGTGTTAGAATTGAACCAGACCAACTGGCATTTTAGTTTCCTGTCTAGTGAAAGAAAAAACCCAGACATGAAAACCCAGTGAAAGAATTATTTGAGTGATTCTGGGAAGATGGTGGCGGCAGTAGCATATTTTTAAATTCTCTCTTAATCCGTATTCCCCCACCGCCCCACTGTAAACATTCAGAACAACTAGATAGCAAACCCTGAAACCCATGAACAAAATTGTAGTAAACCTAGGTGACAAGTTATCGTCATCACCCCCAAAATACAAGTGGTTGAATATATACCACCAACATCCACAAGACCTTCAGGGTATCAGCATCTGTAGAGGAGAAAGCAGAATAAGCACTGGGGTATTTGATAGACTTGAGAATAAGAGAACCCCAAAGTTGTCAATAGGTATTTGCTAGAAAGTTCAGTGGGTCAGGGTGGGAATAGCAGCTGAAATTGGCAGGGATTTTGACTATTCAAATAATGGGTGAGTAGAAGGGATCTGTGGAATAGCCATTATGACCTCTTGAAACCAGGCAACTAGGGGGTCCCTTCTAGAATGATGCTGCGTACCTAAGAAATTCA